>NC_000008.11:101964222-102589222 GCF_000001405.40 Homo sapiens | reverse complement strand
AATGGCCAAAGGCTGCAAATAGGCAGTTCCCAGGGCAGAAAATACAAATGGCTTTTAAACATTGAAAAGATGCCCAAGCCTGCTCAGAATAAAATAAATGCAAATTAAAACTACAATTAGATAGCAATTTAAAGTCTTTCAGATTGGTACAGACCAAAAAATTCTGGTAAGACTTTTAGTGAAGGCAGAGAAAACAGATCCTTTCATATATTGTTGATGAGAGTGGAAATTGATTCACTCTTTCTAGAAAGCAATTTGGTAATTCTGTCAAAATCTAAATTTCAGGCCGGGCGCAGGTGGCTCATGCCTGTAATCCCAGCACTTTGGGAGGCTGAGGTGGGCAGATCACTTTGGCCCAGGAGTTCAAGACCAGCCTGGGCAACATGGCAATACCTTGTCTCTACTAAAAATACAAAAAATTAGCCAGGTGTGGTGTCACAAACTTGTAGACCCAGCTACTTGGGATGCTGAGGTGGGAGGATCACTGGAGCTCAGGAAGTTGAGGCTGTAGTGAGCTATGATCGCTCCTGCTCCACTGCACTACAGCCCAGGCAACAGAGTCAGACTCTGCCTACAAAAAAAAAAAAAAAAAAAAAAAATCTAAATCTTGTATACCCTTTGGTTTGGCAATGCCACTTTAGGAATTTATTCTGTAGATATATGTACAATTTTTTGCAATGATTAGAAGCAATTTGAATATCCATGAATAGAGGAGTGGTTAATTAAATTAGGATAACACCATAAAATAAATACAAGGTCAACCTTGTATGTGATAATATAAAAAAGCTTACCACGTGGAAAACCATGAGAACAGTGTATAGGTACTATGCATTCTTGTTTGTATTTTGAATGAATAAGTAGTATCATTCCCGTTTTACAGATGAAGAAAGTGAAGCTCAGAGGAGTGAAGTCGTGTGCTTGGGTCATCACATAGCCAGTAGTTAGATAACTGAGTCTGCAGAGAGCACAGGGATGTCTGTCTCTCTGGTAATAAAATCCAGATTTATAATACCATGCTCAAGAGCCTTCAGTAGCCTAAGAATCAAAGGATTTTCCTACCCTGGTTTCTACTTCTTCTCTTCATATACCCTTCCTCAAACTAAATTGAACTGATCCCCATCCCTCTATGTCTTTGTTCATGCTGCTCAGAGATCTGGATGAGCTAGATCCAATGCTACCTCCTCCAGGAAGCCCTCATTGGTTCTCCAGACAAAATTAACCTTAGCCTCCTCTAAACCCTTGAGCATTTTATCCCTTTTATAGAAATTTTTGGAGGGTGAGTCCTAGAGGGAGTGTAAGAGAGGAAGGGAGGAAAGGAATTAACATTTATTTTGGGCCTACTATGTGTCCAGCGCAATGCAGTGCCTTCACTCAAGTCTTCTTGTCTAGTATTTTAAGTATTATGATCAAACCATAGGTCGTTGGGGGCATGATCTATGTCTAATTGATCTGTGCATCTCCCCAAAGGCCTGGCCCAGCTCCATTCATTCAATGAATGACTGCATTCAACAACTTTTGAGATTCTACAACACATCAGGTAACAGTGTGTGGTGCCAAGGATACCAAGATGAATGGGGCAGGGTCTCAGCCCTCAGCATCTGTCTAGCTGGGAGGCCAACCACGTGACCCAATAAATCCTAATTGAACATTGTGCCAAGGTAGCGGGGAAGAGATTTGTTGGATGGTGGATAAATGAATGTGTGCACCTCATCTGAGGCCTGCCTTCACTAGCAAACTTGCACCATTAATCACCAATTTTACTCTTAAAATGTTGCTGATGGGTCTCATTCTGAGACTACCCTCATACACAGCTCTAGGATTACAAAGGTCTCCCTCTCACATTGTCTCTAGAACTGCACTGTCCAGTACCATAGCCACTGGTTACGTGTGGCCTTTTAAATTCAAATTAATAGCAACCAAACATAATTTAAAATTCAGTTTCTTAGCTGTACTAGCCAACAACCATGTAGGACAGGCATCCATGGACCTCCAGAGTCTCAAGAAGTGCTCAGTAGCCATAAATGACTACCGTGTTGGATGTTGGATGTGCAGATATAGGACATTTCCACCATGGCAGAAAATTCTATTTCACAGTGCTGAGCTAGAGCCTCCAAACCCCAGGCCTGGGCTCTCCTCTGCCTGCTTCCTTGGTGTCCTGACAGAGCTCACGGGGGGGCTCTGCACTTCAGTGTCCTCCTCTCCGAAGGCAAAAAATGTTCCTTAAAGAGTTGGGAGGCAACACTGACTTTCTCTCTCTTTTTTCCTTACTTTTTAATTTTTTTTTTAGTTTTTAGAGACAGTATGTCCCTATGTCACCCAGGCTGATCTCAAACTCCTGATCTCAAGAGATCTTCCCATCCCTGCCTCCCATCCCAAGTAGCTGGGACTACAGGCATGTGCCACCATGCCTGGCAGCACTGCCCTTCTCTACATTCAAATCATGCAAAGTTGGTGAGGTTATACATGCCATGAGAACCCACACTACATCACGACCCTGGTGACTCGGTGTTGGGCAAACTCTGGAGTCACTGACTGGTTTGACTTTCCTACCGTGCATATGCATTTGGTCTGTACTGATCATGGAATAAACACCACTCTCTTAAAAAGAAAATCATAACAAGTATAGTCACAGTTAACCATAGCCGTTTCCCTGAAAGGGGGTGGAGGTGGTGGGGGGCAGTCTGTGGCAGGATGCAGGGTCCCTGGGGACTCTCCCACAAGAGGGAGCACCCCCTCTACTTAGAGTCTTCCCCAACCCTTCCTATCCCACCATGATAGGCAGCAGATACAGACTCACACATGGAGGGCTTGTCGGCAACCCATCTGGATGGCACAGTGAACATGGGACATGAGACCACCGAGGACATTCAGCCCTCATGGCATGCCCATGTTGGTACAGCAAGGTGAGGGGCACCCTTGGGCCACAGGCCTCCTTCCTTCCTCTCTCAGTACCCAGGCACAAGGCAAGAGTGGCTTCCGCGTTAGCTTCCTTTGAGGGGCCAGCCCTCCTACCATCCCCGCTGGGGCCTCTTGGGTGCTGCCTGGAGTCAGGGGGTCTCCTGCAGCTGCTGGTAACCTGCCTGTTCTCCTGCCTGGGAGTGGGGTTGGGGAGCAGAAGGAACTGCCCCATGGGAAGTAATTTTCCTGTCTCCCTCTCCTGCCTGGCCTGGAGACTTCTCGCCTCTTCTGCTGACCCTGGAGGTGGGTGGATGCCTGTTCTGTGGGGTGTTGGCCCAGCAGTTTCTACCTGGCAAGGAGACCAGAGACAGCCACTAGAGGGTAGCGAACACCCTCCTTCTAATCCTGAATAAAGTGTGTGAGAAGTACAGCTCCGAGGGCGCTTGCTGCACCCCATCCCCGCAGAAGCAAAAACAAAACAGAAAACATTTCAGAGAGAAATTAACACAAACTATATTTTCATGTTTTACATTCATTTCCAGATAGATATGAATCAAAAGAAATCCCCCAGGAAATCAAACAAGAAACCTCTCAAAGCAAGATATTCAGTGTCCCTTTATTATCGTGAGATTTATATTAATAAATTCCTCTAATAATGTGCTCTCCAGAGCCCCGGCAATCTAATTAACATTGTGATGTAATACTGTTTGTTCTTGAGGAGGTATTTTACAAAGGAAAGACCAAAATGCAGGTTTCTCTTGCTCCCTTGGCACTCAGCAGTCTCTTTTATTATATTTGTCACATGGATTAAGAACTAAATTTAGAAATGAAATGAAAATGAAAATGCAATTCCTGCCTGAGCTTAGTTCTTGACAATTATCTATGTTGTCTCTGCCCTTCCGCAGGGAAAGCAGAATCACTTTGCAGTCAAGCTAGAGTCATGCAAACCGACGCTCCCTAGCGGTGGCACCAAAGCTGAAAGGTTGACGTAACCTTTCAGCTTTCACATGGCAAGTTGGGGTTTACTTATCAACAGAACTGAAGCATCCCCCAACTGCTTTCCTGCCAGCCTCTCTGCTGTTACTGTGTGTTCCTATACATTATTTTTCATCTCCAACGTGTTTACGTGTCTTTAGAGAGAAGTAAATTCCATTTCTTTTTATGACGTTGATCCATTTTTAATCAACAGGCAAAACAAAACAATTTCTGTGTTGTGTGAATCCCAGTAGCTAGGTTTCACCGTGACATTTTCACAACAGTCCTGCAAAGTATTTATTATTCTCCCTATTTTGTAGATGAAGAAATGGGCACTCAGGGAGGAGAAACATCTCGGCCAAAGCCACACAACTATTCCCGGGTGAAGTCTGGATTGCGTTGCTCTTCCCTCTGGTGAACTCCTGAGGGCAGGAAGGTGTTGGGTAAGTCTCTAAAACCCCACAGCACCTGGCTGGCACATCAAAGCCCTCAGAACCTGCAGAGTCTGAAAGAAGAGGGTGTGACCATATGGAAACAGGGAGAAAGATCTAGAAATCACCAGAGCCCTGTGAGTGCACTGCGGGCTGGTGGATAGAATTCATGGTCTATGGGATCATTACTGCCCTTTTGACTGCTGATTTTGTAACTGCAGGACCAGCCCAAATTGGGCCTACTCTGTTGATAACAGAATGTCAAGTTACCTTGTAGGCATAACAGAGCCAAGACTGCAAGTCATGCAGCCCAGGCATGCACAAAAGAAAAAGCTTTGACCTCTAATGACACCTGGAACACATGACTCCTGCCTGTGGAACCAAGAAGACTGGGACATGAGTGGAACTTGACCACAGGAACTCTTTCAGAAGCAAGGGGTCCGTTGGAAGGAAGATCCAGGACTATAATCCACCCCAACATACCTTACCATAAATGGGCCAATCTGAAGCCCTCCAATCAGACCCTGCCAATCCATCATTCCCGAATCTTTTCCTTTGCCCTCTGACCCCTTAAAACTTGCCCCAGACCCCAAATCAAGGAGACAGACTTGAGCCTATCTCTTTGCTGCCTGGCTACACGATAAAGCCTTTCTTTTCTTAAAAGCTGTGGCCACAGTACTGGCTACCATGAGCATCGGGCAGCAAGCCCATTGGCTCAATAACATTTTTACTTTGCAATTCTTAGCTCAGGCCCAGTCCCAGAGATTGAAGCCTACAAGGAGCTGAGACACGGTGGGAGCAGGGAGGGAGGAGAAGGTGATCCAGGGACTTACCAGGATATGATATATCATCGTAGGTATGACTGAGTACATGCCTACTTTTGTCTGTGGAGGTTGACAGAATTATTTTATTTCATGCTCTCAAAACACAGCAAGACCACATCCTTTGCTATAGTTAAGAAAAGGAAGCCTCAGAGATGTTTGTTATTCATCCAAGGAGCAAGAAAATCTTTTTTTAGCCCCCTTTATAAACATATTTCCCAATTTTAAATATATATGTATTTTTAAGTGAATGAGAAGCAAAGAACTGGAGCATGTGGGGACTTCCTGTGGAGTTTTACTGAGAACTGTGGCTGAATGCAGCAAGGGGTTGAGGAAGGATTTGTCTTGTTTTGGTTTTGCTTGGTAAAGGAAGGAAGCATCAGGTTTTCATGCTGCTGGGAATGATCTAACAGAGAGAGAGAGCGAAAATGATGAGACAGGAGAGGGAGGGCAGTCTTAGGGCCTGTAGCTCTGGGAGAAGCAGAGGAGACAGAACAGAGGCCTTGGCAAGGCTGAGGGCATCAGGGGCCCCTTCATGTGAAGCCAGTGGAATGCAGGGGCTTGCAGGAAGCCAGCTTTTTCTTCCTCCCCACTGCCTTTTCACCCATGGTGTGGGCTGCTTCCTCTCTGGCTGAGTGAGGTCTTTTTTTTTTTTTTTTGAGACAGAGTCTTGCCGTGTCACCCAGGCTGGAGTGCAGTGGTGCAATCTCAGCTTACTGCAAGCTCCGCCTCCCGGGTTCACGCCATTCTCCTGCCTCAGCCTCCCGAGTAGCTGGGACTACAGGCGCCCACCACCATGCCCGGCTAATTTTTTGTATTTTTAGTAGAGACGGGGTTTCACCGTGTTAGCCACGTTGGTCTTGATCTCCTGACTTCGTGATCTGCCCGCCTTGGCCTCCCAAAGTGCTGGGATTACAGGCGTGAGCCACTGTGCCTGGCCCTGCCTCCCAGGTTCTAAGTGACAGCACCATGCCCGGCTAATTTTGTATTTTTAGTAGAGACAGGGTTTTACCATGTTGGCCAGACTGGTCTCGAACTCCTGACCTCAGGTGATCCACTCACCTCGGCCTCCCAAAGTGCTGGGATTACAGGCGTGAGCCACCGCACCGAGCCTTGTCCGTATGAGGTCTAGGGCAGATTCTACAGCTTTTCAGCTTATTTTGGGTAAAAACAAACAAACAAACAAACAAACAAAAAAGTCCAGTCCAGACTGACAAGGAAATCCCGAATCCTGGTTCAATTTGAAAGCTCTTCCCTCCTCAGCTTGGAACGGCCTTGTACACAGTGAAAGAGGAAATGTGGCTACCTCTCTCTCTCCCTTCGCTCCCCTCTCCCATCCACTAGCTGCTGGCTTGGGGTTGTGCGGGTGGAAGGGAGGTGGCTGACGGGCAGGAAAGGCGTTTCTTGAATCCCTACAGTCCTTACTTGGCATGGGGCAGATGCACCATCCCTGATTCTTCAAGAACCATTTGGGTGAGTGCTTCAGAGCCTCCCATCGCTGGGCATTGGCCCCCAGTTTCTTGCTCACAATCATACAAGTCAAGTGTGAGCCATGGGCCAGCAGCATTGCATCACTTGTTGGAATAGAGATGCCAGGTGCGGCGACATGTACCTGTAGTCCCAGCTACTGGGGAGGCTGAGGCAGAAGGATAGCTTGAGCCTAGAGTTCAAGACCAGTCTGGATGACATAGCAAGACCCTATCTCAAAATAAAAACAGCAAAGAAATGGAGACTCTTAGGCTCACCCACCCCTGTTGAGTGAGGATCTGCATTTCCACAAGCCCCCCAGGAGTGTGACGCACAGTCAGGTCTAAAGCTCTGCCTCACACTCCCAGAGCCAGAGCCTTACAGTCACACACAGGCAACTCAACTTACATAGCTCTGCATACAATGGAATAAAATAGAACCTTGTGAAAGACAGTGATAGTTAACATCCAGGCCGTGCAGCTCCCTAAGAAGACAGAGTCACCAAAAGGCAAAGGGCAAGTAAGGCTGACATCTGGAAGCCCAGGCCAGCCAGCAGCCCGCCTGCATCTTGAAGGGGTAAGATAGAAAAATATTTTTACATATTATATAATATTTTATTTAAAAAGTTGTAAAAAATACATAAATATAAAAAAGATAGTGATATTGACTGGGGGCTGGTGGCTCATGCCTGTAATCCCAACACTTTGGGAGGTGAGGTTGGAGGATCGTTTGAATCGAGAAGTTCAAGACCAACCTGGGCAGCATAGCGAGACCTCTTCTCTACAAAAAAAATACAACAGTTAGTGGGCGTGGTGGCACGTGCCTGTAGTCCCAGCTACTTGGGAGGTCGAGGTGGGAGAAACACTTGAGTGTCCCTCTTCACTGGGTCAAACAGCTCCAGAAAGCTCTTTCACCCATGTCCCTTTCAAGGGCCCCCAAATCCAGCCTCCTCCTGCCAGTGTCCACCTGGATCCTGGGAAACAGGCTTGCCCCTTGCCCTCTCACTCTCATCAGGCTCTGCTGCCTGACGGAGTCACCCCGAGGCAGAACCTCTCCCTTTTAGAGTTTCCCAGGGAGACAGGTACCAGCCCTGTTCCTCCAAACCTCAGGGAACACACTTCAGATACTCTATGTGTTCTCTCAACACTTCCCGCACTAGTTGAGGTGATGTGGAAGCACTCCTTCCAGCCCAGTGGGGTGTGGGATGGGTGAGATGGGGCAGGAGTAGCCTGGCTCAGCAGACCCACATCTCTTTTCAAAGAAATCCTTACTACTGGCTGCTTCTATGGCCCAGGGAAGCCATAGCCTTCTCATGCCTCAGCCATAGAGGATGAGACGATTTCACAGCCTCTCAGAGTCTTGCCTAGGTGCTTGTTTTGGTTATTGATTGCTGTGTACCAAACTACCCCAGTCTCAGTGCTTAAAACAACAAACATTTACAGCTGGGTATGGTGGCGCCTGCCTGAAGTGCCAGCTATTTGGGAAGCTGAGGTGGGAGGATCACTTGAGCCCAGGGTTTCGAGGCTAGCCTGGGCAACATAGCCAGACCCTGTCTCTTAAAAAAAAAAAAAATTAACATAAAAATGGCAAACTTGTATTATCTCTCAGTTCCTGTGTGCTATGAACTGAATTGTGCCCCCTCCCAGATTCCTATACTAAAGCCCTAACCCTCCAGAACCTTAGAAAGTGATTGTATTTGGGGATTCTGCCTTGAAAGAGGTGATTAAGGTTAAATCAGGTCATAAGGGTAGGCCTCTAATCCAATAGGACTGGTGTCCTTATAAGAAGATAAGGAGACATCAGGAATGCGCATGGAGAAAAGCCCACATGAGGACACAGCAAGAAGACAGCCACCCGCCAGCCAAGCAGAGAGGCCCCAGGAGACACCAAACTCCCTGACACCTTCATCTTGGAACCCAGCCTACAGAACTGTGAGAAAACAGCCAGGCACGGTGGCTCATGCCTGTAATCCCAGCACTTTGGGAGGCCAAGCTGGGTGGATCATGAGGTCAGGAGTTCAAGACCGGCCTGGCCAAGATGGTGAAACCCCGTCTCTACTAAAAATACAAAAATTAGCCAGGCGTGGTGGTGGGTGCTTGTAATCCCAGCTACACTGGAGGCTTAGGCAGAGAATTGCTTGAACCCGGGAGGCAGAGGTTGCAGTGAGCCGAGATCACGCCACTGCACTCCAGCCAGGGCAACAGAGCAAGACTCCGTCTCAAAAAAAAAAAAAAATGTACTGTGAGAAAATAAAGGTCTGGCACTTTGGGAGGCCAAGGCAGGTGGATTGCTTCAGAATAAGAGTTTGAGATCAGCCTGACCAACATGGTGAAACCCCATCTCTACTAAAAATACAAAAAATTAGCTGGGCATGGTGGCGTGCACCTGTAGTCCCAGCTACCTGGGAGGTTGAGGCAGGAGAATTGCTTTAACCCAGGAGGCAGAGGTTGCAGTGAGCCAAGATCACACCACTTCACTCTAGCCTGGGTGACAGAGCCAGACTGTCTCAAAAAGAAAAGAAAAGAAAAGAAATGTCTTTTGTTTAAGCCACCAAGTCTGTGGTATTTTGTTATGGCAGCCCTAGCAAAGGAATACACTGTGGGGCAGCAAAGCAATCCAGGCACAGCTGATCTGGGCACCTTAGGCTCAGGCTCTCCCAAAGCTGCAATCGCAATGTCTCCTGGGCTGCAATCATCTCAAGGCTCCATGGGGAAAGGATCTTCTTCCAAGCTCTCTCTCGTGGCTGTGGGCAGGCCTCAGGTCCTCACTGACTGTTGGCTGGAGACATCAGCCCTTTGCCATGTGGGCATCTCCATAGGGCAGTTCACAGCATGGCAGCCAGCTGCTCTTGGGGAGAGTGAGGAGTGGGGTGAGGGGGGTCCTAACAGAAGCACAGTCTTTTTATAACCTAATCTCATAGTGGCATCCATCACTTTTGCAATATGCTGTTTATTAGAAGTGAATCAGGCCGGCGAGGTGGCTCACGCCTGTAATCCCAGCACTTTGGGAGGCCTAGGTAGGTGGATCTCAAGGTCAGGAGTTCGAGACCAGCCTGGCGAATATGGTGAAACCCCATCTCTACAAAAAACACAAAAATTAGCCAGGTGTGGTGGTGGTGGGTGCCTGTAGTCCCAGCTACTTGGGAGGCTAAGGCAAGAGAATTGCTTGAACCCAGGAGGTGGAGGTTGCAGTGAGTCAAGATAGTACCACTGCACTCCAGCCTGGATAACAGAGTGAGACTCCATCTCAAAAAAAAAAAAAAAAAAAAGAAGTGAGTCATGAACCCAGCCCATACTCAAGGGCGGGAAATCACACAAATGCATGAATACCAGGAGGGGAGGAGCACTGGGAGCTGTCTCAGGGGCTGCCTACTGCGGTGGCCCCGCACTCCACTTCAGGGGTACTTAGCACCTATGGCATTTTTTTGTGACAGGAGAGAAGACAGAGAGTGTGGGTACATATCCTGGTGGATTTGGTGGCAGGAGGATAAGAAAATGTCTGAGTGGTTCTACCTTCTAGTAAAGTGTGAAGTGTGGTCTTTGGCTAGAACTGGGGATCATGGAGGGACTGACAAAGATGGCCGGTGGGACAGCAAAGACTCCTGTTCCCTCACATTCCCCTCGTACATTACAGAGTTGCCCAGCCGGGAACTATGTTTCCCACACTCCCCAGTGTTGAGGTGGGACCATGTGACTAGTTCTTGCCCACAGACTGGGAGTAGAGCAATTTGTGGCATTTCCTGGCTAGGGAACTAAGAAGCAGGTATGTCTTTTTCTGTCTTCTCTTTATTATACCAAACTCCTGGGTACAGAGAATTCAAGGATCTTGGAGGGAAGGGCCACAAAATAAAAGGCCCCTGGGCCCCTGAAAGCCACCTGCCAACCAAGAATACCTGTGCTGGACTTTTTATGTGAGCAAGAATCAAACATTTATTTTTCAAGCCACGGGAAATTTGGGATTTGATTGGTGCAACAGATAGTATTTTCCTAATAAATCCAGGATTGTAGGTTTGAGGCTTGAGAAGCCATGTGAAATGCCTGATGAGTAGGCATAGAGGGAGCACATGCCAATCATGGAACAGCCCACCCTCTGAAGAGCCTCACTGGCCTGGACAGGACACCAGACAAGGGCGACCCACTGCATGTAGCTCCATAGCCAGAGATGGGTAGATGAGGGCAGAGCTGCACACAATGGGTGCAGGCCAAAAGACTTCTTACCCCAAGACCCTTAAACGACCCTAAGAGGAGCATGCCTTGACAAATGCCTGAAATTGGACTTCCCACCGCACACACACAGAACAAGTTTGAAATGGCTGTGGCTTGTACTCCATAAATGCCAATCAAATTTAGTCTCCAAGCCTCCACCCTTCCAAGTTGGTGGGAGGTCAGTTCCAAGCATTATTGGTGCTCCCTCTGCCTCCTCAATGTTGCATGGTACCCAGGAGGCCAACACAGTGCCCCAAATGAGGAAAGGCCTATAATCTTCAATTCAGGAGGAGCAATCAGGGTCCTCTGCAGTCCTGCTATATACTCTGGACCATGTTAAGAACAGGGTCAGGTCCTCTACCTACTTGAGGAAGCCACCAGCCTCAGGAATCTCCCTCTACCCCTTTCTATGGCCCAGGATCCTCTTTGTCCCTCTCAATCACCACCCTTTTCCCCTTGAGCAATTCATACTTCTGAAAAAGCCAGAAGGGCAGGTATATGAGGACGGCTTCTGCTTTCTACTTCAGCAACACAAACCTCCCCGGAGGCAGAGGGTGAGGGTTGTGAAATTCAGGGAGAGCCAAACACAAATGACTATCTCACTGATCCTGTTCCAGGGATAATAATAGCATCAACCTCTGAGGGCTACTGTAAGGATGAGAAAAGAGAAAGCATGCCACACTGACAGTTTCGGCCTGGCATAGAGCTAGTTCTTGGTCATGGTTACCCGTGGAAAACCTTTTCAAGTGGATGACCTTTGTCCTTCCATGTTTCTTCCATCACAAGAAAGAAGTTTCGGGAAAGTTTCAGGCAAGTCCTAGAAAAATTTAAAATTCCTTCCAGTTAGTTACTGTCCTCACCCAATGAAGAAGTGCCACTTAGGGCATGGTGTCTTATGCCTGTAATCCCAGCACTTTGAGAGGCTGAGAAGAGAGGACCTCTTGAGGCCAGGAGGTCGGGGCTGCAGAGAGCTGTGATCACGCCACTGCAATCCAGGTGTGGACGACAGAACGAGACCTTGTCTCAAAACAAACAAACAAACAAACAAAAAACCCCAACCCCCGCACTCCTCACCCCCCTAAAAAAAAACCCAGCGCCACCACCACTCCATGAGAGATGTCATCCAGGAGCAGACATTAGGCTTAGTTTATAAACACTTGGCAAAACTGTGGCGGCCGTAAGGAAGCATCCCTCTCCTCCAACTGCAGGGAGCGGCATTGACCCACTACCCCAGCTGCCCTGCCGAAATCCCTCGCCTGTTCACACCGACGCCATGCCTCCCATAGGCTACTTCCGGCCAATGACAGGGCTCGGCAGGGGTTTGGGAGCGGGCCTATTGTTGGGGGCGTGGCCCCCTCTGACAGGTGTCTGGCTGGAGAACTCCCTGACAGCCGCGCCAACCCTGCCCTAGGCTGCGGGGCCTGCCTTTCCTCCCTCTGTCCTTCACTGGGCATCAGATCTGGCCTGGAGCCACGCTCTCTCAGCGTGTCTTCTGGCTCCCTCCCAGGCTTCTCTCACAGATGTTTCTCCTAATTTCTTGCCTATTTCGTCTTGTCTTGCATCTGCTTCTGGGAAGACCCGGCCAACTCTGCCCTTTCAATGGGCTCATTTTTCATAGCTTGTCATTTAGATAGCAAATATTAGTTCAACTCACTTCCTGTATTTAAGCTGTGAAATGCAACATATAAGGATAAATGTTTTAAGTATAACTGTTAAGACTTCTCCCTAACGGAAAGCGTTAACTCTTGTTTTAACTGCAGTGTAACTTTTTTTTCCCCTGAATCTGGCACCTGCTACCATTCAGGCTGAGCTTTTAAACTCTCAAGTGGCTGTTGAGTTCCGTTATGGCTCTTAATTCTCCCTAGAAACTCTGAACTACTTAGGAACAAAACAGCAGTGGCATTAAAAAAAATACATCAGCAATGTAATGACATTAAAAGGAATCTGGAAGATACAGGAAGATAATTCCCATAATACCATTGTTCTAACACAACAGCTGCCATTTCGGGGGCGCATTCATGTCCATCCCCTCTCACTTCCTGCTCTTTCCAGAACCCCTTTTTTTCTAGAGGGTTATTTGCAGACCTGCCTGTGTTAGGCATGGGCCACCAGCTCTCAGCCCTAGACGCACATCAGAATCACTTAAAAATCACTGAGGGCTGGCCCTGAGCTGGATCTTCTCTAAACTGCATCTTTTCTTCCTTTTTAGAGTCCAGATGCAGAATTGACTTGATCAGACCTGTCAGTACATAGCACCTTACCATCACCAGTGCATTCCTAGTGCCCATCTTTTTATTTTATGTATTATTTTTGACCTCTTCATCCTTCCACTCCCAGCCCCCAGCTATGGGTACCCCACGGGTTTGCGATATGTTCGTTTTTTTTTGAAATGGAGTCTCGTTCTGTCACCCAGGCTGGAGTGCAGTGGCGCAATCTCGGCTCACTGCAACCTCCGCCTCCTGGCTTCAAGGATTCTCCTGCACCAGCCTCCTGAGTAGCTGGGATTATAGGCGCCACCAAGCCCAGCTAATTTTTGTATTTTTAGTAGAGACGGGGTTTCGCCATGTTGGCCAGGCTGGTCTCAAACTCCTGACCTCATGTGATCTGCCCACCTCGGCCTCCGAAAGTGCTGGGATTACAGGCGTGAGCCCCCGTACCCGGCCTGGGATTATGTTCTTAAATGTGAATCAATTCTTATAAATATGTGATGTTTGGGTGTTTGCGTTTTAAATGTACATTCCGTACGTTTCATTGTTTCTTACCTGTTCTCCCTCACACTGTGTTTGAAGATTCTATCTTGATTGAAGCATGAATTCTGCACAGGGTCCTTCACTTCCTACTTTCCATGACCCTGGGGGTGTCTGCCCGTGTGGCCTTTAGCTCTCCTCTAGCTGTGACAGCTCTGTGTTGAGCAACCTCCTGTCCCTTGGGGGCCTGTGAGAAATGTTCGGGGTCGGGGAGGGTTCTAGCAGTCCTCAGTTGATTTGGATGCATAGGCAGGTTGTGGACCACTGGCATCCCTCAACAAGTTTCGTGATCCTTTAAGGGCTACTTCATACTTCTTTTCTACAGGACTGGCTCCTTCCCAACTAAAGTCTGAGATTCTTGGACTCCTTTTTTTTTTTTTTTTTTTTTTTTTTTTTTTTTTTTTGAGACGGAGTCTCGCTCTGTCGCCCAGACTGGAGTGCAGTGGCGCAATCTCAGCTCACTGCAAGCTCCGCCTCCCAGGTTCACGCCATTCTCCTGCCTCAGCCTCCCGAGTAGCTGGGACTACAGGCGCCCGCCACCACGCCTGGCTAATTTTTTGTATTTTTGGTAGAGATGGGGTTTCACCGTTTTAGCCAGGATGGTCTTGATCTCCTGACCTCGTGATCTGCCCACCTCGGCCTCCCAAAGTGCTGGGATTACAGGCGTGAGCCACCGCGCCCGGCCCTTTTTTTTTTTTAACTTTGTAAAAATCTCCTTTCAGCTGGGCGTGGTGGCTCATGCCTGTAATCCCAGCATTTTGGGAGGCCGAGGCAGGCGGCTCACTTGAGGTAAGGAGTTCGAGACCAGCCTGGCCAACATGCTGAAACCCCATCTCTACTAATAACACAAAAATTAGCTGAGCACGGTGGCGCACGCCTGTAATCCCAGCTACTCGGGGGGCTGAGGCAGGAGAATCGCTTGAACCCAGGAAGTAGAAGTTGCAGTGAGCCAAGATCGCGCCATTGCACTCCAGCCTGGGCAACAAGAGCAAAACTCCGTCTCAAAAAAGACCCAAAAAACATAAATCAAACAAAAAAATCTCCCTTCAAGGAACTCAGAAATACTACAGCAGGAGTGATAAATCACATCTTAAACATGACCCTGTATTCGTTTCCTATGTTGCTGTGACCTCAAACTTAGTGGCTTAAAACAACACAAATTATTTTCTTTCAATTCTGGAGGTCGGAAGTCCTAAAATCAAGGTGTCAATGGGACTGAATTCCTTTTGCAGACTCCAGGGGAGCATCCATTTTCTTGCCTCTTTTGGCTCCATGAGGCCACCTGCATTCCTCGTGACCCCTTGGCTGGCACCACTCTAACCTCTGCAAGCAGAGGTTCTTGCCTCTCTACTCTGGAGGTGACCCTTCTGCCTCCCTCTTCTAAGGACTCTGGTGATAATGTTGAGCCCACTTGGATAATCCAGGATAAACTTCCCATCTTAAACAAACATTTTCAACTTGATCACACATGCAAATTTGACTTAATACTTATTGCCATGTAAAACAAGATATCCGTTGGTTCCAAGGGTTAAGACAGGGACATCTTGGGAAAGAGGGACATTATTCTGCCTACCACATGACCTTTGAATTTTTTCATTTCAACTTAATTAGGTTTGTTGTTGTTGTTGTTTTGAGACAGAGCCTCACTCCGTTGCCCAGGCTGGAGGGTAGTGGCACAATCTCGGCTCACTGCAGCCTCTGCCTCCTGTGTTCAAGTGATTCTCATGTCTCAGCCTCCTGAGTAGCTGGGATTACAGGTGCACACCACCACACTTGGCTAATTTTTCTATTTTTACTAGAGATGGGGTTTCACCATGTTGGCCAGGATGCTCTTGATCCTCCTGACTCTGCCTCCCAAAGTGCTGGGATTACAGGTGTAAGCCACACCCCTAGACTTTTTGTCCTTTTTTTTTTTTTTTTTTTTTTTGGTATCCAGCCTTTTATTTGGTTTTTTAAAGTTAAAAAGTAGCACACACTTATTTTGTTACAAACAAAGCAGATATATAAGGAAAAAGTTGATTGATCAGTCCACTCTCCCCTAATAACTCCTTTTGACAAGTAAACAATGTCAAAAGTTTGACTCAGACTGTCTGTCCACGACCATCCTCACACATACAAATCTGGGTGTTTTTGTGTTGTGTGGCTGTTGTTTTACAGAACCAGAATCACACATATCAATCTGCAACTTTTTCCTCTTCATGTATTATGGAATCCCTCCAAACCAATCCATAGGGATCTCACCCATCATATTTATTAGCAAGACAAATATTCCACAGGATGGGTAAACTGAATTGATTCAGCTATTCCCCTACTGGGAGATATTTGGATGGTTTCCCATTTTCCACCCCTTGAAACAAAGCTTCCAAACCCATTCTTTTGCTTGTATTCACCAGATCTCTTATTTCAGAAAGATTCCTTACAGTAGAATGCATCATTCAAAGATATCTCTATGTATTTTAGTAGATAATGCCAGATTATTTTCCAAAATTTTAGTAATTTTTACACTCTTACCAGCAAGAAATGTGTGTTCTCTTTACTGCAGAAATAGCCTCCCAGCCAGAGTGAAATAGTAAAGCTGTTTATAGTCTATGTTAATTTCACATGTGAAAAAAAAGAGTATGCTGTTGTTTTAATTCACATTTCTATGAAGACCTCAGGGGTTAAGGACATTTTTAACGTTTATTGACTTGTATTTCCTCTTCTTTGATTTAATTGCCTGTTTGTATTCTTACCCATTTTTTATTTTATTTTATTATTTTAAGGTATACTTTTTAAAAAAATTTCAGATTTACAGAAAAATTGCAAAGATAGTAGTGTTTCCATATACCCAACACCATTCCCTCTAACAGTATCATCTTACATTAATATGGTACATTTGTTATCATTAATGAGCAAATATTCATGTATTATTATTGACTAACATCCATATTTCATGGAGGTTTCTTTAGCTCTTAGTTTTTATGTCACATCCCTTTTCTGTTTCAAGATCCCACTCTGGAGGCCACGTTGCATTTAGTCATCACATCTCCTTCAGCTCCTGTTGGCTGTGACGGTTTCTCAGGCTTTCCTTGTTTTTGTTGACCTTGACAGTCTGCAAAGTACTAGTCAGGCATTCTGCAGGATGTCCCTATCTTGTGCTGTGTCTGGTGTTTTCCTCGTGGCTGGACTGGTGTGAGGGTGCATGCCCCCCACCAGACTTACTGCTGTTGGTACTGACCTTGATCACCTGGCTGAGGTGTGTTTGTCAGGTGTCTTCACTGTGAAGTTACTCTTTCCTCACTTTGCATACTGTGCTCTTTGGAAGGAAGTCACTAAGTGCAGCCCTCACTTAAGGAGTGGAGACTTGAGCTCCACCTACTTGAAGGTGGAGTATCTTCATAAATTATTTGGAATTCATCTGTATGAGAGACTTGTCTCATCTCCCCCATTTAATTTTTTATTCAATTGTTCATTCATAACAGTATAGATGCATGGAAACTTACTTTGTACTTTGGGTTATAATCCAATACTACTTAATTGTGTTGCTTAAATGGTTACGGATTTGACCACTGGGAGCTCTTTTAGTTTGCCCCCATGTCCCTTTGACATGCCCCAGTGATATGGATTGCTTTTAAAGCACTTCCTTACTTTTTGGTACTACAAGATGCTCCAGGTTCCCCTGTGTATTTCCTGCCCCAGTCCTAGAATCAACCATTTCTCCAAGGAGTCCTGATTTCTTAAATTGAAGAATAGCATGAAAAACCAAGTTCTGGGCACAAGATCTGCCCTTTTGTTACTGGGGTGTCATTGTTTCTAGGCTCTCTCAGCTGACAGAGCAAGGAAATATATGTGGGCATACTAACCAGTAACCGGGGTATGTTCCACCATACCCCTGACAATTGCATATATATATATATATATATATATATATATATATATATACACACACACACACACACATACACACACACACACACACACACACACACACACACATATATATGCAAAATAGGGCACTCAAGATAGGAAGCCAGATGATTGACAGATAGATAGATAGACACATATCTATATTTCTGTGTGAACATGAGCTCATTTCTGTGTCTGCAACTGTAATCCATTATCACATGGATCATGCTTGTCACCTCTGCCTGTGTATTTGTAAATTCCCAACCCAACAGTGAGAAACCTGCTCTCACCATCCAGCAATATATATTAATTGTTCAACTTTGGTATACATGGATGGCAGTATCAGAATGTTAACCTGTATCCTGATGGGGAAAAATGTTATCTACTAGAGTACAGTGCTTACGTGCGGTTCTTTTTGCCTTTAGTCTTAGGGACTTTACTCATTCTAAAAGTTACTTAGGTCAGCACCTTTTCCCTCACCCTCTTCAGTGAGATGTTTTGATACATTTGTAATACAGTTAGATTCTTTTGTCACAGTCTGCAGTCTATGCTGAAATCACCTTACCTCCTAAATGATTTTTTAAATACTTGTATACGTTGGACCACTCTTTGTGCTGTAAAGTTCTTTGGGTTTTGACAAATGCATAGCATCCTGTGCCTACCGTCACAGTATCATTCAGAATAGTTTCATCACCCTAAAAAATATCCCCCATGCTTTATTCAACCCTCTATCCCCCTCCCACGATACCCCTGGCAATTGCTGATCTTTTTACTATTTTTATAGTCTTTCTGTTTTGTTTTGCTTTTGAGACAAGGTCTCTCACTTTGTTACCCAGGCTGGAGTGCAGTGGCAGGAACACAGCTCACTGCAACCTTGACCTCCCAAGCTCAGGTGATCCTCCCACCTCAGCCTCCTGAGTAGCTGGGACTACAGCTGTGTGTTACCACACCCAGCTAATTTTTGTATTGTTTGTAGAGATGGGATTTTCCATGTTGCCCTGGCTGGTCTCAAACTCCCAGACTCAAGTGCTGGGATTACAGGCGTGAGCCACCATGCCTCTTTATAGTTTTTTTTTTTTTCCCCTAGAATGCCATATCATTAAAATCATACAGTATACAGCCTTTCAGACTGACTTTTTAAATTTAGTAATATGCATTCAAGTTTCCTTTATGTGTTTTCCTTGATAGCTCATTTCTTTTTATCATAGAATAATATTTCATTGGATGGATATACCACAGTTTATTCATTCACCTATTGAGAGACATCTTGTTTGCTTCTAGTTCTTGGAGATTATGAATAAAGCTGCTACAAACATTCTTCTTGCCCATTTTAAAATTGTTTGTCCTCTGCTTTTCAAATTGACTACTAAGGATATAAATTTTATCAAGTTTTAACTATTTTTTCCTAACTTATTCTTTCTCTATTGGCTTTATTTAGAAATGTAATTGACTATGTCTATATTTCAGCTATGGCTTCTGGGCACTCAGTCTGCCTTAGATTGCTTTCCTCCATTCTAAGCTTAAAAGATGTTCTTCTGAACTTCTCTTTCCTTACATATTATGGGAGAGTGCGTAGACTTAGGCAAAAGTGATAGAAACGCTGCAGAATAGCAGAGGGAATGGAGGGATCGTTACTTGGGGTAGCGCAGGGCTTTGCCTATGAATTCTGAGTAGTTTGTCCTTTGAGCTTTCTAGGATCAGCTCTGAGTGAGGGTTTTCATGGGATCTTTGGACACTGCAGTTCTAGGAGTAAGGAGCTATGTGGCCTGACTTTGGAAAAGAAAAATCAGACCCCAGAGTTGTTTCCCTGAGCCCACCCGTCCCATTCCTGCACCCCTTTATTTGTGTGATCTGTATTTCTCTCCCTGCTAGACCATAAGCACCATAAAGTTGGGGAGCAGGTCTGGCTTTTGATACCTGATTCCTCAATGTCTGGCATGATGGCCTGTGGGCAAGCAGAAAAGCAGATAAGGAGGAAGAAAGGAAAGAAAAGAGTGAAAGAAGCAAGGAAGGAAGGAAGAGAGAAAGGGAGGGAGGGAGGAAGAAAAAAGGAAAGAGAAAGAAAGAAAAAAGGAAGAGAGGGGGAGGAGGGGAGGGGAGAGGAGAGGAAAAGAGAGGAGGGGAGGGGAAGGGAGGGGAGGGGAGAGGAGAGGAGAGGAGGAAAGAAATGAAAGGAAGAAAGAAGGAAAGAAAGCTGATTATTTTCCATTAACCCTAAAAGTCCACTTCAAGTTCTCCTCTGCTCTGCTGTGGGCCCGGGCAGCTAACCCCGTAAATTGCATCATCAGAGTCCCTTGCCTTTGGGTGTCCCACTGGAGCTGGCCAAGGAGGATGCACTATGGGCGAGTTGGAGTCTGGGAGCAAAGAGAGGTGGGAGTATTTATTCCTCTCACTCCCCACCCACTGGGCAGTCCTTCTGGCAGCGGCAGCATCCGTCTACAGCCCAGCTCCTCCTGTGAAGCAGCCCTGGGTCCAGGGCTCCAGCTTTTTCCTGGGCACCAGTAACACCATTGTTTCCCTCCTCTCTGGGCCCAGTGCAAGGACAGCTTCCCTCTGCTGGTAGCTGCTGTGCGCACAGCATCCCTTGTTACTCAAGTGGAGCCACCCTCGTTTCTGTAAAGCCACTTCATTAAAGCCTGTCAGAATCCCAGTGGAATGTCCTCTGTTTCCTGCCTGGACTCTAACAGGTCCCTAAACGGAGAACACAGGGAGAGATGTAAAGGGAGCCTGGAAGGACAAGGGGGCTTCTCAGAAGACCCTCACTCACCTTACTTCCCAGGAGAATTAAACCCCTCAAGACCTGGGGAGCAAGTTCTTGTTATTTCCCTCATTTGTTCTCTGAGGGGAGAAGAAGGCATAGAAAGGACTTGTGTGTGACCCACACAATATGGCCTGAGTCACTCCTGTCACCCCATGATTAGTGGCTCTGTCCTTCCTGTGCCCCTCAGTGCTTGGTTCTATCTCAATAGGTATCCTTGATAAGGTGGCATTGTCACTTATCAGTTTATTTTTTAATTTTTATTTTTTTTTGAAACAGGGTCTCACTCTGTCATCCAGGCTGGAGTGCAGTGGCATGATCTCAGCTCACTGCAACCTCCGCCTCCTGGGTTCAAACAATTCTCATGCCTCAGCCTCCCAAGTAGCTAGGATTTCAGGCAAGCAGCACCGCACTTAACTGATTTTTGTATTTTTAGTAGAGACAGAGTTTCACCATGTTGGCCAGGCTGGTCTCAAACTCCTGACCTCAAGTGATCTTCCTGCCTCAGCCTCCCAAAGTGCTGGGATTACAGGCATGAGCCACTGCTCCTGACCACTTATCAGTTTATATGTCTATCTTCCACACTAGACTAAAAACTCCTAAAAGCCTAAGATTTCTGGTCATGGCCATTCTGCATCCTGCCCGGCTTCTTGCAGGCTGCCCTGCACAGAGTAAGTCCTCACGTGGGTTCACATGAAGAAGGAATAGAGGCTTCACCCACAAATGAACTCTATGGTACACACTTCTAGAATCCACCCCCTTCCTAGGCGGTAGAACAACCCCACTTAGTGGCCCCCGTCCCACTAAGAGCAGAAGTTATTCCAACCACATGGGGTTCTACCTCCAAAGCCCAGGGCCAGTCCCTGAAGGCTAAAAAACCCATTTGACACTGATGATACCGGAAGGTGACTAAGCTGCTGACTCAAGAAAACCAACTTCCTCTTCCAGGATCATCGCCTAATCTATGATCAAGTAGTTTTACTCTGACAAATCCTGGCCTCGTGCTTTCCTGCCACCTTCGCACGGCTCTCCAAGATGTTTGTCTCAATCACCTTTTTTGTCCCTGTACCCTTATTTCTGTTGCCATCTCTCATGTAATCTGAAGGATCTGTGCTAGCTCCTAAACACCTCACTAGGAGACCCTGACCACACACAGGAAACATGAGGGGACCACATCCTCCCATTCCCAAACCAAGAGATGCTCATTAGAAATCTGGGCTGTCCCAGAAAATCTGGAATACACACTCATGATATTTATATACCAACACTAAGCCTTGATCCATTTCAATTAAAATGGTTTTAATAACCCGAAATAAGGCCAGGTGCAGTGGCTTATGCTTGTAATCCCAGCACTTTGGGAGGCCGAGGTGGGCAGATCACCTGAGGTGAGGAGTTCAAGACCAGCCTGGCCAACATGGCAAAACCCTGTCTCTACTAAAAACACAAAAATTAGCCAGGCATGGTGGTGCATGCCTGTAACCCCAGCTACTCAGGAGGCTGAGGCAGAAGAATCACTTGAACCCAGGAGGTAGAGGTTGCAGTGAGCTGAGATCGTGCTATTGCACTCCAGCCTGGGTGACAAGAGGGAAACTCTGTCTCAAAAACAAAAAAACAAAAACAGAAATATAATTAGAAAAAAAAGTGAAGAAAAGTTATTGAAGTGTGTCTGACTGTAGTTGTTTCCACAGACGTGGTGACCATATTCCTTCTAAAGCAGTATTAATCCTAAATGCTCTATTAGGAGAACATTTTAAATGCTAAATATTGTGATTCTTTTGATGTTATGTTGTTTTCAATAAAAGCAGTTGTGTGTATAATAAAGTATGATGTTTTCTACACCGCTGTTGAGACTTTTCATCTAAAATCACAAACCAGAGGACAGCATCAGCTCAGCTCAGCTCAGCCCTGGAGTCATTCCAGCCCAGGTGTCAGGGAATGAAGAAGCCTCCCGAAGATTCCAGCCATTTGGATCTTCCCAGATGAGGGGGACCAAGCATCCCTGCCATGTCCCATCTGAATTTCTGACCTACAGAATTTATGAGCATAACAAAATAGCTTACAGCTCCCACCCCTAAATTCACAAACCAGAGTAAAACTCTTTTGAGACCACTTTCCTTAGTTTGGTGAATAAAAATGCAGTTATCACTAAAATTTGAGTTGAAAAGAAGGGCTATCTTCCCTCCGAGCCTTTCAGACTGGAAATTCTAGGTATTCTGATGCTTGGTGGCCCCCATCCCACTAAAAGCAGAAGTTATTTCAACCACCTGGGGTTATCTCATCCCCTTGTGGGTACTCTGTACTGTGCGAAGAGAAAGGTGACCCGCTGACTGCAAGAGCTTCTAAATGGTGGACCAGTTGCCCAAGAACAGTGTCTGCTGGATTTCAAGCAACCTGCCTGGTGTCCTGGCTCCAGGACTCTTCCTGTCACTGATACATTCTCTGAGGCACACTTGAGGGCCTGGAATCATCGCCTTTGTCGTCTGTCCAAGGCCAGGTTTACATCCACCACGTTGCTGACGTTTGTGTGCCAACAAGTCCCAGGTCTTGGTGTGGCTCAGGGAAAGGGGTATTCAAGTCTGATTGTCAAATGCTCTACACTCATCAGGATCCACAGGCCTAAGCAAGGGGTGTGTTTTGTTTTTGTTTTATACCTTTAGGGACAAGAACAAATACTTACTGCAGCTCCAGATGGGAAGGAAGTGCTTCCAGGTTAGTAATAAAAGCAGTTGCTCCCTGAGGATAAATTCTGAGTCCATCTTCCACCCAGGATCACAAACCGTGTGACTCATCCAGGCCTTGGTTGACAATTGCGCTATGTAAAGGCCAAAAACCCTACAAACTTTACTGGAATTCATCTGGGTCACCCAGCAACACCTTCTCCCTTTACTTGTTTTACAAACCCACAGTCTTCTGGTTTCAGTATCCATTTTAGCTTAACTTTTAGCATAATGTCCTCAGCCAAAGAGCTAAATGAGAGTGTCCCAAACTTTTCCAACCTGTGACACTCATAGACACTTGAATGGGAGAGGAAGACAAAGACAGACAAAGAAAGAAACAGAGAGGGGCAGAGATAGAGACAGAAAAAGAAGGAATTTTTGTGCAAGGAAGAGAAGTTGAAATAATTTTAAAACTTACTTATTCCATTAGTTCTGGGGACATGAAGAATTCACTAAATAAAACTATTTTACAATGACTGAAGAACAGTCACCTGAGGATCTTTAATAATATCATTTTATTTCCTTTTTTTTTTTTTTTTTTTTTTTGAGATGAAGTCTCACTCTTGCGGCCCAGGCTGAGTGCAATAGTGTGATCTTGGCTCACTGCAACCTCCGCCTCCCAAGTTCAAAAGATTCTGCCTCAGCCTCCCAAGTAGCTGGGATTACAGGCACCCACCACCATGCCCGGCTAATTTTTGTATTTTTAGCAGAGATGGGGTTTCACCATGTTGGCCAGGCTGGTCTCGAACTCCTGACTTCAGGTGATCCACCCACCTCAGCCTCCCAAAGTGCTGGGATTACAGGCGTGAGCCACAACGCCTGGCGCAATAATATCATTTTATAAAATAATCCACTACCTGAGCTTTAAAAGAAATCAAATAATACAAGATAGTCATTGGGTATGGATTCTCCCCAGTCCTATACCTGCGAAATTTTAAATTCATAATCCAGTGAAATAGCTCTTTGGCTCTAAAATATATTCCATGAACACTAAGAAGTGTAATGATCAGGCCAGGTGTGGTGGCTCACAGGTGTAATCCCAGCACTTTGAAAGGCTGAAGCGGGCAGATCACTTGAAGCCAGGAGTTTGAGAACAGCCTGGGCAATATATCAAGACCCCATCTCTACAAAAAAAATACATAAAATTTGCCAGGCATGGTAGTATGTTCCTGTAGTCCCAGCTACTCAGGAGGCTGAGGTGGGAGGATTGCTTGAGCCTGGAATTTGAGGCTGCAGTGAGCCAAGATTGTGCCACTGCACTTCAGCCTGGGCGATGGAGCAAGACCCTGTCTCAAAAATAATAATAATAATAAAGAAGTGTAATTATCTTCATTGCTCTTAGTTCTACAGTATTACCAAGCATGTTTATTAGAAGGTGGCACATTTGCCTAATTTACATGTTCATTCATAACATGTGCGGGGCAGTGGAGCAGCTCAGAGCCTCTCGTCTTTCAGTTCCCATGTGGGCCGATTTCTCACTTCTGCACCTTCAAGAGTCACCCCCATTCCCATCTCCCACCCAGGTAGATGGGGTCAGGTGTTTACGGCTGGACCCTGACCTACAAAATTGCATTAAAGGCCACAGCAGAGCTGTCCAAGCTCTGGGGTTCATCTGACCAGCCAAGGGCAATTTTGAAAACAGCAAATGTTTCTTCTTTCCTCTCCTTTGTATCAACTTCCTCCCCATCCTCAGGAACCCAGTTAGTTCATGGACTAAGCCCTGCTCTGTGCCTTTCCTGCAGGCCTCAGACAGGGCCCACAGCCAGGCTCTGCCTCCCACCCAGGCCTGCTTCACCTCCCCGCACTTTCTCTGAGATTGGAGGGCACTTCACTCCCACACTGTTTGATTTACTTCTTGATCCCACACTGTCAAGTGCGCTGACAAGTACATCACGGAGCTTAGTCTTGCCTTAAAATATAGAAGCTCCTGGCACTGTGAATTACTCAGAGCAGTGGACTCAGTAGATACATCCTTGTCTTTCTAGCAAGTCTTTCCCTATAGGGGTGGTGAGCAGACCAAGGCCGCCAATTCCCTGCAGGCCAGACTCAGGCTTACCTGAAGCTTCCTTTGAGACAGGGATGTTGACAATAAATCTTGGGAATGCCCAGGGCCAGTCTGGAAGGCCCATTTGTCCTCTCTAGCTCTTGTACATTCAGTTTCTTTGGCTGTCTCCCCCCTCTACCCTGAGCCCCTTTATAGCATCCCTCCTTGAGTCTAGTGTGAGGCATTTGTGAAAAGGATGCTTTCTCTCTCCATCCCTGTTGCAGAGCACGGTATCTGGCATTCAAAATGATAAAGTCTAGCTGGCAGGTTGATGGATGAATGGATGAGCTGCAGGACCAACAGAAAGGAGGGTGGGTCAGTGTGTGAGTGAATCAAAGAATGAACTGTTCCTAAGAGTGTCCTGGAATGGCGCCCACCAGAGGACAGAAGTTCCTGCTTATCCAACGTGTTAGGACCTCAGTGGATTTATATAAGACACAATAAAATTATCGATAAATGCTTCAGGTTTGTAAAAATATGTTTTTTAGTGTTTATTTTCCACATTGAAGAAGTACTGGTGGCTGCCAAAGACCCCAGTGACATCCCATTGACTCTCTAGGGTGAAATTTCTTCAAAATCATTTTCCAAAAATTTGTATCTTAGAAAATAGAATATTTATAAACATATATTCAAAACATGGCAAGATACTTATACAGGTAAATTTTTGAAATGTTCAATATGTTTTATTCACCACTTCTTTTAGAGGGCCATTACTTCCCTTAATTGGAAGCAAAATATATCTGTTACCACCATCAATATTCTTCAGCCTTGAACTTGAAGGAAGCTTTTTGTCTGTGAATTTTTGTTTGTTTGTTTTGAGACAAGGTCTTGCTCTGTTGCCCAAGCGGGAGTGCAGTAGCATGATCATAGCTCACTGCATCCTCGATATCCTAGGCTTCAGGTGATCCTCCTGCCTCAGCCTCTCAAGTAGCTAGGACCACAAGCATGCGCCATCACACCTAACTATTTTTTTTTTTAATTTTTAGTAGAGGCCAGGCGCAGTGGCTTACGCCTGTAATCCCAGCACTTTGGGAGGCCAAGGCGGGTGGATCATGAGGTCAGGAGTTCGAGACCAGCCTGGTCAACATGGTGAAACCCCATCTGTTCTAAAAATACTAAAAATTAGCTGGGCGTGGTGGCGCATGCCTGTAATCCCAGCTACTTAGGAGTCTGAGGCAGGAGAATCGCTTGAACCTGGGAAACGGAGGTTGCAGTGAGCCGAGACTGCGCCACTGCACTCCAGGTTGAGCAACAGAGCAAGACTCCGTCTCAAAAAATTAAAAAAAAATAATAAATTTTTAGTAGAAATGAGGTCTTGCTATGTTGCCCAGACTGGTCTCGAGCTCCTGGGCTCAAGCGATCTTCTCACCTCAGCCTCCCAAAGTGCTGGGATTACAGAGGAGAGCCACCGTGCCTGGCCTAAAGGAAGCTTTTAAAATAAAAGGCTGGGATAGCTTTAATATCCCATCCAGAGCTTCTCAACCTTAGCTGCATTCTTAAATCACTTGGGAAGCTTTTAAAAGTCACAATGCCCAGGTTGCATCTCAAGTCTATTACATTAGATTATCTGGAGAAAGGACATAGACATCTGTATTTTGTTTTAATTTTTGCCTTTTCTAGTTTTTAGTTTTAGTTTAGCTTTGTTTTTTTATGTTTTGTTTGGCATCCATATTTTTAAAGCGCCCCCAGTGATCCCCATGTGCAGCCAATGCTGAGAACTACTGCCTTCACCCACATGCAGCTGAAACTCATGAAGAGACTTACTGTGCAAACTGGAGGGTTTTATGTTCCCTCTGAGAGTCAGGTTTGAAACCAGCCAGTATCCTCATTCTGATTGTTCCCCATCATCTCGTACTTTCTTTACACTTATTTCAATCCTGGTAATAAAGAATGGCTCATGGGCTGTGTCCTCCAGGCAGATCCAAGTTCAGGTGACTTACGCTATCATTTTGTGAAAGCTGTACTTTTCCACTCCTGAACTTTGAATTGAACTTCTGTGTCTAAAAGCAGTTTCAGAAATTAAGGAAAGGAGACAGGCCAGGTTCAATGACTCACACCTGTAATCCCAGCATTTTGCGAGGCCGAAGCGAACGGATTTCTTGAGCTTAGGAGTTTAAGACCTGCTTGGGCAACACGGCAAAATCTTGTCTCCACCAAAAATACAAAACTTAGCCTGCCTTGGTAACATGCACCTGTAGTCTCAACTACACAGGAGGCTGAGGTGGGAGGATCATTGGAGCCCAGGAGATCAAGGCTGCAGTAAGCCATGATTGCACCACTGCACTCCAGCCTTCGTGACAGAGCAAGACCCTGTCTAAAAAAAAAGAAAAGAGGCCGGGCACGGTGGCCCATGCCTGTAATCCCAGCACTTTGGGAGGCTGAAGCGGTGGATCCCCTGAGGTCAGGAGTTCGAGACCAGCCTGGCCAACAGGGAGAAACCCTGTCTTTACTAAAAATACACAAAAATTAGCCACGCATGGTGCTGCCCGCCTGAAATCCCAGCTACTCAGGAGGCTGAGGCAGAAGAATCGCTTGAACCCGGGAAGCAGAAGTTGTAGTGAGCTGAGATTGCACTACTGCACTCCAGTCTGGAGGACAGAGCAAGACTCTGTCTTAAAAAAAAAAAGAAAAAAGAAAAAAAAAAGAAAGAAAAAAAAGAAAAAGAAAAAAACAGAAAAAGAGATAGTTGTAATAAATCTCAAGCCAGTTGCAAACCAAAGCTGGTATGTTTATGCTTTTTTTTTTTTTAATGTTTTGTTTGGCATCCATATACTAACCAGAGCTGGCCAATCCCCCAAACCACAAGAATGTTGAAAAATGACAAGCTGTATGGCCACCCCGCCTTGGCCAGCAAACATGCCCCTCGTCCCACCTACCACCCCGTAGTTTTTGTATCCTGATCATTGTCCAGTAAAACCACAATCCCACTGTGCTCGAGGAGTCTCTTTTCCAGACTCCCTACTGCAGTAGCTTTGAAAAAGTGTTTCCTTCAACTCTAACTAATCTGTTTCTGCTTTGACCATTTGGTTTCTGGGCTAGGCCATTTCACTGGATCATCTGGAAAACAATGTCTGGGGATGCCCACCAGAAGAGTGTCTTCTCCTGGAGTTTGGAGGTAGTTGAGTATGGAGGAGGGAATGGGAGGGTGGATCTCACCATATCGTCCTTCTATTGCCATCCACTAATTATTCCAATGTTCACTAACTCTGCAGGGCTCCTGCAGTGGGTTTAACCAAAAGACTTTCACACAACACCAGCAGATTGCAGTTATGTATTCAGTTTCCTACGTACTTCAACAACAGGGGCCATGGGAAGGAGAGGAGAAACATTGGGAGAGCTGCCTGGCTGGAGTAACTGACTTCTATTAAGTAATGGGTTCCTATGCGCACTTTACAAAATCATCTTCCTACAGGAAAATCGGCTTCCACAGGGATAACACGGGTTGCAAGGATCATATGGGCTGCACGGGTTGCAGGGGCTGCAGGGGTTGCAGGGGCTGCAGGGGCTGCAGGGGCTGCAAGGAGAAGTGCAAGGGTAGCAAGGAGACTCGATCTTGACACAGCTGCCGAGCCCATAGGAGTATGTTACATCCTTCTCATCCACACAGGGCGGCAAGCTGAACTCTTTGCAGATGTTCATGTAGCTGTACTTTTTCGATCCAAGGCAGTCGTACCTGTTCTCCCGCTCAGCCGACACACATACCTTTCCATCCTTCACTCGAACTTTGACTTGATCGGGTTCAAAACCGCATACATTCACCGATCCTAAAATGTTACTGCTACAGCAGGAGGAAGCCAGAATTCTATTTGTTGTTCTTCTCAGTCTGGAATTGAGAAAAGGGATAGGGTGGGAGGGAGCTCAGACCTCAGAATCCAGACACAGCTTGAGAAGCAATATTTTGATTTCTAGCTTTTGAAATAGCCAAAGTTAATACTAGCCATTGTGAAAATAAACTTTACACAAATGCATGAAGTAAAAAGTGTGAGTCCACCCATGCGAATCACACTGCCCCGCAAGTACACAGCTGTTAACAATGAATGCGTGCTGCCTGCCCTTCCAAATCTTCTCTCGTATTGAAATACCAGCTCCTCCTCTTATTATTGATCCTTGTGTAGGTTCCTTAACCCTTCTGTACCTCAGTTTCCTCATCTGCAAAATGGAGATAATAATAATGATAACAATAATAATGCCTGCATCATATAGGGCTATTGGAGGATTAGATGAGATTATGATATTTTACTTAGCACTGTGCTTCGTACATTATAAATCCTGCTTAATTATTACCACTCTCATTATTATTACTGTAATTAAATTGTGTATATAACTATAATTAAATTATATAAAAATTATATTTTATATTTATATAGATTAAAAAATGGGATATAACTAAGATACCACTTAAAATCTGCATTTTAGAGATGGCTGTCAGCTTTCGAACCCAGCCCTACTGGTTCATGGGACAGGTGCTACCTCTTGCAATTGCACAGAGACAGCCTGAAAGCTCAATCAAACAATGATGGCAGGAGAGCCCTGGCCTGGCTCTGCCCAGGCTGGTGTTGTGTGAAAGTCTTTTGCCCAGCGCCTGGCTCCTCCAGGCTGGGAAGTCACTCTAGCCTCTGGACAGCTAGCACTAGCAGAAAGGCAGTCAGCTGGGTGGGGCCGTGTTGATCAGATACAGAACAACCTCTCAGTGGTGTCCATAATCAGGATCACATCAGCTAGCAAGAGCTGATCGTGTACATCTCTTCCCGATCCCCAGTTAGTACTGCACGCTGATAGCTTGAAATCAATCATAGTCATGATGAGGATATTTACACCATGGAAATTGGAAAATGCTACATATTAGGGCTCTCCTCTGTCCTCACTGCAGAGCTACTGTGGTTCCTACCTTGTTGCTATTCACTAATTCTATTGTGTAAATCCTTAATAAAAATAACAACAGCAGCTCACACTAATTGATCAGTTATGATCCGTCAAGAGGTAGTAAAGCAAAGTGCCTAAGAACAGACTCTGGAACTGGAGTATCGAGGTTTAAAGCTTGGCTCTAACATGTGGATAACTTACTTCTCGGTGCCTCAGTTTCCTCATCTGTAAAACTGGGACAATAAAAATAGCCTACATCATAGGGTTGTTGTGAGGCTTAAATCAGTTAATGCAAGAAAATATTTACAATAATACTTGGCACATAGGATGTTAAGGTTTTGTCTTTTCTTTTTTTTTTTTTTGCAATGTGCTGTGGAAGGTGCTAAGCATGTTAAAGGCATATTTCATTTAATCTTTACAATAATAACTGTGATGCAGATGTAATTATCACTATATCACTTTTGTATGTTGAATTTTGTTTATGCAGTTACTTCTTTTTGTTACATAAGTTATACAAGTTCATTGTAGAAGACTCAAAATACAGATAAGTAAACATATGGACTATTTTAAAAATACCTATAATCTCATATAACCCTTAGCATTTTGGTGTTTGACTTTATGTGAGTGTGTGTGTGAGTATGTGTCTGTGTGTGTGTGTGTGTGTGTAGTTCTATATACATGTAGAGAGAGAGTTTTGTATGTGTTCTTATGAAATCATGCTATACGTACTGATTTTTATCTGTATTTTCCACTTAAGCCCTAACATGATTAGATAACAGTTTGAGTGCTCACTACCCTTGTACTGAAAGTTACAGATCAAGACTCTTAGTGGCTAATTATAAAATGATCAAACAGAACTCAGTCCCAGAAGACACTGAGGCAAACAGAAACAACTTGTGTAATACACCCAGAGGACTGTATTCAGTCCCATTTCTTTTTTTTCTTTTTTCTTTTTTTTGAGACGGGGTCTCGCTCTGTTGCCCAGGCTGGAGTGCAGTGAGGCGATCTCTGCTCACTGCAAGCTCCGCCTCCCAGGTTCATGCCATTCTCCTGCCTCAGCCTCCTGAGTAGCTGGGAGTACAGGTGCCCGCCACCATGCTCGGCTAATTATTTTTTGTATTTTTAGTAGAGAAGGTGTTTCACCGTGTTAGCCAGGATGGTCTCGATCTCCTGACCTTGTGATCCGCCCACTTCAGCCTCCCAAAGTGCTGGGATTACAGGCGTGAGCCACCGCGCCCGGCCTCAGCCCCATTTCTACCTCTGGCCCCATGAAACCTGGGGGTGGCATGGGGCATGATTGTCTTTCTTGCCCTGGGTGTGCCAGGGTACCCTATGCCACACTAACAAGAAGTAGGAGAATTTTGAACTGTTTGAAATCTTTATCTTTGTGAGGTAAGCAGGAGAACAAGCACTCTATCTTGCTGGATGGGCAGAAAATAGCTCACAAAGATTCAGGGAACCAGCCCAAACTCCAGGCATGGTACCCTCTCTGGATAGATTACAGGCTTAAAGCCAGAGCAGCCAAGGCCAAGGGGAAGCACAGAGCAAGATGGGCACTCTCTGGGCCTTTCAAGACTCTCCCACGGTGTGTGCATGGTCTGAGAATCAAACTTCTCCTGTTCAGCTCAGATCTTCTCATATGAGATGAGAAACATCAAATCCCACCAGGATGATGCAGCCAGGCCTCCTAAAGGAGGGCCAAGGGCCCCAACTAGGAGTCCTTGCTAGTGGCCCTGGCTATGGCCACAGCTGGTTTTGGCAAAGCCCTCTTGACCTCCACAGAAGCTGGATCTGGGAGCCAGGTCTATAAGCCCAAGTCAGCGCCCAGATTCATCTCTAAGTAACCTGGGTCCCAGGGCACAATTTCATGTATTTTGTTGCTTGGGTTCCTCTTTTTTCTCTATTCTGGTCACTTTGGCTCCTGTGGCTCTGCGACAGCACACAAGGATCTCACAAATGTCTTCAGGAAGTTGCCCAAAAAGTCTTGGCCAGATCATACTTCTTTTTCTTCTTGCTTCTAAGTCAGTGGTTATCAGGGAAGATGTGTTGGTTTAGGGGAAACTGCAGAAGCCACATTTTACTCATCAGACTCAACTCTGAACTTGCAATTTGACTCCTGCCTGGTGATGTCCCCATCACCCCACCTGGAATTTTCCATGGCTCTATGGGGTTCTGCGCAAAGGGAGTTTGCCTCCTATACTTGTTATCATGGGGGCGAAGCTTAGTCTCAATAAACATAGGGAAATCAGCTCCTTTGCAGAAGCCTCTTAGGAAAGCTGGGGAAAGCTAGCAGACAGCCAGTGCCTGTGTCTGCTGCTCTGTGCGGCCTCCTCTCCTCCCTGCTAATGCTAAATTTCACCCGGATGTACAACCAAACTCCCGAATATGAAACATGCTGCCCACAGCAATGATCAGCTGCATACCCAGCCATCTTCTCAAAGATAAAAATCAGATTTAACCCGGTCATGAATAAAGTAATGAAGATGTGAAAAATGTCTACCTCTATCAGGGAACCAGGTGGGGCAGGCCTTCCTCTAGGCTTCATTGGAGTACTTTGCTTTTTCTCCTGAATTTAGCCCCATCCCAAAGACCCATTTAAACTCAATCCCTCTCTTTCCAACACATCTTTTTCCTTCTCTTCTCCTTTCTTCTCCTTTTCTCTTATTTTCCAGCCTTTTCTCTCTTCTCCAGGCTTTTGGGTTGATACTGAGGACAATGTCACTCAGCAGGGAGCCAGGCAGCATGGCACAGGTGCATCTGACTCTCCTGCAGGGTTTGTTAAAACACAGGTGGCTGATTAGCCAGGCGTGGTTGTCCGCACCTCTAGTCCCAGTTACTCAGGAGGCCGAGGCAGGAGAATCGCTTGAACCCAGGAGGCAGAAGTTGCAGTGAGCCGAGATCACACCACTGTACTCCAGCCTGGGCGCCAGAGCAATACTCCATCTCAACAAAACAAAACAAAACAAAACAAAACAAAACAACAACAACAACAAAAAACACAGGTGGCTTGATCCCACCCCTAGAGTTTCAGAGGTTTCAGAGCTAGCAGGTCTAGGGTGGAGCTGAGAATCTGCAGTTCTAACATGCTGCAGGTAATGCTACTAATCAGCTTCAGGGGCCACACTACGAGAACCACTGACCAGAGATTAAGCTCACGGATTCCAGACTCGGGCACACACAGCTTCAAGTCTTGGCTCTGCCACCACCTAGTGATCAAGAACATGGCCCCTGACTCTGTTTCATTGTCTGTAAGATGACCAAGATAATATCACCCAACATGTCACCCATGTTACAAGGCTTAAATGAACATGAAGTGCTAGTAACAGTTTCACTCAATAAAGTGTATGTCTTCTTAATCAAGCTGCACCAGGCCCCACCTTACATGGACTTGCCCTAATCTGAAGCTTTAAGTCTTATATCAATAAACAGCAAGGTCAAACCAAATCATACCAATGCATTTGGCCTAGATGGGGAGAGACTCTTACCCCCACAGCCAAGGGGTGACTGAGCTCTGAGAACTATGGATGTGAAGAGTCTATGATGAGAGGCAGCCAAGGGCCCAACTCACTTCCACTTCTGCAGAGGACACAGAGGTTAACAAGGGAGAGCTCCCCTCAGTGGGAGTGGAAGAGCCAGCCTTTCACCAGCCAGAAAGCCCCATAGGGCTCACTTATACTCCGACCTCTGGGTCAGAGAATGAGAGAGACTAGAATGTTTTCTCTGAGGGCTTAGACCTGGGCAAGGCACCTCTAAATCCACAAAGAGCTCACCATGAGGCCTGACTGTCATCAGCCTCACCAAGCAAGAGTGGATTCAGTGAAAACCTCATCCTCAGAGCATGAAGGGGGAACCAAGAAATGAGAAGGCAGATTTTTGAAGTTTTGAGAGTGCCCCTGGTGTGGGGATTTCAAGGGAATTTTTCACTGAGATTCGTGCCAACAACAGACACTTGGGTACGTGGACAGAAACACGGTCTCAGGATTCGTTTCTAGGTACCGGTAAAGAGTACAGCTGTAAATCAAGGTTCATTTGCTCACGAGGACTGCTTGGTGTCCTGGCCACATGGGGCACCCATGAATTAGATCATAAACTCCTAGGGCAAGATTGAGGAGGGCCTGGGTTTTGTTTCTCCGGCTCTAAGACAGAGGGCAGGGAAGCCCATGAAATGTGGTGGTGAATCAGTTACAACTTAAATCAGGCTGGTGGCATGGCTTCCGACAAAGGAAACCAATGCAGTCCCCTCAGCCCCTCTAAATCCAGAAGAGGGAGGAAGAGACAGGGACACTGCCTGCCTCTTGGGGAGGAAAAGAGGATATCAAAGAAGCTACAGAAACAAAGGTGCTTACTTGGGTCTCTACTAAGGAAGACACTGCCAACATGGTGTCTTCTGAAGCAGCTGCCCAATAAAGAATGGAAATGGATTGGATTTTCTTTTATTTATTTATTTATTTTTTGAAACAGGGTCTCTTTCTATTGTCCAGGCTGGAGTGTAGTGGCATAATCATGGCTTACCGCAGTCCTGACCTCCCAGGCTCAAGCAGTCCTCCCACCTCAGCCTCCTGAGTACCTGGGACCACAAGCATGTGCCACCACACTTGGTTAATTTTTTTATTTTAATTTTTATAGAGATGGGGACTCCCTGTGTTGCTCAGGCTGGTCCCAAACTCCCGGACTTGAGCAATTCTCCTATTACAGCCTCCCAAAGTGCTGAGATTACAGGTGTGAACCACTGCACCCAGCTTGGATTGGATTTTCTATGCCCAGTCTAAGAAAACACCACACACATGCATCAATCAAATAACATATAGTCAGGAGTGCTCAAGAAACCTGTGGGATCAATTAAGAAATTGTTGGTTGAGGCTTTTTACCAGTTATTAAAGGAGGACCCAGAGACACAGCAGATTGACTGTGACACAGAAAAACAGTTTCAAGGGGGCCAAGGCAACTATAGACTATAGAGTCTTTACTTCATATTGGGCAAAGAACCTTCTGGACAACACAGCCTGCCATCTGAAAGGATATGTCATAACTAACCAACCCCCTTGCATTCTTTAAAGGGGAGGAAGGTCATGTGAATATGAATTCTAAACTCAAAAAGCCTTGGGCAAGCTTTCACACCAAAGATTGTTTTAAAAAATTGAATCAACATGATATTTCTGCATCTATTTAGTTATGGATCAGGCGCTAGCTTAGAGATAAGAATAAAAGGCACTGCACTAGAAGAAAAAATACTACACTGGGGGCCTTCTGGGACTGAGGCTAGAATCAGGGTTTAACATTTTCACCCATATTCAGGAAAATTGAATATTTAGGTTTGCAAGTGACACTAAGCCCTTCTGGAGAGTGAAATGTCAAGTTGTCAGAAATAGAGCATAGAAATTTCACAAGGTGGTGTGAATTGGAAGAGATAAAGCGGACAAGCCTGAGGTCATTTCTACAATGGACTTGGAGTTATCATTTCCGAGATCCAGAAATTAATGTAAAGACATCACCAGCTTCACATATTGCCTGCAGGCAGAGAAAAAATAGGCAAAGACCCAGACGCTGTCAGGAAGAGCATCACAAACCAGAGAAAACATTACCTCTTGCCTAAACTACACTGCCGAGAATTAAGCTTGAAGCTGTTTCTACTGCATGCCAAGAAACAAGGCTTCTGAAAGAGGCATCAAGAGAGTAGACAGCACAGGACAGAGAGGGATTTTAATTGGTAGAGTCTGGGGATAGGAGAGAAGCCAGGAAGACAGAGGCTGGAAAGACCTGGACAAGGGTATTCAAGTATCCAAAAGTAGGAGGAGAGTGGATACTGATCTGCTCACAAGGAAACCTTAACTTGGACCAAATATTTTAAAAAGAGTCCCTGCCTCACAGTGTGAGCAATTTATGTGACTTGATGCCCTAAGAAATAAAAACAAACATTGGTTCAAAGAGTATAGATGAATTTACAGGTGAAAGCTCCCAGGCTATGAGGGAGGTTCATTCCTGACCATTGGTGGCTGGTGACCTAGACAATAATTATCCTTTTTTTTTTTTTTTTTTTGAGACAGTCTCACTTTGTCACCCGGTCTGGAGTGTAGTGGTGCAATCTTGGCTCACTGCAACCTCTGCCTCCTGGGTTCAAGTGATTCTCCTGCCTCAGTCTCACGAGTAGCTGGGATTACAGGCACGTGCCACTACGCTTGGCTAATTTTTTTTTTTTTTTTTTTTTGTATTTAGTAGAGATGGGGTTTCACCATGTTAGCCAGGCTGGTCTCGAACTCTTGAGCTCAGGTGATCTGCCCGCCTCCGCCTCCCAAAGTGCTGGGATTACTGGCATGAGCCAATGCACCCGGCCTCCTATTGCTTTTTCCAAAGAAACATCACTGTCACTGTTGTCAAGAGACTCTATCTATCTATCATCTATCTATCTATCTATCTATCTATCTATCTATCTATCTGTCATCTGTCTATCAGTTTTTCTGCACTTTGCTTGTTTGACTTAATACATCAATATGTAAGATGCTTCATCAATCCTTTCTATATTTACTTATTATTCCAGTGCATGAATGTATTATTTATTTAACCAGGGACAGCACTTTCAACCATCTTTTTCATCAACAGTAACAGACTAAATGGCATATGTAAAAAGTTAGAAAAGGAAAGTTTTCTCCAGGCAAAAAGAAAATATAATCTAAAACAAAAATTTTTTTAAAAAACTGACTCTTTTTAATTACCCAATTCAATTAAAAAGCCTTTCAAGTCTATCCTGAAAGCTACAACTCAGTGCCATAGTTTATTTGCAAGACCTTTGCTAGAGTTAGAGGGGAGGCCAACATGATAGACCTAATTCCAGATACAAGGTAAGTCTTTGCCTGGAGTGGGGGGATAGGAGAATGATATTCCCACAAAACCAAGGCAATGCCTCTACTGTTCAATTTGCTCTCCTGCTTGTAAAGCCTCTGGCACACATTAAGGATTTGATCTATTATTATTACTTCTCCTGTAGTCATTTCTGTAAGTCCAAATATACTCAAATCACTTTACTCATAACCAGGAAAAATGTTTAGTTTGCTGCTTCCAATGGCTTTTTAATGACACCCCCTGTTTCTTCCCTTCATTAAAGCCGCATTATTTATCATACTGGCATTCTTGCTATAAACCACCGACGACCTTGCCAATCGACATCATTACATTGTCTTTTGAGAACCCTACAATTCCCATCATGGACTCATTTACTCTTCTTTCCTTAAATCTTTCCTAAGTCACCAGGGTCATTATCCTGAACCCTTTTAATCTTTGTTCAACTATTGATTGTCACATATTTTTCCTTATTCCAACTTATAAGGCTAATATACCGACTATAAAAATTTAAAAATAAGTTATTTTACTTGGCAAGCTCTCGCTTCTCATCTTCTATGGCTCTGATGGCTTTCCTCTCCAAACTTCTGAGAGATGGTCGCAGACAGTAAAGCTTATAATCACACAGGCAACATGGGTAGAGATCACACAGGCCGCAAGAGCGTGATCGCTTGGAATAGCACAAGCAGTACGGATATGGGTGCAAGTCACAGCAGCAATAGGGGTGCATATACAAGTCGCACAGGCACCGTGTGCTAAATTCGTCGATGCATCTCAGTTGCCTTAGTTCTCTGTCCACCTTCTTTATGTCCCTTCTGACACTGTCCAAGAGACAACTCAGTGCAGCCATTATGGTCACACCTGATTGTTCTGTGAGTACCTTTGGGAAATGGCACTCCGGGAAAAAATTTGTTCTAAGCCCTTCTCAGAAGTTGCTTTTAAAAATAAATGAGGCACACATGATTCACTTACTTTAAAGCTTGTGTTCTATGACCTCACCACCTTCTGAAGTATGTCATAGTCTTCTGGTTACCATGTGAACTGTACACAGTCATGGTCTCCAGAGACCATCCTCAGAGTTACAGAGCTACTCTCAGAACCATACTCGTGTTGAGATTTCACTCACCTTCAAGGAGGATGGGTCTCCCAAGCGAGCATAGCTCATCGGGGTGCATGGGGCTGGCCACTAACATCCTTGCCTTGTGTGTGCTCTGGGGACCAGCCATGGCTATGACTGTGTGTTTGTTGAACTTGGTGCAGGCGAAGGCAGGAGCTGCCCACGCCTTTCTCCATGACCTTCTAGCTCTAGCCTTGATTGGAAGCTTGGCCTTGCTCCTTTTGTTCTAGAATTCATTCTGTCTCCAGACAGGTAGAATATAAAGAATGTTCTCATCATTCTCCTCCTACCAAGTCATCCTCAAGTCAGCCATTGTCCTTGACCTTCTGAGTTACAAGTCTCTGAGTCCTGCCCATTCTGCGCCAGCTGTGGTCATGGCTGTTCGGGAACCTCATTTCTCTACTGGTTGGGGGTCCTGTCCTTAAGCTCCCATCTGTCAGTCCTCGGGGGCCTGTCCTGGGGAACTACCTCCCATCAACTACACCTTTGGTCTTGCATCCAAGCCTCCGGATGTCTTGTCCCTGAGTGCTTCCCAAATGTTGGTCTTTGATGTTCTTGTAGCCAACCGCCTGAAGATGCTGGAAGCCAACTGCCTGAAACCCCCGCTTCGGCCAGTTTCCTTTACTTTCTGTTCAGTTAACATCCTAGACCTCTGATTCGGCCTCAGATTTGGCTCTCGGTGCCTCTACTCCTCTGGTCCTTTCACCTCAAACTGCGGTCCAGCTCTCGAGTCTCCCTTGTATGAACTAGAGCTCAGGTATTGATGACAAGTGGTTGGATGTGACACTGGTGAGGGAGACAAGGGCCAGGTTTGAAGGGACCTGTAGCCAGACTAAGGACTCTGAACTTTATTTTGAGCCCAACGAAGGATTGTTGATTTTCTTTTCTTTTGTCAGAAGTGAGACAGCCACACTGAAGGTAAGTTGCTAGGGACAATAGTAGTGGGGTTTTCTGCTGCAAGACAAGAAGAGACAACAAAAATCTGGACTGGGGATCATGGCTATGGGGATGGCAAGGAGGAAGCCAATGGGAAAGCCTTCCCCCACCTCTGCCCAGGCCCCATCTAATCCATTTTCCACATTGTAGCCACAGCGACTTTCATATAGAAATCTGTCATTCCTCAACCTTCCCCACCCATCATCCCACTCACCTTAAAAGTCTTCTCTGTCCTCTCAAAAAAAGGACCAAAATCTTTACCAGGTGCTGAGCAATGGGGCCTCTCCCACTTCCCCACTCTCCTCTCCCATCCTAGTATTATTGCAATTCATTACCCCTCAGCCACGATGGCCTTCCTGGAAGACCACTCACTTTCCAGAGGCCGTTCCTTAGTCCCTTGAAGGACATTCCTCATTCCTTCCACCTCATTCAGAGCTCATACACAGGACGTTCTGCCTGCTTAGAAATTGAACTCCCCACCTATGACTTTCATCCATTTAATTCTTAAGGCACCCTTTAGATCTCCCCCTTTCTTGGGGAAGCCTTCTCTGTCTCCCAGACTAAACACTCTCTTAACTTAGGATACATTTCCTTCATGATATTGTTTCCCCAGCTGGACTGTAAGCCACGAGGGCAAGGACCTTGTCTATTTTTGCTTCGCAGTAGATACCTAACACAATGCCTGGCACATAGCAGGTGCTTGAAATGTACTCACTGAATGACCATCTGGGTGAATTCAACAGGATTTAGTGAACAGAGTGAGGATGGAGTGAGGGAGGAATCAGTGGTGACTTCCAGCTTTCAAGCTTGGCAGACTCTTGGTGCCACTGAGATAAAAATAACACAGGGAGAAGAGTAAGTTTGGGGATTTGGTGAACAGGTGGTGCTGGTGACAACTTTAAGGTAGAAATCTGGAGTATTCTGTGGATAAGAGGGTCTGGAATTTGAGGAAAGCCTGGGCTAGAGATATAAATTAGGAAGCCACAATTCCATAGGTAGTTGGAACCCTGGAAACAGGCAAGATAATTCAGAATTTAAAAAGAGAGCTGAAGCCGACTCCCAGGGAAAAATAAGTAGAAATGAGGAGAGTGAAGGAGTCCATGAAAGGCTCATAGAAGGAGTAACAGAGGGCGACAGCCCCCTCAGCTGGAGTCCCTTGGGAGTCACTAGACCAAGCATGGCATTCCCAATGGCTCGATGTTCCCCAGCCTTGACTTAGGAGGCCCTTTTCTGTGCAGATAATGTGTCTTAGCAAACAAGTGTCCCTAGAGGCATTAGAATGAGAGGCTGGCCCCTTGAGTCACGTGGAATGAGTCAAAAAGCAAAGCTGAATGATTCTCCTCTATGGACAAATTCTGACCTCTTTAAAAGTGATTCCACTGTGATTTGATTCTGAGGGGTGGACCCTATTAATAGAAATATGGCCTACTCTTTCCTGAGAGTTAATTGCAGGAGTTGTACAGATTTCTCTAGCTCCAGGTGACAGAGAATTCTTATATCACCTTGAATTCTATCCCTTAGCAAATGTCAGCAAAGATTGAAGCAGGCAAGCTCTCAGTTTAATATTATTATATACACAAGTTCAGGTGCCTAAATACACACATCTGTGTATACATGGTACATTATTAAGATGGGTATAGCTATATTTCAACTAGGATTCTCCCATTATCCCACCTTCCTAGTGATTTTTCTTTTTTTATTTTGAGACAGGGTCTTACTCTGTCACCCAGGCTGGAGCACAGTGGCATGTGCTCTCTGCAGCCTTGACCTCCTGAGCTCAGGTGAGCCTCCCACCTCAGCCTCCCCAGTAGCTGGGGCTATAGCCATGCACTACCATGCCTGCCTAACTTTTGTATTTTTTGTAGAAATGGGGTCTCACCATGTTGCCCAGCCTGGTCTCAAACTCCTGGGCTCAAGCCATCTGCTCACCTTGGCCTCCCAAAGTGCTGGGATTACAGGCATGAGTCACCACTCCTGTCCCTTCCTAGTGATTTTACTCTTCATCATGAAGTATATTCTTATCATTTTAAGTGACTAAATAAAGGTAGTGTCTTCTTTAATGATGAGATGGAAATGTGATCTATTCATATCAGAAGGATTTTAATATGGATTCTAATATGGAACTAGGACCTTCCGTATGCAGGACTATGTCCATGGAATCTCTCATTCACCTTGGCTGGTGTCCGGATAGAACCTCCTCTGGATGGAAGGCAGGTCTTGACACTTTCCCAAGTTGGGCAACACTTGCTTGGTCCCCAATGTTGGTGAAATCATGAGCCAAAGAAGGTCCCCTCTGCCTCTTCCAGCAGGTAGCACAGCTACAGCTCAAGTCTCGTCACCAGACCAATGTTACAAAGACACTTTTCTAACAGTTGTTAGGTCAGTACACAGTGCTTAAACATCAAATATGAAAGTATACACACAGTGTGACCTGAACTCTGTAAAAAAGAATCCATAGGCTAGGTGTGGTGGCTCACACCTGTAATTCCAGCACTTTGGGAGACCGAGGTGGGGAGAATCACTTGAGGCCAGGAGTTTGGGACCAGCTTGGGCAACATAGTGAGACCCCATCTTCTACAAAAATATTTAAAAATTAGCCAGGTATGGTGGCACATGCCTATGGTCCCAGCTACTCAGGAAAATGAGGAGGGAGGATCATTTGAGCCCAGAGGCTCTAGGCTACATTGAGTTATGATTGCACCTCTGCACTCCAGCCTGGGCAATAGGGTGAGACCCTGTCACAAAAAAAAAAAAAAAAAAAAGGAGAGAAACACCCTGAAAAATTAGCTGTGGTTAACTCTGGCTAGTAGAATCATAGATGGCTTTTAAAATTATTTTTTCTAGACTTTTCTGTGATTTCCAAATTTCTTCTATGAGGATATCACCAGTTTTATAATGAAACACTTTCTGATATTGTACTCTCAAGAAATCAGCTGTGTACTGAATCGCTAAGCCCACCTTTGGCCCCTGCCATCCCCCTAAGCAGGCCATTGGGGAAGTCTCCCTGGAATGGACATCTGGAATTTGGTCTGTCCATCATCCATGGCATCTTCTTTTGGTAAAATAACTTTCTCCGCTCCCCACTCCCACCCTCCACCATTAAGTGCTGCCAGTAAGTTGCCTAGCCAAAGGGCAGGCATGAAACCAAAGCTGGCTGATCTGACTGTCTTCTGGGAATTTGATCTTTAGCAGAGAGACATAAAGCCTGAAGACAGTTGGAGCTGATTCATTCTGACAGTGCACCCTAGGAGACTACACCTTAGTTACTGCCCTGTTCCATAATTTTCAAGTTGGTCCCTGGCTTCTCTTTGGGCCTGAGAGCTCCTGCACATCTTTCCAATAAGCTCCCAGTCAGTTACCCAGTCAGTTTCTGTTTCTCGTATTTAAAGAACCCAACTGAGATGACAGCTTGTGCCCTGGATCTACCCACAGATGGCCATTCCAGGCTGACCTTGCAAGTCAGCTGTGGCTCCAGTGGACATTGTCCCAAGCAAGTCCAGCTCCTCCCTCTTAACCCAGATCCAGCTGCATCAGGGCAGCAGCCATCCTGAAGGCCCTGTGGGTATGGATCAATGACAGTGACCCACACTAGGGAAAATGGCTGAAAATCCCCAGGAAGACCCCTACATGAACACTGTCCCTGGAGCCAGAGAGGCTTCACTGGTGCCAGAATCTCAGAACTTTAGCTTTGGAAAACCCAAGTCATCCAGAGAGCTTCCTACTCAAGTAGAAAATCTCTGCTATAGCACCCCGGGCAGATAAGTATGGAAGAAATTAGGGCTTGTGTATGGGTTGAGATGCCCTCTTATTGGTGTGGATAGCCAATACGCCTATGACTAACCATACTGATTAGCGTAATTTTTTCTCCCCCTTTTCTCCCCAGCCCACAAGGTCTTTAGCAAATATCTTCCTGCTAAATACAGTGAGGGATAAGGAGGAGGAGGGTGTTCGTATATTCTCTTACAGCTGCACCCAACAGAAGTGAACCTGAGGGTCCAAGTTACTACAGAGGAAAGGCTGCTTTCTCCTGGTGGGGTCTAAAAGCTCTAGAGCAGTTCAGAGTGTGCTTTCCTTTTGCTTGCAGCAGATCATTCAGATATTGAGAAAGAATCATGTGAATTTTACATACCAAATAAATACATGAATAAGTTCCTCATTAAGATTTGAGGACTAGGCCAGGCATGGTGGCTCATGCCTGTAATCCCAGCCGTTTGGGAGGCCAAGGCAGGCAGATCGCCTGAGGTCAGGAGTTTGAGACCAGCCTGGTCAGCATGGTGAAACCCTGTCTCTACTAAAAATACAAAAATTAGTCTGGTATGGTGGCACGTGCCTGTAATCCCAGCTACTTGGGAGGCTGAGGCAGGAGAATTGTTTGAACCCAGGAAGCCAAGGTTGCAATGAGCCAAGATCGCGCCACTGCACTCCTGCCTAGGTGACAAGAGCAAAACTCTGTCTCAAAAACAAAACAAAACAAAACAAAAGATTTGAGGAGTACATGGGGGTGTTAGGTTGACCAATCACTCTGATTTGCCCAGGACTGAACCCATATCTGGGATGCAAACTTGCATTCCTTCCTTGCAACCTCTAAGGGTAGTAAGGAGTGTTTTTTTGTTTTTTTTAGAGACAGGATCTCTCTGTGTTGCACAGGGTGGCCTCGAACTCCTGGCCTCAAGTGATACTCCTACCTTGGCATCCCAAAGTGCTGGGATTATAGGTGTGAGCCACTGTGCCCGGCCAAAAGTCTTATTAGAAGTTCTGAATTCTTTGTGACAACTATAGTTTCTTCTCTTTCTTACCCTCTCACCTGCACTTGTGTGTTTCCCCCTCCTTGCTTTCAGTCTCATGAATTCTCCAAGAAAAATCATTAGCGGCTGTCTATATTGTTCTTGATGAGAACAGAGACTCCAAATTTTTTTTTCAACTTCACACTGGAGTCATTCAAACATAAAAGCACATTTTCATGTTTACCTAGGAACAGAAGGGCTTGCTTCTGTCACAGCTGGTGGCCTGATTAACTTGAGGGAGTTTAAAAAATATTATATTCCTACCACTACAACCACCACAACTGCCTATCTCTTAATAGATGCTTACTTGACTAATAATGATATTTACATTTAATGAGTGCTTGAGTCTGTGCCAGGCTAATCCTCACAATGACCTCATGAAGTAGGACTATTATTATCTCCATTGTTTTTATTCTTTTTTGAGACGGAGTCTCGCTCTGTCACCCAGGCTGGAGTGCAGTGGTGCAATCTCGGCTCCCTGCAACCCTCGCCTCCCGGGTTCAAGCAATTCTCCTGCCTCAGCCTCCCAAATAGCTGGGATAACAGGCACCTTCCACCAAGCCTGGCTAAATTTTGTATTTTTAGTAGAGACAGGGTTTCATCATGTTGGCCAGGCTGGTCTCGAACTCCTGACCTTGTGATCTGCCTGCCTCGGCCTCCCAAAGTGCTGGGACTACAGGCGTGAGCCACCACGCCCGGCCAGTTATGATCCCCATTTTATAGACAAGAACATTGAGGCAGAACATTCACACAGGAAGTGGCAGAGCCAGGGCTCCACATGGGCAGTCAGCGCTTTGTCTTGGAAGAGTAATGATCCTTGAGAAGAAAATTTCACTTGACTTTACCCCTTAAAGATGAAGGAGAAATTGAACTCAAACATTAGGATTTCAGGTTCCGTGCTTTGATCATTATCTGCACACCTAGAGCTGGACTTGCTGCACATTTTTGTTCAGATGGAGTAAAGTGCTTTTCTGCTCCATGACACCCCTGTGTCCCGCCTGCAGCCACCCTGTGATGGGTGGGGCTGCTTCCTACCTGCCCCTGCAAGTGATTCACAGCTCCTCTCTCCTCTTGGTAGTAGAAGTTTTCCTCTCTCCCAAAGGAACATTTCTCGCCAAGAATACTTTCCCTTGCATGGCGTGGATGCTTATTTTGTAGAGGAGCATCTACTGTCTTTGTCAATGCATACCAAAATTTCAGAACAAAACATCCTCACAGCGGAGAGCCATTCTGCCAGGGGTTCTCTGCATGGGGAATGGATTTTCTACCCAAATTTTCTACCTCCAGCTGGGGTTGCTTTTAAGCAGAGAACATGGAGTCCAAAGCCCTCTTTTTACCTACTGTTCTGTCTGACTCAGCTTTCTAGGTAAAGCTCCCAGGAGCTGAAGTACATTCTGATCACTGACTCCTTCTCAACTCCCCGCAGGAGCCCAGCAGGGGAAGAACAAGGTGGGGCTCCTGGTGCTAAAAGCTGGAGAGAGGACAAGACCCAGGGTCTCTATGAATAGCGGGACTGGATGGCCCGAGGAGGAGGAGGGGACAGAAAAGAAGACAGACAGGGGAGCGTGAAACCTGTCTTCTTCTCATTTAGTATCTCAAACTTCTTGGTGTCAGGACCACTTGACATCCTTAACAACTATCGAGGATCCCAAAGAGCTTTTTGTTATGTAGGTTTTATCTATCGATATGGACCATATTAGGAATTAAAACTGAGAAATATACAAAATATGTATTCATTTAAAAATCAGTGACAGTGAACCCATTACATGTTAGCACAAATAATATCTTTTTATGGGAATCGTGTTTTCAAAAAAAACTGAGAACGGGGGCATTGTTTTACATTTTTACATTTTCTAATGTCTGGTTTCACAGAGGGCAGCTGAAATATCTTCTGCCTTCAATCTGTTGCAATATTTTTTTTGGTTTAAATACAGAAGAAAATCCAGCCTTACACAGATGTGCAATTGATGAAGGAAGGACCTCTCAGACCCCTGAAAGGGTTTTGGGGATCACATGTTGAGACTCACGGCTTTAATTCAGAGTTCTAGCTGCACAGTGCCTCAAAGCCACAATCACTTTGCTTTTCCTAAAGCAATTCAGTCTCACATTGCAGAACTTTGTTAAAGAGCTTTTGGGAAATCTGTCCATCCAGCAATTCCCTTCTTTAAAAACTGAACCCCTACCCATGGGGAAGGGGTTGGGAGGAGCTCTGACAGGAATCCTTCTAAAACATGACCTGCCCCCCACCGGGTGCAAGTTTCTGCACCAAGAGAGAACCCAATAACAGCTGGATCAACCAAGTCCTCTCTTCCAGGAACCTGGCAATGGGGGACATGGGCCGAGGGCTCTTGAATGCAGAAAGCAAGGCTGCCGTTGTGGACCACCCTCTGTAACTATGGAGCCCTGGGTTCTTCACAGCTTCTGGGACCTGCTCTCCAATGAGGGTGCTCCTGTTTTAACCATTCACTAATTTATTATTCCATTCATTCTTATAGTAAATACCTCAAAGGTCAATAGCAACTGTGGATCTGAAAAGAGAAGGAAGTTGAAATTAAGAGCTCAAAATCCAGTTGTGAATAATGTGTGTGCATACACATGTGAGCGTGTAAAAGAAAGAAGGAGGGGCCAGGTGCAGTGGCTCACGCCTCTAATCCCAGCCCTTTGGGAGGCCAAGCCAGGCGGATCACTTGAGCTCAGGAGTTCAAAACCAGCCTGGGAAACATGGCAAAACCCCATCTCTATTAAAAATAAAAATAAAGAAAAAAGGAGGAGAGAAGTTTCCCGGTTATAAGTGAAATTTCAAAACTGGGCCAGGCATAGTGGCTCACGCTTGTGATCCCAGCACTTTGGGAGGCCGAGGCAGGGAGATCACTTGAGCCCAAGAGTTGGAGAGCAGCCTGGGCAACATAGGAAGACCTCTGCCTCTACAAAAAATTTAAAAATTAGCTGGATGTGGTAGCACACACCTGTAGTCCCAGATACTTGAGAGGCTGAAGTGGGAAGATCACCTGAGGCCTTGAGGTGGAGGTTACAGTGAACTGTGGTCATGCCTCTTCACTTTAGCCTGGGTGACAGAACAAGATGATGACAATGACAATGATGACGATGAAGAAGAAGAAGGAGGGGGAGGAGGAGGGGAGGAGTAGGGGGAGGAGGAGGGAGAGGGGGAAGAGAAGGGGGAAGGGGAGGGGGAGGAGGGGGAGGAGGTGGGTGTGGGAGGAGGAGGGGGAGGAGGGAGAGGAGGAGGGGGAGAGAGAGGAGGAAGAAAGAACAAGAAGAGGAACTGTATGTACCTGGAGTACAGCGGTGCACACCTGTAGTCCCAGCTACTTGGAAGGGTGAGGTGGGAGGATCACCTGAGCCCAAGAGGTCCAGACCAGCCACCAGTCTGGGCAACATAGTGACTTTTTTGAGACTTTGTCTCAAAAAAAGAAAAGAAATGGAAAAAAATCATATGTAGTAGGATCCTGTCTTCAGCCAAGTTGTGATCCATTTAGGTATTTTGTTAGGTCTGGCTCCTAAATGTTCAGTAACACCTAGCATATTTCACAGACCACTTATATAAGTGGAGTTTTTTCCAAGAAAAATCAAAGCCTGAGCTAAGGTTCATGGTGGCATCAAGCTGGTATGGAACAGAAGATTGCATGCGGGAGATGGGGAGGGGCCATGAGCAGAGCTAAATGTGACCAGCAGCTCAGGCTGAGAGGTGACTGTGAGATGCCAGTCTCCTCTAGAGATCTCAGCGACTGCCTTGAGATCCCGCAGTGGGGCCTAGCTTATCAGTTGCCAGGGCCAGAGGTGCCCCAGCTAACTGCTGAATCACACACAATGAGGAGGTAAAAAAAAAAGAATGAGTGATTTGAATAGATGTATGATAATGTCACTGACACACTGAACCAGTGCACTCAGGTTACATAAACCACCCTCCTCCCACACATACACAGAGCACTCCTGGATTATCACCCTTCAGACTGTTTTTATTATAAGGAACAGAACTCCATGAAAAATGGACTAGACAATAAAAGGAACATATTGACTTACATAATTAACATACAAAATCCACTTGTCTGTATATCAGGGAGGCAGGCATTATTTGATTGAGACTCTAGCTCATTTCTCTACCCTCCTCTGTTGGATTCCTTTTCAGGCTTGCTTCCCTCCTGCTCATAGAGAGCTGATAGCAACAACCAAGGCTACATGCTTCCTGAGTTACAGCTGATGAGAGACTGTCCACTCCACAACTGTCAGAGTCCTGAGCTTCATTCCGATTGCAACCCTGCCGCATGCTCACTCCTTACTACTGTGAAAGGTCATTGCTATCATTATGGTGCTCAGCGGGTCTTTACTAATCTATTTACTCATACTTAAATGGAAAATTTCAGAGTATGTGTTTCCTCATGGTTCTATCTTTGGGAACAAGTCTGATGGCCACTGCCTTTCTCCCTGCCAGAGTCAGGATCTAGCATCAGGGGTTTCCAGGGTTCCCTGGGAGCAGACGACTGTTGCCTAACAGCTACGTGGCTAACAGTACCACTGCCAGCAAGAACACTCCTTTACTTCACAGAAGTCTCCCCCTTCCTGCTCCACCATGCTAGAGGGCTTGAAATGCCTTGAAATTCTCTCCCTTCAGAGTTGAAATACCACTTCCCTGAAAATAAAATGCATCTTCCCCAAGTGCCTGTCACATAGTGTTGTGGACTAAATTATGTCACCTCAAAATCAATGTGTTGAAGTCCTAACCCCCAACGTAACTGTATTTGGAGATGAGACTTTTAAAGAGGTATTAAGGTTAAATGAGGTCATAAGAGTAGGGCCCTAATCCAACATGCCTGCTGTCATTATAAAAGGAAGAGGCTGGGTGCAGTAGCTCATGCCTATAATCCCAGCACTTTGGGAGGCCGAGGCAGGTGGATCACTTGAGGTAAGGAGTTCAAGACCAGCCTGGCCAACATGGTCAAACCCCGTCTCTACTAAAAATACAAAAATTAGCCAGGAATGATGGTGCATGCCTGTAATCCCAGCTACTCAGGAGGCTGAGGCAGGAGAATAACGCGAACCAAGAAGGTGGAGGTTGCAGTGAGCTGAGATCGTGCCCCTGCACTCCAACCTGGGCAACAGAGTGAGACTCCGTCTCAAGGAAAAAAAAAGAAGAAGAGGAGGAGACGCCAGGGATGTGTGCACACAGAGAAAGGCCACACCAGGACACATCAAGAAGACAACCATGGCTGGGCACAGTGGCTCATGCCTGCAATCCTAGCATTTTGGGAGGCTGAGGTGGACAGATCACCTAAGGTCAGGAGTTTGAGACCAGCCTGGCCAACATGGTGAAACCCCATCTCTACTAAAAATATAAAAATTAGGCCGGACACAGTGGCTCACGTCTGTAATCCCAGCACTTTGGGAGGCCGAGGCAGGCAGATCACCTGAGGCCCGGAGTTCAAGACCAGCCTGGCCAACATGGTGAAACCCCTGTCTACTAAAAGTATAAAAATTAACTGGACATGGTGATATGTGCCTGTAATCCCAGTTACTCAGGAGGCTAAGGCAGGAAAATCACTCTGCACTCTGGCCTGGCCAACAGAGCAAGACTCCATCTAAAAAAAAAAAAAAAATTAGCAAGGCATGGTGGCAGGTGCCTGCAATCTGTAATCCCAACTACTTCAGAGGCTAAGGTACAAGAATTGCTTGAACCCAGTAAGCAGAGGTTGCAATGAGCCAAGATTGCACCACTGCACTCCAGCCTGGGTGACAGAGGGAGACACTGTCTCAAAAAAAGAAAAAAAAAAAGAAGACAACTGCCTGCAAGCCAAAGAAAAAGGCCTCCCCTCAGGAGACACCAAACTCCCTGACACCTTACTCTTGAACTTTCAGCCTCCAGAACTATGAGAAATAAATGGCTGTTGTATCAGCCACCCAGACTGTGGCATTTTGTTATGGCAGCCCAAGCTGACTAATATACATGGTTATGATCCGATCTCTCAGTAGGATAACCTGCCAGCAGCTCTGTGATGATAGATCTTTAACAACCAGTTCTCCAAGGACAAACGACCTGGTTTGTAGGATTTCACAATTACCATGGTGTAAATACTTCCACTATGGCCAATTTCAAGTTATCAGTGTGATATTTCTGAATATCAGGTTAAGAAGAGATGTGTACCATTGGCTTTTATGAGCCAACGCAAGCTGGCTGCAGCATGCCACTGCTTGACAGTCAATGCCAGGAGCAAATATTTTTAGTAGCACATTATATGGCAGGATCTTGTTTGCTTGTTTTTAAAAATAAAATGGTATTTTCCTAGCATGCCTTCACCCCCACCCCAAAAGCACTCACACACCCTGGGCAGGGGTTCTCAAGACAGAAAGGGACTTGAAAATACGGCAGTCCATGTTTTCTGCTGTCTTTCCACTCCTTGCTTTTCACACCTAATGTGCTCAGCACGTTAATGGGACATAGGAACTGAGTTGTACGAAGTGGCTAGTTTCCATTTCAGAGCCAAGCATCTCTCCATGAGGGCCAAGAAAAAGGGGAAAGATATTTCCCTCAAACCCGGGCTCTGCATTTTTGTGCGTGTTGTTCCCCCATCACCTCCTACAATGTTTCTTCAGTTACACAAATGAAATATTTCCCAGAAACCTCTTCTGTCTTCCCATTATTTACCTGACACATTTTAACTTACTTGGGGAAATATTTGCTAATTTTATTTCAATGACAGGTTTTACATCTCTCCCAAAAGCAGTTTTTAAAAGTGCTTGAAATTCATAACTGAGTATCATGGTTCCTTAGACACAAATTTGAATGATTAATTGGATATTTTCCATTCCACTCCAAGTCAGGTTGTGCAGAGCCTGCCCTCTGCCTCTGGCTGCAGCAAACTGTGAAGAATCGGTTTGTCAGTGTACCGGGGCGGCCCGCAGCATCTCCATTTCCTTTATTGTGAACTCTTCGTCTTTATGAGCGATTCCTAGCTGAATTCAAAAGGAACCCCTTTCCCCACCTGAAATTCTTAGCTCCTGCTTCCTCTGCTTCTCCCCGCTTCCTTAGGAAACTGGGCTCTGCCTTAGGCAGGCTTGGCCATTAAGCATCAGCTCCTGGCGCAACAAAAGCTGATCTCTGCAAGCCTGCGAGACGCCCGCTCCCAACCGCACAATCAGTGAGCCCTCGGGTCCAGCTGCTCCGCCTCAGGGATTCCAGTATGGCCACATTTTGGTGATGCTGCTGCAGATACTACGGTATAATTGCAGGAAGCTCTTCTCTGAAGACGGGGAACTATCCAGAGGTGTGCTGGGGGAGGCGCCTGCCAACAGAAAGAACCGATTGCGCAGGTCTCTTCCCAACTCCATGTTCAGTGAAGTGATGCTGGTGGCAAGGAAATCAGCAAACATTACAAACCAGGGCCTCCCCCGCCTCCTCACCACACCCTGGAGCATCCAGTTACTACACGGCACTGGCAATACCCCCTTTTAAAAAATCCCTCACAAGAGACAGCAGCCTGTGCAATTAGAATCTTCTCCATCTCACCCTCCCCGTCATTTTCTGGAAGCGCCCGGTGCTAAATGGGAGCCAAGCGATTGTGAATCACACAGCCTCTTTTGAAGGGACGTCTTTCTTTTCAGTCCTCATTGACTGTCTTCCCCTTGTTAGGCCCTCTGGTGTTCTCCACGGGCTGCAGGGTCACTCAAAGCTCCTGCCATTGGAGCTTTCGCTTTTCTTTACATCGACTTCTCTGTGGGTTTATTTCTAATAACTTCATGATCCAGCAGGCAGTCCTGTCTGTTCACAGTGGTTCCCAAATCCCAGGGAGGATCGCTATCAATACAGATTACAAGGCCCAGCCTCCAAGCCAATCGGTGGCACAGGAATTTATGTTTTTGGTCTGCTCCCCAGGTGGCTCTGGTAAGCCAGCCTAGCTCCAGGCATAGGGTTGGGATGGCATTTGGAAACCACAGAAAAACCGTCTGTGAATGAGTATGCTGCACTCTTCCTCAGCAGCCCCTGAGAGTTAGGACCCAGCCTGGCTGAGGCTGCAGGACTCACCCAGCCTGTTCTCTCGTTAAGGGCTGACAGACAACATCTGAGGGCTTCCGCTCTGTCATCCTTCAGCCCACATAACATGGGGAGTGTCAGTGACTTTCCTGATTACCCAGGGATGCACAGGCTGGCTCTGAGGTACAAGAGGGGGTGAACTGATTAATTCCCTCTTGAAAAGCTTAATTGTGCATCGTTTTCTAATTTGTCATTTGCAAACGAAGCACAGGCTGCCAGGTGAGCTCAGCTGCACCCAATTAAAGGTCAGACCCCCCACCCCATCATTCCCTGAGTGACTCACAGTTACACCCCACCCCCACGCTGATGATGAGTGGGTGTCCTCCATCTCAGTGGCTCCCAAAATCCAGGTTGCAAATTAATCACCTTGGAGCTTGTTAAAATTCAAATTCCTGGGCTCCTTCCCGGGTTCCTGTTTCAGTAGGTCCAGGGTGGGGTCCAGGAACCACTGCGTTTAACAAGCTCCCCAGGTGAGTTCACTTATGCAGCTAGTTCTGCTTAAGCCAAAATGTCTTTCATGAAGTCTGGTCTCCTTAAGGGTATTACATTCCCTGAAGGAATTCCTCTGGAGTAACAATGAATCAGCTTTTTCCTTAGCTCCTTTTACAAATAAATACTGAGTTTCAGACGTCAAGCCATGCAATTCAGCGGAGGAAAGTGACTAATAGCGGGGGCCATCTGGCCAGCCACACTTCCACTGGGAACACTGGGATATGGTGAGTGACGGGGGAACATCCCAAGCAGGTGGGCTGCTCCCTCGAAGGGAAGGAGGGCACGGATGAGGGCAGAAAAGGCCTCGCTGAAACAGCTGGATGGAATGTTCCCCTCCCAGGGTTAATTTGTGCAGTTTCTTTTTGTGAGGGTAATCACCAAATTAAATGTTTTAATTACTGAAATTACTTATGCATTTCTTTTGAGAAAAAGAGCATATCAGAACACAGCATCTACTCCCCAGAGGGGCAAATGCTTTGCTTCCAGGGAAGGGGGTGTCTGGAGGAGTCCATTTTAATTTCATTATAAAACCGGCTTGAGAAATAAAGGTCTGGGATTGACACGTATTCCCAGCCAGCTGTGACTTAATGAGCACAATTCAAAGCTTGGAACCTGCTAGCCACATCCATATTAATATGTCTGTGGGAAAAAAACAACAGGGAAAGTGACAAACTGCTATCCCTAGTATTTGAAATGAATTTTAAATGACTGTTAAAATGGCTAACATGGGCAAGCATCACTTCAAGGCAGCCCAGCTGTCTGGCCTCCCCTCCTGTCAATAACACCCCTGGTAGGAAGAAGCTGTTTCACACAGATCAGCAAGTCCCGAGTCCCAGGGCCAGGTCAGCAGGTTTGGCAGAAGAGATGCAGCTGTGTTCTGAACCTGATCCATCCTGCAAAACCCCAGAACCTGGAAGGGCCTTTCCCCTCCTTTTATCTTGAATTGTTTGTTGCATAACCATCAGAGTCATTATGATGGTAATAGTCTTTGTGATTCTGATTTTCCCACGCAGAGGCACATGAAAGTAAGAAAAATGTCTTGTTCGAACATTTTGAGATGCTAAAAATAAAAGGTGCTGGGTAAGCCTGTGGTGTTAATAAGTACAAGGCGAGAGGGTGGGTGTGGGTGGCAAAGACAAAGGAAATGCAGAAACCAAGGGCTGTGTGTTTTGACATTCAAGGAGAACAGCCACCTGGTACCACTGGGAAGAGGCCCCTGGGTGGATGAGCTAGTGCTGTAGTACCTGTGGGTGGGCGGAAGGCGCCTCCTGGGTTCTGTAGAGCAGCGCATGCACACGCTCAAGGTGAAGGTCTTGGCATTTCCCTAAGATTGCACTCTGTGTTTGTTGCTGTTGTGTGTTGCCGGGAGGCAGTCCTGACTCAGAGCCTGGACTCTCAAATCACACAGATCCTGCCTCCTCCACTTCATTCAAAAGAGTTTCAACTGGGCCATGGGCCTTGATTTTTTTCATCTGGAAATGGGGTTAAAATACCAATTTCATTGGGCATTTTCTGAGAATTAAATGAAAAGATTTAAGTACATACTTTATCTCAGGGTCTAGCACAGAGTAAGTCCTCAGTGGTTTTTGTTACCATTTCTGACACATAGTTCAGTAGCATGGAGTTTCCAGGTTATTCTCCAATTAAAAACATCTTTCTGTACATATTGGACACTCATCCTCTGAGACTAATTCAGCAAGCAAATCAAAGGAGGAGATCATTTTGCTTTGAGCTGCACAAACCCTCTCATTCATTTTCTCTTAAACTGGTATTTTTCAGACTATGTCCCCTGCAATCTGAGAATTCTGTAAGCATTTGCTTTCAATTTACATTTCTTTTTTATATTTTACCAGCTTTAAATGGCAAACCTTTATCAAGTTAGGTTGTAATTTTTTCTTTTCTTTTTTTTTTTTTTTTTTTTTTTTTTTGAGACGGAGTCTTGCTCTGTTGCCCAGGCTGGAGTGCAGTGGCATGATCTCGGCTCACTGCAGGCTCCGCCTCCTGGGTTCACACCAATCTCCTGCCTCAGCCTCCCAAGTAGATGGGACTACAGGCACCTGCCACCACGCCCGGCTAATTTTTTTATTTTTAGTAGAGACGGGGTTTTACCAGGTTAGCCAGGATGGTCTCGATCTCCTGACCTCGTGATCTCCCGCCTCGGCCTCCCAAAGTGCTAGGATTATAGGCGTAAGCCACTGTGCCCAGCCAATTTTTTCTAATTTGGTCTTGGGGTCTCTCTCTTGAGAGTGGCCATAAGCCAAGCTAGCCACTCTGTAGGAGAGCACTGGGGTATGAGTTGGGGGTGGGGGTGTGTGAGTGGGTGACGGTGAAGTTAGGTTCAGGTGTGTGCATCAGGTAGGCCACAATGGGGAAATGAAACCAAAATTCATGATATGTATTACTTACAGGTCCCAGAAGAGCTAGGGGTCCCAGTGGGTGGCCAACAGGAAGTCTGTAGGTGGCGGGGAGCACAGCCATCAGGTGGAGCAACGGCTTTGAGACTATGTCTTTTTTGAGTGTTTGTTGAAACCAAAAAAACACACAGCTGTGTCGCCCAGGCTGAAGTGCAGTGGTGCAATCATGGCTCACTGCAGCCTCAACCTCCCAGCCTCAAGTGATCCTCCTACCTCATCCTCCTGAGTGGCTGGGACTATGGGTGCATGCCACCACACCCATGACTCTGGCATTGACCATTAGGTTTATTATGGCCAGCAGTTCTGGGCTGTGTTGAGTTTTGTGTCAATGGGATAGAATAATGGGGCTAGAGCACAAACAATCACACTGGAAGGGGAAGATGTAACTAGGCCAAAGGTCATGGAGTATGACTAGGTTTCAAATAACTTATGTCAGGCCTAAAAACAGATGCCTCGGCAGGAACTATATTAAGCAAATTTATGATGTTATTTGCATGAATAGCTCTTTTAATCTTCACAATTATCCTATAAAGTGAGTGCTATTGTTATCCTCCTTTTACTGATGAGAAAACTAAGGCATAGATAATTAAGCAGTGTTTCCAAGGCCATGAAGCTAGTAAATGCAGAGCTGAGGTTCAAATCCAAGGAATCTGACTCCAGAGCCTTTCTTGGTCACTATTTCACATGCTGTCTCTAAAAACTGTAACAAACACATGCAAACACAAACATGCACATTCAGATATTCCATATCAGATTGTGACTTGGTGGAGACCACCACATCATGAACTAGTGCCACCAGACTAACTTTTTAGAGAAAAAAACCTCATTCATCCATTCATTCAATGAACAAATGTTTATTGAGTATGTACTATATGTTTCCAAGACCTTCCTGTAACTATATGGATAAGAAAGATCATAGCTCTACCTTCATTTCTTTTTTGTTTTGTTTTGAGATGGAGTTTCACTCTTGTTGTCCAGGCTGGAGTGCAATGGCACAATCTCAGCTCACTGCCAATGGTACACATCTCTTCTTAAACTGATATTCAGAAATACTCATTCAGTCAATGGTACACATCTCTTCTTAACCTGATATTCAGAAATATCGCACTAATAACTTGAAATTGGCCATAGTGGAAGTATTTACACCATGGTAATTGGCAAATCCTACAAACCAGGTCGTTTGTTGCTCACTGCAACCTCCGCCTCGTGGGTTCAAGTGATTCTCCTGCCTCAGCCTCCCAAGTAGGTGGGATTATAGGTGAGCACCACCATGCCCAGCTAATTTTGTATTTTTAGTAGAGACAGGGTTTCACCATGTTGGTCAGGTTGGTCTCGAACTCATGACCTCAAGTAATCCACTCGCCTCAGCCTCCCAAAGTGCTGGGATTACAGACATAAGCCACTGTGCCTGGCCTCTACCCTCATTTCTTAAAAATACTCAGATCTGGTTCTTGCTTTGGCAGCAAACATCCTAAAGTTGGAATGATACACAATTATCATGGCTGCTGCCCAAGGATGATATGAAAATTCATGAAATGTTCCATATAAAAAAGAAACGGAAAAAAAATTCAGGCTGTACTTACCCATTCACTTAAAATCAAGCCCAGCATAATAGTGAGCTGTGCAATAACTGGCAAGTGAGGGTACCAGGTGGTAAACAGAACATATTAATCATTTGAATGTTTATTATGATTTGGATGCTACTCAGTGGACTTGTATTCGTGACAAGACATGTTGGCAGCAGATTCAGTTTTTAAACAAAAATCTGCTTTTTCAAGCATTTAGATTAGTTTAGTTGAAGGATATCCTGAGAGTACCAGCATGTTGTTAAAGGCCGTGACCATTTGCAATCACACATAGGTGGGGATCAGGATTTTATTGATTCCATGTAACAGAACCATCAGACAGGAGGAAACACTTGATGCTGAGGCCCAACTAAACCTAATTTAAGTTTTTTATTTTTAGACCAGGCTCCGTGTCTCATGCCTGGACTCCCAGTACTTTGGGAGGTGGAGACAGGAGGATTGCTTGAGTCCAGGAATTTCTACAAAAAATTTAAAAAATTAACCAAGCATGGCAGTGTGTGCCTGTAGTCCTAGCTACTCAGGAGGCTGAGGAGGGAGGATTGCTTGAGCCCAGAAGGTAGAGGTTACAGTGAGCTGTGATTGTGCCACTGCATTCCAGCCTGGGAGACAGAGTGACACCTTGTCTCAAAAAAAATTGTTTTTTTCATTGAGAGAGGATAAAATTTTGATTGAGGTTCAAAATTGGTGTTCCCTATCATCAAAATCTATTGCAGACGTTCATCTGTTAATACTAATGTGTAATGAAATTTTATGTATTTCAACTGTAAAAATGTCTTTTTAGACAGGTACTACCAAATACTGATAGCAATTTATGAGCATATAATTTTAGTTGAGCATATTTATTGCTGGGAAGGTATTTACAGAATCTCCTCTGGTTGTTCTTCTGTGTCCTTGGAATATCCTTTATAACAAACTGGTAAACTTAAGTGTTTCCCTGAGTTCTATGAGCCATTCTAATGAATGATCAAACCCAAGGAGTGGCTTATGGAAACCTCTGATTTATAGCCTTGGTCAGAAGCACAGGAGGCCTGTACTTGCAACTGGGACCTGAAGTAGGAGCCTGTCTTGCAGGACTGAGCCTTTAACTTATGAGTTCTGAAGCTAACTCCAGGTAGATGGTGTCAGAATTGACTGAAATTTAGGACAAGCTGGTGTCCACTGGAGAATGGATGTGTGGGAAGAAAAAAAAACCACACGTTTGGTATCAGAAATGAAGTACAAGAATGAGTGTGAGTATAGAAAGGAAAAGGTTTTTTTCCTATTATTCAGCTTGTAAGTAGTGAAGTTGGATTGCAACACAGAATGACTAGCCCCAAGCCTATGCTTATATATTATTTTTTATATTTGTATCATAGTCTACGAACTGATTTATTTTTATTTTTTATTTTATTTTACTTTATTTTTTTGAGATGGAGTCTCGCTTTGTCACCCAAGCTGGAGTACAGTGGTACAATCTCGGCTCACTGCAACCTCCCCATCCTGGGTTCAAGCAATTCTCCTGCCTTAGCCTCCCGAGTAGCTGGGATTACAGGTGCCCGCCCCCACACCGGCTAATTTTCTTGTATTTTTATTAGAGACGGGGTTTCACCATGTTGGCCATACTGGTCTCAAACTCCTGACCTCAAGTGATCTGCCCACCTCAGCCTCCCAAAGTGTTGGGATTACAGGTGTGAGCCACCGCGCCTGGCCTGATTTTATTTTATTTTATTTATTTATATTTTTTTGAGATGGAATCTTGCTCTGTTGCCCAGGCTGGAGTGCAGTGGCACGATCTCAGCTCACTGCAACCTCTGCCTCCCGGGTTCAAGCGATTTTCCTGCCTCAGCCTCCCAAGTAGCCGGGACTACAGGCATGCACCACCATGCCCGGCTAATCTTTGTATTTTTAGTAAAGACGGGGTTTCTCCATTTTGGCCAGGCTGGTCTTGAACTCCTGATCTCAAGTGATCCGTCTGCCTCAGCCTCCCAAAGTGTTGGGATTACAGACGTGAGCTACCGCGCCCGGCCAGCCACTGCGTCCAGCCTAATTTTATTTTTAAAACCTACTTTTCCTCCATTTAATTCATCTTGAACATCATAAAGATGATTCCTGAAAAAAATACTCTAGCTTCACTTAGATGTGTTAAGTCAGGGCATGTCTGCTACGGCTCAGGCAAGCATTCTCCTTAAAAAAGCAGAGTTTATCATATTTGCAGCACCTAGAAGATGAATTTGCTTAAAAAAAAAATAGCAGAGTTACTCTTCTCTGCTTTGAAACCGTAATGGAAGACCACAAGGTCAGGAAATACGATGATTCATGTTGACACCTGTGTTTGTAAAGATTTTTTAGGGGGAAGACTCATATTCAGTTTTTTCAGGTTTAGCATAAATGGTTACTTGATAATGAAAGTTATAGCTCTGGTTAAGAAGATAAGAATTAGAGGTTAAAAAGAAACTATAAAATAGACTCTAAGTTCCATTTATAGAGTCTTACTAAATTGGCATCATTCTAAAACATATAAGCAAAGGTTAATAGTTTAACAGTGTAAAAATTTTAAACTCCTGTGTATCAAAACAACAGGAACCACATATAAAAAATAACAAACCAACTGAAATATTTGAGGAAACAAACCAATAGTTAATATACTTATAAAACACGCCACAAACTAAGCAGAATAAGTGAACTCCCTGATGGGCAAAAGCAATTCACAAAAGAAAATTAAACATATAAAAAGGACTTGACCTCATGAGTAATAAAAGAAGTGAAAAATGAAGCAATAACAAAATATTGGAGAGGAGGTAATATCCCTGAGGCACTGCATCATCCCTGGCTGGTTTCCGTAAACCCAGCTTACACCTTTGTACCTTTTTTATTAGATGTCCCTCAATTGCCCAGGTTTAGTGTGCCACCTGTTTTCTGTCGACCCTGACTGGTGCTGGCAAGATGTACGAAATCAGAATCTAAGTTCTATTTATAAGAAAGTTCATTAGCAGCATTACCTATAATAGCAAAAACTCAAAACAGAAACAAATAACCAAAATAAGAGACTGATTAAGCAAATTATGGTACCTGCATATAGAATATAAAAATATAGATGGGTGCAGTGGTGTGTGCCTGTAATCCTAACTACTTGGGAGGCTGAGGAAGGAGGATCACTTGAACCCAGGAGTTCAAGGCTAGTCTGAACAACATGGTAAGACCCCCGCCTCAAAAACAAACAGAAGAATATAAAAATATATTAACAATCATCTTCTTAAAGAATATTACTGAAAAGATAAAGCATACACAGTATATTCCTAAATTAAAAACACGCAAAATTGTGTATATAATAATGTCCCATTTTGTTAAAAAAATTTAAAGGGAAAAACATTAAATCATATAATGTTACATTTTAATAAAGAGTATATAAATATGTGCTTACATATCATATATAAAACAGTATATGTGTTATGTTTGTTTTATAGATGTTTTATAATATGCCATGTTACATTTACATAATATACAATGTATACTATATATATAGATTTATTGATTCATTATATTATGTCACTTTTTATAAAGAATTCTCTACGTCTCTACCGGTACATGTTTATGTCATGCATCTGTTATATAAACCACATAATATACATGTTACAAATCACATACATGTATATATATGCATGAATGTACAGCGCTCTCCCACGTGTCATCCGAGGTCACTCTGGGACTGAAATAAAACGGGTTGTATCCTCCAGTCCACGTTGGCGTAAAGTACAATGAACAGTGTCCTCCTCAAGTTTATCCAGATTCCCAGGAGCTCACTGCTGCCTCTGGACTGTGGGGTTCATTCTCAGACCAACCAGACTTCTTTTTTCCCTTCTCTGCTCCAGCTCAGAGGTGGGATTCAGCCATTTCTCTGGATTCCTCCAAAACCACCTTCGCAAGGAAAATGAGCATGTGGCAGATGTTTTCTTTCTTCTTTTTTTTTTCTTTTTAGAGATCGGATCTGGCTCTGTTGCCCAGGCTCGTCTTGAACTCCTGGGCTCAAGCAATCCTCCCACCTCGGCCTCCCAAAGTGCTGGGATTACAGGCATAGCCTGTACCACGCCCAGCCTAACATTCTCTCAATGTTCAGAGCAGCACAGCGTGGATGCCTCTTATGTAGAAAGCCCCCACTGCTTGCAGGGCTCTGGCTGCCGGGGTGGGGCGGGGCCTGGGGGCGACGGTATTTGCGCCCCTCCAGGCTGGCCCTCCCTCTAGGATTTCCTCGCTTCAGTGTGTCCCCCACCTTCCCATCTCGTGCTACACCTCCTGGCATTACAGACAAGACCCCTTGATGACTGTGACAGACATCCGGTCTGGGACAGAAGATAACAAAGAGAAAGCCTTACCAGTCCATCCTCCCACAGCCACCAGGAGGAGTGAGAACGATGCCAGCACAGCTCAGCACACAGCACAGCGCACAGCACAGAGCACGTAGAACACAGCGCACAACAAAGCACACAGCGCACGGAGCACAGCACAGAGCACACACGCGCAGCACACAGCGCACGGAGCACAGCACAGAGCACACAGCACAGCGCACACAGCACAGCGCACACAGCACAGAGCATGCAACACAGCACAGAGCGCACCGCGTGCACAGCACACAGCGAGCACGGACCACACAGCGCACGGAGCACACAGCGCACGGAGTGCACAGCACAGCGCAGGCTTCTGGAGCAGATTCTGGAGGAAGTCCTGGTTCCGCCACTTACCAGCTGTGCGGTTTGGGGCACAGTTCTTCCCCTGCCTTAGTTTATTTATCTACAGAATGGGGTGGGACTAATATTTAGTAGGGTTGCTGAGAATTAAATGAGTTAAATATAGAAGAATATCTTTGAACTTGGCAGGCAGTAGACAAAAGTTTCTTAGAGTTAATATGTATGAAGTGCTTAGTGTTTGGCACATAGTAAATAATATTCGATGTTATGTTTTTCTCCACAAATACGAATTATGTCCTCAGCCACCGTAACTGCCCAAGGGGTTCACCTTGCCTGCTGCCTAGACTGAGCCGATTCATCAAGACAGGGGAATTGCAATAGAGAAAGAGTAATTTACGCAGAGCCGGCTGTGCAGGAGACCGGAGTTTTTTTTATTACTCAAATCAGTCTCGCCAAGCATTCGGGGAGTCGAGTTTTTAAGGATAACTTGGTGAGTGGGGGGAAGCCAGTGAGCCAGGAGTGCTGATTGGTCAGGGATGAAATCATAGGAAGTCGAAACTGTTGTCTTGTGCTGAATCAGTTCCGGGGGGTCCAGGGGCACAAGATCCGATGAACCAGTTTATTGATCTGGGTGGTGCCAGCTGATCTATCAAGTGCAGGGTCTGCAAAATATCTCCAGCACTGATCTTAGGACCAGTTTAAGGAGGGTCAGAATCTTGTAGACTTCCAGCTGCATGACTCCTAAACCATAATTTTTAATCTTGTGGGTAATGTTAGTCCTACAAAGGCAATCTACTCCCCAGGCAAGAAGGCGGTCTGCTTTGGGAAAGGGCTGTTACCGTCTTTGTTTAAATTAGAAAAACTAAGTCTCTCCCAAAGTTAGTTCAGCCTATGCCCAGGAATGAACAAGGACAGCTTGGGGGTTAGAGGCAAGATGGAGTCAGTTAAGTTAGATCTCTTTCACTGTCTCAGTCATGATTTTACAAAGGCGGTTTCACCATCCCTCCCATAAACATGCAGGAGCAGCTAAAGGCAATTTGGTTTTGAATTACATGTTTATCCTTATATCTAAACTAGCAGAAGAATATATTTCAAAATGTAGGAGATGGGGCTGGGCGAGGTGGCTCTCACACCTGTAATCCCAGCACTTTGGGAGGCTGAGGGGGGTGGATCACTTGAGTCCAGGAGTTCAACACCAGCCTGGGCAACATGGTGAAACCCCGTCTCTACAAAAAATACAAAAAAAGTTAGCCGCGCATGGTGGTGTGCACCTGTAGTCCCAGCTACTCAGGAGGCTGAGATGGGAGGATCGTTTGAGCCTGGGAGGTCCAGTCTGCAGTGAGCTGTGATTGCACTGTTGCACTTCAGCCTGTGTGACAGAATGAGACCCTGTCTCAAAGAAAACAAAAGTAGGAGATGGGATTATGGTGCTTACTTTTTTCCTTTTCTTTACTTTGTGCCCTTTCAAATTTTCCAAAGTTTGTATATTGAGCATTTGTTATTTTTGCAACTATGGAAAATGCCAATTTTCTTTCCCCCCAAAAGACAAGAGAAGGCTCCTGGGATGATAATGGTGTAGGTTAGGAGAAACTTGTTCCCGTGAGTTGATTAAAGCTCAAACACCAGGCAAGGCTCCTTGGGAAATGGGTGGACCTTAAAAATTAATGATTCCCTGCTGTTTGTGTCTCAGAAGAAACCTGTGTTTATTTATTGCTCTTCAGACTTGCCATTTCAGCATATTGAAAAGAAACCAAACAGAGAGAAATTAAAAGTGCATGACTCGATTCCTTCCTACAAGCTAAATTGTTCTGAAAATTTCCTCTTGGATTCCCAGATTTTAAGACGCTTAGTCTGCTTCCTGCCCCTAATTGCTCTATTAATTTAATCTGCTCAAAGTCTCCCAAGAGTCTAGGTCATCCGCCTTTGGGGCTGGCTCTGTCTGGTATGGACTGGTCTTCTCCATAGACAGTTTTGCTGAGTTGTTTTACATGTTACCCAACCTTCTACTTTGCTAGTTTTCTCCTTCCAAGAGGGTTTCTCCTGACCTAATTAAATGAGTTCTGGTATTTGTGTGAATTTGCCCATTGAAATGATGTGAACCTATTTTCCTTTTTTCAGTAGGGACCTAGAGCTACACATTTGTCCTAATTTTCCTGTTTTGGGTTCCTGATCATTTATCTTATGAGCACTCTGTAGCTTTATGTGTATCTAGCATAAATTGACTCTTTGCATAAAAACAGACTCAGCAAATTTGTTTGTCTTTCTGAGCCTTCATTTCCTCATCTGTAAAGTGGGGACAAAAACATGTGTATTCAGGCCAGATGCAGTGGCTCACATCTGTAATCCCAACACCTGGGGAGGCCAAGGGGGGGGGGCCGATCACTTGAGTTCAGGAGTTCGAGACCAACCTGACCGACATGGCGAAACCCTATCTCTACTAAAAATACAAAAATTAGCCAGGTATGGTAGCGCACGCCTGTAGTCCCAGGCTGCAGCAGGAGAATCACTTGAACCCAGGAGGTGAGCTGAGATTGCACCAGTGCACTCGAGTCTGGGCGATAGAGTGAGACTCCATCTAAAAAAATATATATATATGTGTATGTATTTGTTTCCTGGGATGCTGTAACAAATGACCTCAAACTGGGTGGCTTAAAACAATAGAAATGTATTCTTTTATAGTTTTAGAGGCCAGAAGCACAGAATTGAGATGTCAGCAAGGCCAAGCTGACATCTTGGCCTTTGATTCTCCCTCCAAAGAGAATCCTGGAAGGGGAGGATCCTTCCAGCTCTGGCCTTCTCTGACTTGTGGCAACAAAGATTTCACCTTCTGCTTCTATCCTCACATGGCCTTCTTTCCTGTGTCTCTCCTGTTTCAAATCTTTTTTTCCTCTGTCTTGTAAGGACACCAGTCATTAGATTTACTGTAAATCCACGATAATTTCATCCCCAAATCAATAACTCTGTTCTATCTGCAAAGACCCTATTTTCAAATAAGGTCACATTCACAGGTATCTAGAGTCACAATTTGGACATATATTTTGGGGAAACACTATTCTATCACTACAACATATCAATCTTGTTGAGTTGCTCTGTGAGTATTAACATGAAACACGAGGCTGGGCATGGTGGCCAATACCTGTAATCCCAGTGCTTTGGGAGGCCAAGGTAGAAGGACCGCTTGAGGGCAGGAGTTTGAGACCAGCCTGGGTAACATAGTGAGACCCCAGCTCTACAAAAGTTTTTTTTTTAATTAGCTGTGCATGGTAGTGCATGCCCATAGTCCCAGCTACTTGGGAGGCTGTCAGGAGGATCACTTGAGCCTGAGAGATCAAGGCTGCAGTGAGCTATGATTGTACCACTGCACTCCAGCCTAAGTGATAGAGTGAGACCCTGTCTCTAAAAAAAAAAAACAGACGCTGGGTGCGGTGGCTCATGCCTGTAATCCCAGCTCTTTGGGAGGCCGAGGCGGGTGGATCACGAGGTCAGGAGATCGAGACCATCCTGGCTAAAACGGTGAAACCCCGTCTCTACTAAATATACAAAAAAATTAGCCGGGTGTGGTGGTGGGCACCTGTAGTCCCAGCTACTCAGGAGACTGAGGCAGGAGAATGGCATGAACCCGGGAGGCGGAGCTTGCATTGAGCCGAGATCGCGCCACTGCACTCCAACCTGGGCGACAGAGCGAGACTCCATCTAAAAGAAAGAAAGAAAGCAGGCCGATGTGGTGGATCACGCCTGTCATCCCAATACTTTGGGAGGCCAAGGCAGGCGGATCACCTGAGGTCAGGAGTTTGAGACCAGCCTGGCCAACATGGTGAAACCCGGTCTCTAAAGTACAAAAATTAGCTGGGCGTGGTGGTGTGCGAATGTAATCCCAGCTACTCAGGAGGCCGAGGCAGGAGAATAGCTTGAACCTGGGAGGCAGAGGTTGCAGTGAGCCAAGACTGCACCACTGCACTCCAGCCTTGGCAACAGAGTGAGACTACTTCTCAAAAAGAAAAAAAGAAAAAGAAAGGAAGAAAATGATATGGTAATGTGTGTAATGTAGCTAGCATAGAGCTTGACACACAGTGTGTGCTCAACCAATAATAATCACCATAATTGCTATCATCACAAGAATACTTACATTGGGCCAAGCCTTATACCAAGCCTATCTGAGCCAGAACTGGGGCTCCAACACAGGTTGCTGTGGCTTGGAGCCCATGCACTGCTCTGCTGCACTCAATTGCCTTAGTCTCATCTCTCTACTTCTCTGCTGTGACCCAGCACCTCCCCCTCTACCCCTTCCACACTTTGCACATTGACCCAGAGTTATGTGTGGTGGTGTTTATTGGGAAGAATTAGTAATGGAGGATGGGAAGAGAGAGAGAAGCTTCTCTGAGTCCTTGTGAGGGCAGCTGACTTGCCCCAGAGTGGGTGATCTAAGGAGGAAGTCACAGTGTCTTTGTTGCCCTCATCTGGAAAGTCACATGTCACTTCTGTGGCCCTTTATTGACTGGAATTGAGTCAGTAAGCATAGCCCATACTAAAGGGGAGGAGACATAGGTGTCACCCTTTGAAAGAAGTATCAAAGAATCTGTAGACATATTTAAGAACTACCACGCTACCCATGGGGGAGAGATGGCCTTTGTCTAGGAACAGAATCAGGCTCTTTAGCCAAGCCACTATGAGTGGTGCAGAGGCAGGCTGGAGCTGGGTTTAGGAGCAGGGGCTGAGCAGTGCTAAATTGTCCCAAGGTGTTGCAATCCAATGGGAAGAACTTGAATTTGAGGTCAAAAGAAGAGAAGAAGATAAAAAGGGGAGTGAGGAGAGAGGATGTAACTGCATGATTGGTTCATTTTGCCTGCTGCCCAGATAGCCAATGGATCAAGACAGGGGAATTGCAATAGAGAAAGAGTTTAATGCACATAAAGCTGGCTAAACAGGAGACTGGAATTTTTGGTTACTCAAATCAGCCTCCCCAAAAATTGGAGGCTAGAGTTTTCTAAAGATAGTTTGGCAGGAGGGGCTAGGGAATGGCTGCTGCTGACTGGTTGGGGATACAGTCATAGGGGTGTGGAAATGGTCTTTGTGCGCTGAGTCCACTTCTAGGTGGGGGCCACAGGACCTGTTGAGGGTTGAGTCTCTGGTCCCAGTGGAGTCACCCGGTCATCAGAAATGCAAAAGTCTGAAAAGACATCTCAAAAGGCCAAGCTTAAGTTCTACAATAGTAATGTTATTTACAGAAGTAATTGGGGAAGTCACAAATGTTATGACCTCCAGAACAATGGCTGGTAATTAACTATGCCTACATTTTAGCAGAATTCAGACCCCTCTCATCCTCCAAACCTAGTAGTCTTTCATTACTTTTACAAAGGCAGTTTAGTTTTAGGAAGGACTATTATTTAAGCTATAAATTAAAATTCTCCCAAAGTTAGCTTGGGCTACACCCAGGAATGATCAAGTGCAGTTTGAAGGTTAGCGGCAAGAGGGAGTTTGTTAGATCAGATCTCTTTCATTATCATAATTTTCTCACTGTTCTAATTTTTGCAAATGCAATTTCAAGGAGGGAGAGTAGGAGCAAACCCTTCTGGCCACAAGTGGGGTGGCAGAAAGATTTGTAAGAGCAGAGCTTGCTAAAATGTTTGATGTTGTGTTGCTGGAATATAAGACTCCTCCATTTTACCAAACCATTAATCAAGCTTGCTACACATGCTCTCTCTCTCTCTACACACACACACACACACACACACACACACACACACACACACACACACACACAGATTCCTTTGTGAGAGGCTTTTAATGGTCACTCTAAGGGGCTAAGATTTCTTTCCGGGTTCACAGAGTGCTGAGCAGCGACCACACTTGAGGGCAGCAAGCGATCCATCCATGAACTTACATATGCCACAGAAGAAGATGCTTTGGCCGTAGGCCTCTGGAAATTCTCAGCAATCTAGGAAAAGGCAATGGTGTTTCCCTGAGCCTGGAAAAGAAGGCAGTCTTAAGAAACAGTGGCCTAGCAGCAGTCCCAACCCACCTGAGAGTGCTCACCTGGGAAGGGCAGGACCTGTCCTTGTTTCCAGAAACAGCCTTCAGGCAAGAGGAAATCGTGATTAGCTACTCTACAGCAGTACAGGGGGTGGGTATTAGCTCTTTGGGATTAATTTTGTTATTAACTGTCCTCAGAGGACTCCGTGTTTTCTGACAGAACGCTAAGATGTTGTTTTGCAGGTTTTCTTCTTTATTTTAAGTCATTTGCTTTTATCTTCCACAATAAATGGTGATTTGGGAGTGAGGGTATTTGTGGGCTTCAGGCTTAATTAAGTCTGAAAAGTAGATTTAATGTCACTCAACTTCAAGCCTGCTTGATAGTGCCTCTCATTCTATTCCATGAAGTTACTGAATTTGTATGTAAGTTCTCTTTTGAGAAACATAAGGCCCTGTTGAGCAATCTCTTAAAAGAAAGAACATCCCTGACATTTTAATATTTAACAACAACAACAACAACAAAACCCTCTTTTGGCAAGGTAAGGTACCAAAAGAAAGAAGGTTAAGTCTGGGAAAGAGTATTTTATTTTATTTTATTTTATTTATTTTGAGACGGAGTCTTGCTGTCTCCCAGGCTGGAGTGCAATGGTGCAATCTCAGCTCACTGCAACTTCTGCCTCCCGGGTTCAAGCGATTCTCCTGCCTCAGCCTCCCAAGTAGCTGGGATTACAGGCACCCACCACCACGTCCAGCTAATTTTGTATTTTAGTAGAGATGGGGTTTCACCATGTTGGCCAGGCTGGTCTCGAACTCCTGACCTCGGGTGATCTGCCTGCCTCGGCCTCCCAAAGTGCTGGGATTACAGGCATGAGCCACCACGCCTGGCCAGAAAGAGTATTTTAAAGCTTAAATGTTGAATGTTTCTTCAAGACTGTTTAGAGGCCAGGTCATTGTGTATTTAAAAGTCTTTTCTGGATTTTAGTAAGTCATTGTGCTCTTCAAGGGTGGGGCTGGGTCTTGGTTCTCTCTGTAACTCCCAGTGCCTGACATGGTCTGTGCTCAATAAACATTTGTTGACTTGGGCGTTCATAGGAGACCATCAACACTGAGAGATAAGTTAGGATCTTGTTCTAGAATATTTTCAAAGGTCAAAATATTTTGGAAGTCAAAATGAAGTTCCTGATCAAAAGGGCCTAAATTTCCTTGTTCCCTACTAATTTTGATCAGGATTTGAAAGAGGGTAGTTCCCAGGGCAGGGTTTGGGGGAATGTGGGGGAAGATGGCAGGTGGCTGGTGCATTTGTCTGTGCTGTATACACACATTAAGGCTGGTGTTTTTAGTCTACGGCCATGCCACCCTGAATGCGCCCAATATCATCTGATCTCAGAAGGCTAGTGTTTTTAGGCAGCCTGTTGACTATTTTCAAAAGCTTTCACTACCAAAGGCCATTCAAAATAACTAAACAGCAAGTCGATTTTGGAAGGGATCTAGGCTGGGTGAGGTGGCTCACACCTGTAATCCCAGCACTTTGGGAGGCCAAAGCAGGAGGATTGCTTGAGGTCAGGAGTTTAAGCCTGGGCAACATAGAGAGACTCTACTCTGACTCTATTTAAAAAAAAAAAAAAAAAAGCCCATTGTAGTGGCACACCACAGCTACTCAGGAGGCTCAGGTGGGAGGACTGCCTGAGTCTGAGAGTTCTAGGCTGAAGTGAGCCATGACTACACCACTACACTCCAGCCTGGGCAACAGAGTAAGACTCTGTCTCTAAAAAAATTTTTTATTTAAAAAATAAAAACAAAAGTGGGAGGCCATATGAATCTTTCCCTTTGATGTTGAATTAAATACCTTTTTTTTTTTTTTTCTAAGACAGTGTCTTGCTTTTTCACCCAGGCTGGAGTGCAGTGGTGCAATCATGGCTTACTGCAGCCTCAACCTCCTGGGCTCAAGTGATCCTCCCACCTCACCCTGCCGTGTAGCTGGGACTACAGGTGTGCCACTACACCTGGCTATTTTTTTTTTTTTTTTTTTGAGATGGAGTCTTGCTCTGTCACCCAGGCCGGAGCGCAGTAGCGCAATCTCTGCTCACTGCAAGCTCCGCCTCCCGGGTTCACGCCATTCTCCTGCCTCAGCCTCCTGAGTAGCTGGGACTACAGGCGCCTGCCACCACGCCTGGCTAATTTTTTGTTGTTTTAGTAGAGACGGGGTTTCACCATGTTAGCCAGGATGGTCTTGATCTTCTGACCTTGTGATCCGCCTGCCTCAGCCTCCCAAAGTGCTGGGATTACAGGCGTGAGCCACCACACCTGGCCTATGTTTTTTTTTAACAGATGGGATCTCACTATATTGCCCAGATAGTCTCAAACTCCTGGGCTCAAGCAATACTCCTGCCTTGGCTTCCCAGAATGTTGGGATTACAAGTGTGAGCCCCCTCGCCGAGCTGGATACCTTCTTGCATTGCTTTCCCATCCTTTCATCTGTATATTTTTGAGTCTCCTAATAGTTGTTGAATTCCATGAGCATAAGGGCTACATCTGTCCCCTCTCAACTCCCCACAGCACTCTATTTTGGCCCCCAACCTCCAGCAACATTTGCTACTAGCCTGTCTCCAAGCTCACAGATCCTGCCTCCAGGTTGGATACACACACCCAGTTTCTTAAATAATAGAAGAGTTACCTGGAGCCTTCTTGCCCCTTAAGATCCAGAGAAGATTTTCTGGAGTACACCATTCTACAGACTAGAAAGCCCAGTGCCTCCTCTAAGACTTCTGCAAGTTCCCAGGAGACCTGAGGTCTGGGTTGCCTCTTGTTCTGACCTTCTGCTTCTGTGAATTAGTTCAGCATAGGGCTCATCTTGCTATTTTGTATAACTCAAATGCAAGCCTCAGCCATTTCCTTATTTTCCATAAATTCACACTGACATGTCTTTGCGTGTGCAGCAGACTCTATTTTTACTAAAAATTCAGGAAGATGGAGAGCTTTACACTAAAGAAAATCAGGCAACTTTTTAGCGACAGTCTTGCTATGTTGCCCAGGCTGATCTCAAACTCCTGGTCTCAAGTGATCCTCCCACCTCGGCCGCTCCAGTAGCTGGCACTACAAGCGTGAGCTACCACGTCCAGCAAAAGTCAGGCAACTTAAAAGTGAACATTAGTCATACTTTATAATCTCCTTGGTCGTGTTCTTAAAAACATCCCTCAGCCATTTCTACCACCTTCTATGAGGTTACAGAATCATCCCTCTATTTTTTCCTTTTCTCTTCTTGCCTCTTTTCTGTTCTCCCAGGAGAAAAGAAAACAACACAAAACATCAGTACCACCGCCAACACACACATACACACACACACACACTCACACACACTCCTCCCATTTTCCAGGCTTCCCTCACATATTCAAGGACTGTATTGCAGTTTGTTTGTTTGTTTTTCATGTCTGGAAAAACATCTTTGTTTTCGTTTGTTTGTTTTTTACTTTTTTGTTTGTTTGGTTTTTTGTTTTGAGATGGAGCCCCAGTCAGTCATCCAGGCTGGAGTGCCGTAGTGCAATCTCAGCTTACTGCAACCTTGCCTCCCGGGTTCAAGCAATTCTCCTGCCTCAACCTCCCGAGTAGCTGAGATTACAGGCGCCTACCCCCATGCTCAGCTAATTTTTGTATTTTTAGTAGAGACGGGGTTTCACCATGTTGGCCAGGCTGGTCTCAAACTCCTGACCTCAAGTGACCCGCCCACCTCGGTCTCCCAAAGTGCTGGGATTACAGGCGTGACCCATCAAACCGGCCTGTATTTATTTATTTATTTATTTTTATTTCAATAGTTTTTTGGGGAACAGGTGGTATTTGGTTACACGGATAAGTTCTTTACTGGTGATTTCTGAGATTCTGGTGCACCCATCACCCAAGCAGTATACACTGTACCCAATGTGTAGTCTTTTATCCCTCACCACATTCCCACCCTTTCCTCCTGTGCCTAAAGTCCATTGTGTCATTCTTATGCCTTTGCGTCCTCATAGCTTAGCTCCCTATATTGCAGTTTAAAAAGTACCACTCTTAAGGAAGGGCTGTTAAATTCTGGGACAAACCAACCCCCACCCCTGGACTTTGCTTGCATATTAGTAGGGGAATGTGATGATGGTTTAGTTTTCTAATTACTCTGATTCCCAGTTGCCCCATATGTAAAACGAGGATATAATAGTGCTTGCTTCACATAATTGATGTGATAATAAGTTAATGCGTAAAGCCCTTAGCACAGTGCTTGGCACACAACGTGGAGATAAATGTTATCTATTCTTACTTCTTCCCTCTTCCTGCCCACTGAGGTCCTGATCAGACACTTAGGCCCAGGTCACGTGCCAGCACCCCCATGGAGACGTTTGGGAGCTCTCCTGAGCAGAACTAATCACTCCTTCCTTGAATTCTTACAACACAGGGTTTGCTTCCCTTCTGGCAAAGAGTGCAAAGACAAATAGGACAAGACAAGCCCCTAATCTGGAGGGAAATATACACAAGGGGGTAGAGACAAGGGAATGATCCAAGGAGGCTAGGGATGGGGTAGAGGAAGGATTCTAGAACAGAAGCAAATTAGCCAGCTTCAAGATCTTAAATTCAAAACAACAACGTGATGATGTTGCCAATGTTGTCAGCCCAGAATATCCATATGCAGTTCTTCTGTCAATTTTTCATCAATTGCAGATTTTACCATATGCAGTTTTAGGGCTTGCCACTTTTACATTTGTTGACTATTTCAGCGTGAGCGTATCAGTCAGGGTTCATTCAGGGAAGCAGGACCACTATAAGTTATGAGATAAGGAATTTATTACAGGAAATGGACTTTGCACAATTTGGGGAGGAGCTGGAAGGTAAAGGTCTGGAAAGAGGAGATGAAGAATTAGAGAAAAGTTACTTACTAGCCCCAGCTTGCAGGGAAGCCTGGAAGCCATGCTTCAAACTTCAGTCTACAAAAGGCTGTTGGCTCTTCATGACTGCAGCCTCTGAGTTCACAGCACAGCATGTGCTGGTAGTCCTGGGGTTGCTGTTGTTGGCAGAGTTAGCAGGGAGAAAGGACAGGTGGACCCAGAGTGGGAAGAACCAGGGCAAATGAAACTGCTGGTGTGTCTGTGTCTGTGTCTCATCACCTCTCACCAACATCAGTCTTTAGATCACAATGGTGCCTGCTTCATCTCTGCTTCCTAAATCTCACACAACTTCACTTTTTGCCAACTTGACCCAGAATCATACAGAGAAAGAAATTCTAGGGAACATAGTTCCCAATAGAATAATCCAGCATAACATTCATTATAAAACTCATTGTGTTCATTGCAAATTGGATAAATGACTGATCATTAATATCTATTTCTTGGAACAAGGAATAAAGAATATTAAGAGGGAAAATTTATAGGATCTGGATAGATGGTAGGGTCAAAATTTCAGAATAGAGAATCCATAATCAGAGTCACATTTATGAAGATACGTAATATATGTTAGAAATGGTTCTGCTGAACAATGGAGAAAGTTATTTCAAATAAATAGTGGCTGACATAACTGGATGTACAAATGGAACATACATTAATCTTTACCTCACAACATATATAAACATGAACCTTACCTCACAACATATATAAACATGAACATCATGCATATTATTGACCCAAATGTGAAAAATAAAACAATAAATCTTTTAAAAGATAAAATGTGACATGATTTCCATGACTTTAAGGTTTGATAAGGTTTGCTAAACAGAATACAGAAACCACTAAGCCTTTTTGGAGAAGATGTAGGATAATTGTAAAATATGCTTGTTGCGTAGAATATAAATTAATTCAACTACTTTGGAACAGTGTGACAGTATTTACTAAAGTTGAATATATTCCAGCTATTTCACTTCTAGATATGTACCCAATATAAATGTGTACATAGGTACACCAAACACTTGAAGTAAAATGTTCATGGCAGCTTTATTATTATTATTATTTTGAAATGGAGTCTTGCTCTGTCACGCAGGCTGGAGTGCAGTGGTGCAATCTTGGCTCACTGCAACCTCTGCCTCCTGGGTTCAAGCAATTCTCCTGCCTCAGCCTCCTGAGTAGCTGGGATCACAGGTGTGCGCCACCACGCCTGGTTAATTTTGTATTTTTAGTAGAGATGGGGTTTTGCCACATTGGCCAGGCTGGTCTTGAACTCCTGACCTCAGGTGATCCACCCTCCTTGGCTCCGAAAGTGCTGGGATTACAGGCGTAAGCCACCACGCCCGGCCCACGGCAGCTTTATTAAAGTCAAAGCCAGGAAGCAAGCTAAAAGTCCATCAACAGTAGAATAGATAAATAAATTTGGTACTTTCATACTACAGAATGCTATACAGCAATGAAAATGAATAAATTACTGCTACATGCAACAACATGGACGAATTTCACAAGCATAATGTTGAGCCAAAGAAGTCAGATATAGATGAATACGTGCTATATAACTATATAAAGTTCAAAATGGGCAAAACTAATCTATGCTGTTAGAAGAAGGACAGTGGTTTCTTTTAGGTGGTGGCAGTTAATGGCTAAGAGGGGTCATTCAGGAGGTTCCAGCTATGCTAGGGATATTCTGGTTTTTTAAATCAGGAAGGTGGTTACTTGATTGTGATAATTCTTTATGCTATACATGTATGATATATACTTTCTGTATTTATGTTTACTTCAACTGTTTTTAAAAAGTTATTTTTAGAAAAGCATTTGAAATGTTCTGTTTTACCAAGCACAGTGGCTCACACCTGTAATCCCAGCACTTTGGGAGGCTGATGTGGGCAGATCACTTGAGGTCAGGAGTTCGACACCAGCCTGGCCAACATGTTGAAACCCCGTCTCTACTAAAAACACAAAAATTAGCCAGACGTGGTGGTGGGCGCCTGTAGTCCCAGCTACTTAGGAGGCTGAGGCAGGAGTATTGCTTGAACCCATGAGGTGGAGGTTGCAATAAGCTGAGGTTATGCCACTGCACTCCAGCCTGGGCAATAGAGTAATACTCTGTCTCAAAAAAAAAAGTTCTGTTTTATCTATTTATATCTTGTAGTCTTTTTCTTTTTAAAAATTTGAAAAACATTTGTATTAATATATTTTGTAGAGATGGGGTCACACTGTGTTGCCCAGGCTGGTCTTGAACTCCTGGCCTCAAGCGATCCTCCCACTTCACCCTCCCAAAGTGCTGGGATTACAGGCATGAGCCACCATGCCTGGCCTCTAGTAGTCTTTTTCTGACTTCTCAACTCCTTTTATCCTTCCTACACAATTTCCTATCCTCTTGCTCTAAAAATATTTTCCTCCCATAATTCCTTTTGCATGTTGGACCCTAATTTCATTCCTCAGCAGGTATGTCTTGAGTGTCTACCACATGCCAAGCACATAGCCAAAGTGATTATGATAGTGAATAAATTGGCAAAGAGCTGTCCTCATAGAGCTTTAGCTTCCAGGACACAGACGCTTCTGGGCAGGCAATTGATTCCCCAAAGCTTCAGATTAAGGGCAGCTTCTCAAAATCTACTGTTTGTACCCATTAATGACTCTGTCACTCCTTGCATTGTCCCTGTGTAAAGCCTCAGCATAATCTTTGACAATTTCCTCCATCCCACATTCAAAGATTTACCTCAACCTGCCCATTTCTACCTCCAAAATGTGCTCGTCCATTCCTCCTTTTTTCCAGCCCTGATGCTTTTCATCCAAGTTGAAGTCCTTACTAATTCTATTGCAATGGTGTCAGTTCATTTGGAGAAACAGCCACTCAAGCTAGTTTTAGGAGAACTCGGGTTCAGGTAACTAACACATTGCTGAAAAATCTGGGAAAGATATTTGAAGCAGAGCTTCCAGGAACAATACCTAACTCTTGGAATCCTATTACCTCTGTGTAAAAAAAAACAAAAAACAAAAAAACTGGAAAGCCACCATTGCCATGCGGAAGTCCTCGAATGAAGAAGCAAATGACCCCAGCACCAAGCAGCCTCTGTATCACCCATGCAGGCTACATGAATCCTTGTCCAGAACTCTAGCTACAAAGAAGTGTGTGAATTGCAGTCTTCAGGTTTCTGACATTACCAGCATAGGCTGGAATGGATGCTGAGCAGGGCTGGCCTCCACGTCTCCCTCCCCTCCCAGCCCTGCCTCCCAGCTTCCCTGCTCTCCCCTACAATTCCATTCTCTTTCTTGCTGCTGACTCTAATCACATCACTCCCCAGCTCAAAAGCCTCAGGTAACTCACCATTTCCTTATCTGTCATTCAAGGCCCTCTGTGATGAGATCCCTACTTGTATTTCTGGTGTATGTCCTACTCCACTTCTACAGTTTTCTTAACTCCATCCATTCCCCCACCACTCCCCAAATGTATTCTGCCCTTTCCCACCTGATGCCCGTGTGCATCCTCTGTCCTTCTCACCATCATTTCCCATTAAAATTGAAAATGGCCTTCTAGGCCCATTTCAAATATCCCTTCCTTTCTCCTTTGATCCCCTTAACCAAAGTGGCCTGTCATCCCAGCTAACTTCTAATACATTGTGGAAGAATAAGGCAGTTATTCAGACTGCATCTGTGGACAGATGTGGGCTGGAATCCTAGCTAAGCCTGGGCAAGTGAGATCTTCCTGGACTCAAAGGCTTAGTGTCCTGCTCTGTAAAATGGGGCTAATAATGGTACCTATTTCATAGGCAGGTTGGAAGGACTGGTTGAGATCAGCTGCCAGTGCCCACCTCTCCAGATGGTAACGAATCCATAAGTATTGTCTTGTTCACCTTTGCACCCCTCACCTAGGTGCTCAATAAATACTCAAGTAATAAATGGACAAGCCAAACCAAGCAGCAACGTCGACCTTAGGGAATCTAAGATCAAACCAATGTAATGCTAGGCCCCCTGCTCAGGGGTTAGCTTAGGACACAGGTATGAGCAGGTGAAGAGTTTCCACTTGGTTTATCAAGTCAGGAGAAAATAGAAACTAAGAGGTTTAACAGTTGGGCTGTGGCACAACCCCACGGTGCAGACCACAGCGAGTGAGCATGTTTCATGGATCAAACCCAGTTTAGATTCCCCACAGAAGCCTCTCTATGTTCAGAGAAGTAGGCTCCTGAACACAGAAAGGTGGAAGGAGGCAGGAGGTCTCGGACTAGGTACTTTCCCATCTTAGCCTGAGTGGACAGAATTCCATGTGATGCTGGAGGAGTGAAAATTGCTACAGTCTACCTTGGAGACCCATTTGGCAGAAGGTGCATATACCCTGTGGCCCAGCACTTCTAGGTCTCTACTCTAGACAAGGAGATGTGTCTAGATGTGTCTCCTTGTGTCTCACAAGGAGATGTGTCCAAAGTAATGCATTGTTGCATTATTTACAAAATCAAGAAATTAAAGCAACCTGAGTATCTATTAATGGTGAATAAATAAAATTTGACGCATTTAAGTGTTAAAATACAAATTGGCAAATGCAAAGGCATGAGCAAGATTTTTGTGTATCAATATGGACAGATTTCAAAAGTATAATATTGAATGAAGAAACATGCAATCAATATGATACCACTTAAAGATATAAAAGCAGCCCGTAATTACAGTGGCTTACGCCTGTAATTCCAGCACTTTGGGAGGCCAAGGTGGGTGGATCACTTGAGGTCAGGAGCTCAAGACCAGCCTGGCCAACATGGTGAAACCCTGTCTCTACTAAAAATACAAAAATTAATGGTGGTACATGCCTGTAGTCCCAGCTACTTGGGAGGCTGAGGCAGGAGAATCGCTTGAACCAAGAAAACAGAAGCTACATTGAGCCGATATCATGCCCCTGCACTCCAGCCTGGGGGATAGAACAAGACTCCATCTCAAAAATAAATAAATACATAAGATATAAAAGCAATACTGTAATATTATTCAGGACTACATGTCTGCACAAGTTTCGAACACTGGGCTGAAGGGGTACACGCTAAATTCATTGCAGTTACTTTTGGGAAGGGGAATTTGGGAACCAAGAGGGCTTCAGTTTTATCTGTAATGTTTTCTCTCTTTCAAACACGAACAAGTTTAGAGTTTTGAAGGACAAATATTAACAATTGAATTCAGGATGATGGTTGGGGTACAAGGATACTTTTCTATCTGAAAAAGTATTTTTTTCTCAGAAAACAAAAATATGGCTTCTGTAGTCTGGTTTGGGATACGTATGTTGCGTTGTATTGTGTTGGGCAGGGAGGGACTGGTGAAAAACTTTGACTATGATCCTTTAGAAATATTCTCTTGCTGACAACAGAAATTAATCATTGCCATGGCATTGAAATTCGAACAGTTGGCTGAGGCCTTTAAACACCTACAGCCCTTTTTGACCCTTTGATGGAAGCCATGTCCTCTTGATTCTAGGGGGGAGAATGCACATACAGTTTGGCATATAATTTCAGGGGTGTTGTAGCCCTTAGGTGAAGAGTCTGCACTACTACAGAATATCATGTGGTTGGCTTGTTCTGACCTTTAGAACAGTTAAGTAGAAATGCGTAGCAGAGAGACCAAGAAGACTTGTTAAAATATAAATACAACCTTCTCTTGGAAGAAAGAAGGTTTGGACTCTCAATCTGTGTGTGTGTGTGCATGTGTGTGTGTAACTGCTGAAGCCCTAAAAAAATAAGCACAGCTTCTCACGAGCTCTCAGTTTGCCTCCTGAACTGTAATGTAAACAAGTCAGATCATTCTGGGAAACTTGAGACTTAGGGAGCCCAGCTTCTGCCAGTGTAAATGCCAGCATTCGGGTCCTTGGAATGAGCCTCCCTCAGCCTGGAGCAGGAAATTTAGAGAAACACGTTTGGTCTTGCAGAAGGACTGCTCTGTTTGCTCTCCCTGCAGGGACCATGCGGTGGGCAGACTTTGGTCAGGATGAACAGCTTGCTCAGGGCACTGGCAGCCTCCAACATTCCTTGCTGGAAGGCCTTGGGGATTCACCCAACCTCCCTAATGGGGACAGAGTCTTCCCATCCAGCGCCCAGGCAGTCCTCTTTTCCCTGCCTACCTTAGGCTGGGATTAAGATGGTTTTTTAAACTAAATTTCATTTATCTATCTATCTATCTATCTATCTATCTATCTATCTATCTATCTATCTATCTGAAGACAAGGTCTCATTCTGTCAGCCAGGCTGGAGTACAGTGGTATAATTATAGCTCACTGCAACCTCAAACTCCTTAGCTCAAGCAATCCTCCTGCCTCAGCCTCCCCAGTAGCTAGCACTACAGGCATGCACCAACATACCCGGATCTTTTTTTTTTTTTTTAAAGATGGGGGTCTTGGCCAGGTGCAGTGACTCACACCTGTAATCCCAGCACTTTGGGAGGCCGAGGCGGGTGTATCACCTGAGGACAGGAGTTTGAGACCAGCCTGGCCAACAGGGTGAAACTCTGTCTCTACTAAAAGTACAAAAATTAGCCGGGCCTGGTGGCCGGTGCCTGTAATCCCAGCTACTTAAGAGGCTGAGGCAGGAGAATCGCTTGAACCCGGGAGGAAGAGGTTGCAGTGAGCTGAGATGGCACCACTGCACTCCAGCCTGCGTGACAGAGCGAGACACAGTCTCAAAAAAAAAAAACAGATGGGGAGTCTCACTATGTTGGCCAGGCTGGTCTTAAACTCCTAGCCTCAAGCAATCCGCCTACCTCAGCCTCCCAAAATGCTGGGATTACAGGTGTGAGCCAGCGTTCCTGGCTCTAAACATTTTTTTTTTTTTTTAATCATTTTGGTCTGGAGACAGGATACGTCATTTAAAAAACCATTTTGGTATTTGGAGTTTATTAATTTCTTTCTATCAAATAAGGAAAAATAGAGAAAATTTAATTTTTTTTTTTACATAGAGTCTCACTCTGTGGCCCAGGCTGGAGTGCAGTGGCGCAATCTCAGCTCACTGCAACCTCCACCTCCTGGGTTCAAGCAATTCTCCTACCTCAGCCTCCCAAGTAGCTGAGATTACAGTTGCACGCCACCATGCCCAGCTAATTTTTGTATTTTTAGTAGAGAAGGGGTTTCACTATGTTGGCCAGACTGGTCTTGAACTCCTGACCTCAGGTGATCCGCCCATCTCGGCCTCCCAAAGTGTTGGGATTACAGGCATGAACCACAGTTCCTGGCCTTAATTTTAACTTTTAAAACAATTCTGATAATATTTAGGTCTGCTGCATCTTTTCTAGTTGATGCAAACATCTGTTGAGTTGGAGTGACGAACTGCCAGCACCCCCAGAGCACTGAGCTTCTCGTCAAGCAAGCTTGTTGGCAGGGCTGTGGCCAAAACACTAGGGGATGCATTTGACATTTAGAGGAAACTTAATCACTTCCAAAGACCCAAAGTCAGATGTAGCCTTAAATATTTTATACAAAAAATATTTGAAAAAATAGGTGACTTGGCAATAAATCACAGCATGGTACTCATTAAGGTTACTCGCTGACTCATTAAAGTTGAAATAATGATCCAGTTGTCAAGATATAGATACAGATATAGATATAGATACAGATATAGATAATTATTGTTGTTGTTGTTTTTAACCTGTTCTGTAACTTTGCCAGGGGGAATTGTTTGGGGGTTGGGTAAAACCAGAGGGACCCTAAAGCACAATGAGCTCAGTTCAAATCCAGAGAAGTGAGGGGCCATGGGACACTAACACAGGGCCCTCACTCCACTTATGTTGAAACAATTAAAAAAATTTTTTGAGACAGGGTCTTGCTTTGTCACCCAGCTTCAGATGCACTGGTGCAGTCACAGCTCACTATGGCCTGGAACTCCCAGGCTCAAGCAATTCTCCTGCCTCAGCCTCCCAAGTAACTGGGACTCCAGGTGTGCACCACCATGCCCAGCTAATTTTTTTTATTTTTTGTAGAGATGGGGTCTCGCTATGTTGCCCGGGCTGGTCTCAAACTCCTGGGCTCAAGCAGTCCTCCCACCTCAGCCTCCCAAAGTGCTGAGATTACAAGCGTGAGCCACTGCGCCAGACAAAATAAGAAAAATTAATGCCTCCATTCCTATAGCAATGTAACTCTCTTTAAAAATTCCACCTCTGCAGATGGGGGCGGATCTTTAAAAATTCCTTGTCTATAGACAGGCTTTGGCTCCTGGGCCTCCCCCGGAATCTCCTGCAGGAGTTCTTGTTCAGAAACCTTTGTGGCAAATGCACACAGCACTCGGGTGCCAGCTCTCCGGTGAAAACATCTCTATCCCAAAAAGACTATGCAGAGTGGCCCTCCTCTTGCCTTCATTTTGTTTACAGGCTCCATTCTGTTAAATTTGGAAGCCGTGGCAGACGTCAGTGACTCCTTTCTAGAGCTGTGGTTCTCAAACTCGAGCTTTAGAATCATCTGGAGGGTTTATTAAAACCTAGACAGCTAGCACCCCCACCCTGAGTTTCTAATTCTGTCACTCTGGTGTGAGGGCCCAGAATTTGCATCTCTAATCAGTTCCCAGGTGATGCTGATGCTGCCAGTTCTATGACCACTCTTGGAGAACCACTGGTCTACGCATTTCATTTAAAATATCCTCATTCCTCAGTTTGGGTCTGATCCCAGAATGTAGGCTCAAAGACAACCTTCTCTACACAATCATCATGGGAGGAAGGGGATGGAGCAGATGGTCCTATAGTTATCCAGTGAAACATACATGGAGTCCAGAGTTATGTATAAAACAACCCTTTCACGTACAGTTGAACATTCCCACCCGATAGACCGCAAAGGGGCCAAGAGTCTGGAGTTGCTCCTCTGCTCCTCTCTCAGCAGCTTGCCCTTCTTGGGTTTCTCTCACTAACAAGGGCTTCATTGTGACCCTCCGGCATCCAGGTGGCAGCTCCTTCCCTTTGGAGGAAGAGCCTTTTGCCCTGGACATTCTATCCTGTCCCCTTTCCCCACACAGCCCCTCTTTTGGTTCCTTTCTTCTGCTGAGCTGTGCATTGTTCCTTTGCATCTTGATAGTATGAGGCTTCAGGACCTGGGGTGTGAAAGACAGAAAAGGGGAGGAGAGGCCTCCGCCTTGTCTGCCCTCAGGATGTGGTGCTTACAAGAGAATCAGAACTTTCGCTCAGCCTCGTTAACAAGGCCGTGGCTATGTCTCATGGTATTATGCCAAAAGTCTCCCTCTGTCATCCTCTAAACTCAAGGACATGGGAGGAGAAGCAGTCCTGCCACTGCACAATAAGGGGTCAGTGCTGCTAACCTCTCTGGTAACACTGCCTTACCCTTTAAAGGTGGGTTTAATGCTGGGAATCTCTACTCAAGTAGCTGTGAAGATTTCAGACAGGGAGTTTTGTAATCTTCAGACCACACCTGCTCAGCAGCTCTTACCTTTACCTACAGCTGGAGGTGGCCCACACATGGGACATATTAACGCTGGTTAATATGCCATTCCCTAGCAGTGGTTCCCCAACCTGGCTGTCATTAGAGTCACCTGGGAAACACTTTTAAAAATGTATTTTTTTTAAATAGATTTAGGGGGCACAAATTTTGTGACATGGATATATTGCATAGTGGTGAAGTCTAGGCTTTTGTGTAACCATGACCCTAATAATGTACATTGTGCCCATTATGTAATTTCTCATTCTGCGCCCCCTCCCACCTTTCCAAGTCTCCAATGTCTATTATTTCACTCTCTAGGAGAAGCATTTTTAAAATGCATATTCTGAAAAATATGTACAACACAAAAGGCAAGGGTATATTTGTTTCCTTAATATATAAAGAGTACTTACAAATCAACAAGAAAAGCCTGTTAATTCAATAAAGAAAAAGGACAAAAGGTATGAATAGGCAGTTCACATACTCATAAAAATTCAAAATATTCGTAAACAGATAAAAATATAATTGTTATCACTCATTATTAAAGTCATGGACATTTAAAATGTTGAGGTACCATTTTCCACCTCCCAGATTGGCAAAAGTTAAAAAAATTCAGCAGTGCACTGTGTTGTACAGAATGTGGAGAAAGGACATGCTCCACGTGGGAGTGGATGTTGACATAACCTTTTTGCATGGCAGCTCATCAATATCTATCAAAATGCTACAGGCATCTTCCTTGGTCAGAGACAGCTAAAGGAATAAAAGCAACAAAACAAAACAAAACAAAAAATGCTACAGGCATATACCTTGGTCAGAGAAAGCTAAAGGACTAAAAACAACAAAATGAAACAAAAAATGCTGCAGACATGTTCCATTTGACCCAATGATTTCACTGCTCTGAGTTCACTGCAGTGATATCCTAATGCATGTATAAAAATGCATCTACAGGAAGTTCATAGCAGCATTGCTCATAATGGCACAACCCATACGCAACCTAAATGTTTATCAACAAGCAAGGGGTTAAATAAACTACACCATGGCTAGCCACTGAATCTCTATGCCACTGCAGAAAAGAATGATGTCTGCTATGGTCTAAATGTATTCCCTAAAATTCATGTGTTGAAATTTAAGGGCCCATGTAATAGTATTAAGAAGTGGGGCCATGGCTGGGCATGGTGGCTCATGCCTGTAATCCTAGCATTTTCAGAGGCCAAGGCGGGTGGATCACGAAGTCAAGAGATCACGACCAACCTGGCCAACATGGTGAAACCCTGTCTCTACTAAAAATACAAAAATTAGCTGGGCGTGGTGGCTCATGCCTGTAGTCCCAGCTGCTAAGGAGGCTGAGGCAGGAGAATCGCTTGAACCTGGAAGGTGGAGGTTGCAGTGAACTGAGATAATGCCACTGCACTCCAGCCTGGGGACAGAGTGAGACTCCATCTAAAAAAAAAAAAAAGGTGGGGCCTCTAGGAGGTCATGAGAACACACCCCTCTCATGGATGGGACTTGGGCCCTTGTAGAAGGGCTTGGGAAAGTGGATTTGTTCTCTTCTGCTCTTCCATGTTGGGACACAGCAACAAGGCACCATCTTGGAAGTGGAGAGAAGCCTTCACCAGACACTCAGCCTGCTGGTGCTTTGATCTTGGACTTCTCAGTCTCCAGAACTGTGAGAAAATAAATGTCTGTTCTTTATAAATTACCCAGTCTGGCCAGGCACAGTGGCTCATGCCTGTAATCCCAGCACTTTGGGAGGCCGAGGTGGGCGGATCACCAGGTCAAGAAATCGAGACCAACCTGGCCAACATGGTGAAACCCCATCTCTACTAAAAATACAAAAATTAGCTGAGTGTGGTGGTGCACGCCTGTAGTCCCAGCTACTCAGGAGGCTGAGGCAGGAGAATCACTTGAACCCGGGAGGCAGAGGCTGCAGTGAGCTGAGATCATGCCACTGCACTCCAGCCTGGGCAACAGAGCGAGACTCTATCTCAAAAAAAAAAAAAAAAAATTACCCAGTCTTGGGTATTTTGTTATAGCAGGACAAACAGACTAAGACAATGTTGATCTGTGATCATATAACAATCTCCAGGATGTGTTGTTAAGTGAAAACAAGGTTCAATACAGTGTTGGTAGAGTACTTTCATTTCTGTGAAAATATGGGTGATATGGACATATGTACATATATATGTATTCAGAAATATGTGTAGACCATTTATGGCAATAGGTTGCCTTTGAGCAGGAAGACTGACACGCTCTTACTTTTACCATTGATAGTACCTTTGCATTGTTTGAATTTATTTTTACCATGAGCATGTGTTATTTCATTGAATAATAATAATTTAAAATCATATTCTTGGGTTTTTCTAGACCCTCTGGGAGTAAGAGGCAAAAATATGTTTGTTAAAAAAAAAAAAAAAAAAAAAAAACTCCACTTGGGGAAATGGTTGATTCTAGGACTGGGACAGGGAATATACAAGATGATCCCGGAGCATCTTATAGTGCCAAAAAGAACGAAGCATCACAAAACCAAAAGGACAGGGTACGTTCAAGGGACACAGGAGCCAATCTGAAAGAGTTTTCCATGGCCAAAGCTGGACATTTCGAGCAATAAAATAAATAACATAGTGGTGAATTATAACCCAGAATATAAAATAAACATCTGTGAGCCCATATTGGTATACATAAATGACTGAATAAATAAAGGGGGAAGAAGAGGCACATCTCCCTTACAGAAGAATTCCAAGAATTCCAAACACTTTATGTAGACATTCCCTTCTCCAGAAAGGAAGGCTTAATTCCCACCTTCACCTTGACTGTGGGTTTCACTTTGTGACTCTCTTCCAAAGAATACAGTGCTGTGGGAGGGGATTGCTGGGGGAATGATTTTAGAGTGGAGAAAACTGGCAATCCTTTCCCTGGCCAGGTAGCCAAAGATTGGCAATCAAAGTTGGTAAGTTATGCTGATAGTGTCTATCTTTGATATGACGTGATAAGAAGGCTACTTCACCTTTGCAGTATTCTTCCCTAAATCCATAACCTCAGTCTGATCATGAGAAAAACATCAGATAAACCCAAATTGAAGGACATTGTACAAGATACCCAAAAAGTACTTTTCAAAACTATCAAGGGCCAGGTGCAGTGGCTCACGCCTGTAATCCCAGCACTTCGGGAGGCCAAGGCGGGTAGATCACCGGAGGTCAGGAGTTCGAGACCAGCCTGGTCAACATGGCAAAACCCCATCTCTACTAAAAATACAAAAAATTAGCTGGGCGTGGTGGCGCATGCCTGTAGTCCCAGCTACGGGGAACACTGAGGCAGGAGAATCACTTGAACCTGGGAGGCAGAGATTGCAGTGAGCCAAGATCGCTCCATTGTACTTCAGCCTGGGTGACAAAACAAAACAAAACAAAAACAAAAACAAAACAAAACAAAAACGATCAAGGCTATGAAAAACAAGAAAACTCCACAAAACTGTCACAGACCAGAGGAGACCAAACAGACATGATGACTAGATGTGATATGGTACTCCAGATGGGATCCTGGAATGAGAAAAGAATATTAGTAGAAAAACTAGTGAAATCCAAATAAAGTATAGAGTTTAGTTAATAATTAGAAACAAAACCCCAGGCAGTTCTTATGTAGCCAGCTTGGCTCCAGGCTGCCATGAAGCACTTAGAGGCCCTTTAATAGCGTGGAGGTTCTCAAAGTTAAGCGTGCAATAGAACCCCCAGAGAGTTGCTAGTCCTGTAGATCCCATGATGGGCATTCTGATTAAGTAGGTCCATGGCAGGCTTGTGAATATGCTTTATTATTATTATTATTTTAAAGACATGGTTTCATTCTGTCACCCAGCCTGGAATGGAGTGGCACAATCTCGGCTGACTGCATCCTTCGCCTCCCGTGCTCAATCTATCCTCCCACCTCAGCCTCCCGAGTAGCTAGGACTACAGGCACACACCACCATGCCCGACTAAATTTTTTTGTATTTTTTTTGTAAAAATGGGGTTTCATCATGTTGATCAGGCTGGTTTCCAACTCCTAGGCTCAAGTGATCTGCCTACCTGGCCCTCCCAAAGTGCTAGGGTTATAGGCATGAACCATTGCACCCAGCCTGCTTTTTTTAAACAAAAACAAGAGCCAAGTTTTTATTTGCTTATCTCTTGCTTTGGAAGTACAGTACTCTTTGATGACATTCTTGGCCTTAGATTATTTGCCATAGCCCTTAACTACACCAGAACTGCAACCAACCACATTACTGGGCTTTCCCTCTCTGTCAATTTCACCAAGGCCTACCCAGTCTCAGTTTCTTGATGTCATCAGCTTATTTGGGTGGATTTGGTGTTCAGCACGGAGGGCCTCCACCAGCTTGAAATCCACAGGCCATCACGGTGGGATGCAAGCACACAGAGGTGGACGTGGCACTTGTCTAAGACAGACAGCTTTCAGAATTACATATGCTAGGCCATTATGGATGAGAGTGGTCAGCACCTCTTGTAAAGCAGTATTAATGCCCACGATGCCTCCAATAGCAATGCCCCCCTCAGCCACGGCAGCTGAATCTTCAATGCACCCAAGCCCTCGCCTCCCACAACTGGGTAGCTGAAGGGGGGTAATGGATATACATTTTTAATATGAACTACTAGGGCTTCTGAAATGTCACATTTTGGACACACTGCACTGGAAACCAAAATCTGATATTCTACTCATAATTACTATGTCTATCAATAAGATGTGAGTTCTATTGGAACAAAAATCTTCTGAAGATAGAAAGATCACGAACTTCCATTCATTATGTAACACCTCTAGTCTATTTGGGGCACTCAATGAGTTTCTTGATAGAATTCTTACCACCACTTGACATGTGATAAGTGTGAAATGAATAAATACTGAAAATAAGAAATTAATAGGAAACCTGTGGACACATCATCTCTTCTCATTATCCTGACCTAGTATAACCAGAAGAGGCTATTTCTTCTGGTGCTTAATTCACATTTAGATTATATTCTTTTGTTTTTCCATACAGGCACAATGCAAATAATCATGAATTTCTTTGCAGAATTAGAGCCATCTCAGGGCATGGTGTACTTCTTCCAGAGCATCTTGTGTGCCCCTTCATGTTATCCCCACTCACGGTCACTCTTCTTGGGACTCTCTTGTCAAACCAATCCCCACCCCCATGCCCCAAACACACACACCTACTTAATTTCTACTCTAGTCTTAGCTTCACGATCATTTCCTTGTCTTGCCTCTGTCACTGGTAAGGACCTCTCCAACATCCTCCCAGAGCACCCTGCCCTTTTCAGTTATAATTCCCAGCACCTACATTCTGCATCTTCTTATCCCCACTAAACTAAGCTTTATGATGACAGGAACTGTGTCTGTCATGTCTCCTGGTCCATCTCTAGCTGTGGCATGGCTTGTGGCAGACAATAGGTGCTAAATATTTGCTAAAAGAATGTTGAATGAATTCATCAGAGATTCCTCAATTAGAGTGCATTTGGACATAAACCTATCAATAACCTAAGCAGCATTCTAAAATCCTCAACAATTGGGATAGCTGTGCTATCCTTTTGATTTACAGCCCATTTTAATGGTCAGCTCATTGTCACCAAGAGTGGCTTCTTTGAGCTGCAGATAGCAGAGTTACCTGTGAAATTCTGTCATGAGACTGAATGGGAATAAGACTCTGATGCGGGGGGTTGGAGGGAGGCAAAAGGGAATTTCAATGGCTGGGACATCCAATTTTATTAATCTGTCATCAGCATGCACAGACATTGCAGTGAAGAAAGCAGAGGCTGTGGCACTGTGGAAACTCCAACCAAATCAGAGATGTCAGAATAAAACATATAACTTTGGCAGTAAATTGTGAGGTGATGGATTGGTCATTAAGACAACCAAAGCTGACCAATAATGCATTAAGTCTATTGAGCACTTTCTACACGCAAGACACTGAAAGACACAGAGATGAACTAAATATGTCTCTGAACTCAAGAAGCAGTCATCTAGACAGGAGGTAAAAACCACAGTTAAAAGGCATGTGAAGCCGGCTAGGTGCAGAGGCTCACACCTGTAATCTCAGCACTTTGGGAGGCTGAGGTGGGAGGATCCCTTGAGCCCAGGCAACAAAGTGAGACCCCCCCCCCCATCAGACCCCCATCTCTACAAAAAAATACAAAAAATTAGCCAGGTGTGGTGGTGCACGCCTGTGGTCGCAGCTACTCAGGAGGCTGAAGTGGGAGGATCTCTTGATCCTGGAAGGTGGAGGCTGCAGTGAGCCGAGATTGTGCCACTGCACTCCAACATAGAGTGGTGATAAGATAAAAATCTGATCAGTGTACCGATCATTCAATCAATAAAATGTACTTGGCAACAGAGCAAGACCCTGTCTCAAAAAAAAAAAAAAAAAAAGGCCTGAGACGTGAAGGTTGAGCATTCTGAGTGATTCGTTGCAGCTGCAGGAAAATGGGAAGGCTGGGTGGAATATGTAGCACTTCAGTTGGAACTTAAAAGATTATTAAACAATAATATAATTATTGTTATTAATTGAGCCCAGGAGTTCAAGGTTTTGTGATAAGCCCTGATTGTGCCACTGCAGTCTAATCTGAGTGACACAGTGAGACCTTGTCTCTAAAAAAAATTTTTTTAATTTAAAAAATAAAAACAGGCTGAGTACGGTGTCTCACTCCTGTAATTTCAGCTAGGAGGCTGAGGTGGGTGGATGGCTTGAGTCCAGATGTTTAAGACCAGACTGGGCAACATGGCAAAACCCCATCTTTAAAAAAATACAAAAAAATAAGGCAGGCATGGTGGCATACAGGTAGTCCCAGCTACTCAGGAGGCTGAGGTGGGAGGATGGCTTGAGCCTGGGGGTCATGGCTGCAGTCCCGTGATTGCACCACTGAACTCAGTCTGGGTGACAGAGTGGATGAGAGATAAGCTTGCTTTTGAAGAGGTGGTTACAGCCCAGAGGGAAAGATACACGTCAACTAATCATTACATGCAGAGGGGAGCGGCTATGGAGATGTGCGCCAAGTGTTACAGGAACACAGTAGGAGGACAGCTAATGGGCAGGAAAGGTTAAAGGAAACTCTCACATAAGAGGTGATATTGAAGGTTGAGAGCAGCCAAGAAGTGTTTTCCTGCAGAATAAGAGAAGTTCCTGCAGGCAATCGGAACACCATGGACACAGGTTCAGAAGCACAAAACAGCATGACAAAGAATAGGAGTTCTCTCAGTCACTCTTTGGCCTCCGGAAGAGACAAACAGATTCCCACACAAAAATTTCATATAAGATATGGAAAAAATTGATCAGAATAATATTCTATGTAGGCTGGGTGTGGTGGCTCATGCCTGTAATCCCACCACTTTGGGAGGCCAAGGTAGGCAGATCATTTGAGGTCACAAGTTCGAGACCAGCCTGGCCAATATGGTGAAACCTTGTCTCTACTAAAAATACAAAAATTAGCTGGGCATGGTGGCAGGCACCTGTAGTCCCAGCTACTCAGGAGGCTGAGGCACCAGAATCACTTGAACCTGGTAGGCAGAGGTTGCAGTGAGCTGAGATGTTGCCACTGTACTCCAGCCTGGGCAACAGAGCAAGACTCCATCTCAATAATAATAATAATAACAACAATGTTGTTATATATACAATAAAATTTAGATAGTAATTGTAAGTCTGTTCTAATATTTAGAACAAAAACCAAAGTCAGTGTTGATTTAGGGTTTGAGGTCTACTTTTTCTAAAAACTTGTCCAGTAGCACATTTGACAAATATGTTGAAGTATTAGTTTTTTCTCAATGGCCTCCCTTAACCTATGATTGTTAAATGCTTCTCTTTTGAAGATCCTATTATGTTCTCATTCTTGTCAATTTATTCCTCTTTAATTGTTATCTGATTAACTCCATGTTTGCTTATGATTCTAGCAATTCTACAACATCACTTTCATCAGCTGCATGAAACTTGCACGAAGGTTATTCAAAGTATGATTACTTTTGTGTCTCAAACTAACCAGAGACCCTTGGATGAGACCAGCTGAAGAACTGCCTGCAGCTGAGTATGAGAGTGTGAGGCAGGGAGCAGTGGACAAATGCTGACATTTACCAGCTAGAGGCCTTCACAAAGTAACTCCAACTTTCTGACCTTCAGATTCCTCATCTACCTTGAGGAAATTGTTTCAAGAGTTCAAGTAAATTGCACACATGGCCGGTGCAGTGGCTTGTATCTGTAATCCCAGCAACTTGGGAGGCTGAAGTGGGAGGATCACTTGAGGCCGCCTGTTAGAGACCAGCCTGGGCAACATAGAGATACCCTATCTCTTTTAAAAATTTGTTTTTAATTAGCCAGGTGTGGTGGTACACACCCATAGTCCCAGCTACTCAGAAGGCTGGGGAAGGTGGATCACTTGAGCCCAGGGGTTCTAGCTTTCAGTGAGCTATGATGCTTGTGCCACTGCACTCCAGCCTGGGTGACAGAGTGAGACCCCATCACTAAAATAATAAAATTAACTGCACAGTGAAAACACCTAACATTGTGCCAGGAATATGACTATCCCTCAGTAAACAGCCACATTCTTCCTCCACAATGCCTTAGATATCCTGGAGTACATTTTATTGATTGAATGATTGGTACACTGATCAGATTTTTATCTTATCACCACTCTGTTAAAGAAACGCCAGGCCTGATAGATAAACTTGTGTCCTGCAGAGGAATAAAGGGAGGAAACATTTGACAATTTTCAAGATAGAGGTGCCCAAAAAGCTAGTTTCCCACTGAGTAGAGATAAAAGGAGAACAGGAGTGCAAGATATTACATATGCTGAGGATGATTTTGCCAAGACTAAACAGAGCTGGCATCCGCAAGACATGCAAAGATTTTTTAATCAAGGGCCATGGGATTCTGGAATCCAGCCCTTCCTACATATTGTTCATTCTAGAAAAATAAATAAATTAGATAATGAAACAGGAGAATCACCATGCCTCGATGCAATCTTAAAACTGAATTTATAAATAAAAATTAGAAATGAAGCACACCCTGGACCCTTCTGAGAAATTATCGACAAATATGAGATTTGACTGACAGCTCATCTGAAATGCAATTTTCCTATCTATTGTTCTCTCAAATCATTTCTGAATTCATATTTTAATGTATTTGTTTTTGGAATGTTTTATTTCCCTCAAGAATTAAGGAATTCTTTAAAAAGAATCATATGTAAAAATTAGCTGAGTGGTTTGCCATCATTTACAGTGAAAATTTACATGCAGTGGCAGTAATCCAAAATGTTACATTTACCTTATCATACGATTCCCATTATATAGAGAAACCTCAGAGACTAAATCTCACCAGCAAGTGAAAAGAGTAAGGTCCTGATATTCTAATCAGAAACGGAACATTACAATAACATTTGTTATCAGATCAGAATTACAAAACCATGAACAGAGTAAGAAAAAATATTCATGATTTTAATCTTTGTGACTCTTGTTATAACAATACTACATAGCAATAGTTTCTCAAGAGAAATTTCTCACAATATCAGTGAGGTGATCATTGCAGCTATTTTCCTGGTATGGGTTAATTTCATGGAAATAAGTCCCAATGATGAATGATCATGTTTAAAAGAGAAAAATGCTGATGAGCTGTGTCTTAATTGTACACATTCTTCTTGGGAAATTTTTAACCAAGAAATGAGCACATAAGCATTAAAGGAATATTTAAAGAAACTATTGATTTGAGAAAGTTTGTTTTGGAAGAGCAGTTCTAGATATTAGCAGCTGGGCACAGTGAAATCTAAGTTTCCCAACACAAACGTCAGAAAAGATCCACTTATCCTATCTTACTTGCAATTTCCAGTTCCCTAATAAAAGAGCTTTCTTTTACATTAATTTTTAGTATATAAATAAACTTTTATAAATTAGTAAGAGAAAGCTCCACAACCCCACAGAGGACATGAATAAGCAGTTCACAGAAAAAGAAACACAAATGGCTTTTAAAAATGGAAAATGCTTAAACCAGGCAATTGTTAACTCCGAAAAAATAAAAAGTTTTATAAGAAATGCAATCTGATTCCCAACTTGGCTCAGCAACAGATAATATTTATGTGATATTAATACCCTAAATGATGAATTTAATATACCTATAACTAGCTTACTGAACAAAATGGACTTGAGATGTTCCAGTACAAACCTTTCCATCTCACCTTTTCAGCTCGATGGATAAAATACCAATCTTTGTAGCTTTTCTGAGTACTCTTGGGTTATTAATGAACAGTCTCTTTTTCCCCCAAGGTAACCCAAAGTCCAATTTAGTCTAATATCAGAATACCAAGCTCTTATCCAATTTATAGCTCTCTCCTGCAGCTTGGGCCTGACACAGGCTTGAAGTTTGCAGTGGGCAAGAAGTATGAGTAGGGCAGCCAAATAAAATATAGGATGCTCAGCTAAATGTGAATTCAAGAAAGCAACAAGTACTTTTAATATAATTATGTCCCAAATATGGCATGGGATATACTTATACTAAAAAGGCATTTATTGTTTATCTAAAATTCAAATTAAACTGGGCATCGAGTTATTTTTATTTGCTAAACCTGGCAACCCTCGGTTCAGGGCCAATGTCACTATGTCCCATCTTGCTCACTGTGTTGCCTCTGGCTCCTCTAGGGTTAGAGGCAGACATGGAAAAGATAGACGTGAGGAAAAGGAGAGCTCTTGGCCTGCATGGTTGTCATCTGCATGTGTGCCCTCTTGGTGTATCAGCTGCCCAAGGGTGAGTCATGGGAGCAGGCTCATCACTGGGGATGTTTTAGATGTACTTCCCTTGACCTGGGAGACACCTCATTGGGCTGGCCACTGACAACTGTCCCCTTGGTGCCTGGCTTCTGGTGGCTCACTCTTGGTTGGGGTCACTTTCCATCCTTCCAGAGGGTAGTGTTCGGTGGGTTTTTTGTTGCTGTTGTTGTTGTTGTTTTTTGTTGAGACAGAGTCTCTCTCTGTCGCCCAGGCTGGGGTGCAGTGGCACAATCTTGGCTCACTGCAACCTCTGCGTCCCAGGTTCAAGCGATTCTCCTGCCTCAGCCTCCTGAGTAGCTGGGATTACAGGTGTGTGCCACCATGCCCAGCTAATTTTTTGTTTTGTTTTGTTTTGCTGGGATTACAGGCATGTGCCACCATGCCCAGCTAATTTTTGTTTTTTGTTTGTTTGTTTGTTTTTTGAGATGGAGTCTTGCTCTGTCACTAACTAGGCTGGAGTGCAGTGGCACCATCTCAGCTCACTGCAACCTCCACCTCCCAGGTTCAAGCGATTCTCCTGCCTCAGCCTCTGGAGTAGGTGGGACTACAGGCACATGCCGCCGCGCCCGGCTACTTTTTGTATTTTTCGTAGAGACGGGGCTTCACCATGTTGGCCAGGATGGTCTTGATTTCTTGACCTCATGATCCACCCGCCTCAGCCTCCCAAAGTGCTGGGATTACAGGTGTGAGCCACCGCACCCAGCCTAATTTTTGTATTTTTGGTAGAAATTGGGTTTCATCATGTTGGCCTGGCTGGTCTCGAACTCCTGACCTCAAGTGATCCACCCCCCTTGACCTCCCAAACTGCTGGAATTACAGGTGTGAGCCACCGAGCCCGGCCGGCCTGGTGGAGAATTTCAAAAGCAACCCATTGGCAGCTGTTTACCACAGAATCCAATCAGACCCATAGAAAACCCCGGCAGCCCCTGGAAATGCTGGTCAACCTTGACTCTGTTCTGCTGTGAGGCAGTCTGCTCCAGCCAGCTCCTGGCTTTCACACACCATTTTTTTTTTCAGGTGTGAGTCAGTCAGTGAGTATACTGAGTATGTGACTATCTTCCCAAACTTCAGGAAACGCCTGTCTGACTCTCTGAGGATGCTCTTGAAATCCCCCTCACTAGTTTAGGATGAATGTGAGGAGTCTTTCTCCCACTGCATGTTGAGGATGGGGTAGGAAATGCAGTACTCTGATAACTCTCTCCAGAGCAGTCCCCAGTACTGGCCCTTCAGCCCCCTGCTTAATTCTTGGCCTTCTTTTTTATAGACTAGAGGTAGTCAGTGGCCAAGGCTGGAAGAGTCACTCTGGGGACACCTCATTTGCAAGCCCTACCTGGATTGTCTAGAATTTCTGTGTAGAATGTAGGGGCCCTTTGCACCTATTGTTCTCAGCTTTAGAGTCTCAGTTGGATCTCAAAGGTTTAAAATTCTATTTTAACAACCTATTACATAACTAAAAATAGTTATATAATCATACTGTGAAGATGACAAAAGGGTGTGTGTGTCTGTGTGTGTGTGTGGAGGGTGTGGGGTGTCATAAACCAAAATCCTCATCTATCATAACAGGGAGACAGAAGAGAGTTTGTGAAACTGATAAATCAGGATGTGGCAGTGTAAGCACAGCATTTAGAAAGATAGAGACAAACAGCAGAAGGAGGACCTGAGTAACTGCAAACGCTTGCCTTTGGGAAGTGAGACTAGGGGATTGAACAAGAGTAGGGGAAGACGCTGCTATTTTTCATTGCAAGCCTTTAGTAGTATTACATTTTTTTAACAATGTATTATTTTGATAATAACAAAACTATTTAAGTGATAAATTTTGCCAAAGCCACAAAGAAAATATTATGCAGTCGTTACAAAGAATGAGGCAGGTCAGGCACAGTGGCTCATGCCTGTAATCCTAGCATTTTGGGAGGCTGAGGCAAGCAGATCACCTGAGCCCAGGAGTTTGAGAACAGCCTGGGCAATGTGGCAAAACCCCCTCTCTACAAAAAATAGAAAAATTAGCCAGGCGTGATGGCTCACACCTGTAGCCCCAGCTAATTGGGAGGCAGAGATGGGAGGATTGCTTAAGCCCACGAGGAAGGAGTTGCAGTGAACTGAGATCACATCACTGCCCTGCAGCCTGGGTGACAGAGCAAGACCCTGTCTCAAAAGAAAAAAAAAAAAAGAATGATGTATATCTATGTAATAAGAATAGCTAACACTTATATAGTATTTCATGAATATCAGGCATAGTCTTAGATTCTGGGCCTATACTAATTCATTTAATGTATGTATATTGGTTTCCTAGGATTGCTGTCACAAAGTACAATAAACTGGGTAACTGGGTGGCTTAGAACAACAGAAAGATATTGTCTCACAGTTCTACAGGCTAGAGTCAGAAATCAAGGTGTTGGCAGGCTCACGCCCACTCTGACCTGAAGGCGAAGGATCCTTTCTTGCTTCATCTAGCTTCTAGTAGCCGCAGACGTTCCTTGTCTTGTGGCAGCATAAATCCAGTATTCACATGGTATTCTCCCAGTGTGCATGTCTGTGTGTCTGGTCCAAATTTCCCCTTTTTCTAAGGACACCAGTCATATTGGATTAGGGCTCACCCTAATGACCTCATTTTAATTTGACTACTTCTGCAAAGACCCTATTTCCAAATAAAGTTACCTTCTAAGATACAGAAGATAAGGACTTTAACATATCTTTTTTGGGAAGCACAATTCAACCCATAACACCATGCAAGAAAAGGAAATTGCAGCACAAAGAAATGAGGTCATTTGCCCAAAAATGCATGGCTAGTTAATGGTGGTACTCGAGTTTAAACCCAGGAAGTCTGGCTCCCAAGCCTTGTGCTCTTAACCACTAGACCACGCTGTCTATCTCCATTAAGTGCTCAAAGCAAGATGAGAACAGTGTACCGAGTATGATATCATTGTGTGAAAAGAAACTGGGGATGACTATGACATACATGTTTGCATATGCACAGAACATCTTTGGAAGAAGGCCCAAGAAACGGGCAGTAGGTCACCTCTAGGGAGGGAAATTTGGGGAGAGAGGAATGAGCTTTTTCTTTTATATATATATACATGTAATACTTTGAAGTTTGCTAGTTGTTTTGTTTATTTGTTTCCAAAGGCAGGAATTAATTTAAAATAGTTAAATTTAAAATGAAAACAAGAGGGATGTTCTGAGCAAGGTGCAGCGAGCGGTTCATGCCCGTAATCCCAGCACTTTGGGAGGCAGAGGCAGGAGGATCACTTGAGCCCAGGAGTTCAAGACTAGCCTGGGCAACATAGGGAGATCCTGTCTCTACCAAAAAAAAAAAAAAAAAAATTAAGAATTAGCCAGGAGTGGTGGTGCATACCTGTAGTCCCAGCTACTGGGGGGCTGAGGTGGGAGGATCGCTTGATGCTGGGAGGTCGAGGCTGCTGTGAGCTATGTTTGTGCCACTGCACTACAGCCTAGGTGACAGAACGAGGCCCACATCTCAAAAAAAAAATAGGGGTGTCCTTTTATTAATGCTATCACCCTAGACTACAGGGGCTACTCAGACTTTTGGAAGAAATCTATTTTGGGGGGAATGATCTAAGCATTGGTTCCCAGACACATTTTTTTTTTTTAAAGACAGGGTCTCACTCTTGTCACCCAGGCTGGAGTGCAGTGGCACAATCATGGCTCACTGCAGCCTTGACCTCCCAAGCTCGGGTGATCCTCCCACCTCAATCTGTTGAGTAGCTGGGACTCCAGGTCCACCCTAACATACCCAGCTATTTTTAAAATATTTTTTGTAAAGGTGGGGTTTCACTATGTTGCCCAGGCTGTCCCAGACAATCTCTTTAATTGCTTTAAAAGACTATTGTGATTCCTTAGTCTTTTCAGGCTGCTATAGCAAAAATATCACAAATTGGGTAGCTTATAAACCATAGAAATCTACTGCTCACAGTTCTGGAGGCTGGGAAGTCCAAGATCAAGGGCATGGCAGACAGAGCATCTGGCGAGGGCTCTCTGGTTCATAGATGATGCCTTCTCCACTGTGTCCTCACGTGGTGGAAGGGGAAAGGAGTCTTTTTGAGAGCACAAATTCCATGCATGAGAGCTCCACCCTCACGACCTAATTATCCCCCAAAGTCCCCACCTTCTAATACTATTGCGTTGCAGATTAGGTTTAAATATATAAATTTTGGGGACACACAGACATTGAGACCATAATAGTGACTACATAACTTTGGAAAGAACTATATAGTGAACTATTATAAAGCCATTAAACTTTACATTTGTTGACAATTTTTTAATGATACTGGGAAATATGTTTATGATAAATATTGTGAACTTGTCTATATAGATAGCCAATTCTCTTAAAAAAATACTAAATAGAAAAAACTCTAAGAAAATATACCTAAATATTAACCATGATTATTTTGGGTGAAGGTAGAAGAATTATGGATAATTGGAGGAGGGTTATACTTTTTGTTAATTTAAGTCAGAAGATAACATTTAAAACATTTCTTAAAATGTGCTAGAAGTGCTTCTGGTGAGCTGGAGTTTTACCCACACTAACAAACACTGACAGGCCCAGAAGAGATTTAGTCACATAAGTGTGTGTGCCTCAGAGATTTTTCTCCTTCAAAAATCAGCCTAGGGCTGGGCGCGGTGGCTCACGCCTGTAATCCCAACACTTTGGGAGGCCGAGGTGGGTGGATCACCTGAGGTCAGGAGTTCGAGACCAGCCTGACCAACACAGCAAAACCCTGTCTCTACTAAAACTACAAAAATTAACTGGGTGTGGTGGCGCATGCCTGCAATCCCAGCTACTTGGGTGGCCGAGGCAGGAGAATCACTTGAATGTGGGAGGCGGAAGTTGCAGTGAACTGAGATCGCACCATCGTACTCCAGACTGGGCAACAAAAGTGAAACTCCGTCTCAAAAAAAAAAAAAAAAAAAAAAATCAGCCTAGGAATCCATTTTCTCATGTAGGCACTTCTACTCTTTACCACTTTCCCTAACTTGGTGCTTCAACAAGATTTTGCAGAAGAATCAATAAAATTTTTCAAACCTCCACTGAGAACCCCAGAGGTACAAGGGGTCCTTTGTAGAAGAAAGTGTACATTTTGAGGTCAAAACCAACTTGATCTGTGTGACTATGGGAAAGTTATTTACATTCCCATGCTTCAGTTTCCTCATTTGTAAAATAGGGATAATTCTTTCATTAATGTAACAAATATTTACCGAGCACCTTCTCTGAGTCATGGAGTGTTCTAGGTGCTGAGAACACAACAGTGATGAAAGAGACAAAGACCGCGTCCGCATGGAGTGCTGAGTGGGGGGCAAGGACTCTTTCATGTGATTGTTGTAAAGATCAAAGGAGCAAATGCGTAACTGAAGAATCAGATGTCTTAACCTGATTTCAGATGTCTGTTTAACCCCAAATCTTCCAAGCTGCTAGGGTCACCCAGTCCTTTACCATTAAATAAAAGTGATACAAACTCCCATTCCTCTGGCAGGGAGAAATACAGCAGCCTCCTCTTATCTTAAGGGTTCTCACAGGACTGCCATTTCTCCTTGTCTCCTCTGACAACATCTATTCTTCCACGGATCACTGCTTTCATCTCAGATCTTCTCTGTGCTGCCCACTTTCAAGAACTGTCTGCCCTGCTGAGGCCATGGCCCCATGCCTGCCCTCCCCAGAAAGGCCAGCCATGGTGGCTCAGATGTCTTCTGAGGGTTCAAGACTACGGAGGAAAATTATAATTCAGGGAAGCACAAAGAAAAAAATCAGAATCAATATGTTATATCCTTGTTCTTCACAATTCCTCAGCCATTCCCAGCACAGTCTACCCTTCTCTTCAAGCGCACACTAGCCTTCCCTCAAGCCACTAAGTTCCCTTTGCCTCTCAGTCGTCATCCCTTCTCTGTCAAGACATCTGCCCCTCACAGTCCAAATCCACTCCTCTTGCTTTTCAAGCAAGGGGAGTGAAGGGAGAAGAGGAGCTGCACCTTTCTTCCCAAAGGGGCCTAAACCCAATATAACATCTCCCCAAGAGGAATTCTGTCTCCAGCTTTCAGAAAAACAACTTTTTTCTCCCTACCATCAATGTAAGTGAAACATTAGGAGCCTGCGGCCGGGCACAGTGGCTTATACCTGTAATCCCAGTGCTTTGGCAGGCCAAGGCAAGAGGATTGTTTGACCCCTGGAGTTTGAGACTAGACTGGGCAACATAGCAAGACCCCATCTCTACAAAGAAACAGTTTTAAAATTAGCCATGCATGGTGGTGTGTGCCTGTAGTCCCAGCTGCTCAGAAGGCTGAGAAAGGAGGATCACTTGAGGCCAGTAGTTCAAGACCAGCCTGGGCAACAGAGCAGTAGCCCCTATCTCTACAAAAAATAAAAATAAATTAGCTGGGCATGGTGGTGCACACCTGTAGCCCTAGCTACTTGGGAAGCTGAAGTGAGAGGATCACTTGAGCCCCAGAGTTCGGGGTTACGATGAGCCATAATTTCACCACTGCACTTCAGCCTGGGTGACAGAATGAGACCCCGAGCCTAAAAAAAGAAATTTAATTTATATTAAATTAAATTTTAAAAAGAAAAGAGCCTGGGACATAGCAGCTCAATAAATTTTAGTCCCCATCCTTTCCCTTCCTGGTGGAGTCAGTCGGCGTGGTTGTACACACCATCCCTCTGAGTCTTTATCTTTAAAATGAGGACCCTGGGGTGTTACTGTAAGGACGGGATCAGTCACTACCTGTAAATACTAAGAACAGAGGCTGGCATGTAAGCCCTCAACCAGTGCTCTTATTGTTATTATCAGCTATGATACTAAGAGCTGCAAATTTTCTGCAAAGGATCAGCTTTTACAGTTGGAAAAGCATTCGTTTCCTTGGACTGCTGTAACAAACTACCACAAACTGGGTGGCTTAAGGTAACAGAAGTCTATTCGTTCATAATTCTGGAGGCCAGAAGTCTAAGATCAAAGTGTCTGCAGGTCCATGCTCCCCCTGAAGTTTCTAGGGGAGAATCCTGCCTTGCCTCTTCCAGCTTCTGGTGGCTCCTGGAAATCGCTGGCATTCCTTGGCTTGTAGATGCATCACTCCAAATTCCCCCTCCATCATCATATGGCCATCTTCCCTGTGTGTGTTTGTGTATCTGTGCGTGTGATTGTGTATGTGTCTGTGTGTGTGATTGTGTATGTATCTGTGTGTATGTGTGTGTGTCTGTGTGTTTGTGTGTGTGTGTCTCTGTGTCTTTTCTTTTTTATTTTTTGAGACAGAGTCTCGTTCTGTCACCCAGGCTGGAGTGCAGTGGCGCAATCTCAGCTCATTGCAAGCTCCACCTCCTGGGTTCACGCCATTCTCCCGCCTCAGCCTCCGGAGTAGCTGGGACTACAGGCACCCGCCACCACGCCCAACTAATTTTGGTTTTGTATTTTTAGTAGACACGGGGTTTCACTGCATTTACCAGGATGGTCTCTATCTCCTGACCTCGTGATCTGCCCGCCTCAGCCTCCCAAAGTGCTGGAATTACAGGCATGAGCCACCGTGCCTGACCTGTGTCCTCTCTTCTTATGAGGACACCAGTCATTTTGGACGTAGGGCCCACCCTAATCCAGTATAATCCCCTTTCAACGAACTATGTCTACAAAGACCCTATTTCCAAATAAGGTCACATCCTGAGGTTCTGGGTGGACGTGAATTTTGGGGGACACTGGTCAGCCTAGCACAGTTGGGAGGGCCAGATCTGAGGCTTAGGCTTCTATGACATACTGCTCAGGCCGGAGTTGTTGGAAGTAGGGGCTGTCAGAGACCTGACTGATGGGTCTTTCCCGTTCTTCCTGGCTCCACCTGCCTCCCGGGCCCAGGGCTGCTTGCTGCATGGACAGTCTTGCCTGCTGCCACCATCACTTCATCTCTGACTGCATGAGCTGTCTGTGCCTTCCCTGAGGGGAGGGCTTGCTCCTGAGCTGCCTCTATCAGGCCTGAACTCCTAAAACCTGGACTCAGAGGAAGTCCTATGAGGCATGACACCTGACCCAGGGTGAGGGGGAGTTTTAACCAGTGAGATATAGGAGACAAGACAGAGCTGGCAGAAACATTCCTTCTTCTTTTTCCCTTCAACAGTTTGGCGCAGGTTGTCCTGTCTGACCAAATGGCTCACTGGGTTTCTCAGGAAGGTAGGGCTGGCAGGGCGCAGTGGCTCATGCCTGTAATCCCAGAGCTTTGGGAGGCTGAGGTGGGAGGATCACTTGAGGCCGGGAGTTTGAGACCAGCCTGGATGACATAGTGAGACCCCCCCATCTCTACAAAAAAAAATTTTTTTTTTGAGACGGAGTCTCGGCCTGTCACCCAGGCTAGAGTGCAGTGGCCTGATCTCGGCTCACTGCAACCTCTGCCTCCTGGGTTCAAGCAATTCTCTGCCTCAGCCTCCTGAGTAGCTGGGATTACAGGCGACCGCCACCACGCCCAGCTAATTTTTGTATTTTTAGTAGAGACGAGGTTTTACCATCTTGGCCAGGCTGGTCTTGAACTCCCGACCTCGTGATCCACCTGCCTCGGCCTCCCAAAGTGCTGGGATTACAGGCGTGAACCACCATGCCCAGCTATAAAAAAATTTTTAAAAGCCAGTTGTGGTGGCCTGCACCTGGGAGGATTGCTTGAGTCCAAGGCTGTAGTCTCAGCTACTCAGGAGGTTGAAGCGGGAGGATCACTTGAGCCCAGGAGTTCAGGGCTGCAGTGAGCTCTGATTGCACCACTGCCTTCCAGCCTGGGCGACAGGGGGAAACCCATCTCTAAAAAAAAATTTAAAATAACCTGGGTGTGGTGGCTCACACCTGTAATCCTAGCATTTTGGGAGGCTGAGGCAGGTGGATCACCTGAGGTCAGGAGTTCGAGACCAGCCTGGGCAACATGGTGAAACCTTGTCTCTACTCAAAATACAAAAATTAGCCAGGCGTGGTAGCAGACGCCTGTAATTCCAGCTATTTGGGAGGCTGAGGCAGAAGAATCACGTGAACTCAGAAGGTGGAGGTTGCAGTGAGCCAAGATGGCACCATTGCACTCCAGCCTGGGCAATAGAGCAAAAACTCTGTCAAAAAAAAAAAAAAAAAAAAGTTTAAAAGAAAAAGAAATACCCTACTCTGTGCTTGCTTTCCTTCCTTCCTGGCCTCCAGTCCCTCTGCTCATTCCTGCTGCCCTAGGATTGTGTCTGTCAATAAAGAATTCGCGCGTAAGTTTTACCTCTGCTTTTTTCTAGAGAACTCAGGCTACCACAAGTGCCCTAGAAAAGAGCCCCTTTAGGACTAACGAGCAAGACCAGGCTTCAGCCAAGGCAAAGACTAACAATTAAAGGAGAAAGCAAGTGGAAGGGTCCACCCAGATCCAGGAATACGCAGAAGCTGGAGGTTCGAGGAGAGCAGAGACCTAGAGCCTGTTTGCTAAGCTCGGCCACTGGGTTACTGAGGTCAAGTCCTGCTCAGCTTCAAGAATGCCAAGCTGGAGCCACACACCAGGGTTGAGGCCAGTGCTCCAGGCTTGGGTGGGGCCCTGGAAGTAGCCAGCAGGCTGGAGCCAGAGTACCCACGCAGGTAAGGAGCACAGGCAGCCCGAACCAGATGACCAGGCTGACGGCGCCCGGGGGAGGCATGTCACAGACAACAGGATTTGTTGGTCAAAACCACACTCTTAATCTCTGAAATGTACCAGTTACAGGTACACTTTGGTTAGAAACCTTAACAGCCTGTTGTGGTGGCTCATGCCTGTAATCCCAGCACTTTGGGAGGCCGAGGTGGGAGGATTACTTAAGCCCAGGAGTTTAAGACAAGCCTGGGCATCATAGTGAGACACTGTCTCTACAAAAAATCAAAAATTTAGCCTGGTATGATGGTGCATGCCAGTAGTCCCAGCTACTCAGTAGTCTGAGGTGGGAGGATTGCTTGAGCCCAGGAGGTCAAGGCTGCAGTAAGCTGTGATTGTGCCACTGCACTATAGCCTGGGCAACTAAAAACAAAATTAGTCTCTAAAAAAAATTACATTACATTACATTTTTTAAAAAAGAGTGTCGGACATATCAGCGGCTCAATAGGTGCTAGTCCCCATTCCTTCTCTTCCTGGTGGAGCAGATCTGCTGCTGACCCTCTTAAAATCAGGGTCCTCGGCCTGGTGCGATGGCTCACACCTGTAATCCCAGCACTTTGGGAGGCCGAGGCCGGTGGATCACCTGAGGTCGGGAGTTTGAGACCAGCCTGACCAACATGGAAAAACCCCATCTCTACTAAAAATACAAAATTAGTCAGGCGTGGTGGCGCATGCCTATAATCCCAGCTACTCGGGAGGCTGAGGCAGGAGAATCGCTTGAACCCGGGAGGCAGAGGTTGCGGTGAGGCGAGATTCTGCCATTGCACTCCAGCCCAGGCAACAAGAGCGAAACTCCATCTCAAAAAAAAAAAAAATCAGGGTCCTCATTTTAAAGATGAAGACCCATCTTTACAGGCATATGCCTGAATGTAATCCCAGCTACCCAGGAGTGAGATGGAGCGAGACCCTGTCTCAAAACAGAACAAAACAACAGGCTGGGTGCGGTGGCTCAAGCCTGTAATCCCAGCACTTTGGGAGGCTGAGGCAGGCGGATCACCTGAGGTCAGGAGCTTGAGACCAGGTTGGCCAACATGGAGAAACACCTTCTCTACTAAAAATACAAAAATTAGCCGGGCACAGTGGTGTGCCCCTGTAATCCCAGCTATGCGGGAGGCTGAGGCAGAAGAATCTCTTGAACCCAGGAGGTGGAGGTTGCAGTGAGCCGAGATCGCACCATTGCACCCGAGCCTGGGTGGCAAGAGTGAAACTTGGTCTCAAAAAAAAAAGAAAAGAAAAGAAAAGAAAAAGTGTGGTTCAGCCCGTAGTTCTTTTTGCCCCAATAAGAGACTGTTGTTGAAAGCCGATTGACCCCTTAGGGTTTACTGCCCTACCCTTACGCCTCTCCATAACTACCACATATTGAGTGTTTCCTATGTGTGTGCCAGCCCACTGTAACTCCTCACCACATGCCATGAGGGAAGAAGCACTAGCTTCAAGAGACAGAGGAGGGAACCAGGGCTCAGGGAAGGTAAGTTACTTGCTGCAGCCACACCATTTTCAAGGGACATACCTAGGTCTTAACCACTACACTCTACCATTTTCCTTAGCTTGAATGAGCCAGGAGGATTTCACCAGAAAAGAAAAGATATATATTGGGAGCCTTAAATATCTGCCTCATTTCCCTGGAGGCAGCATGGAAGGTGGTTAGACACACAGACCTTCAACTCAGAGCGCCGGGGTGTGGGCCCTTGCTCTGCCAGTTACTATCTGTGAAACTTTGAACAAGTTAATGAAATTTTCTGTGTTGGCCTTTTCTCTTCTGTAAAATGGGATGATGAGATGATAATACTAACACTTCCCACATAGGCTGTTGGAAAACTCCAATGATATTGAGAGGTGACGGTGTGCTGGCAGTCCTCACAGCCCTCGCTCGCTCTGGGCACGTCCTCTGCCTGGGCTCCCACTTTGGTGGCACTTGAGGAGCCCTTCAGCCCACCGCTGCACTGTGGGAGCCCCTTTCTGGGCTGGCCAAGGCCGGAGCCCACTCCCTCAGCTTGCAGGGAGGTGTGGAGAGAGAGGCGCGAGCGGGAACCGGGGCTGCATGTGGCGCTTGCGGGCCAGCTGGAGTTCCGAGTGGGCGTGGGCTTGGCGGGCCCCGCACTCGGAGCAGCTGGCCTGCCCTGCCGCCCCGGGCAATGAGGGACTTAGCACCCGGGCCAGCAGCTACGGAGGGTGTACTGGGTCCCCCAGCAGTGCCAGCCCACCGGCGCTGCGCTCGATTTCTCGCCGGGCCTTAGCTGCCTTCCCGCGGGGCAGGCCTCGGGAATGCAGCCCGCCATGCCTGAGCCTTCCCCCGCCTCCGTGGGCTCCTGTGCAGCCCGAGCCTCCCCGACGAGCGCTGCCCCCTGCTCCACGGCGCCCAGTCCCATTGACCACCCAAGGGCTGAGGAGTGCAGGTGTATGGCGCGGGACTGGCAGGCAGCTCCACCTGCAGCCCTGGTGCGGGATCCATTGGGTGAAGCCAGCTGGGCTCCTGAGTCTGGTGGGGCCTTGAAGAACTTTTATGTCTAGCTCAGGGATTGTAAATACACCAATCGGCACTCTGTATCTAGCTCAAGGTTTGTAAACACACCAATCAGCACCCTGTGTCTAGCTCAGGGTTTGTGAATGCACCAATCCACACTCTGTATCTAGCTGCTCTGGTGGGGCCTTGGACAACCTTTGTGTCGATACTCTGTATCTAACTAACCTGATGGGGATGTGGAGAACCTTTGGATCTAGCTCAGGGATTGTAAACGCACCAATCAGCGCCCTGTCAAAACAGACCACTGGGCTCTACCAATCAGCAGGATGTGGGTGGGGCCAGATAAGAGAATAAAAGCAGGCTGCCCAAGCGAGCGGTGGCAACCTGCTCGGGTCCCTTTCCACGTTGTAGAAGCTTTGTTCTTTCGCTCTTTGCGATAAATCTTGCTACTGCTCACTTTTTGGGTCCACACTGCTTTTATGAGCTGTAACACTCACCGCGAAGGTCTGCAGCTTCACTCCTGAAGCCAGCAAGACCAAGAACCCACCGGGAGGAACGAACAATTCCAGACGCGCCGTGGTAAGAGCTGTAACACTCACTGCGAAGGTCTGCAGCTTCACTCCTGAGCCAGCCAGACCAAGAACCCACCAGAAGGAAGAAACTCCGAACACATCTGAACATCAGGAGGAACAAACTCCAGACGCGCCACCTTAAGAGCTGTAACACTCACCGCAAGGGTCCACAGCTTCATTCTTGAAGTCAGTGAGACCAAGAACCCACCAATTCCAGACACAATATGATACATATCAAACACCTAAAGGTGTAGAATGTTTCAGCTGAGCGTGGTAGCGCATGCCTGTAATCCCAACTATGCAGGAGGCTGAGGTGGGAGGATTGCTTGAATTCAAGGCTTGAGTCTAAGACCAACCTGGGCAACAGAGTAAGACCCCGTCTCTGAAAAATAGAGTGTGTGGCACATTGGAGGTTCTGTTGCTAGTCATAGTCATTATTATTAGCATTATTTATCTTCTATCAACTGGCCACAGGATGTAACTCTGCCCTGCAGGCCCAGCCTCAGCTGATCCACAGTGGGCCCATCACTTAGGACTACTCATGCTGGGTACTGCACAACTCAGAAGTGTCATCCATGTAGACTGTGGTGTGAGTAGTGTTGCCTAGTGTGGTGCATGGAAGCCCTCATCACAAAACTTACCTGGTTTCTTGGAGCCATTTCAACTTCTTTCCTCGCTAGCTCATCACATGCCATGGTACTGCTGAAATAACACAGCCCAGGGATAGCTCTCGGCTCAGCTTCACCTCTGCGGGTATGTGTCTCCATGCACTGCTAGCTGGTGCCAGCTAGCATATGACCTCAGATGTCACCAAACTAGTGGTCAGCCCAAAGTTTGGTGCCAGTTCTCCAGAGAGCTGGAGAAGAAGATCAGGCTCCCAGTTCAGAGTCAGTGACCAGCAGCCCTTCCTGGCTTGCATTCCAGAAAAGATTTTTGTGGCATTCTCAAGGAGAGCTACATTAAAAATCAGACTAAAATAAAACTTGCTGTAAAGAATCCATCATGGACTGGAAACACTGATCAAGTCCACCCTTCTGATGCGGCTGGGAGGTTCCCCTCAGCCCAATCATTCTAATAACCAAAGAGTGTTAAAAGGACTGTTGATGTCTACCTATGCTGGATCATCTAATGGAGGAGAAAAAGTAGATTGCAGGCTGGGTGTTGTGGCTCATGCCTGTAATCCCAGCACTTTGGGAAACTAAGGTGGGAAGATCGCTTAATGCCAGGAGTTCAAGACCAGTCTGGGCTGGGCACAGTGGCTCACGCCTGTAATCCCAGCATTTTGGGAGGCCAATACGGGGGGATCACTTGAGGTCAGGACTTCAAGACCAGCCTGTTCAACATGGTGAAACCCCATCTCTACTAAAAATACAAAAATTAGCTGAGTGTGGTGTCATGCGCCTGTAATCCCAGCTACTCGGGAGGCTGAGGCAGGAGAATTGCTTGAACCCAGGAGGTGGAGGTTGCAATGAGCTGAGATCGCACAACTGTACTCCAGCCTGGGCAACAGAGCGAGACTCCTTCTTTAAAAAAAAAAAAAGAAAAGAAAAGAGATCATCTTAGAAAACAAAGTCAGAAGGAAGGAAGGAAGGAAAGAAGAAAAGGAGGGAGGGAGGGGGAGGGGAGAGAGAAAGAAAGAAAAGAGAGAAAGGCAGATTACAGAAAAGTATTGTGTGCTTAATTTCATTTATGTTATGATAATAATGAGTCCGCATATCCCTAGATACATAAAGAAATGTTTGGAAGAATTATAATTATTTGTATAATAAGAACTCTGTAAAAACTGTATGTATCATTTTTATAGCCTAAAAACAAACTATTTTTTAAAAGCAGTTATATACCTATCTTTTGATACGCGTATAACCTTAGGCAAGTTAGCTAACCTCTCTGTCCCTCAGTTTCCTCATTATAAAATGGAGATAACAATAGTTTCTACTTCACGAGACTGCGAGGATTAAGTGTATTAATATATGTGAAGTACGTAGAACAGTGCTTAAAACATTGAAATGTTCAGTGCTATTTGTATTAGGGTTTTACAGGGAAATAGAATCAAAAGAATATTGATAGGTGATAAATCTGACCATATATGTAACTGACAATTAGTTGGCTACTACAGCTAAAAGTCCAGGAGTAAAAATGACTCAGTGATGTAATATTCCAGGAGATATATATAGAGAGAGAGAGAGAGAGATTAATTACAGGAATTGGCTCACAGAATTACAGAGATGAAGTCCCACAATCTGCCATCTGCAAGTTGGGGAACCAAGAAAACCAATCAGAGGGCTTGAGTCCAGGGATGGTTTAAGTATTGGTCTGAGTCCAGAGGCCCCAAAACCAGGAGGATTGAAATCCCAGATCAAACAGAAGGCATATTCACCCTTCCTCTGCCTTTTTATTCTATTCAGGTCCTCAATGAATTGGATGATGCTCACTCAACTGGTGAGGGCAGATCTTTACTCAGTCCACCAGTTCAAATGCTAATCTCTTCCAGAAACACCCTCATAGACATACTGAGAAATCATGTTTTTTGATTGTTTGTTTTTTGTTTGTTTGTTTGTTTTTGAGACAGTTTTGCTCTTGTTGCCCAGGCTGGAGTGCAATGGCATGATCTCGGCTCACCACAACTTCCACCTCCCAGGTTCAATCGATTATCCTGCCTCAGCCTCCCGAGTAGCTGGGATTACAGGCGTGTGCCATAACGCCTGGCTAATTTTGTATTTTTAGTAGAGACGAGGTTTCTCCATGTTGGTCAGGCTGGTCTCAAACTCCTGACCTCAGGTGATCCACCCGCTTCGGCCTCCCAAAGTGCTGGGATTACAGGCGTGAGCCACAGCGCCCAGCAGAAATCATGTTTTACTAGCAGTCTGGGTACTCCTCAGCCCAGTCAAGCTGACACATAAAATTAAATGTCAACTATTATTGTGGTGATGATGACGGTGGTTGGTATTACTTTTATTATCATAACTCCACATCATGCAGTGATGTAGGCAGAAGGGAAATTGCTCAGAACAAAAAAGCCAAATTATTTTTGCAAGGCCATGAGATAGATTAGTGATAGTTGAAAAGAAAGACATCATAACTGCATTGATACATTTCTACTGAGAGCCAAATGGTCTAATATATTAGTTCAACTGACAATTCATTGGCTACTACAGTGAGGTAACTTTCCAAGCAATAACTTTCCAGGAAATGCAGTGATTTTTAGATTGATTAATTTCAAAGAAATATATAAAGGTCATAATGAGATAAGAAATTCTATATGAATTGCCTTTACAATATATTGTAACAGTAACAGTCTGTTTTCTCAGCAGAGACCCATAAATGAGAATCTGGGAGGCTGGGCACAGTGGCTCATGCCTGGAATCCCAGCACTCTGGGAGGCTGAGGCAGGAGGATCGTTTTAGCCTAGGAGTTCAAGGCCAGCCTGGGCAACAGAGCAAAACCCCTGTCTCTAAAAAAATTCAAAATAAAAAAATTAGCCAGGTGTGGTGGCTGACACTTGTAGTCCCAGCTATCAAGAGGCTAAAGCAGGAGGATCCTGAGCCCAGGAGTTCAAGGCTGCACTCCAGCCTGGGCAACAGAGGGAGACCCTGTCTAAAAAAGAAAAAAAAAAAAAGAGAATCTGGGAGGGATGGAAGTGGGTCGATGGGAATGGTGTTGTATATATCAAACCCTTGGATTTTATTTGCAGTGGGGGTCTCTGCTTGGCATGTGTATGTTGTAAATGTGTACAGTTCAGGGCTCTATGCTCTGAAAATGGTTGTGCCCCAGGAGCCCAGTCCTGTTCAGGAAACACTTGCTCTGAGGCTCTCCCTAATTCAGTTCCAGGCTCGCCTGCCTGCTGGCAATGAAGGTACCTAGACTCGAATTCCTGGTTCAGATTCCTTCATCTGATGACAACTAATAAAGGGTGTGGCAGCAAAGGTAAGTCATCATGCAACCTGACTTGAACTAGGGAAGCCAGGTGAAGAAACCAGTGTGCGTCCTTACCATCACTAATGATAAGCCCCTGAATAAGGCTGTCTGCCCACTAAAGATGCAAAACAAGCAAAGATCCGTCATCATTCCACTTAGAGAGATTTAGTGCTTTAGTGCTTAAAATTCCATAGTAAATGTATTCACTTTTCTCTAGCAATGTCAGAGCTAAAAAGGGGAATTATTGTCAGCAGCATAAACAGATTATGCTTATGAACCAAGCCACAAGAAAGGAGTTCATACTTCTTTCTGGTAGATGAATGCTTTGTCACCCCATGTCACCCTATGGCAAAAGTATAACATTCAAAATCAACTGTAGAAAAGAGACAAATACAGATTCTTCAGAGGGGTGAATAAAAACTATTTTCATATACATATGTCAGTTCTTATAAAAACTAGCCAGGTGTGGTGGTACATGCCTATAGTCTTAGCACCTTGGGAGGCTACAGCTAGAGGATTGCTCGAGCCCAGGAGGTTGAGGCTGCAGTAAGCCATGTTTGTGCCACTGCACTCCAGCCTGAGTGACACAGCAAGATCCTGTCTCTAAATAAATAAATAAATAAATAAATATTACATATCAATCTGTTTGAAGTAACATTCAGTTTAGTGAGCTACCGACATGTGCAGGCTCAATGTTGTGTTATTTTATTTACACCGTACTGAGAGTAGGAGCCCCATTTGACACGGACTATGGAAAAAAGCCCACAGCCTCCACCCCTGTAACAATACAGAAGTCATTTTGACCTTGAAGTTTTAGAGCAGGTGTACCAATGACCACGTGGGTCAATAAAAGAAAAATCTTTATTGATTTCAGCTGCACAGCTTCTTGGGGTGGCTTCCAAGATAAATAAGTTGCAAGATATTTGCTTGTCATTATTTGTAGGCTACCAAGCAGCATCCCAAGAGCTTGGAATGAGATGATCCTCTGAGAACTAAACTATAAAATCAAAACATAATGGGTTGGCCAGGCTCAGTGGCCTATAATCCCAGCAATTTGGGAGGCCAAGACAGGCAAATCACTTTAAGCCCAGAAGTTCAAGACCAGCCTGGCCAACATGGCAAAACCCCATCTCTACAAAAAATACAAAAATTAGCCAGGCATGATGGCGCATGCCTGTAGTCGCGTCTACTCTGGAGACTGAGTGGGAAGATTGCTTGAGCTGGGGAGGTGGAGATTGCAATGAGCCGAGATCGCACCACTGCAATCCAGCCGATGTGACAGACTGAGACCCCGTCTCAAAAAACAAACAAAAACCCATAGTGGGTTAAAGTACAAATATGCAAAATCGCCTTTAAAGAAAGAGAATGACACCCAGGCAGGACTTGGCTACCTAGAAAAAGCCTGGAGGGAAACTGGGCAAAGCACAGCCAAGCGCTGCCTAGGGGAGCAGAAATTTCAGCCAACAGCTTTTGAATCTTGACAATTTTTTGCCTAGAAAGGCCATTCCCAATGTGGGGCTAGACATAGGAGATTGTCACCAAGGGAATATAAATGTTTAGATCCCGTAGACAAGACTTTCCCTAATGTGAGCGGTGTGTATCACGCTATGTGTGCCTGATACCATTATAGATTCAATTAATCTAGCAGGACGGTGGCAGTCTGCTAACAAGTGTGTAACAACTCACTGCCAAAAAAAAAATTCAATTAATCTGACTCTTCTTGTTTTCATTCCACGTTGATAAGCAATCTCCTGATGACTCTGGCTCCTCATGTCAGTGTCCCTGCAGAGAAATTCTGTATGGAGAATATGGATGCCATGTATTCCCATCTTCATAACAATTATCTTTGACATTGTAAATGAATTTAATTGTTATTCAGTTTATGATTTTGCTTCCCACACAACTTGACTACAGGGAGAGAATGGGCTGCCTGTGCCCATGCAGATATCTCAGTCTATGGCATCCATTATATTTTGATTTTGTAGCTTAAGTCTCAGTGGGCACCCTCATTTCCTGGTTCTTAGAGACTTCTTTGTAGTCTGAAAGCATTGATGAAAGCAAATATGGAACGTGCCTCTCAGTAAATTAATGCATCGAGTTTTGCTTTTCTATCTAATCTCATAGGCCTGGTGAGTGTAACTGGCAAAACTAGGTTTCTTAGCCTGTAAGACCAAAGACCACCCAGCAGACCATGGAAAATTGCTGGAGGTGACAAGTGCCACCTGAGGCCTCCTAAGAACCAGTCTGCCTGCCTTCCCTAGAGAGGCATACCCCTTGTCTCTGGGTGGACAGTACATGCCCCTTTTCATTTTCTACCCAAGCCACAGACCATGAGTGAACTTACTGGTCTTAGGGGCTTATGTGGGGCAAACTGGGAAAACATTATGGGATATCTGCTCTAAACAGTGAACCTAAAGGCTGGATGCAGTGACTCACGCCTGTAATCCCAGCACTTTGGGAGGCCGAGGCGGGCGGATCACTTGAGGTCAGGAGTTTAAGACCAGCCTGGCCAACATGGTGAAACCTCATCTCTACCAAAAATATAACAAATTAGCTGGGTGTGGTGGCAGGTGCCTGTAATCCCAGCTACTCAGGCGGCCAGGTAAGAGAATCGCTTGAACCCAGGAGGTGGAGGTTGCAGTGAGCCAAGATCGTGCCAGTGCACTCCAGCCTGGGCAACAGAGTGAGACTCAGTCTCAAAACAAAAACAAAAACAAAAACAAAACAAACAAACAAAAAAACAGTGAACTTGGCTTTTGAATAGTTGACCTGAAGCTGTTCTTTCGGGCAATAAAAATGCCTGTTAAGGCCACTCCTGTGTCGTGATAACAAATCTTCATGTGTAGTCTGCATAGAAAAGAATGCTTATCTTTTCATTCTTTCACACTAGAAAGTTATGCATCTAGGTAAGCCAGAACAGGAAAGATAACATTATGCTCTAAGTCTAAGCTAAAGGAGGGGAGGCCAAAACAAAACCATTTTTTTCTGACTGGATATTATTAGCAAATTCTCAAAAGAACCCCCCTGCCTCTCAAGGTGGGTTATGGTGTTGGTGCTTATGAGAATGACTCGTCAGGGCTCATGCTACTTAACTTGGACCTAATTGAGTCATGACCCAAGAAAAGGCCACCACTTCATGTGTGTATGGACAGTGGCTTATAGTGAAATAGTTACACTGAAGACCTCTGGTTCCTCATATTAAGTACTGACCTGAAAACCCCAGACTTCGATTTTTTATAAATCTGTGTAAAAACTGGCTGCCTTTTGCATGGAACATCTAATAAATTAATACATCTGTAATCAGACAGATAAAGGAGTTTTTGGGGTTTTTTGTTATGTTTTGTTGTTGTTGTTTTGTTTGTTGTTGTCATTTTTGAGACAGGGTCTCCCTCTGTCACCCAAGCTGGAGTGCAGTGGCGCCATCTCAGCTCACTGCAACCTCTGTCTCCCGGGCTTAAGTCATCCTCCCACCTCAGCCTCCTGAGTAGCTGGGACTACAGGCACATACCACGAAGCCTGGCTAATTTTGTTCATTTTTTGTAGAGACAAGGTCTCTGTGTGTTGCCCAGGCTGGTCTCAAACTCTTGGGCTCAAGGGATCTTCCCGCCTCTGCTTCCTAAAATGCTGGGATTATAGGTGTGAGCCATTGGGCTTGTCCAAGTTTTCAGTTTATTATTATAATAATTATTATTATTATTTTTTTGAGGTGGAGTCTCATTCTGTCACCCAAGCTGGAGTTCAATGGTGCGATCTTGGCTCACTGCAACCTCTGCCTCCCGGATTCAGGCAATTGTCCTGACTCAGTCCCCCAAGTAGCTGGGACGACAGGCATGCACCACCATGGCTGGCTAATTTTTGTATTTTTAGTAGAGACGGGGTTTCGCCATGTTGGCCAGGCTGGTCTCGAACTCCTGACCTCAGGTGATCCACCCACCTTGGCCTCCCACAGTGCTGGGATTACAGGCGTGATCCACCGCGCCTGGCCTCAAGTTTTCAGGTGTTTTTTTTGTTTGTTTTTCGTTTTTTTTTTTTTTTTTGAGACAGAGTTTCACTCTTGTTGCCCAGGCTGTAGTGCAATGGCGTGATCTCAGCCCACCGCAACCTCTGCCTCCTGGTTTCAAGTGATTCTCCTGCCTCAGCCTCCCCAGTAGCTGGGACTACAGGCACACACTGCCACACCCAGCTAATTTTTGTATTTTTAGTGGAGATGAGGTTTCTCCATGTTGGCCAGGCTGGTCTCAATCTCCCGACCTCAGGTGATCCGCCCTTCTTAGCCTCTCAAAGTGCTGGGATTACAGGAATGAGCCACCGCTCCTGGCCTGAAACATAAATTTAATTAAGTGTGGTGCCTGTAGTCCCAGCTACTCGGGAGTCTAAGACAGGAGAATTGCTTGAACCTGGCAGGCGGAGGTTGCGGTGAGCCAAGATCGCGCCACTGCACTCCAACCTGGGTGACAGAGAGAGACCCCATCTAAAAAAAAAAATTATGTTTTGGGCTGGACGCAGTGGCTCACGCCTGTAATCCTAGCACTTTGGGAGGCTGAGGCGGGTGGATCACCTGAGGTCAGAAGTTCAAGACCAGCCTGGACAACATGGTGAAACCCTGTCTCTACTAAAAATACAAAAATTAGCCAGGCGTGCTGGCACGCAGCTATAATCCCAGCTACTCGGGAGGTTGACGCAGGAGAATCACTTGAACCCAGGAGGCAGAGGCTGCATGAGCCGAGATCACGCCACTGCACTCCAGCCTGGGCGACAGAACAAGACTCCGTCTCAAAAAAAGTAAAAAATAAAAAAATAAAAAATTTTGTTTGGGATAACTGTAGACTCATATGCAATTATAAGAAATAGATTCTCAGGCCAGGTGCAGTGGCTCACGCCTGTAATCCCAACACTTTGGGAGGTGAGGCAGGCAGATGGCCTGAGCTCAGAAGTTTGAGACCAGCCTGGGCTACATGGCGAAACCCTGTCTCTACAAAAAATACAAAACTAAGCGGAAAGAAAATTAAAAACAAAGAAGTAAGCCAGATGTGGTGGCGCATGCCTGTAACCCCAACTACTCCTGAGGCTGAAGTGGGGGAATCATTTGAGCCCATGGAGTGGGGAGGTTGCAGTGAGCCAAGATCGCACCACTGCACTCCAGGCTGGGCAACAAGCGAGACCCTGACTCAAAAAAAAAAAAAGAAAAAAGAAATAGATTCTCAGGTCTTTCCTGGGTGTGAAAAAAAAAAAGGAAGGAAGGAGGGAGGGAGGGAGGGAAGGAAGGAAGGAAGGAAGGAAGGAAAGAAAGAAAGAGAAATCCTGTGTATTTTTTTATCCAGTTTCCCTCAATGGTAACATGTTGCAAAACTAGATCACAATCAGGATATTGACATTGATACCGTCAAGATACAGAACATTTCCATCACAAGGATTATCATGAAGCCCTTTCATAGCCATGGGCCTTTCTTCCTATCATTCTGTAATCCCTGGCAACCACTAATCTATTCTCCATTTCTATAACTTTGTCATTTCAAGAGTATTATATAGGCTGGAAATGGTGGCTCATGCCTGTAATCCCAGCACTCTGAGAGGCCGAGGTGGGCAGATCACTTGAGGCCAGGAGTTCGAGACCAGCCTGGCCAACATGGCAAAACCTTGTCTCTACTAAAAATACAAAAATTAGCCGGGTGTGGTGGTGTGCCTGTAGGCCCAGCTACTTGGTGGCTGAAGCACAAGAATTGCTTGAACCCTGTTGGTAGAGGTTGCAGTGAGCTGAGAGGCCACTTACACTCCAGCCTGGGCAACAGCAAGACGCCATTTCAGAAAAAAAAAAAAACAAAAAACGGGTGCGGTGGCTCACGCCTGTAATCCCAGCACTTTGGGAGGCCGAAGTGGGAGGATCACCTGAGGTTGGGAGTTGGGAGTTCAAGATCAGCCTGACCAAGGCAGGCTGAAGCAGGAGAATTGCTTGAACCCAGGAGGCTGAGGTTGCAGTGAGCTGAGATCATGCCACTGCACTCCAGCCTGGGCAACAAGAGCAAAACTCCATCTCAAAAAAAAAAAAAATGTGGGGGGAATGTTATCTAGATGGAATTATATAGTATGTAACCTTTGCGCATTGACTTTTTTCACTCAGCATAATCCTCTAGAGATTCACACATGTTATCAATATGTGTATCAGTAGTTGGCTCCCTTTTATTGCTGAGTAGTATTCCATGGTATGGATGTACCAAAGTTTAATCATTCATCTATGGAAGGACATCTAGGTTGTTTCCAATTTTTAGCAGTAATGAACAAAATTTCTATAAATATTTATGTATAGTTAGTTTTCTGTGAACATAAATTTCCATTTCTCTGAGTTAAATGCCCACAAGTGCAATTGCTGCGTCACGTGGTAGCTGCGTGTTTGTTTTTTTTTTTTTTTTTAACTGCCAAACTGCTGGCTTGGTGGCATGCATAGTCCCAGTTACTCTGGTGGCTGAAGCAGGAGGATCACTTGAGCCCCAAAATTCTAGATTTCCTTCTTGGCACTGCTTTAGCTGTGTCCCACAAATTTTGGTAGGCTGCCATTTTATTTTCATTCAATTCAACGCATTTTTAATTCCCCTTGAGACTTCCTCTGACTCGTAGATTACTTCAAAGTGTGTTGCTTATTTTTCAAGTGTTTGTAGTTGTACTCCTCATCTTTCTTTTATTGATTTCTAATTTGATTCCACTGGTCAGAGAACACACTCTATGTTTTCAATTATTTAAAATTTTCTGAAGTTTGTTTCATGGACCAGGATGTAATCTATCTTGGTATGTGTCCCATGGGTACTGGAAAAGAATATGTATTCTGCTGTTGTTAGGTGGAATGCTCTATAAAGTTTAATTAGATCCTGTTGGTTGATGATGTTGTTAAGCCTTCTTACAATCTTTTGATTTTCTGTCTGCTTGTTCTAAGCAATTATTGAGAGAGAGGTGTAGAAACCTCCAGCTATAATTGTAGATGTGTCTGTTTCTCTTTTCAGTTTTGTTAGACTGTTTTTGCATTGCTATAAGGAGTATCTGAGACTGGGTAATTTATAAAGAAAAGAGGTTTAGTTGGCTCATAGTTCTGTAGGCTGTACAAGAAGCATGGTGCCAGCATCTGCCTCTGGTGAGGGCTTCAGGAGGCTTACAGTCATGGTAGAAGGCCAAGAGGGAGCAGACATATCACATGGTGGGAGAGGGAGCAGGAGAGAGAGATGGGGAGGAAGGTGCCACACACTTTTAAACACCAGATCTTGCATGAACTCAGAGCAAGAACTCACTCATCACCAAGGGGAGGCTGCTAAGCTATTCATGAGGAATCTTTCCCTATGATCAAACACCTCCCACCAGATCCCACCTCCAACAATGGGGATTAAATATGAACATGAGATTTGTAAGGAACAAACATTCAAACCATAGCACAGTTCTATTAGTTTTTGCCTCATATATTTTTGCAGCTCAGTTGTTTGGTGCATACACACTTAGGATTGCTGTCTGTTATTGGAGGATTAAATCTTTTATTATGTAATGTCCTTCTATGTCCCTAGTAATTTTCTTTTCTCTAAAGTCTACTTTATCTAATATTAATATAGCCATTTCTGCTTTCCTTTGATTAATCTTTTTGATACTTCTTATTTCATCCTTTTACTTTCCACCTGCCTCTGTCATTATATTTGAAGAGAGGTTCTTGTACATAGCATATAGTTGGATCACGTTTTTGTTCTTTTATTTTTATTTATTTACTTATTTATTTATTTTTGAGATGCAGTCTCACTCTGTCATCCAGGCTGGAGTACAGTGACGCAATCTCAGTTCACTGCAACCTCTGCCTCCTGGGTTCAACCGATTCTCCTGCCTCAGCCTCCTGAGTAGCTGGGACCATAGGTGTGTACCACCATGCCTGGCTAATTTTTGTATTTTTAGTAGAGATCATGTTGGCAAGGCTGGTCTTGAACTCCTGACGTCAAGTGATCCACCCACCTCTGCCTCCCAAAGTGCTGGGATTACAGGCATGAGCCATCGCACCCAGCCTAACTTTGCCATTTTATTTTTTGTTTTCTGTTTGTTCTTTCTGGTTTTTTAAAATTTATTTCTCTGTTTTCTTTTTACTACTTTCTTGTAGGTTACTTAAACATTTATTAGAATTCCATTTTGATTTATCTTGTTTGTTTGTTTTAGAAAAGAGGCCTCACTCTGTCACCTAGACTAGAGTGCAGTGGCGTGATCATGGCTCACTGTAAACTTGACCTTCTTCCATTTGGCTCTGGTGATCCTCCTGCCTCAGCCTCCGGAATAGCTGGGACTACAAGTGCATACCACCACACCGAGCTAATTTTTTTTTTTTTAGATATGGGGTCTCACTATGTTGCCCAGGCTTGTCTCAAGCTCCTGGCCTCAAGTGATTCTCCCACCCTGGCCTCTCAAAGTACTGGGATCACAGACATAAGCCACCACATCCAGCCGATTTTCGGTGTTTTCTAGTATATCTCCTTGCAAATCTTTTTTCAGTGGTTACTCTTCATTACATATACATAACTTCTTATAGTTTTCATTTTGCCAGTTTGAGTGAACGGTAGAAACTTTACCTCCTTTTATGCCCCTTTACTTTTCCCTATTTCTAACATAATTGTCTTAAGTTTTTCCTATACATACATTTAGAACCTCATCAAACAGTGTTATAATTTCTGCTTCAACCATCAAACACAATTTAGGAAAGGAAAATCTATTATATTTACCCATATTTTTATTACCATGTGTTTTCTTCTTCCCAGATATTCCGAGATTACTTCTTTTATCATTTTCTTTTTTTTCCAAGAACTCCTTTTCCCTATTTAAAACATGTCTGTTGATGACACAGTTTTAGTTTTCCTTTATTTGAGGATGCCTTGACTTCCCTTTGTTTCCTGAAGGATATTTTCACTGCGTACAGGATTCTTGGTTGGCAGTTCTTTTCTTTCAGCACTTGAAAAATGTTGTGCCACTTCCTTCCAGAATCCATGGTTTCTGATGAAAAATCTACTGTCATTAAGATTGATTTCTTTCCCTCTGTAAGTAACATGTTGTTCTTTTCTTGCTGCTTTCAAGATTTTTTCTTCATCTTCAGTTTTTAGAAATTTGATTATGAAGTGTGTTGGCCTGGATTTTTTTTGTTTTATTCTGTTTGGGTTTTACTCATCTTCTGGAATCTGTAGCTTATGTTTCTGCCAAACTTGGAAATTTTTCACCATTATTTCTTCCAATACTTTTCAGCATTGCCCTCTTTTTTTTCTTCTTCTTCCAGGAATTCAGTGACACAAATATTAGCCCTTTTGTTACAGTCCCACAAGTCCTTGCAATTCTGTTCATTTTTTTAAAGTCTATTTTCTCTCTGTTCAGATTGGGTAATGTCTGTCATTCCATCTTCAAGTTTACTGATTTGTTCCTCTGTGCCTTCTATTTTGCTGATGAGCCCATTCACTGAGCTTATAATTTCTGTTATTGTATTTTTCACATCTAAAGTTTTAATTTGGTTCTACTTCATATCTTCCACTTCTTTGCTGAGGCTTTCTATTTCTTTGCTGAGTGTTTTTGTTTGCTTATTTGTTTGTTTTAAGCTTGTTCTTGATTGCTCATTGAGGCATTTTTATAATGGCTACTTTAAAATCTTTTCAAGATCATTCTAACATCTCTGTCATCTTGGTGTTGGCATCCACTGATTTTTTTTTCCATTCAATTTGAGACCTGCATGGTTTTTGGATCATTCATAATGAACGATTTTTTATTTAAACTTGGAATTTGGGGGTGTTATGAGACTTTGGATCTTATCAATACCTTCTGTTTCTGGTGGCTTTCTGTGACATTATTCTGGCAAGGGAAGAAGGAGTTCTGCCTCATTACTGCTAAATGGAGGTAGAAATCCAGATCTCTCAGTTGACTCTGTTTATATCTGATAGAGGAAAAAGTACTTATTTTTATTGCTAGGTGGGAGTGAGAGTTCCAGCCTTCCAATAGGCCTGCATTGATACTTCCCTGGCTGGTAGAGGTAGGGATGCCTGGTTACTACACTACATATGGCCACTGAGGCCACAAGGTGCAGAGTGACCTTGTTACTGCTAGGCAGTGGTGAAAGTCCTGACTCTCTGCTAGGGCTCCTCTGCCACCACTCCAGTGGAAAGGCCATTGCAGGGGCTCATTACTGTGAGTTAGGGGTAGAAGTCCAGGACCCTCACGTGGTCTCCATGGATTCCATAAAGTGGGGTTGCGGGGGTGGGGGTCATTATCTCCTATTAGGGATGAAATTCTTGGCCCTCTATTCTGCCCTCTCTCATACCACCCTGGCAGTAGGCTCTACCTATGCATTTTATATTCACAGTTTACATTACAGCCTCATGAGATGGGACATCTAGTCTCCCACTCAACATTTGGTAGCATTTGCAGGGGTAAGGGCCAGAATCAAAAGGAAAACCCAGGGATTCACCACCATGCTGGACTCAATGTCCTTAGTTGGTCTGTCTTCTTCTCTCCATCTCTCTGGGTTTCTTATGTTTGTTTTTATATAATTTTTCAGGGTTTTTAGTTATACTCAGTGGGAAAAACTAGGGAGAAATATGTCTATTTCATCTTCCCAGAACCAGAAGTCCCTAGTTGGCTATCTTGAAAAATAGACAAAACCCATACTCTGGGGCAAACCAGAGAGAACCATCCAAGGTTACTGAGCATTTGAGCTGACTCTTCTGGGTGTTACTCTTGGTAACTCTGGGGGCCAGGAATCTCCTGCAGCCATTTGTTTGGCTTGATGTTTTTTATTTAATTGATTAATTTATTTATTTGAGATGAAGTCTCGCTCTGTCACCCAAGCTGGAGTGCAGTGGCACAATCTTGGCTCACTGCAACCTCCACCTCCCAGTTTCAAGTGATTCTCCTGCCTCGGCCTCCCGAGTAGCTGAGATTACACGCATGCAGTACCAAGCCTGGCTAATTTTTGTATTTTAGTAGAGACAGGGTTTCACCATGTTGGCCAGGCTGGTCTTGAACTCCTGACCTCAAGTGAGCCACCTGCCTCGGCCTTCCAAAGTGTTGGTATTACAGGCGTGAGCCACCATGCCTGGCTGCTTGATGTTTTTTAAATCAACTATTTAAAATAAGGGATAATTACCAGTTTCCGGTTGAAGGAAGATCTGAGTGGTTGCCGTTGTTTTGTACGGTGCGGGTCACCCATGTCCCAAGCAGGAGCTTTGTCTCCACGACTTTAGTTGCCAAGTTTTATGTCTTCACTAACTATCCCCAGAATCTACACTCATCACTATTGCTAACAGCCAAATTCACATCTCCCCACTGGGATTTATAATTCCTACTTTTCTTAGATGATGGGAAATTTATAATTAACTTTAATTTTGATGATATTTTAGTCACATCCTCAAACTTTGTCCACACGGGTATTTGGAGAATGTCTACCAGGTTTGCCGGGACATTTTGTGGGTAGAACTCATTTTTGGTTCTCAACAATGGCTAAGTTGTGAGAGAAGTCAGAGTTTTAAGGAGATCTTGGCCAGCAAGAGGTCAGCAGTGGAAAGACCAGACCTCCTCATTCCAATCACATGTGCATTCAGATTCAGAAAGACAAAGAAAAGAAGAGAAGAGAGAGAGAAAAGATTACTTGATCCAGAATATTCATTCTAAAGATGGAAGACTTTATCATTTAGGATTCCACTCAGCTGCAAGTGACAGAAAGATCACAGTGACAGTGGCTTAAACAGGATAGCAATTCATTTCTCTCTTACATAAAAATCTGGAAGGGCATTCCAGAACTGGAATGGGAGGTCTGGATTCATCAGGGACCCAGACCCCTTCCAAATTTCTTGCTCTCAGCCTCCCAAGTAGCTGGGACCACAAACGTGTGTCACCATGCCCAGCTAAATATTTTTTTAATTTTTAGTAGAGATGGGGTTTCACCATGTGCCCAGGCTGATTTTTGGTTCTCAACAATCAGGTCACTCAGCATCACTCAGGTGATCCACCCGCCTTGGCCTCCCAAAGTGCTGGGATTACAGGGGTGAGCCACCACACCTGGCTTCTTTTTTTTTATTATTTTAAAAATTATTTTGTAGAAATAGGCTCTCACTATATTGCCCAGGCTGGTTTTGAACTCCTGGCCTGAAGCAATCCTCCCACCTTGGCCTCCCAAAATGCTGGGATTACAGGCATGAGCCACTGTGCTTGGCCTGGAGGCAAATAATTTCTGTTACAGATATTAACAATAATAAGAATTCATAATGCTGTCTATGGGTGACCACCCCAACCCCTGATTTACCTTCACATGCTGCCATTCACAAGGATGTTGAGGATTTTTCCATTTGATGACTATATCTGTCTAGGTCTTCTCTAGCCGCTCCAAGTGTGTGATCAGAATCACCGGAAGGCTTTGGGTTCAGTTCAGGCTCCATCAGCGATTAACTCGGCCATGGAGTCTGTGGGATAAATACAGAATAAATATCATGGCAAAGAGACCACAGTTCCAGGAAAATAGCATGCCCTTGGCAGGAGAAGTATAAATGTTAAAGCAAATCACAGGCAATTTGCCAGGGAACCAGATCTAAACTGTAGGAAGCTCCAGTCTCCTTGAATTTAGCAGAGATTTGAGTGACTAATCCACCCTTCTCATAATTTCCCTCCAAAACTGGAAAAATAAATCCGTGAATACAGGATGATTTATTTTAAAGTCTGGGTCAGGGCCAGGCACAGTGGCTCACACCTGTTATCCCAGCACTTTGGGAGGTGGAGGCAGGCTGATCGCTTGAGGTCAGGAGTTTGAGACAAACTGGCCAACATAGTGAAGCCCTGTCTCTACTAAAAATACAAAAAAATTATCCAGGGATGGTGGTACACACCTGTGATCCCAGCTACTCAGGAGGCTGAGGCACAAGAATCACTTGAACCCGAGAGGTGGAGGTTGCAGTGAGCCAAGATTGCACCACTGCACTCCAGCCTGGGCGACAGAGCAAGACTCTGTCTCAAAAAAAAAAAAAAAAAAAAGAAAAAGAAAAAGAAAAAAAGTCTTGGTCAGTGGTAAGCATACAATGTGATAACCCGCCTGAAAAAACAACATTAAAAGGTTCAGAATTTTCGAGTACCCACTTGCCATGGCACCAGGGACTAAGAACTAAGTAGCTGTCTCTGAAGTTTACCAAAATAAAAAATTGTCTGCTGAGACTTCTCTGCTTTAAAATAAAAGTTTACTCCAGCCTGGGCAATACAGCAAGACCCCATCTCTAAAAAGATTTTTAAGATGTTATCCAGGTGTGGTGGCAAATACCTGTAAAGCCAGCTACTCCAGAGGCTCAGGCTGGAGGGTCTCTTGAGCCCAGGAGTTGGAGGTTGCAGTGAGCTATGATTGCACCACTGAACCTCAACCTGGGCAAAAGAGCAAGAACCTGTCTCAAAATAAAATAAAGTAAAAGTTTACCAGTTCACAACCTCTCACTTCTCTAGGCTCAGCAATCTGCAGCTGCTCAGGAACACAGCTAAGAAAAAAAAACTGAACCACACATGTCTATGAAAAAATAAAATACAGGTATACCTCATTTTATGGCATGCCACTTTACTGCACTTCTCCCGAGCAGGTGGGATTACAGGTGCACACCACGTCGCTCAGCTAATTTTTGTTCATGTTTTGTAGAGATGGGATTTCACCATGTTGGCCAGACTGGTCTCGAACTCCTGATCTCAGGTGATCTGCCCACCTCGGCCTCCCAACCTGCTTTAAGCAAGTCTATCAGCACCATTTTTCAAACGGCAAGTGCTCACTTCATGTCTGTGTCACATTTTGGTGATTCTCATATTTCAGATTTTCTCATTATTGTATCTGTTATGGTGATTTGTGATCAGTGATCTTTAATGTTACTATTGTATTAGGTTGGTGCAAAAGTAATTGCAGTTTTTGACATTAAAAGTAATAGCAAGAACTGCAATTATTTTTGCACCAACCTAAATAATTGTTTTGGGGCACTACAAACTGTGCCCATGTAAGATGGAAAACTTAATAACATATGTGTTCTGACTGCTCCACTGACCGGCCATTCTGCATCTCTGTCCTTTTTCCGTCTCAGGAATAGGCCTCCCTATTCACTGAGACAAAGCAATATTGAAATTACGTCAATTAATAATCCTACAATGTCCTGTAAGTGTTGAAGTAAAAAAGAAGAGTTGCATGTCTCTCATTTTAAATCAAAAGCTGGAAATGATTAGGCTTAGTGAAGACGGCACATTGAAAGCTGAGGCAGGATGAAAGCCGAGTCTGTTATACCAAACAGTTGACCAAGTTGTGGATGCAAAGGGAAAGTTCTTGAAGGAAATTAAAAGTGCTACTCCAGTGAACACCTGAGTGATAAAACTAAACAGACTTATTGCTGATATGGAGAAAGTTAGAGTGGTTTGAATAGAAGAACAAATCTAGGCCGGGTGCAGTGGCTCATGCCTATAATCCCAGTACTTTGGGAGGCCGAGGTGGGTGGATCACTTGAGGTCAGGAGTTCGAGACCAGCCTGGCCAACATGGTGAAACCCTGTCTTTACTAAAAATACAAAAATTAGCCAGGCACAGTGGCTCATGCCTGTAATCCCAGCTATTCAGGAGGCTGAGGCAGGAGAATCGCTTGAACTTGGGAGGTAGAAGCTGCAGTGAGCCAAGATAGCGCCACTGCACTCCAGCCTGGGTGACAAAGTGAAACTGTCTCAAAAAAAAAAAAAGATTAAATTCGCCACAACACTCCCTTAAGCCAAAACCTAATCCAGATCAAGGCCTTAACTCACTTCAGTTCTATGAAGGCTGAGAGGTGAGGAATCTGCAGGAGAAATGTTTGAAGCTAGCAGAGGTTGGTCCATGAGGTTTAAAGAAAGGAGCCATCTCCATAACCTAAAAGTACAAGGTGAAGCAGCAAGTGCTGATGGAGAAGCTGCAGCAAATTATCCAGAAGATCTAGCTAAGATCATTAATGAAGATGGCTACACTAAACAACAGGTTTTCAGTGTAGACAAAACAGCCTTCTATTAGAAGAAGAGGCAATCTAGGACTTTCATAGCTACAGAAGAGTAGGCAATGCCTGGTTTTAAAGCTTCAAAGGACAGGCTTACTCTCTTATTAAGGGCTAATGCCACTGGTGATTTTAATTTGAAGCCGGTGCTCACTGACTGTTCTAAAAATTCCAGGGCCCCTAAGAATTATGCTAAATCTACCCTGCCTGTGCTCTATAAATGGAAGAACAAAACCTGCATGATGGCATATCTGTTTACAGCATGGTTTATTAAATATTTTAAGCCCACTGTTGAGATGTACTGTTCAGAAAAAAAAAAGAAAAAATATTCCTTTCAAAATGTTACTGCTCAAGAGCTCTAGTGAAGATATACAAGGAAATTAATGTTGTCTCTATGCTTGCTAACATAACATCCATTCTGAGAATCCATGGGTCAAAGAGTAATTTTGATTTTCAAGTCTTGTTATTTAAAGAATACATTTCATAAGGCTATAGTTGCCACAGAGTGATTCCTCTGATGGCTCTGGGAAGGTAAATTGAAAACCTTTTGGAAAGGGGCCAGGCGCAGTGGCTCACACCTGTAATCCCAGCACTTTGGGAAGCCGAGGTGAGCGGATCACGAGGTCAGGAGATTGAGACCATTCTGGCTAACATGGTGAAACCCCGTCTCTACTAAAAATACAAAAAAATTAGCTGGGAGTGGTGGCGGGCGCCTGTAGTCCGAGCTACTTGGGAGGCTGAGGCAGGAGAATGGCGTGAACCCGGGAGGCGGAGCTTGCAGTGAGCCGAGATCGTGTCACTGCACTCCAACCTGGGCGACAGAGCGAGACTCCTTCTCAAAAAAAAAAAAAAAAAAGTGGTTTCTTGAGATGGAAGCTACTCCTGGTGAACAATGTTGAAATAGCAACAAAGGATTTAGAATATTCCACATTCTGAGCTGATAAAGGACGGCAGGGTTTGAGAGGATTGCTTCCATTTTTTTTCTTTTTCTTTTTTGGCTGCTCCTTACAGAGCAGGGCTAACTCTTAGGCAGTGTGCCCAGAGTCAGCTGACTCCAATTTTGAAAGAGGTTCTACCGTGGGTAAAATGCTATCTACCAGCATCGAATGATACAGAGAAATCCTTTGTGAAAAGAAGAGTCAATCAATGTGGCAGACTTCATTGTTGTCTTATTTTAAGAAATTGCCCCAGCCACCCCAACCTTCAGTAACCACCACCCTAATCAGTCAGCAGCCATCAACATCAAGGCAAGACCCTTCCCAACGAAAAGATTACAACTCACTGAAGGCTCAGATGATCATTAGCATTTTTAACAATAAAATATTTTAGGCCGGGTGCGGTGGCTCACGCCTGTAATTCCAGCACTTTGGGAGGCCAAGGCAGGTGGATCACCTGAGGTCAGGAGTTCGAGACCAGCCTGTCCAACATGGTGAAACCCCAGCTCTACTAAAAATACAAAAATTAGCCGGGGGTGGTGGCAGGTGCCTGTAATCCCAGCTACTCGGGAGGCTGAGGCAGGAGAATTGTTTGAACCCGGGAGGTGGAGGTTGCAGTGAGCCAAGATCACACCACTGGACTCCAGCCTGGGGGACAAGAGTGAGACTGTCTCAAAAAAATAAATAAATAAAATATTTTAAAGTATGTACATTGGGGTTTTTTAAATACAGTATTTTTTATTTTTTGTTTATTTTTATTTTTATTTTTTTGAGACAGGGTCTCATTCTGTCACCCAGGCTGGAGTGCAGTGGCATGATCACAGCTCACTGCAACCTCGACTTCCCTGGCTGCAGTGATCCTCCCATTTCAGCTTCTTGAGTAGCTGGGACCACATGCGCAGGCCACCATGCTCAGCTAATTTTTGTATTTTTGGTATCACCATGTTGCCCAGGCTGATCTCAAACTCCTGAGCTCAAGCAATCCACCTGCTTCAGCCTCCCAAAGTGCTGGAATTATATGCATGAGCCATTGTGCTTGGCCTGTTTTTTTAAACATAATGCTATTGCACATTTAATAGGTTATGGTATAGTGTAAACATAACTTTTATATGTACTCGGAAACAAAAAAATTTGTGTGACTCACTTTACTACAATATTTGCTTTATTGTGGTGGTCTGGAACTGAACCTGCAATATCTCTGAGGGATGCCTGTGATTTTATAAGCATCTGTGCATTTTTTCCCTAAAGAAGCCAAGCATAGCCACTGGATCCTGACTCACAGCCCATGTAATCTTGTACTGCACACAATTCTAATAAGCATGTTACCCAGCTTCCAATTTCCAAGCATATTAGGATTCTGGCCAACAGAATGTAGACAAAAGGGCTATGTGCTGCATTCAGGTATGGTCTTTAAAATTTCTTGTAAAATACTTCATTCTGTCTCTCTCACATGTCCCCAAATCCAGAGGATTCTGAGATGGAGTCTGAGGCCCTGGAACATACTGGAGGCCCACATAGCAGGCTGGTCCCCAAGTGGAGTGATTGCGGGGTGCAGAGCACTTCTACAGCCCCACCCTGGACTGTGAAGCCAGCAAGAAATACTCTGTTGGGTTAAGGTAGTGAGGTTTCAGGGTTGTTTGAAACAGTAGCCAGAATTTCTCATCCCAACTGATACAGAAATTAGGACCAAAAGTGCTGTTAACACACACACACACCAACTTGTGCATCAGGTAGTATGCAGTAAGGAAACATTTGGCAGAGTGGATGGCTGGAGATCCATTTTATAGAGTGGCAAGCTGGGAGCGGTGGCTCACTCCTGTAATCCCAGCACTTTGGGAGGCCAAGGTGGGTGGATCATCCGAAGTCAGGAGTTCGAGACCAGCCTGGCCAACATGGTGAGACCCCTGTCTCTACTAAAATACAAAAATTAGCTGGGCGTGGTGGCGTATGCTTGTAATACCAGACACTTGGGAGGGTGAGACATGAGAATCGCTTGCACCAGGAGGTGGAGGTTGCAGTGAGCAGAGATCATGCTACTGCACTCCAGCCTGGGTGAAGAGTGAGACTCTCTCTCTCTCTCAAAAAAAAAAAAAAGAAAGAAAAAAAGCCAGGTGAGGTGGCTCACGCCTGTAATCCCAGCACTTTGGGAGGCCGAGGCGGGTGGATCACAAGGTCAGGAGTTCAAGACCAGCCTGGCCAGCATGGTGAAACCCCGTCTCTACTAAAAATACAAAAAATTAGCCGGGCGCAGTTGTAATCCCAGCTACTCGGGAGGTTGAGGCAGGAGAATTGCTTGAACCCGGGAGACAGAGGTTGCAGTGAGCCGAGATCGCACCACTGCCCTCCAGCCTGGGTGACAGAGCAGGACTCCATCTCAAAAAAAGAAAAATACAAAAAATTAGCTGGGCATGGTGGTGGGCACCTGTAATCCCAGCTGCCCGTGAGGCTGAGGCAGGAGAATTGTTTGAGTCCAGGAGGCAGAGGTTGCAGTGAGCTGAGATTACACCACGGCACTCCAGCCTAGTTGACAAAGTGAGACTCTATGTCAAAAATAAAAATAAATATTTAAAAAAAAAACTGGCAAAAAATTTGATAAAATTGTCACCTGTGCCTATTGAACCTGTAGCTCTATAGGAAGAAATTAGAAAGCAGCACATTAGTACTGTGTGTTGGTTGTTATTGACTGCACTGGACAGACTATTACAAGAAAGTGATGGTCACCGGAAAAATTGGCCAATTTATTGGCCGGGTGCGGTGGCTCGCGCCTGTAATCCCAGCACTTTGGGAGGCTGAGGCAGGCGAATCATGAGGTCAGGAGATCGAGACCATCCTGGCTAACACGGTGAAACCCCGTCTCTACTAAAAATACAAAAAAATTAGCCAGGCATGTTGGCAGGCGCCTGTAGTCCCAGCTACTCATAGTCCCAAGTACTCGGGAGGCTGAGGCAGGAGAATGGCGTGAACCCGGGAGGCGGAGCTTGCAGTCAGCTGAGATCGTGCCACTGCACTCCAGCCTGGGCGACAGAGCCAGACTCTGTCTCAAAAAAAAAAAAAAACAAAAAACAAAAAAACAAAAACAAACAATTGGCCAATTTACAAGCAGAAGTAAAAAAGGAATACAGTCCAGAAATTCAGTGTCCTGCTGAGTCGGAAACGCCAACTTTTTTTAGACTCTGAACTGGAAGATATGAGAAAAAACAAGGCTTTGAGTAACAAAGTTCCAAGAAAATTTCTGAGTTGAACAAAGTGGATGAGCCTTGTGCCAAAGATCAAATTAAGGGAGTGGCCTTCTAAGCCAGGTATGGTAGTGTGAGGTGGCAACCATTAAGTTGAAAGAGGCGTGGGGGAAGAGGGAGGCAGAAGGGAACTAAAGAAAATAAGGCAGGCTTAAAAAGTGTGTCTAGGGAGAAACTTTGGGTTACTGGCACATGGAACTGACTGGAGGTAAAGAGACAAGAAGCCTACAAAGTTTTTGAATCCAGGATCCCAAGCTTTTTGCTTTTTGACTGTTCAAAGCTTTGAGCCCCTAGTCTTGCTCAAGAAAGGCATTCCCCAAATAAACACTTCAACTGTGGCCAGGGAAGATGATGTGCAATGAATGAAAACCATGCTAGAGGGTGGCTGCAGGAGCCACAGAAACCAATAGAAAGTTCCTCCCAGAGAGAAAAATTAGAGCCTAATTGAAGGCATGAACACCTAGAGGATTTCAAATTTTCTCTTGACCAATGACTGCTGTGTGTCTTCTATTTTCTCTTCCAAACATGAGTGAAAAAGGCAGCAATTCTGTGTTCCATCATTTTATATTAGCATGGCAAGAGGCAGGGCCAGGACTAGAATGAGGCAAGTGAGATGGCTAGGGCACAAAATGTAAGGGGGTATTCATTCTCAGGCTGGTGTAAGTGCTGATTTGGCACAGAAGGAGCCACATCCACACCTGACGGTAGGTGATGCACATCAACACCTACCTTGTAGGTCTCGTTTTTTGAGCTGAATGTAGTAACTGGCTGGGACTTTGAACTCTTCATCTTCGCAGGTGGAAGGGGCAGTGTTCTATGTGTAAAAGGAAAAATGAAACAAATATTTGGTGAGCAGAAGCAAATATTGGCTGTTCCCCAACACCTCTTCTTTCACTTCCTTGGCGCACCAGTAGGCCATGTTTCCTTGTTCCTTTGCATCCGAGTGGGGCCATGTGACTGTGTCCTGTCCAGTAGAATGTATGCTGTCCAACAGAATAGTATGCAACTTTAGGCCTTGTGTTAGTCCATTTTGCATTGCTATAAAGGAATATCTGAGACTTGGCAATTTATAAAGAAAGAAGGATTATTTGACTCATGTTCTGTAGTCTATACAAGCAGCATGGCACCAGCATCAACTTCTGGTGAGGGCCTCAAGAAGCTTTCAATCATAGTGGAAGGCAAAGGGGGAGTAGGTGTGTCACATGGCAAGAGAGGGAGAAAGAGCAATGGGAAGGAGGTCCCAGACTCTTTTTTGTTTTGTTTTGTTTGTTAGAGACAGAGCCTCGCTTTGTCATCCTGGCTGGAGTGCAATGGCACAATCATGGCTCACTGCAGCCTCCACCTTCTGGGGTCAAGCAATCCTCCCATCCCAGCCTCCCAAGTAGTTGGGTCTACAGGTGCATGTCACCACACCTGGCTACATATATATATATATATATATATATATTTTTTTTTTTTTTTTGAGACAGAGTCTCTCTCTGTCATTATGGCTGGAGTGCAGTGGTGCAATCTTGGCTCACTGAAACCTCCGCCTCCCGGGTTCAAGCAATTCTCCTGCCTCAGCCTCCCAATCCCTGTAGCTGGGATTACAGGCGCATGTCACTGCTCTCAGCTAAGTTTTTGTATTTTTAGTAGAGACGGGGTTTCACTCCGTTGGCCAGGCTGGTCTCAAACTCCTGACCTCAGGTGATCTGCCCGCCTCGGCCTCCCAAAGTGCTGGGATTATAGGCGTAAGCGACCGCAACTGGTCTACATATATATAACACATATAATATATATGAGATGTGTCGCACTATGTTGCCTAGGCTAGTCTGGAATTCCTGGGCTCTGATCCTCCTGCACCTTGGCCTCCCAAAGTGCTGGGATTACAGTTGTGAGCCACCATGCCTGGCCCCAGACTCTTTTTAACAACCAGATCTCCTGTGAACGAATAAAGCAAGGACTCACTCATTATCTCGAGGAGGGCACCAAGTTATTCATGAGAGATCTGCCCCATGACCCAAACACTTCCTGCCAAGCCCCAACTCCAACCTTGAGGATCAAATTTCAACATAAGATTTGGAGAGAATAAATATCCAAACTATATCAGGCCTGGTCCCTAAAACCTCTGGTGCAATCATCTCTGCCACCAGATGCAAACAGTGCAGTGGAGCTCTCCCAGGCTCTAAAAGGCAGCAGAACCACAAGATAGAAGGAGCCTTGAAGTCTACCTTGTTGGAAGTGGTATGTCAGTGAAATACAATGTTATAAAAAGTGGTGTCAGAGATAGGCTGCTGGCGACAGACAATTAAGGAAATTGGAGAATTAGAAACATTAAATCCTGGCTGGGCATGGTGGCTCATGCCTGTAATCCCGGCACTTAGGGAGGCCGAGGTGGGCAGATCACCTGAGGTCAGGAGTTTGAGACCAGCCTGGCCAACATGGTGAAACCCTGTCTCCACTAAAAATATAAAAACTAGCTGGGCGTGGTGTCAGACACCTGTAATCCTAGCTACTCGGGAGGCTGAGGCAGGAGAATGGCATGAACCCGGGAGGCGGAGCTTGCAGTGAGCCAAGATTGCGCCACTGCACTCCAGCCTGGGTGACAGAGCGAGACTCCATCTCAAAAAAAAAAAAAAAAAAAAAAAATCACAAAATGAATAGAGCTGGACATCGTATCTGTGTTTTGCTTCCACTTAAGTTATCTTTTTGTTTTTAATAAGACAGGGTCTTCAAAAAATTTATATTTAGTTTTCATTAGTTTATTTAGGGACAGGATATAGCTCTGTCACCCAGGCTGGAGTGCCGTGGTGCAAACACAGCTCACAGCATCCTTGAACTCCTGGGCTCAAGAGATCCTCCCACATCAAGCCAGGCACAGTGGCTCACACCTATAATCCCAGCACTTTCGGAGGCACAGGTGGGCAGATCACGAGATCAGGAGATCGAGACCATCCTGGCCAACATGGCGAAACCCTGTCTCTACTAAAAGTACAAAAATTACAAAAATTAGCTGGGCGTGGTGGTGCATGACTGTAATCCCAGCTACTTGGGAGGCTGAGGCAGGAGAATCACTTGAACCTGGGAGGCTGAGGTTGCAGTGAGCCAAGATCGCGCCACTGCACTCCAGCGTGGTGACAGAGCTGGTCATGAAAAAAAAAAAAAAAAAAAGAGACATCCTCCCACTTCAGCCTCTACTACAGGCACACACCACCATGCTTGGCTAGTTCCTTTTTTTTTTTTTTTTTTTTGTAGAGATCTCACTGTATTGCCCAGACTAATCTTGAACTCCTGGGTTCGAGCGATCCACCCACCTTGACCTCCCAAAGTGCTGGGATTGCAGGCATGAGCTGGCCTAAAAGTTATCCTTACTGCTACTCACTCATTTAAATTAAAAAAGATGAAAGCAACCTAAGATCATCTAAACAAAATGGGCTTAAATTCCCTAATCACTAATAAAAAACAAAATCAAACGTACTAAAACCTAGATGGTAGGAGAGGAAATGAAAGATGTTTAGTATTGGTGAAAGTAGATATCAATGGGTGCATGTGTTCCCACCCAAAGATTTCCAAAAATCAATCTTGATTCTTACTTACATTATGAAAACTAAGATGTAATTTCCAATTATGCCGATGGTTCAAAACATTTCTTGAGTTGTGAACCACACTGAGAGTCTAATGAAAGCGATAGACTTTGCTCCCAGAAAAACGCATATAAATACATACATAAAACTTTGCATATGATTAACTGTATTGCCTTGGAAATGTTTTTCCTTCTCTTAGAAAATTATTTAAAAAGTTTTGCTTTTCTGATTTGGTTTTTCAAGCAAAAACTAATGACCACTTCTTGAAAATTAAAATAAATTTAAAAATTAAATGAATGTAAATAAAATACATTAATTTTAATGTTTAATTAAAATTAAAATAAATACAAGTTGTGCACATAGAGAAAAATAAAACAAAAAGTAAATTTTAATTCTGCTCAAAAGTAATTTCAACAAAAACAATGCTGCCCCTTTGGTTTAATAAGTGTGTGATCTTTTAAAAAAAAAAGACAAATATGTTCATTACCATAGAATTGACTTTAAGTCTTGCTTTGATGGAAATGAGTGTTGAAACCCTGCCTCATAAAGGTTTGTGTTAGTAAATGGAATCTGTGGTCCGGTGACCAGTTGAGGATGGGCTCGGATCAAGAACACCAGGATCGGTTGGGCATGGTGGCTCACGCCTGTAATCCCAGCACTTTGAGAGGCCGAGGCAAGCAGATCACCTGAGGTCAGAAGTTCAAGACCAGCCTGGCCAACATGGCGAAAACCCATCTCTACTAAAAAATACAAAATTTAGCAGGGCGTGGTGATGGGCACCTGTAATCCCGGATACTCAGGAGGCTGAAGTGGGAGAATTGCTTGAACCTGGGAGGTGGAGGTTGCAGTAAGCCGAGATGGCACCACGCACTCCAACCTGGGTGACACAGAGCGAGACTCCATCTCAAAAAAAAAAAAAAAAAAATTAGAACACCAGGATCCTCTACAACTCTTTGAGTTCAATTCCTGTTATTTCATTTCCTTTGTTCTCAAGTCAATGAAGTCATTTTTGGCAGTACTGGCCTTGTTACTGCTGTCTTTGTCAACAGGGAAGGGATTAGGGATTCACTTTCCACTTGAAGACTGTTGAAACAGAAGTAACACTCCAAAGTATTCTGAGGGTTTTCCGGTTACCACAGTTTCCTGACTGCAGAGAAATCGAGAAAGTGTCTTTGTCACACTCAATTCCAGCCTGCAGAAGAATCTGCTTCAGTGATGAAAAGTCTGAAGCTTTGTCCTTCCAAGTTATTCTTCCAAGTATATAGGCTTAGCCAAAAGAGCTTGTAGTTCTGTTTTTGTTTTTGTTTCTGCACCAGAAATATGTTTGTGATTCCAGGACCTGAACTGGAAGATTTTCTTCTTTCAGTACAACCAAACTATCTGCCTAACAAACCAAGCAGTAAGTGAATTCCTCCCAGTAGAATTGTTTGGAAAACTGGCATTTCTTTTTTTTTCTTAAGTACACACACGAGCTTCTCTTCAAGTTCAATAAGGACTTCATCACCCTGTCTTACTCTAGTTGATGATATTGTGCTACTATTATTTGACAAACCCTCTTGAAAAGATGGTGATTCGAGGATCTGGCTTGCAGGAAGTTGAAGATATCCACAGCAGTAGACAATGTGGTTGAGGCTGTTGACAGGGTCTTTGACACCAATGCATGCCGGCCAACATGCAGAGCTGCTTTCCTCTAAAAGGCAGTGTGGGGTTGGGCACAGTGGCTCACACCTGTAATCCCAGCACTTTGAAAGGCTGAGGCAGGTGGATCACTTGAGGCCAGTAGTTCAAGACCAGCCTGGCCAACATGGTGAAACTCTGTCTCTAATAAAAATACAAAAAAAAATTAGCCGGGCATGGTGGCACATGCCTGTAATCCCAGCTACTCGGGAGGCTGAGGCAGGAGAATCACTTGAACCTGTGAGGCAGAGGTTGCAGTGAGCTGAGATCACGCCACTACACTCCAGCCTGGGTGACGGAGCTAGGCTTTGTCTCAAAAAATAAATAAATAAAATAAAAATAAAAAAATAAAAGGCAGTATGACTGGATGGGCTGCCACACCTCAAAGGGGTCCCTCCTAGGACCCGAGCCGGAGTTTTCTTTCCATCAATGTGTACTTGGCAAAGGCTTTTCACAGTTTTGAAGAGGTTAGTAGAATCTATATTTTCCAAAATGGTCTCACGAAATATGGTTTTTGTTTTCATTTTTGTTTTTATTTAGAGGGCATTGGTCAGTATGCAAATAATGCACAAGACCCAGAAAGCCACAAACAAATGTTTGTAGTTTTGTTCTTTTCCGTGCTGCAGAGAAAGAGTATCACTTTCAATTATTCAAAGATCTGCTTTAAAACATAAGAGATATTATACATATAAAGTATAAGAAAGGAATATTACACATTTTGGAGTGGGTGACACCAATGGAAATATTCTGCCGCCTCAGCTTCAAGCCCTCAAAGAGACCAATTTCAAGACATGTGCCTTCACCAACATCTCTCCAATCACACAGATATTGTTTGGCTTGGTAATGGGATAAGACATCTTATAAGATGTGGCCGGGCACGGTGGCTCATGCCTGTAATCCCAGCACTTTGGGAGGCCGAGGTGGGTGGATCACCTGAGGTCAGGAGTTTGAGACTAGCCTGGCCAACATGGCAAAATCTGGCCTCTACTAAAAATACAAAATTAGTGGGGCGTGGTGGCGTGTGCCTGTAATCCCAGCTGCTCAGGAGGCTGAGGCAGGAGAATTGCTTGAACCCCGGAGGTGGAGGTTGCACTGAGCCGAGATCATGCTATTGCACTCCAGCCTGAGTGACAAGAGCAAAACTCTTCTCAAAAAAAAAAAAAAAAAAAAAAAAAAAACTTATAAGATGCTTCCAAATAAGGTTCTTGATTTGGGGATGAATCCATTTGACAAGATTCTAGTCTTCCCCAGACAGGATCCTTCTCATGAATCCACACTGTCTGAGATATATTTCAGGATATGGAGATGTCAGCTGTTTTTTCAGCTTTGTTGGAGTCAGGTTCTCATTGGCACAATCTTCCCTCATTAGAAGCACCGAGAGCTGGTATCCAATTGCATTAGCAATGAAAGATCACAGGGCATTAAAATTTAGTCATAGTGTACTTTCTTTTTTTTTCAACATTTTTAAAATTAAGCTAGACCCAACAAAAGCAAAGGCAGACATTTTTATTCAAAATAATAGAGTATACTTTATTTCATTTTCATCAATGGTAAACTATTTTAGAAATCTTTAAGTAGCAACAGTAACAATTGTGTATTATCAAACCACATACTTACTTTTCATGTGATAAAGACAGTTTAAGCAAGCAGAAAGTAAAATTTGAAAATCTATTCCAGCAAACTGCTCAATTCACTAGTTACCTGTGTGATTAAAGAGCTGATTGCAAAAGCTTGGGAGTCTTTGAATAATCTCTAGAAGTTCTCCACAGTAGTGAACTATATAATGAACTATGATGACCAATTCTATAGGTTTAGAAAGAATTACACATCTTCTAGCATGTTACACTTTCAACTACATTTATAAACCTATTCTATTCTGTTCTATTATTCTATTCTATTCTATTCTATTCTATTCTATTCTATTCTATTCTATTCTATTCTATTCTATTCTATTCTATTTTTTGAGACAGAGTCTTGCTCTGCTGCCCAGTCTGGAGTGCAGTGGTGCGATCTCAGCTGACTGCAACCTCCACCTTCCAGGCTCAAGCTATCCTGCCTCAGCCTCTTGAGTATCTGGGACTACAGGTGTGCACCACCACCCCAGCTAATTATTTTTAAGGTTTTGTAGAGATGGGGTTTCACCAAATTGCCCAGGCTTATAAACTATTTTATACTGTCAGTATCTTCACAGGTACAGGAGAAGTAGAATATAAAAAATTGAAACTAGAAAATTGTAATGTTCTTTCATTTCCTTCTAGACCTCATATGACTAATTTAGAGGATGAGTGTGACAAGACCACATAGAATAACAGTCTTGACTTTTCTTACATACACTTGACTACAACACTCTGTTAACTTTTCACTCATGTTAGCAGCAGTATCTTGGGCATAATTTTGTGCCTTATTCATATTGACTCTGATTTCCAGCAAATAATTATATAACCCTGGAGAGCTAGTCTTGGCCATGTCTTCATCATCAATAAGACGCTCTCTTTTTTTTTTTTTCCCTTTTTTTTTTTTTTGAGACAGAGTCTCACTCTGTCCCCCAGGCTGGAACGCAGTGGCATGATATTGGCTCACTGAAACCTCTGCCTCCCACATTCAAGCGATTCTCCTGCCTCAGCCTCCCAAGTAGCTGGGATTACAGGCACACGCCACAACGCCCGTCTAATTTTTGTATTTTTAGTAGAGACAGGGTTTCACCATGTTGGTCAGGCTGGTCTCGAACTTCTAACTTCAAGTGATCTGCCCACCTTGGCCTCCTGAAGTGCTGGGATTTCAGGTGTGAGCCACTATGCCTGGCAAAAGACTACTTTCAAAGAGTGTCTTGGCCAGGTGTGGTGGCTCATGCCTGTAATCCCAGGACTTCGGGAGACCGAGGTGGGTGGATAGCTTGAGCCCAGGAATTCAAGACTAGCCTGGGCAACATGATAAAACCCGGTCTCTACTAAAAATACAAAAATTAACCACGTGTGTTGGTACATACCTGTGGTCCCAGCTATTCAGGAGGCTAAGGCAGAACAACCCCTTAAGCCCAGGAGGTCAAGGCTGCAGTGAGCTGAGATCACACCACTGCACTCCAGCCTAGGCAACAGAGCAATACCCTGTCTAAAAAAAACAAAACAAACAAACAAACAAAAAAAAGTAGACTTTGAGAAAAGGAAATCAGTTTATTGGAGAGATATCTGCACTGCCCACCCCCATGTTTATTGCAGCATTATCACAATAGCCAAGATATGGAATCCACCTAAAAATGTCCATTAACAGATAAATGGATAAAGAAAATGTGGTATATATACACAATAGAATACTATTCAGCCATAAAAAAGAATGAAATTCGGCCCGGCGTGGTGCTTCATGCCTGTAATCCCAGCACTTTGGGAGGCCAAGGTGGGCGGATCACGTGGTCAGGAGTTGGAGACCAGCCTGACCAACATGATGAAACCCCGTCTCTACTAAAAATACAAAAATTAGCCAGGTGTGGTGGCGCGTGCCTGTAATCTCAGCTACTCAGGAGGCTGAGGCAGGAGAATTGCTTGAACCCAGGAGGCAGAGGTTGCAGTGAGCAGAGATGGCACCACTGCACTCCAGCCTGGGCAACAGAACGTGACTCCATCATCTCAACAAAAAAGAATGAAATTCTGTCATTTGCACATGGATGAGGCTGGAGGACACTATGTTAAGTGAAATAAGTCAGGCACAGAAAGATAAATACCATGTGTTCTCACTCCTATGTGGGAGCTAAAAAAAAAAAATGAGCCCATAGAAATAGAGAGCAGAACTGTTGTTATTAGAGGATGGGAAGGGTAAAGGAGAAGGTAAGGTAGGGAGAGATTGGTTAACAAGTACAAAATTCCAGATAGAGAAAAGGAATAAGTTATAGTGATCTATAGCACTGTAGGATGAGTATGGTTAACAATAATTTATTTTATTTATTCACTTTAGCTATCATTAGTTTATTATAAAAGACAGACATGGAAACTACTTACATGATGAAAGGTTTCATAACTTCAGTGGAATGGCAGCTTCATGTTGATGCATTTCAAGAGTGATTTATTTCAGTCTACATATTTTCCAAGAATGTCACCATCTCTAAATAAGAAATAATTCTTGGCAGGGCCCAGCATGATGGCTGATACCTGTAATCCCAGCACTTTGGGAAGCCAAGGGGGTGGCTTGAGCCCAGGAGTTGAAGACCAGCCTGGACAACATGGTGAAACCCCATCTCTACAAAAAATACAAAAATTTGCTGGGTGTGGTGGTGTGCACCTGTAGTTCCAGGTATTCGAGAGGCTGAGGTGGGAGGATTGCTTGAGCCTGGGAGGTTGAGGGCTGCAGTGAGCTGTGATTGTGCCACTGCACTCCTTCCTGCCTGGGTGACACAGTAAGACCCTGTCAAATGGAAGGAAGGAAGGAAGGAAGGAAGGAAGGAAGGAAGGAAGGAAGGAAGAGAGAAGAGAAGAAAAGAGAAAAGAGAAGAAAGGAAAAAGAAAGAGGAAAAGAGGAAGGAAGGAAGGAAGGAAAAAAAATAATCCTTGTCATCTAGAACTACTTTCGTGCCTTCATATTGTGGGAAAACTTTATCTTCAACTTTCACACTAACTGGTTGAATTTCTTTGCCCTTTGCTTTAGACCCTGATCCAACAGCTACTGCCATACCTTTCCTTGAGATTTTTGCTGGAAGCATAATGCCCCCTTTGGTTACAGCTTCGGTGACACTTCTTTCAACCAATACTTTGTCAAAGAGTGGAAGGAACTTTCTAAGTGCTCCCGCTGCCACCGATAGTACTCTGCTCTCACACTGCCCTGCAAATAGAGACCTCCAATAATTTAAATTAAAAAAATTATTTTATTTTATTTGAGACAGGGTCTCGTTCTGTCACCTAGGATGGAGTGCAGTGGCGTGATCATGGCTCACTGCAGCACAAACCTCCTGGGCTCAAGTGATCTTCTTGCCTCAGCCTCCTGAGTGCTGGGACTACAGGCACTCACAGATATGCCCAGCTAATTTTTTGTGTGTCTGTATTTTTTGTAGAGATGGGGTTTTGCCATGTTGTCCAGGCTGGTCTCGAACTCCTGAGCTCAAGCCATACACCGGCCTCAGCCTCCCAAAATACTGGGATTACAGGCATGAACTACTACAACTGCCAATTTTTTTTTCTTTTTCTTTCTTTCTTTTTTTTTTTTTTTTTTTTGAGACAGAGTCTTGCTCTGTCACCCAGGCTGGAGTACAGTGGCACGATCTCAGCTCACTGCAAGCTCCGCCTCCCGGGTTCACGCCGTTCTCCTGCCTCAGCCTCCTGAGTAGCTGGGACTACAGGCGCCCGCCACCACGCCCGGCATAATTTTTTTTTCTTTAAAGGGAGACGGTCTGCGTTGCCCAGCAACTCTCGGGCTGAAGCTAGTCTTCTGCCTCAGCTTCCCGAGTAGCTGGAACTATGGCACGCACCACCACGCATGGCTGGTTAACAATAATTTCGTGTATATGTTCAAAAACCTAGAAGAGATTTTGAATATTCCCAACACAAAGAAATGATAAATATTTGAGGTGATCTACATGCTAATTACCCTGATTTGATTGTTACACATTATATACATGTATTGCAATATCACTCTGAACCCATAAATTTGTACAGTAATTATGTATCAACTAGAAGGAAAAGGAAATAATGAAGGATGCTAAATGCTTGCCCAACCTATCTCGTAGCATTGATGTCCAGTATCGATTAGATTACATAATAAGAAAACATCTTGTGACCTCTTAAAAAAAAGTAGTCGTTGATATTTTCTGTGGTCATCTTGCATAAACCAAGTTTTTTCTTTGTACTATCAGTCTTATAATGCAGCATTGAATAAGCCGAGGAAAATAATCTTATTTATGATGTCCTGCAACTATCCTGTTTTTATCATTTCAGTGATTGTGAATTTCTATATTTATAGAAATCAATTCATGGACACCAAAAAATGATTTTTATTATCAGAAGAAATGAACTCTTAAAAGCACGTGCTGGCTGGCCACGGTGGCTCACACTTGTAATCCCAGCACTTTGGGAGGCTGAGGTGGGTGGATCACTTGAGCCCAGGAGTTCCAGACAAGCCTGGGCAACACAGTGAAAACCTGTTTCTAAAAAAAAATTTTAAAATTAGCCAGGTGTGGTGGTGTGCACCTGTAGTCCCAGCTACTCGAGAGGCTGAGGAGGGAGGATCTCTTGAGCCCAGAAGGCTGAGGGTGTAGTGAGCCAAGATTGTGCCACTGCACTCCAGCCTGGGCAAAAGAGAAAGAGAGACCCTGTTTAAAAAAAAAAAAAAAAAAAAAAAAAAAAAGTGCTGTTTTCCAAGAAAAGTGAAATATTTTCACCTAAGAATGTCTTATCTTTTCAACTTGTCTAGAATGAGTGAAGGTAATCTATTAGCAGAAGTTTTATCACAAATATCAGGCTGGGCATGGTGACTCATGCCTGTAATCCCAGCATTTTGAAAGGCCGAGGCAGGTGGATCACGAGGTCAAGAGATTGAGACCAACCTGGCCAACATGGTGAAACCCTGTCTCTACTAAAAATACAAAAATTAGCTAGGCATAGTGGCGCTAGCCTGTAGTCCTAGCTACTCGGGAGGCTGAGGCAGGAGAATCACTTGAACCCGGGAGGCGGAGGTTGCAGTGAGCCGAGATCGTGCCACTCTACTCCAGCCTGGCAACAGAGCAAGACTCCGTCTCAATAAATAAATAAATAAATAAATAAATAAATGTGTACTCTCAAGTTGCAATGTTTTAAAATAAACTTCAACTGTTTCATGCTTTCTGAAACTTGTCAATGCTTCCTAAAAATTGTCAAAGCAATTTTCCATCAGAAGTTCTTCACGACTGATTTTTTTTTTAAGTGGGAGAGAACAATAAGTAACAGAATATTGCATTCACTTTGAAGTCCATATCCCACCAAAATTGTATCCTTAAAGCTTTGCAATTTACCTAAGATGCTTTGTAATTTGCAGGTAAGTTTGCACTGATACTGCTTATCACATAATTTTATGAACCTCAAGCTTTTTTTTTTTTTTTTTTTTTTTTTTTTGAGACGGAGTCTCGCTCTGTTGCCCAGGCTGGAGTGCAGTGGTGCAATCTCGGCTCACTGCAAGCTCCGCCTCCCGGGTTCACGCCATTCTCCTGCCTCAGTCTCCCCAGTAGCTGGGACTACAGGCACCCGCCACCACACCCGGCTAATTTTTTGTATTTTTAGTAGAGACGGGGTTTCATCATGTTAGCCAGGATGGTCTCAATCTCCTGACCTCGTGATCCGCCCACCTCGGCCTCCCAAAGTGCTGGGATTACAGGCGTCAGCCACTGCGCCCGGCCGAACTTCAAGCTTTCTATAGCTTTCCAAGTGGAAGCTAAATCATTCTAGTGGAAGCTGAATCATAATCTGGCCAATAGATGAAATGTGATTAATTATTAATAATGATAAAGCTCTTCACTGCACGTTACGATCATTGGTGTCGTTCCTTGATTTACAATGAAATATTAGCACATTTTGTAAAAGATAATAAAAGACTTTTGTTTTGACAATGTTTTAAAATAGTGACAGTTCCAAACAAACAAAACTCACATAGGTATACATAACCGACAACAGTTGAAAAAATCAGACACTAAAAAAGAACAATAGCAAAAAACTGTGTGCACCAAGCCTTGCAAAACTGTGCAGTTGTTGACAAAAACAAATGAGACCACATGGGGAGCAGGCAAAACACCAACTGTAGAACAATGCCAGGTTCACTATCATTTTAGGTGAGATGCTCAGTAATGTCCCTAGTTTTTCTTTGTTTTAAAATTTTGTCTAGATGAAAAGTGGGATATTTTTATGTTTTCTCAAAGCAAAGATTACCATGACTTATATTTTACAATTTGCATAGCTTGTTTGAGAGGCATAATTATCGTTATGCTTCTGGGATGCAGAGCAGGCCCATGGCAATGCCTCCCCAATCTCTACCACTAGCTCATGCCCCTCCCTACGTTGACACCATACAGTCCTTCCAGAAACCAAATAACCACTTAGGCATAAGCTTGGTTTTTAGCATATGATATTTTTCTAAAAGCTTAAGTACTTTATTATCCTATAGTTGAGAAAAGGGGGCAGTGGGGCCAGGCGAGGTGGCTCATGCTTGTAATCTCAGCACTTTGGGAGGCCGAGGAGGGTGAATCACAAGGTCAGGAGTTCAAGACCAGCCTAGCCAAGGTGGTGAAACCCCATCTCTACTAAAAATATAAAAAATTAGCCGGGCATGGTGGTTGGCACCTATAGTCCCAGCTGCTCAGGAGGCTGAGGCAAAGAATTGCTTGAACCCGGGAGGCGGAGGTTGCAGTGAGCCGAGATCGCACCACTGCACTCCAGCCTGGGCGACAGATTGAGACTCTGTCTCAAAAAAAAAAAAAGAAAAGAAAGAAAGAAAAGAAAAGTGGGCAATGGTGTTCTCCTTTGAGGTTAATAACCAGTAAGATTTTATTTTATTTTTTTTTTTCAGATACAGTCTCACTCTGTCACCCAGGCTGAAGTGCAATGGTATGATCATGGCTTACTGCAGCCTCCACCTCCCAGGCTCAAGTGATCCTCCCACATCAGCCTCTCGAGTAGCTGGAACTACAGGCACAAGCCACCATATCTGGCTAAATTTTAAATTTTTTGTAGGTAGGGTCACATTGTTGCCCAGGTTGGTCTTGAACTCCTGGGCTCAAGCTATCTTTCTGCCTTGGCCTCCCAAAGTGCTGAGATTACCGGTGTGAACCACCACGCCTGGCACAGTAAGATTTTAAAGTATGTTTACAAGTACATTTGACAATGGCTTCAGAGAAAAAAATGACAAGATTACAAAAGGAACTGGAAAGGATGCAAAGCCTAGTAGCAAAATATCAAGTGTAATAGTTGCCATGAATGTGCAAATAAGTGACAGGGACATCATAGGAACCCAGAGAATGGTTTCATGAGCAATTGAGGTACTCCATGCAGAGTAAAGAACTTTCAAAGAACTCCTGACCAGTAGTTTGTGCACTGGAGACTGCACAAACTACTTTGCATGCAAATCAAGGGCTCAAAGTCAATAAAATTGATAATGTGTTACAGCTTATAGAAAAATGGAGGACAGTTGGATGTGGAGGCTCACGCCTGTAATCCCAGCACTTTGGGAGCCTGAGGCAGGCAGATTGCTTGAGCCCACAAGTTCGAGACCAGACTGGGCAACGTGGCGAAACCCCATGTCTACAAAAAATACAAAAAACTTAGCAGGCTGTGGTGGCATTTGCCTGTAGTCCCAGCTACACGGGTGGCTGAGGTGGGAGAGTCACCTGAGCCCAGGAGGTTGAGGCTGCAGTGAATGGAAATGTGACAGTGTAAATGGCCACTGTGATCTGTTAATGACTCCTCTTTCTAAAATGTGCATGTAGGTGAGGACTAGGAACAGAGTGATGTCCACTAGGTCGTATGTTCCCAGGTTCTGAGGAAGAGCTCAAAGCTAGTTGGTCTTCCTTGCCCTATAGAGTCTCAATGACCCTCTGGGCCTGGGCATTCATTTGTTGCACAGAGGTTGTGCAATTAGTGTGACCGATAGTGCATGTATATAGCAACCAAAGTGAAAAGCAGCGATCTTAAACATAGACTGATGAATAAAAGAATCTTTTATAAAAAGATGATAAAAATAGAAAAAAGAAACTAAATCATAAAAGAAATAAGACATTCTCAAAAATAGAATTAAAAGCAACAGAAATATAATTTAGATACAGTTGGTAATAAATTGTAAGTATTCATTGCTTATTATAGTTTGTTTTTATTTGTTGCTGTGGTATTTAAGAACATTATAAACATTCAAATTGTATTTAAAATGTTCCTGAATAAAATATTTTTACCTCAGTAGGACACCCCGCAAAGTCAGGATAGTGGTGGCCCATGAGATTGGCCATGACTGGGAAGGGGGCATCAAGGGGCCCTCTAGGGTATTGGCAATGGTCTGTCTCACCTTGGGCTTTTTGCATGGATGTGTTCCAATGGTGGTTAGAGTCTCTGCAAACCAGCTCTGAGAGCCGATTGTTTTAATTTTCAGAGATGTATGAACTGGTTGTTAAACATTGCATCATTAAAAATTAAAGTATAAGGTGAGGTGCTGTGGCTCATGCCTGTAATCCCAACACTTTGGGAAGCTGAGGCAAGAGAACTGCTTGAGCCCAGAAGTTCAAGACCAGCCTGAGCAACATAGAGAGACCCTATCTCATTTAAAATAAAAAAAAATTTTAATTAGCTGGATATGGTGGCATGCACCTGTAGCCCCACTTACTTGGGAGGCTGAGGTGGAAGGATCACTTGAGCCCAGGAGGTTGAGGCTGCAGTGACCTGTGATCATGCCACTGCACTCCAGCCTGGGCAACAGAGTGAGACCGTGTCTCACAAGCAAACAACAACAAAAACAACAACAACAACAAAAAAAACCCCAAGAAAAATTAAAGTATATAAACCTACAATTAAAAGAAGTATGCTAAAAAAAGTCAAAACTTCCTGATTATTTTACTATATGAACTACCATATTGAGTGTGTATATATATATATATACTAGATTGAGGTTATTTATATGTCTTGTATCTACATGATGATAATATATAACATATACAGGTGTTTGTTTGTGTGTTACTGCATATCTCTTCCCACCTCTGTATTCAGTAATGTCATGTTGGTCGTCTGAAATTGGCCATGGTGGGAGTATTTGCACCATAGAAATTGACAAATGCTACAAGCCAGGGCTTGAGTTATTGTTTCCTTGATCTTCTAAACTTAGGAAAGTAGTGGAGAAAATGTTAATAATGCAGATTAAACTTGAAAGTATGTCACATCAGGCCAGGCACGGTGGTTCATGCCTGTAATCCCAGCACTTTGGGAGGCCGAGATGGCCGGGCCAACATGGTGAAACCCCACTCTACTAAAAATACACAAATTAGCCAGGCGTGGTGGCGGGCACCTGTTATCCCAGCTACTTGGGAGGCTGATGCAGGATAATCACTTGAACCTGGGAGGTGGAGGTTGCAGTGAGCCAGGAACGCACCATTGCACTCCAGCCTGGGCAACAAGAGCACAAGTCTGTCTCAGAAAAAAAAAAAAAAAAAAAAAAGTATGTCACATCGATAGCTGTTACATTGTAAATAGCACCAAAAAATGAGGACACATTTTTCCAGTACTTGAAAACTATTATCCAATTCAGCAAAGAAGTTGCTCACATCATTGACTAATGAGTTAAGTTCAGACATACCTCTTGGTTGTTTCATTTTTGTCTTACTCGTTAATATAAAGAAAACTATTAACAAATATTTAATTTGCAATTATATTTATTAGTTGCAACCTTAGGTTGTCTGTGGATACAAGGAGTTGGCAAAAATCAATTCTTCTCCATGACTTTATTTCTACCCCTACCCCTTTGTTTCTGTTCTGTTTTCTGTAATTCTAATTAATGAGATAAAGACTTCATTACTGTACTCTCACATTTCCTTCCTCTGTTTATTTGTTCTGCTTTCTGAGAGATTTCTTCAACTTTACCTCCCAAGCCTTCTATTAAATTCTTAAAGTTTAACAATCATTTAAAGCCAAGGCGGGTGGACCACTTGAGGTCAGGAGTTCAAGACCAGCCTGGCCAACATGGTCAAAACTTGTCTCTACTAAATATAAAAAATTAGACAGGCATGGTGGTGGGCACCTGTAATCCCAGCTACTTGAGAGGCTGAGGCAGGGGAATCACTTGAACCCGGGCGGTGGAGGTTGTAGTGAGCCGAGATGGCGCCACTGCACTTCAGCTTGGGTGACACAGCGAGACTCCATCTCAAAAATAAATAAAAATTAAATTTCCTAAATTTATCTCTTGTTCTCTGATTCAAGCATTGTTACATTTTTCTAGTTTTTAGGGTGGAATTTTTATTTCCCAACTGTTTCTGAATATATAACAGGGTATTGTTTTTAAGTTATCCAATGTTCTCTGAATCATTTGTCTCTTGTAGGGCCAATTTCTCTGTTTAATTTGGTTCTTCTCTTTCTTGCTGCAGCCTTTTCTTGACTGTCTAGTGATCCTGGGTTGCTCATTGATGTTAAAAATTAGGCAATAGGAAAGCTTGTTTATTGGGAGCTTGACTATGTGGATGAGCTTGTGGAAAGGAAGGCTTTGATCTCAGAGGAGTAGTTGGGAATCAGCCAACTTGCTTTGAGACCCCAAAATACTAAAATGCACAGTTCCTACACTGTCATCTAGTTCTCTCCAGACAGGCTGGTCAATTTTCTTAGAAAAGGATCTTCTTATCTATTTTAGCCTCAAGGGTAAACACTAGGCAGCCTGACATTCTGTGAGCAGGGGAAGGAAAGGCGACTGCTCCACAGGCAGACTCCTGTTTTCAGGAGTCTGTTTCCCATTTCACATCTGCCCTCTGTTATACTTGCCACTTTTGGGTCTTTGAGTCTTGGATGTCTCTGAGTTGCCACAGGGAAATCAGCCCCTTCCTCAGTTGAAGGCCACACCTGAAATATTCACAATACAGTTTCCAGCACTGTGCTTTGTCAGCTACCACTCCATTTTCTGCTTTCTGTCTCCAGAAATGTGGATGACCTCTCTCATCAGCTCACTATCTTGAACAGAAGGCTCATTTTTTTTTTTTTTTAATTTTTAGAAACAAGGTCTTACTCTCTGTCACCCAGGCTGGAGTGCAGTGGCACAATCACGGCTCACTGCAGCCTCAAACTCCCAAGCTCAAATGATTCTCCTGCCTCAGCCTCCCGAGCAGCTGGAACTACAGGTGCGCACCGCTATGCCCAGCTAATTTTTTTGTAGAGACAGCATCTCACTATGTTGCCCAGACTGATCTCAAACTCCTGGCCTCAAGCAACCCATCTGCCTCAGTCTCCCAAAATACTGTGGTATTACAGGCGTAAGCTACTGTGCCCAGCCTCAACTCATGTTTAATATTATTTGAGATTTACTCTTCATACAGAGGAATATCTCTTTTGGAAGGGGATAAGAAGAGTTATGGACAGGGAAGTGTTGCTGCCATTATTTTATTTATTTATTTATTTATTTATTTATTTATTTATTATCTTTTTTTTTTTTTCGAGATGGAGTTTTTGTGATTCTCCTGCCTCAGCCTCACAAGTAGCTGGGATTACAGGAATGCACCACCACACCTGGCTAATTTTTGTATTTTTAGTAGAGATGGGTTTCTTCATGTCGGTCAGGCTGGTCTTGAACTCCCGACCTCAGGTGATCCACCCACCTCTGCCTCCCAAAGTGCTGGGATTACAGGCATGAGCCACCACGCCTGGCCTATTTATCTTTTGAGATGGAATTTCACTCTTGTTGCCCAGGCTGGAGTGCAATGGCATGATCTTGGCTCACTGCAACCTCCGCCTCCCGGGTTCATGCGATTCTCCTGCCTCAGTCTCCCTAGTAGCTGGGATTACAGGAATGCACCACCACGCCTGGCTAATTTTTGTATTTTTAGTAGAGATGGGGTTTCTTCATGTTGGTCAGGCTGGTCTCAAACTCCCAACCTCAGGTGATCCGCCCGCCTCAGCCTCCCAAAGTGTTGGGATTACAGGTGTGAGCCACTGCTCCCAGCCTCTATCATTATTTTTTAAGACCTGAGTTATTATTTCTGTAATTATGGATTCATGCAAAGCCTCTCATTTTTTTTTTAATTTATCTATTTGTATGCATCCAAATAAAACAGGCATCATTATTCTTTGTAAACTTATTTTTAATCTACACAAATGAAATTGTGTTAAAGATCTTATTCACCTTTTTATTTTTTTTTCAATCAGCTCAAGCTTATTAATTACATTTTTCAGGCCAGGCCCAGTAGTAGCTCATGCTCAGTAGCTCACACCTATAATCCCAACACTCTGGGAGGCTGAGGTGGGAGGATCATTCAGCCCAGGATTTCAAGATGAGCCTGGGGAACATAGGGACACCTCCGTTACTACAATTAAAAAAAAAAAAAAAAAAAAGGCATGTACTTGTAGTCTCAGCTATTTGGGAAGCTGAGGCTGGTGGATTGCTTGAGCCCAGCAGTTCAAGGCTGCAGTGAGCTATGATCACACCTGTGACTAGCCCACTACATTCCAGCCTGGGCAACATAGTGAGACCCTGTCTCTTAAAAAATAAAATAAAATATCCAACTATAATTGTTAATTCATCTATTTCTATCATTCTTCATTTAATATGTATTTGAAGCTGATTTATTGTTTATATGTACATGGTGGTTATACCATCTTGTATTTATTAACATAGACTATCCTGTACTAACTCTTATGCTATTTTTTACTTAACTTCCATTTTGTCAGATACTAAGATTGCTCCCAGGCCAGGCGTAGTGGCTCACGCCTGTAATCCCAACACATTGGGAGGCTGAAGTGGGTGGATCACTTGAGGTCAGGAGCTTGAGGCCAGCCTGGCCAACATGGTGAAACCTTGTCTCTACTAAAAATACAAAAAAATTAGCCAGGTGTGGGGTCGGACGCTTGTAATCCTAGCTACTTGTGGGACTGAGGCAGGAGAATCACTTGAACCCAGGAGGCAGAGGTTGCAGTGTGCCAAGATCGCAGCAGCCTGGGCAACAGAGTGACTCTGTCTGAAAGAAAAAAAAAATGGCTCCCTTGGCTTTCTTTTAATTTATTTTAAATGTTATTTTATTTTTTTTGAGATGGAGTCTCACTCTGTCGCCCAGGCTGGAGTGCAGTGGCACGATCTCGGCTCACTGCAAGCTCCGCCTCCCGGGTTCAAGCCATTCTCCTTCCTCAGCCTCCTGAGTAGCTGGGACTACAGGTGCCTGCCTCCACGTCCGGCTAATTTTTTGTATTTTTCAGTAGAGATGGGGTTTCACCGTCTTAGCCAGGATGGTCTCCATCTCCTGACCTCGTGATCTGCCCGCCTCAGCCTCCCAAAGTGCGGGGATTACAGGCGTGAGCCACTGCGCCCGGCCACTTAACTTCTTATGATTGCCTAGTATGTATCTGTTTTTATCTTTCTATTTCTAACTTCTCTTTCTGTTTTAAATGCGTCTTTTATGTAAACATCTTTCTTTGAATTCGACGTAGGCATCTCTGTTTTTAATTAGTAACTGTGATGATTAATTTTATGTGCCAGTTGACTTGGACATAGGGTATTTAGATATTTGATCAAACATCATCCTGGGTGTATCTGTGAGGATGTTTCTGGTTGAGATTTACGTTTGAATTGGTAGACTGGGTAAAGCCAATTACCCTCCCCAGTATGGGTGAGTCTCATCCAATCAGTTGATGGCCTGAATAGAACAAAAAGTCTGAGTAAGAGGAATGCCTGCCATCTGATTGCCTTATCAAGGGCATCATGGGTCTGGCTTACGCAGGAAAGACAGCTCATAATTGCAACCTATTGATCCATGCTAAAAGAAAAGATTTCGCTCTACATTTAAAGACTGGTGTTTATATGTTATACATGCTTTTATGTTTTGAGTTAAAATAAAATGTATCTGGTATATCTATGTGTCTTTTATTTTTTTTTCCCCAAAAACTCCATGCTGTAAGCAAGTCTTTTGATTAACAGGCAAACTATCCATCTTGATTGCCTCTGGAAAGAGAGCTTTTCCCGTAAAATAGAGAATCATCAAATGCTTTTCAAAAGCTCTAAACCCCTCTTGTCCCAGGCTTGCGCAGTGGGGTCTTTCACTTTGTGCACTCAGTGGAAAGGTGCCTATTGTGGTGGGTGAGCTTTCCTTACTGTGCTGACCTGTAGCTCTCCAGTTACAGCTCTCTATGTTATATCTGTGAGGAGGTTGCCACGAATTTTCTTTTTTTTTTTTTTTTTGAGGCAGAGTCTCGCTCTGTCGCCCAGGTTGGAGTGCAGTGGCATGATCTCAGCTCGCTGCAACCTCCGCCTCCCAGGTTCAAGTAATTCTCCTGCCTCAGCCTCCCAAGTAGTTGGGATTACAGGCATGCGCCACCGCACCCGGCTAATTTTTGTATTTTTAGTGGAGACAGGGTTTCAGCATGTTAGCCAGGCTGGTCTTGAACTCCTGACCTCAGGTGATCTACCCACCTCGGCCTCCCAAAGTGCTGGGATTACAGGTGTGAGCCACCACGCCCCAGCGGTTGACATGAATTTTCACAGAAATTTTTCGTTTCCAGGTGGGGTAGGATCTGAAACAGTCTCCCTATTGCATAGAAGTCCCTGAATCACTAAGCTGATACATTCCTGTCTACAGCATCTCAGGTTGTTACTGTTTCAGAGGCTGGAAACTGAAATGCTTTAGGGGCAAAGCAGGTAACCTACATGAGAAAAGCAGGAGAAAGGGCCTGGGTGCAGTGGCTCATGTCTGTAATCCCAGGACTTCAGAAGGCTTGAGGTGGGCAGATCACCTGAGGTCAGGAGTTCGAGACCAGCCTGGCCAACATGGTCAAACCCTGTCTTACTAAAAATACAAAACTTAGCCGGGTGTGGTGGCGGGTGCCTGTAATCTCAGCTACTGGGGAGGCCGAGGCAGGAGAACTGCTTAAGCCTGGGAGGCGGAGGTTGCAGTGAGCCAAGATTGTGCCACTGCCCTCCAGCCTTGGCATCAGAGAGAGACTCTGTCTCAAAAAAGGGAAAAGAAAAAGAGAAGTTGAAGAAGACAGAACTGAAAAATAAAGAAGAGCAAAATAAAAATTTTGAGAGGCAGTACAAAAACAGCCTTTGAAATTTTTAATGACTGACTCAGAAAATGTAGTTTTCTAGATTATGGGTACATAGTCTGTTTCAAAGTAAGTTCAATAATATTCAATTACTTTTTATTTATTTATTTTTTCAGATAGAGTCTTGCTCTGTTATCCAGGCTGGAGCGCAGTGCCATAATCTCAGTTCACTGCAACCTTCGCCTCCCAGGTTCAAGCAATTCTCCTGCCTCAACCTCCTGAGTAGCTGAGATTACAGGTGCCCACCACTGTGCCCAGCTAATTTTTTTAGTAGAGATGGGGTTTCACCATGTTGGCCAGGCTGGTCTCCAACTTGTGACCTCAAGTGATCCGCCTGCCTTGGCCTCCCAAATTGCCAGGATTACAGGTGTGAGCCACCATGCCTGGCCCCCAGTGACTTTTTAAATACTGTCTTACACTCTGCAGAGGTCATGAAAATTTTCCACGTGCTTTTGAGGAATTCTTCTTGAGAGATTCTTCTCTGCTCATCAGTGGGGAATTAATTTTGAGTGACTTCCAAATCCCTTTGAGAAAAAAAACTGTGTATATTGTTTTCCACCAATCAATTGCATTAGAGCATTAGTGGGAAGATTTTCGGCAGAGCAAAAATCGAGTGTATTATGATTATTTAAGTGTTAAAAGTTTTAGAGCAACGTTTCATTTTGTCTACAAAGTCTGCCAAACTCTGGCTAAAACAAAGCAAATAGGCCAGCAGTATAAAATTAGGCATCAGTTACATGCCTTTTTAAATGAAAACCTATTAGAAGTAGATAATTGTGTGAGAAAATTAGAGTTGTAATAATAAAAAATTAAAAACTAACTAAAATGCATCAGAACCAAACACCCAGAAAGAGCTCTGCTTTATGGTTCAAGCAAACAATAACCAAAAGTTGTAAAAGTTAATTCTCTGATTACATATATTTGGGGGAGTTATTGAAGTTGCCGAAGATTAAGGATATTCAAACAGTTATTGTTTCGGAGGCTGTCCTGTAATGTTACCTTGTTTGAAGCAGGACGTGATTAGGAGGTGGGTTGTCACTAATAGGAAACAGGCAGCAGCATCTAGAAATAAAATTTAGAATAACGGCAAATCAGTTACAACTTGTATAATTCATGGGTTAATTATTAATATGAAAGGTTAAAATATTTGATATTGTAACCTTAAGTAACTAGATAAAATGAAATGTAACACATAGTAGGGGACTTTAGTTTTTGACATTTTATAACTTATGTGTACTTAAATAAGACTGTTTTGCCATAAACATGGAGTTTTGAGTGATTATTTTAGGCAATAATCCAGGACAGGAAATACAAGATTAGTGTCAAAGTCATATGCCTACAAGGGCCAGGTATAGGACACAGTAAATGAGGGTGGCCTGGTATGAAAGCACAGAGACAGGGACCAACTGGGAGTGTAAATTCCATTAGAAAGGGACAGCTGTTGACAGATGGGAATGTGGGCGACATGATCTCCAAAAATTTTAAGTGACTTTGGATATAGGGATTTTTGTGTGTCATCTCCTGATTTTTAATTTAGCAAATAATTCAATTTAAAACAAAAACCTGCCAGGTGCGGTGGCTCACGCCTGTAATCCCAACACTGGGAGGCTGAGGAGAGTGAATCACTTGAGGTCAGGAATTCGAGACCAGCCTGGCCAACATGGTGAAACCACATCTCTACTAAAAATATAAAAAATTGACCGGGTGTGGTGGTGCGTGCCTGTAATCCCAGCTACGTGGGAGGCTGAGGCAGGAGAATCGCTTGAACCCAGGAGGCGGAGGTTGCAGTTAGCCGAGATAGCACCATTGCACTCCAGCCTGGACGACAGAGTGAGACTCTGTCTCAAAAAAACAAAACAAAACAAAACAAAACAAAACAAAAAACAAACAAAACCTGGCAGTTAGCACTTGTGGAGTTAAATAAAATTAGTCGGCTGGGCACAGTGGCTCACGCCTGTAATCCCAGCAGTTTGGAAGGCCGAGGCAGGAGGATCATGCAGTCAGGAGTTCGAGTCCAGCCTGGCCAATATGGTGAAACCCTGTCTCTACTAAAAAATACAAAAATTTTGTATTTTTGCTACCCAGTGGTGGCAGGCTCCTATAATCCCAGCTACTCAGGAGACTGAGGCAGAAGAATCTCTTCAACCCAGGAGGCGGAGGTTGCAGTGAGCTGAGATTGTGCCATTGCATTCCAGCCTGGGCGACAGAGCACAACTCTGTCTCAAAATAAATAAATATTAAATTAAACAAACAAACAAACAAACAAACAAACCCTGTGAATCCAGCAAAACCTATACTGCCTGGATTCAGCTTGCCAACCATCTCTAGATTACCAGAAGAAGGATGACATTTGTATTAATTAAATGCCAGGTTATATATATAAAATAAGTTTATTTATATTTCAAGTAACTCAATGCACTAGGTACAATCATCTCTATAACACAATGAGGACATTGCGGCTTAGGGAGGTTAGGATAGCATTGACAATCACTTCTGTAGGTAGCAAAATGTCTCATAAGAAAACTAAACAAATCAAGTGATAAATGGACCACAAATGACCTAGCATAGAACTGTTGTTTAACTATAATAGGCGGAAAAATCAGTATGAAAGTGGAATACTGTATTTAAGAGAATACACACTAAGAGAAGACTGCATGAACAATGTAATGCTTTTATTTACATTTTTTTTACATTATTTTTATTTTCCTTGTGCGATTAGGACGTGGAAAGGCTCTCTGCATTTGTGAACTTGATTTCCAGTTCAAAACCCTCAGATTTTACTGAGATGGCTAAACTCGTCCTCTGAATTATGACCCTTTGTTTTTATGCTTTTCTACTCACAATGGAGGTTGGGAGGCACCTCCTGGGATAAGGTGGAGTTACTGCAGGAATTTCCTCTCTCACTGCATTTGAATGCAAAGTTCCACAGCAGGTAGTTTTCAGGACATACTGCTGAGTTGGTGTAACACTTAAAATATAGTAGAGATGCTCTAACCGTATAATTACATTAAGAAGTTGAATTATTCTTTATATTTTCTGAATTTCTAGAATGTTCTACATTTGATATATATTATTTTAAAATCAGAATTAAATGCTACTTTTGAAGTGTGATCGAAAATAGTAGATAGCACATACATTTCAAATGCTAATTGAATGGACTGCAAACAGCTTGGAGAAACAGCTTTCCTGGACAACCTTGGCCACTAAGTGTTCATTCATCCCATGCTTAAATCCTGCGCTCAGACATTTGTGTCCCTACTCAGGCTTCTTGACTTTCCTGGAATTCCATTGACTGGTCTCTTGGAAGACCCATTCTGGATTCATTGTCATTTAAGAATAAGTTTCCCCTCTTCACAGCCTGGACTTCTCCAGGTGCACTGACCATTCTGGGTGTGGAAAATTCCTTCCAAACTATCCTGGTAAAATTCTTTTTCTCCTCTCTGAAACCACCATCCATTTTCCTCTCTTCTGGTTTAGAAGCCATTCACTGAATTTCTATTACTTTTGTGGTTACCGTTAAATTTTTAAGTAAGCACATGTAACTTGACGATGTGTAAGTTAATCATCATTGCCATAGCTTTCCTCCTCTGTGAAACCATACTAGACTGTAGAGTGACTTCACTTGGATTATTCCCCCTCACTTCCATATTGTTCCATAGTTTACTCTCGCTTTTTCTTGTTACGTTGTTTTTATTGTTCTTTTCTATAATTAACACTTGTTGAATTTGCCCAAGTGTTTCCTGATTTCTTTGGTCATCATTGTTTCTTGAGTGTTGCTCTCTCCTGAGTTCAGTGTCCTTCTTCTGAATATACCTCTGTGAGTAGTCGCTACAGTGAGGCTCTCTTGATGGCGAGCTCTCTCGTATGCTTGAAATGTCTATACTTCACTGTTTCTCCACCACGATAGGTAAACTAGGATGGCAGTTATTTTTTCTCAGCACTTTGAAGATATTATTCCATTAGCTTTTGGGTTTTATTGTTGCTTGTCTTGTCAGCCTTTGTAGGTAAATTGTTCTCTAGCTCATACTTTTTGGTATTTTGAAATTTTCTACAACATGTCAAGGTGTAGAGTTAATTTTATTTATTATGGGCCGGGTGCAATGGCTCTCGCCTGTAATCCCAACGCTTTGGGAGGCCAAAGCAGGTGGATTACTTGAGGTCAGGAGTTTGAGACCAGCCTGGCCAACATGGTGAAACCCCGTCTCTACTAAATATAAAAAATTAGACAGGCATAGTGGCGGGCACCTGTAATCCCAGCTACTCGGGAGTCCGAGGCAGGAGAATCACTTGAGCCCAGGAGGCGGAGGTTGCAGTGAGTCGAGATCGCACCACTGCACTCCAGCCTGGGCGACAGAGTGAGACTCCATCTCAAAAAAAAAAAAAATGTATTCTGCTTGGAACTTAGCGTGAACACTAAACTTCTATTGTAATTTCATCTTCAGCTTCAGCAGGCTTTTACCAGGACAGCCTCTGTGCAACCTGAGTTGAAGGTATGTTTTTCAGAAACGTGTGTGTGTGTGTGTGTGTGTGTGTGTGTGTGCGTGTGTGTGTTTGCTTCTGCCAGAGTCCTGTTTTTTTGTTTTGTTTTGTTTTGTTTGAGACAGAAATTTCCTATGTTGCCCAGGCTGCTGGTGGCTCATCTCGAACTCCTAGGCTCAAATGATCCTCCTGCCTGAGCCTCTTGTATAGCTGGGATTACAAGTGCACACCACCATGCTCAGCTCCACATTCTACATTAATGTCATAGCTTGAAGATGTGCGAATCATGGAAGTGGAATAAACTGAGCCCCAAACTCATGTGAGGGCAAGCCATAGTGTGAAATTATCAGATGTGACTTTTTTTTTTATCCCTATCTAAAGTCTAAGCTGAAACAGACAAGCTTCCTTGTCATTTCCCTGTGTTAGTGAGTGGATGTTTTTTAGTTCTTCCCTTCCCTAGGGGCATAACCATTCAAAGTTTTTAGCTACAAGCAGGGGGTCTCAGTTCCAACTCTATGCCTACTCTACTGTCCCCTTGTGGTCATGAAAACCCAAGTGCCCTGATGCCCTAGATGGAGGCTAATACCCACAGCCGAGCTGCTGCAGTGGCAGCCTTAGCCCTTCTCTCTCTAGTTTCCAGTTTCAGCTTTGATTTTGGTCTTTGGAGATTTCCCTTGCTTTCTCAGGGGCTTAGCTACACAATTAAAGGGATGTTTGTTGTGTTTTATCCAGCATTTAAAGAAGTTTGTAGCAGGAAGTTTTTTTTTTTTTTTTTTTTTCAGATGGAGTCTCACTCTGTTGCCCAGGCTGGGGTGCAGTGGCGTGATCTCGGCTCACTGCAACCTCCACCTCCCAGGTCCAAGCGATTCTCCTGCCTCAGCCTCCTGAGTAGCTGGGATTACAGGCCCCCACCATGCCCACCATGCCCACATTGGCCAAGCTGGTCTCCAACTCCTGACCTCAAGTGATCTCCCCGCCTTGGCCTCCCCAAAGTGCTGGGATTATAGGCGTGAGCCACCACGTCTGGCTGCAAGATTTTTATGTTATCCCCCTAATAGTTCTAGAAATGGAAATTCATGCAGTTCTAGTCTTCCTTCTTTTTTTTTTTTTTTCTCTTTCTCCATATTCAAGATGCGGGAGTCTTTGGATTTTTCAGAACAAAGACTCCTCTATCTAGAATATGGACAAGAGTTCCAAATTTGGTTGGCATCCTTCCTACACAATAAATCTCATCGCAGATCTCCTGGATTAAATATTTTATTCCACTTACTGTTAATTATAAAGTACCAGAAGTCACCCCAGGGAATAGATTCCAGGGAAAACACCCCAAATTGCAACCATAATAGGTCTGTTGCCCGATGCACTCAACAAGTCAATTCGTGGAGACACCATGTTACAGCAGAGAAAGAGGGTTCATCATAGGGCCACTGAACAAGGCAACAAGGGGAAACCTCAAATCTATCTCCCCAAGAAGTTTGGGGCTAGAGGGTTTTTTTGTTTGTTGTTTTTTTTTTTTAGTCGGAGTCTTGCTCTGTCCCCCAGGCTGGAGTGCAGTGGCACAATCTCCGCTCACTGCAAGCTCCGCCTCCAGGGTTCACACCATTCTCCTGACTCAGCCTCCTGAGTAGGTGGGACTACAGGCGCCCGCCACCATGCTCGGCTAATTTTTTGTATTTTTAGTAGAGATAGGGTTTCACCGTGTTAGCCAGGATGGTCTTGATCTCCTGACCTTGTGATCCGCCTGCCTCGGTTTCCCAAAGTGCTGGGATTACAGGCGTGAGCCACCAGGCCCGACCGTTTGGGGCTAGAGATGTTAAGAGTTTGGGAGTGGGCCGAAGATGGCAGGGTGAAGTCGTGGGACAGGGATGAAGAAATTGTGTTCTCATGCTGATTTCATTCTTCTATGGGGGTCTTCAAACTGGTTGATGTCAGCTGTTTGGCTGGCATTCAGGATCTGAAAAACATCTTAAGCAATTCTTAAAAGCCTTATGATTCTAATGTCAGAGATCCTATCCATAGGAACAATCAGGATGCAAATGCTCAGTATTAGTGCAGCCTGATTCATGCTTAATTATAAATACATTTTGTCCAGAGTTTTTGTTTGGTTGGTTATTTTTGGTTTGTGTGTGTGTGTGTGTGTGTGTGTGTGTGTGTGTGTGTGTGTGTGTTTATTTTATTTTATTTTTTTGAGACAGGGACTGTTTCTGTTGCCCAGGCTGCAGTGCAGTGGCACAGTCTCGGCTCACTGCAGCCTCTTCCTCTCAGGCACAAGCAATCCTCCCGTCTTAGCCTCCTGAGTAGCTGGAACTACAGGCGTGTGCCACCATGCCCAGCTAATTTTTGTATATTTTTGTAGAGATGGGTTTTCACCATGTTGCCCAGGCTGGTCTTGAACTCCTGGACTCAAGCGATTCGCCTGCCTCAGCCTCCCAAAGTGCTAGGATTACAGGCGTGAGTCACAGAATTTTTGTTAATCCTGTAAGGACAGCTTCAAAGTCTCCTTTTATTCTCATCTTTGCAAGTTCATTTAGAATTTAAAAAACAATTTCAGCCAGGCAGTGACTCATGCCTGTAATTCTAACACCCTGGAAGGCTGAGGCAGGAGGATCACTTGAGCCCAGGAGTTTGAGACCAGCCTGGGCATTATAGTGAGACGTCATTTCTACAAAAAAATAAACAAGATTAGCTGTGTGTGGTGGTGCCTACCTGTGGTCCCAGCTATTCAGGAGGCTGAGGTGGGAGAATCACTTAAATCCAGGAGGTTGAGGCTGCAGTGACCAGAGATCGCACCACTGCACTCCACCCTGAGCAATAGAGCAAGACCTAATGCAAATGACCCTTATTGACATGAAATCTCACCCATATTTTAGAGATTCCCAGGCACTGGGGGAGACAACCCCTTTTATTGGGCTTATTAAAATGAGAGGAGGGCCTAGTTTACAAGGCTGCCTTTAACGCATTGATTTGATTTGCTTTACATTTATTTTGGATGAAATTCACTTCAAAAGTGGGCCTGACAATTCTGTTAAAGGGGATTTTCTTGTCATTAAGGTCAAGAAACATTGCCTTCATTTAGTATAGATCAATTGAAATGACCCAGCTTAGTACTAAAGGAACTGACAAGGAAAAAGATGAGCTTTGATTTTTGTAACATGAGAAACAGAGGAAAGCAAGAGGAAAATAAGAGAGGATCTCAGGAAAGGGGCGGAAGGTAGACACAGACAGGTTGAAGCTTTGGGATGTATAAGAGTTAGGGACCTGGTCGGGCACAGTGGCTCATGCCTGTAATCCCAGCACTTTGGGAGGCTGAGGTGGGAGGATCACCCGAAGTCAGGAGTTTGAGACCAGCCTGGCCAACATAGGGAAACCCCGTATCTACTAAAAATACAAAAATTAGCCAGTCATGATGCTGCACGCCTGTAGTCCCAGCTACTTGGGAGGCTGAGGCAGGAGAATTGCTTGAACCTGGGAGGCACAGGTTGCAGTGAGCCAAGATCATACCACTACAGTCCAGCCTGGGCCACAGAGTGAGACTCTGTCTCAAAAAAAAAAAAAGTTAGGGACCTGCCTGGAATCAGATGGCACTCTTTTTTGAGATGGAGTCTCGCTCTGTCACCCAGGCTGGAGTGCAGTGGCACGATCTTGGCTCACTGCAACCTCCACCTCCCAGGTTAAAGCAATTCTCCTGCCTCAGCCTCCAAGTAGCCAGGAATACAGGTGCCCACTGCCATGCCTGGCTAATTTTTTGTATTTTAGTAGAGACAGGGTTTCACCGTGTTGCCCAGGCTGGTCGCGAACTCCTGAGCTCAGGCAATCTGCCCGCCTTGGCCTCCCAAAGTGCTGGGATTACCGGTGTGAGCCACGGCGCCCGGCTCAGTTACCTCTTTTAAGAGTACCATCTGGGCCGGGCGTGGTGGCTCACGCCCGTAATCCCAACACTTTGGGAGGTTGAGGCGGGTGGATCGCTTGAGGTTGGGAGTTTGAGACCAGGTTGACCAACGTGGAGAAACCCTGTCTCTACTAAAAATATAAAATTGGCTGGGTGTGGTGGCACATGCTTGTAATCCCAGGAGGCTGAGGCAGGAGAATCGCTTGAACCCGGGAGGCAGAGGTTGCGGTGAGCCAAGATCATGTCATTGCACTCCAGCCTGGGCAACAAGAACGAAACTCCATCAAAAAAAAAAAAAAAAAAAAAAAAAAAAAGAGGTAACTGAGGCCAGGCACGGTAGCTCACGCCTGTAATCCCAGCACTTTGGGAGGCCGAGACGGGTGGATCACAAGGTCAGAGTTCGAGACCAGCCTGGCCAATATGGTGAAACCCTGTCTCTACTAAAAATACAAAAATTAGCCAGGCATGGTGGCCGGCGCCTGTAGTCCCAGCTACTCAGGAGGCCGAGGCAGGAGAATCGCTTGAACCCAGGAGGTGGAGGCTGCAGTGAGCTGAGATCGCACCATTGCACTCCAGTCTGGGTGACAGACAAGGGCAAAACTCCGTCTCAAAAAAAAAAAAAAAAGATCTAAAACTAAATTTGTTGTAACTTAGTCTTTTGACAATCCCTTTCAATCTTGTGTCTCCATTTAATCATTAACCTTCCCTCATTGGGTAGCTATAGAGAAAAGAGAGTAAAAACAGAAGAAGTGAAGAAAAGATAAAAAAAGAAAAGGTGTGTGACCTTTTCCTCTTCTCTTAATCACTGAAATAATACACCACTGATTTCCCTATGCATGGGAACTCCAGAACTTGAGCCAGTTCAAGGCAGGTGCCAGAGCAAACCTTTAATCATTGGTTGATTCAATAACCATGTCCTGTAATATTATTCTCAGCATTTGACAATGACATTACTCATAATGATTGGTATCTCTGTGTGAACATGGCTGAAAGACCAAGGCTAGGCTAATGGTCCTTTATAGACTGCACATATAAAACTGATTTTTTTTTTTTTTTTGCGATGGAGTCTCGCTCTGTCACCAGGCTGGAGTACAGTGGTGCGATCTCGGCTCACTGCAACCTCTGACTCCCTGGTTCAAGCGATTCTCCTGCCTCAGTCTCCCTAGTAGCTGGGATTACAGGCACATGCCACCACGCCCAGCTAATTTTTATATTTTTAGTAGAGACGGGGTTTCACCATGTTGGCCAGGATGGTCTTGATCTCCTGACCTCGTGATCCGTCCACCTTGGCCTCCCAAAGTGCTGGGATTACAGGCATGAGCCACCACGCCTGGCCATAAAACCGATTTCTAGTCTGTGGAAACAGCCACTCATTAAAGCATCTGGTGCCATTTGTGCACCCGCCTATTTTGCCTAGTCATTTCCCTTCTGCAAAACTCATCATCCATTTCTGATTACAGAATACTAGGTTAGTCTGTCTGCCCTTGTTTCTAGCTAATCACAAGTAGGATGTTCTGATTCTGCTAAATACCAAGGAAAATCAGGAATACAGAAGTCATAGGCTCTGACCACAGTAATGAGTGTAGGGTTTTACACATTAAGTACTCAAAACATCTGTTGAAAGAATAAATACATGTTTTTGAGAGTTGTCTTTACTACTCCAAGGTGAAAGGGTGTAGTGATAATCTGAGAGAATTTAAAAGCAATATTGGGGCCGGGTGTTGGCTCACACCTGTGATCCCAGCACGATGGGAGGCCGAGGCAGGTGGATCACCTGAGGTCGGGAGTTCGAGACCAGCCTGACCAACATGGCAAAACCCCGTCTCTACTAAAAATACAAAATTAGCTGGGTGTGGTGGCGCATGCCTGTAATCCCAGCTACTCGAGAGGCTGTGGCAGGAGAATTGCTTGAACCCGGAGGAGGAGGTTGCGGTGAGCTGAGATCACACCACTGCACTCCAGCCTGGGCAACAAGAGTGAAACTCAGTCTCTAAATAAATAAATAAATAAATAAATAAATAAATGCACTATTGGGATAATAACAGTATCTGCTCAAAGGTGTTGTTGAAGATGGAATGAACTAATATTGTGAAAATGTCCATTAAAACTTTAAAACCCTGGCTGGGTGCAGTGGCTCATGCCTGTAATCCCAGCAGTTTGGGAAGCCAAGGTGGGCGGATCACCTGAGGTCAGGAGTTTGAGACCAGCCTGGCCAACATGGCAAAACCCCATCTCTACTAAAAATGCAAAAATTAGCTGGGTGTGGTGGTGGGCACCTGTAATCCCAGCTACTTGGGAGACTGAGGCACAAGAATCGCTTAAACTCAGGAGGTGGAGATTGCAGTGAGCCGAGATCGTGCCACTGTACTCCAGCCTGGGCAACAGAGTGAGACTCTGTCTCAGGGAAAAAAAAAAAAAAAAAGGCCAGGTGTGGTGGCTCACGCCTGTAATCCCAGCACTCTGGGAGGCTGAGGTGGACAGATCATGAGGTCAAGAGATCAAGACCATCCTGGCCAACATGGTGAAACCCCGTCTCTACTAAAAATACAAAAATTAGCAGGGTGTGGTGGCTCGTGCCTGTAGTCCCAGCTACTCAGGAGGCTGAGGCAGGAGAATCGCTTGAACCCAGAAGGCAGAGGTTGTAAGTGAGCCGAGATTGTGTCACTGCACTCCAGCGTGGCGACAGACTCCTCTGTCTCAAAAAAATAAAATAAAATAAAACTTTAAAGGCCTATACACACGTTAATTAGCATCAGTATATGGGATATAAATATTATGGATAACTAGTCCAAAGATTAGGAGTCAAATATCTGCTCTTCCCCAATGGTCCCTAATTGTGTGACCTTGGGAAAGTTACTCAGAGTTGCTCTCTCAGACTTATTTTTCTCATCTGTAAAGTGGGGATATTCACACAGTTAGGTTCTTTCCATGTATAGATCAGAGAGTTAGTTAGTGCAAAATGCTTCAGAAATTGTAAAACATGATGTAGATGTTGATTTTTGTTTGTTTGGGTGATTAGTACATGATCCAGTGGACAGAATGCCAGCAGGATACACACTATTACCCCAAGAGTGACAATTTTAAAAAATACACTTCTCAGAAAGTGTATCCATTTGGGGTCCATGCATACGGTTGTTGAATCTGTGGACCCCTCAAGGGATCCACTGCCCTCCAGCCTGGCTGCCAAAGTGAAGTGTTCCAGCCACTGAGGCAGACAGAATTAAATCAACCTCATCGTAAGTATCAGGAAAACCGTCTCCCAACCAGCTCTTTCCATGACTTCTAATGGATAGCAAAATTGGAAAATTTGCATTCCCCGTGGGTTTGATAGTGATAACACTGGACAGAGAATTGTGAGCTGAGTTCAAGGCCCAATTGTACTTGCTGATTGTGTGATCACAGACAAGTCATTTATCACTGCTTAGCTGGAAAAGAGAATAATGCAATCTACTCTGCAGGACTTTTAGGAGGCTAAAGTAAGTTTGTGCATGAAATGTCATTTTGTAGACTGCAAAGCACCAAACAAATCTAAGTATTGGTATTCTTCCCAGACACTGAGGGAGATGTTACTGAGCACTAAAATTTCCTGACACGTAAACAGCAGAAGTAGAGAGAATGGGGGGGTGGGGGGAGGGGCGTGGCAGAGGTTGGGGAGCAAAAGGCCTGGATAATTCACAAACTGGAATAATCAACTCCGGAATCATATAGACTTAGCCAGCCTGGGTCCAATGTAGAGCTCTGGTAGCAACTTCAGTGGCTGGAAAATGAGGCCTATCAGGAAAAGCTGAAGGGACTGTTTCTTCTACAGAAAAGATAGATGAGAAGGAACCCGCGCTTTCCAAGTACACACAGGCAGCCTTGGGAAATGTGGCCAGCAGCTGCGCACCATTTCCACAGAGAAGGGGCTGACAGGTGTCCACTGAGGATTTGTTTGGATGGGCAGAGTGGGAGTTTTCTGTACCATACAGCAATGGGGCAGGCCAAAGCCGGCTCTAGAGCTGCTGTGAGCTGGTCATGTACTCAGCTGATAGCCCCTGGCAGGCGGAGCGGAGCAGGGGAGACAGCAGCATGGAGTTTGGTCATGTTGAATAAACAGGCTGGCCCCTCACAGTGAAAGTTTTGTCTTTGTGAGATGGAGCTAAAAGATGCCCCTAGGACAGGAACCCTACTTTGGCAGGTAGCTCACCCCAGAACTAAACTGTACTTTAATCCCTAAATTTGTTCCTTGTGACAATTTACTACAGCCTTACATAACCCTAAATACACAGCAAAATTCCGAGCTGGGCATGATGGGGCATGTCTGTAATCCCAGCTACTTGGGAGGCTGAGGTGGGAGGATCACTGGAACCCAGGGGTTCAAGTCCAGCCTGAGCAACATAGTGATAGTCATCACTCATTTATTCATTTCTTATTTTTTGAGCTGGTACTAGCGACAGTTACACACTGGTAGAAAAACCAGGGTAAATATCACCTCAGTTTTTCCATGAGGAAGTACACTGAACAAAGACAAGCTTGGTGAATAACCGTGGTATAAAGTAGAGGAATGGAAGGCCAAGGCAGGGGGATGGCTTGAGACTAGGGGTTCGAGACCAGTCGGGGCAACATAACAAGACCCTGTCTATACAAAAAATAAAAAAATTAATTAGGCTGGGCATGGTGGCTCATGCCTGTAATCCCGCACTTTGGGAGGCAGAGGCAGGTGGATTACTGGAGGTCAGGAGTTCGAGACCAGCCTGAGCAACATGGCGAAACCCAATCTCTAGTAAAAACATAAAAAGCATTAGCCAGGCATGGTGGTGGGCGCCTGCAGTCCCAGCTACTTGGGAGGCCAACGCAGGAGAATCTCTTGAGCCTGGGAGGCGGAGGTTGCACTGAGCCGAGATCATGCCATTACACTCCAGCCTGGTGACAGAGCAAGACTCTGTCTCAAAAAAAAAAGAAATTAGCCAACGTGGTGGCGCCAAACTGTAGTCCCAGCTACTCAGGAGGCTGAGACAGGACGATCACTTGAGCTCAGACAGTTAAGGCTGCAGTGAGCTGTGATTGTGCTACTGCACTCCTTTTGAGACCCCGCCTCAAAAGAAAAAAATAATAATAATAGAGAAAAAGAGAAGACCTATAAAGAGTGAGCCATGGAATCAGGGGTGGGAGCCATCTCTCCTAACTGCGGAGAAGAGAATAACGTCATAGAGGGGAGTAGCAGTGGGGTCAGGGAGTGAGGACAGGTAGCTTTTGGCAGGGCAACCAATGGCAGGAAGGGTGTTTAGGGCAGTGGCTATGGCATGAATCTTTGTGTGGAAGTGGGTATTTGATTCTTTATATTCACGGGTTTTACCATGTCTTTAACCAAAGTGTAGGCTTTTTTTTTTTTTTTTTTTTTTGAGACGGAGTTTCACTCTTGTTGCCCAGATTGGAGTGCAATGGTGCGATCTTGGCTCACTGCAACCTCAGCCTCCTGGGTTCAAGCGATTCTCCTGCCTCAGCCTCCCAAGTAGCTGGGATTACAGACATCTGCCATCACACTCGGCTAATTTTGTATTTTTAGTAGAGACGGGGATTCTCCATGTTGGTCAGGCTGGTCTGAAACTCCTGATCTCAGGTGATCTGCCTGCCTTGGTCTTCCAAAGTGCTGGGATTACAGGCGTGAGCCACTGTGCCCGGCCTTGTAGGCTTGTTAAGAACAGCGAGTGTGCATTATACTTCTTTCATGAGCTGTGCAGCTCCCAGCACAGTGTTCCCTCTATATCCATGGAATCAATGTCTCATTCTGTCCTGCTTTCCCGCTTCTTGTCCACAATTTCTCCTCAGAGACACTGCTCTAACCACATCCTTCCTCTAGGCTTTTATTTGTCCTTCACATGTTCAAATCACATCCATCTTGTGAGGCTACCTTCACTTTTTTTTTTTTGAGACAGGGTCTCGCTGTGTCGCCCAGGCTGGAGTGCAGTAGCACAATTCCGGCTCACTGCAACCTCCACCTCCCGGGTTCAAGGGATTCTCCTGCCTCAGCCTCCCAAGTAGCTGGGATTATAGGCACGCCACCACGCCTGGCCAATTTTTGTATTTTTAGTAGAGACGGGTTTTCGCCATGTTGGCCAGGCTGGTCTCGAATGTCCAACCTCAAAGTGATCCGCAGCCTCGGCCTCCCAAAGTGTTGGGATTATAGGCATGAGCCACTGTGCCCAGCCAGCCACCTTCCCTTTTTATCCTGGGGAGAAAGGACTCAATCTCCTTTGAACTCCTATTTATAAAGCTGAACCATATGAAATTTTTGTTTCTGTGGATCAAAATGGCCAAATACTGGCTATTTTATGAGGTTCAACCTAGTATACCTTCTGCTGACTCAGTGCTCAGTCTCATTTTGTAGTACTTTCCATGACTAGAATCACGGTTTCTTTCTTTTCTGGCTTTCTCCCTGCCTCCTACACCCACCCCCAACAAATGGAAGCCCCATGAGAGCAGGACCTGTGCTCTTACTCTTTGCTGTGATTCTAGTGCCCAACATACTGCATGGTACATGGTAGGAGCTCAATGTTTGTTCAGTGAACGAATGAATGCTTTGCCCTGTGGTCTGGGCATTAAACATATTTGATCTGGTTGTGGGATTGCGTAAGTCTCTCTTAGTCTTGCTTTTCTCAGCTCTAACAGTCAAGTTGTAAAAATAAATAAGTAATTAAATAAATAATAAAAAGAAAAAAAAATAAAGCCAAGTGGTGGGGTATAGCAGGTCAGTGGTTCCTCAAATCACTGGTACACTAGAAACACCTGCAAAGCGTCAAAAACACAGATTCCAGGCTGACTCCAGATCAATGGAATCACAGTAGTGTGGAGGGGCCCAGAAATCTGTAGGTATCTTTGTCTCCAAAGATGAGTCTTAGGTAGCCACTGGAATAGCTATCAAACCTGCACTTGGGCACCACCAGATTCCATACACCCACGGGGCATGAACTGCAACTGTCTTGGTCATTGCCAGGTTCTCAGTGCATGGCACAATGCCTAGCAGGTGGCAAACAGCGACAAACAATTGTTAATGCATCTTGGAGGTCTTTTTATATTTCTGAGAGCATCTTAAGGTGCCAAGGCGCATTAAGCTAGTTGAAAGAGGTCTCAGATGGATTGACCTTGAGAACCTAGGGTCCCCTTGCACTCCCACACTTCAGACACTTTTATATTTGTGGCAGTATGTAACAAGTCAGGTGATACTGAGCAATTTAGCCTCCCTGAGCCTCAGATTCTTATGTGAAAAGAGGACATTAGGTTAAATGACCACTAGGGTCCCATGGGATTGATCTTGCTTTCCATAATGACTCTACTACTTACTGTGTGACTTTGGGCAAGTTACTTAACCTCTTGTTGAAGTATCTGAAATCTTACCTCTCTTGTCACTGACTGTAAGCCCCATGAGGCTGGCAGAAACTTTACTTATCTCATTGCATGTATCTGTAACAGTGCTTGGCATACAGTCATATATATATACGTGTATATATATGTATATATATGTGTATATGTGTATATATATGTATACATATATATATATATGTGTGTGTTTGTGTGTATATACATACATTTTTTTTCTTTGTTTTGTTTTTTGAGACAATGTCTTGCTCTGTTACCCAGACTGGAGTGCAGTGGCACGATCTTGGCTCACTGCAACCTCTGCCTCCTAAGTTCAAGCAATTACTAAGTTCAAGTAATCCCAGCTACGAGGGAGGCTAAGTCAGGAGAATCACTTGAACCTGGGGGGCAGAAGTTGCGGTGAGCCGAGATCGTGCCATTGCACTCCAGCCTGGGCAACAAGAGTGAAACTCCGTCTCAAAAAAAAAAAAAAAAAAGATTTTAACAAAAGAGACAGATAAATGTTGGCAAGGATGTGGAAAATTAAAACCTTCATATATTGTTGATGGGAATGTAAAATAGAGCAGCTACTTTGGAAAACAGTTTGACCGTTTTGACATTTCCTCAAAAAGTGAAACACAGTTACCATAGGCCATTCCTAGGTACCAACCCAAGAGAATTGAAAATGTATGTTCACACAAAAACTTACACACAAATGTTCATTATAGCATTATTATTTTTGTTACTTTGAAATGGAGTTTTGCTCTTGTCACCCAGGCTGGAGTGCAATGGCACGATCTCTGCTCACTGCAACCTCCTCCTCCCAGGTTCAAGTGATTCTTCTACCTCAGCCTCCTGACTAGCTGGGATTACAGGCATGTGCCACCATGCCCGGTTAATTTTGTATTTTTAGTAGAGACGGGGTTTCTCCATGTTGGCCAGGCTGGTCTCGAACTCCCAACCTCAGGTGATCCACCTGCCTCGGCCTCCCAAAGTGCTGGGATTACAGGCATGAGCCGCTGTGCCCGGCCTATCTGTCTTTTTAATATTAGCCATCTTAGTGGCTGAGAAGTAGTATCACATCACTGGTTTGATTTGCATTTCTTTGATGACTGATGATGTTGAGAATATTTTTATGTGCATATTGGCCATTTGTATATATTCCTTAGAGAAATATTGATTGAAATAATTTACCCGTTTTATTTTTTCAGATTTTTAACTTTATTTTATTTATATATTTATATATTTATTTATTTGTTTTTCAGACAAGGTCTCACTCTGTTGCCCAGGCTGGGGTGCAGTGACGTGATCTCAGCTCACTGCAACCTCTGCCACCCATTTCAAGCAACCCTCCAGCCTCAGCCTCCTGAGCAGCTGGAACCACAGGCATGAGCCACCACACCCAGCTCATTTTGGTATTTTTTGTAGAGATGGAATTTCACCGTGTTGCCCAGGCTGGTCTTGAACTCCTGAGCTGAAAGAGATCCACCCACCTGGGCCTCCCAAAGTACTAGGATTACAGGCGTGAGCCACCACGCCTGGCTGGATTTTTAACTTTATTTGGCACTATGATGTGTTTTATTGGGGTTAGGAGGCTTGACTTAATTTAAGACAACTCAGTGCTCTCTGATAGTCTTTTATCCTAATATGAGCTTTAATTTTTCACCTTCAAAATATTTATTTTCCAGACTACAGTCCTTGATGGAACAGTCAGGAGTCAAACATCCTGCCTTCTCTCTGCTTTTTGTATTATTACATCTTCACAACCCAGGGCTTTACTGTTATTTACTCATCTTCTTTCATACGTTTAAAACCAGGCGCAGTGGCTCACACCTGTAATCCTTCAGCACTTTGGGAGGCTGAAGCAGGAGGATTGCTTGAGCCCAGGAGTTCCAGATATAGTGGCGCACGCCTGTAGTTCCAGCTACTTGGGAGGCTGAGGTGGGAGGATCACTTCAGCCTGGGAGGTTGAGGCTGTGGTGAGCCATGATCGTGCTACTGTACTCCAGCCTTGGATGACAGAGAAATACCCTGTCTGAAAAAAATAAATTTGAGCTCATTTTCAGCCCCTTGTTTCCCCTTTGCCCTTTTAAAAATGGGGTTAATTGTCCTTTTATTGTTGAGTTGTAAGAGTTTTATATATATTCCAGACACTAGTCCCTTATCAAATATATAATTTGCAAATATCTTCTCCAATTCCATGGGTTGCCTTTCTTGATGGCGTCCTTTGAAACACAAAAGTGTTAAATTGGTTTAAGTCCAATTTATCCATTGAATTAAAATAAAATGAGTTAAATTCAATTTATCTTTTTTTCTTCACTGTTTGTGCTTTTATATCTAAGAAACCACTGCTTAATCCAAGGTCACAAAGATTCACTCCTTTTTTTTTTTTTTTTTTTTTTTTTGAGACGGAGTCTTGCTCTGTTTCCCAGGCTGGAATGCAGTGGCGCAATCTCGGCTCACTGCAAGCTCCGCCTCCCGGGTTGACGCCATTCTCCTGCCTCAGCCTCCCGAGTAGCTGGGACTACAGGCGCCCGCCACCACGCCCGGCTAATTTTTTGTATTTTTAGTAGAGACGGGGTTTCACCATGTTAGCCAGGATGGTCTCGATCTCTTGCGCTGGTGATCCGCCGGCCTCGGCCTCCCACAGTGCTGGGATTACAGGCGTGAGCCACCGCACCTGGCACTCATATGTTTTCTTCTGAATTTTAGAGCTTTAGTTCTTGCATTTAGGTTTACAACTCACCTTGAGTTAATGTTTCTATATGTATATAGGTATCAAGTAGGCTCTGTCTTTAAAAAACAACCACCACAACAACATGTTTAGATGCCATGAAGTAGGTGGCAATGCCTTAACTTCATGCATGTTGTCAGGTCTGAGAGCCTCTTCCATCCTTGTCAAGAGGAGTGCTGACGTTCTCTCCTTTCATACAAAACATTATTTTTATCTTTTTTTTTTTTTTTGAGACAGTCTCACTCTGTTACCCAGGATGGAGTACAGTGACACAACCTCAGTTCACCTCCCAGGCTCAAGTGATCCTCCCATGTCAGCATCCCCAGTAGCTGGGTCTACAGGCGTTCACCACCATGCCGGGCTAATTTTCGGTGTTTTTGGTAGAGACGGGGTTTCGCCATGTTGCCCAGGCTGGTCTCCAACTCCTGAAATCAAGCAATCCAGCCGCCTCAGACTCCCAAAGTGCTAAATTTACAAGCATGAGCCACCGTAAAAAGATTTTTTTTTTTTTTTTTTTAGCCAGAGTCTCGCTCTGTTGCCCAGGTTGGAGTGCAGTGGTGCGATCTCAGCTCACTGCAACCTCCGCCTCCTGGGTTCAAGCGATTCTCCTGCCTCAGCCTCCCCAGTAGCTAGGATTACAGGTGCCTGCCACCACGCCCAGCTAATTTTTGTATTTTTAGTAGAGATGGGGTTTTACCATGTTGGTCAGGCTGGTCTCGAACTCCTGACCTCAGGTGATCTACCCACCTCGCCTTCTAAAGTGCTGGGATTACAGATGTGAGCCACTGTGCCCAGCCAAAAATCGTTTCTCATAGTGAAATTTAGCACACATATAGAAAATTATGCAAAACAAAAATGTACAGCTAAGGCTGGGAGCAGTGGCTCACGCCTGTAATCCCAGCACTTTTGGAGGCCAAGGTGGGTCAATCACTCAAGGTCAGCAGTTCGAGACCAGCCTGGCCAACATGGCGAAACCCCATCCCTACTAAAATACAAAAAATTAGCTGGGCGTGGTGGCGGGCATCTGTAATCCCAGCTACTCAGGAGGCTGAGGCAGGAGAATCACTTGAACCCAGGAGGTGGAGGTTGCAGTGAGCCGAGATCACACCACTGTACTCCAGCCTGTGTGACAGAGCGAGACTCTGTCTAAAAAAAAAAAAAATGTACAGCCAAGTAAATGATAATAAATGAACACCCTGTAACCAACACCCAGGTCAAAAAATAGATCACTGTCAGCACTCCAGAGATTCCCCTTGTGCTACTTTCTAATGGATACTCCTTCCTCCCCCATAAAGTAACTGCTACCCCTTAAGGTAACCTCATTTGCTTTTCTTAGTTTTGCTCCCTAAACATGCATCCGTAACAACAGAGTGTCACTTTGCTGGTTTTTGAAGCTTATATCAATGAAATTGTAACATTTCTGATTTATTTTATTCAACATTATTTTTGTGAGATTCATTCAGGTTTTGCAAAGAGCTTTGGTTCATTCGTATGTATTACTGCATGGTATTACACTGCATGAACATGCCATAATATTCTATTTTTGATGGTTATTTGGATTATTTACAGTTTGGGGCTTTTACAAAGAATGCTGCTATGAACATCTTTTTCTGTGTCTTTTCTGTTCAAGCATTTCTCCTGCCTCAGCTTCTCATGTAGCTGGGATTACAGGTGTGCACCACCACACCAAGCTAATTTTTGTATTTTTAGTAGAGATGGGGTTTCACCATGTTGGCCACGCTGGTCTTGAACTCCTGACCTCAGGTGATTTGCCTGTCTTGGCTTCCCAAAGTGCGGGAGTTACAGGTATGAGCCACTGCACCCGGCCTATTTTTTATTTAAAAAATTTTTTTTTAAATAAAGATGGGTGTCATTATGTTGCCTAGGCTGGCCTTGAACTCGTGGGCTCAAGCGATCCTCCTGCCTCCTCCTCCCAAAGTGCTGGGATTATAGGTGTGAGCCATCATGCCTGATCCCTCCATGTATTTAGATCATCTTTGATTTCTCTAAAGAAAAATTCTTTTTGATATAATATAATTTATTTAAAGGAAGGGAAGATCATTCAGCTTGGGTAGATATAAGGAGAATTGTTATCAGAAAAAGTCTTGGGTTAGTCAAGAAGAGATGGCATATAAGCTGAATCTTGGGGAAAAAAAGTAGGAGTAAATTAGGTAAATAGGACAGAAGTGTATTCCAGGCAGAGAAACAACACAGGCAAAGGTATGGTATCAAGAGACCATGTGATACATAACTCTAAGTAGTTTGAAAACATTGATACATAAATGCAAAGGAGAGAGTGGCAGGGGCGAATGATGTAGACGGGGCCACTGCTTGGCAAGCACAGAATACTGTAGCAAAATTTGGGGATGTGGGTAGACCTTCTAGTAGTTGACAGGCTCATCATCTTCAGGTCCTCTGTGCTATCAACCTACTCATCCGCGTTAGTGGAATTCAATGTAGTTGAAACTTCTGCTCTCTGGGTAGTTTTTTTTTTTTTTTTTTTTTTAAAGAGACAGGGTTGGCTGGGTGCAGTGGCTCACACCTATAATCCCAGCACTTTGGAAAGCCAAGGTGTCACCTGAGATCAGGAGCTCAAGATCAGCTTGGCCAACATGGTGAAACCCCGTCTCTACTAAAAATACAAAAATTACCCAGGCGTGGTGGTGGGTGTCTGTAATCCCAGCTACTCGGGAGGCTGAGACAGGAGAATCGCTTGAACCCAGGAGGTGGAGGTTGCAGTGAGCCCAGATTGTGCCATTGCACTCCAGCCTGGGCGACAAGAGCGAAATTCCGTCTCAAAAAAAAAAAAAAAAAAAAAAAGAGACAGGGTCTTGCTCTGCTTCCTGGGATGGAGTGTAGTGGTGTGATCATGGCTCACAGCAACCTCAATCTCCAGGGTTCAAGCAATTCCCCTGCCTCGGCCTCCCCACTAGTTAGGACTACACATGTGCATCATTATGTCAGGTAATTTTATTTTATTTTTTTGTATAGATGGGGTCTGGCTATGTTGCCCAGGCTGGTCTTGACTCCTGGCCTCAAGTGTTGGGAATATAGTTATGGCCACTGCACCCAGACAATGTGTTGCTTTTTTTTGAATTCTCCTGGTGACAACTGAGTTCTTTCAGGGCATTCTGGGCCTATATACATACATTTCTGTAGCGGTCATTTCAGTTGTCATTGACGCATATATGCTCCATTTGTACCATGAGGTATAGATGAACACCCAAGAGCTCTTGTCTTTCAGAGCTTCTTTTTCCCTCATGAGGACGTTGCATTTGTATTTTCTGAATTCTTGGCTTGGACTTAGGTAGTGCTGTTTCATGAATTCCCTCCAGGAAATATCCTTGCTGTGTACACACAGCCTGCATAGGATGCAAAACAGGGCCAAGAGAGTGCCCTAGATCTTTAGAGCGTGCCATCTTAGTCACCAGGGCCCCCTATCCAGATTCAATGTTCCGGTTCACTGGTTGTAGTGGGGATCAGTATACGGATCTGAAGAGCAGTATGTGTCCTCTTCCTTCTCTTGGAACCCAAGAGGTGTTTACCAGTTTATCCTAATGGATACAACCCAGGAAGAGCTGGATGGAAGAGATGCATAGGACTAGGTATGGGAGAGAAGTGTGAGGAGCTTCCATGCCTTCTGTGTTCATGCCACTCTACCAGCACCTCCACGTCGTCAGCAGTCTGGAAGCTCCTCAAAAACATTTTAAATCTGTGTACCGGCTTTGGCATCTTTTATTGGTTGTTCTTATATATTAGATATTTAATCGTTTTTAATATTATTTTAAATGGTGTTTAAAAATGTTCAAGTCCTAATTCTTTTTTTGTATGTAAGACAATGAATTTTTGTTGGACATTAACCTAGCTATTAACAGCTTAGCTAGTTAAACAACCTAGGAGCAACCCTTAACTACTGTGAGATGGGGTTCATGGATAAATACCCCTAGCTTCCTCCCTCCTCAGTAGGTTAATTCTCAGGTATGTCCTGGTCTCTCAGAGGGTTCCCAGTGGGATTGGGTCCCAGTTGCCTGTGGTAGTAAAACACTTATCAGCCCACCTTTTATTGGCATTTCTCCCACCCTTATACATTTCTCCATTCCCACACAGTGCTTCCTGCAATCACCTCCTAAATAAACGATTTACAGCCAAATCCTTCTCTCAAGCTCTGCTTTTGGGGAAACCAAATCTCAGATATGGCCTATTTCAGGGAGGCAGTCCCTCAGGTCTGAACACTGAGTAAGAGGGGTTCGTTAGCACTCCCCACTGCATTGGGTGAAACTAGACATCAATCCCTGTTATCTTAGCCCCAAGTACCTGTCAGACCTGCTCTACTTCAGCTTCTCAGTTTGTATTTCTGGAATTGACACGCATCCCAGGGGAAAAGTGGCTCCAAACAGAGGACTCACTTGGGGCTTATTCATCCCTTGGACCCTGGTTTGGTAATCCATCATTATTTTGCTAGCTTTCTTGTGCCATTAAGCAAATTTGAAGAAATATTTTGCCTAACTTTTCTAGCTGTCCTCAAAGGGAGAATTAGTTCAAATTATTAGAAAGGAGCTCCCTTTAAAAAGGAGTCTGTTTTCTAAGGTTGTATTGCACTTTGACTCTTCAAAGAGCTTCTGTTGACCCCTGCTTATCTCCATTATCTGTATTTCTTCAGCCCCCACACATGTGATGGTCTTTCACAACTCCATGCTTTTACTTGTTTTTCTCTGTTCAAAGTGTGACCCACCAAGGTGTTACAGCCCTGGGAGAGGAAAAGTCTTCCTAATATGCCATCTGGGACAACAAAAAGGTAGCAAAGCCAAGATGATTATCAAAGACCAGAGAGGCAGTTTCCCAATAGGCTGTCTAGAGGAAGCAGACCAACTTTCAACCAGGAGAAAAAGTCTCAGTCCTAGGAAACTAGGAATGGGTGAATCGAGTTGAAAGCAGGATAAAAGCATAATGAAAAGACAAAGGAGATATTTGGAAGAAAGAGAAGCAAGGCAAACTATGGGTATGGTGTGATCTGTTTGGGGGCAATTCTAAAAAGATTAGATTTAAGCCAGGTATTCTATTTGCTCAGAACATTCTTGAAAGCTCAGCTTGGCTGGGCGTGGTGACTCAAGCCTGTAATCCCAGCACTTTGGGAGGCTGAAGAGGGTGGATCACCTGAGGTCAGGAGTTCGAGACCAGCCCGGACAACATGGTGAAACCCTGTCTCTACTAAAAATACAAAAAATTAGCCGGGTGTTGTGGCGGGCACCTGTAATCCTAGCCACCCAGGAGGCTGAGGCAAGAGAATTGCTTGAATCTGGGAGGCGGAGGTTGCAGTGAGCCAAGATTGCGCCACTGCACTCCAGCCTGGGCAACAAGGTTGAAACTCCGTCTCAAAAAAAAAAAAAAAAAAAAAAGAAAGCTCAGCTTGAGTGACTTTTCTTAATTCTCTTGGCTGGAATCACTTCCTCCTTCAACCTCCACATTACTCTTCTTCCATTTATCATATAATTTTTTTCTCTATTGGCTTTGAATAGTCTGTTCCTTCTAAATTATTAACTTCTAGATGGCAGCAGTGGTATAGTGGAAAGAACAATGGAATCCAAGTCAGAAGACCGGGGTTTCAGTATCAGCTTCAGTCCTTACCTCAGGTGTTTGAGCCCCAGTGTCCTCATCTAGATAACAGGGATATTATAATTTACCCTATAGTGTGATTCAAGTATTAAAAGGTATAAGGTGTAAAAGTTGAACATAGATGGGAGGCCGAGGTGGGTCGATCGCTTGAGCCCAGGAGATCAAGACCAGCCTGAGCAACATGGCAAAACCCCGCCTTTACAAAAAATACAAAAATTAGCCAGGCGTGGTAGCCTGTGCCTGTAGACCCAGCTACTCGGGAGGCCAGTGCAGGAGAATTGCTTGAGCCTGCTAGGTGGAGGTTGCAGTGAGCCGAGGCCATGTCACTGCACTCCAGCCTGGGTGATGGGAGTGAAATCCTGCCTCAAAAAAACAAAAACAAAAACAAAAACAAAAAAAAAAACTGGAACATAGCACCAGACAAGTAAATGTTTCCATTTGCTGAGCCTACTATGTATATGAACTGTCCTAGGTGTCTGACATACATTATCTTATTTAGATCTCACTGCAACTCTGTGTAGATAGATCTATTAGTATGGAATATTTAACAAATGAGGAAAAAAGATGCAATGATAGGTTAAATCTAACTAATTTTTTTTTAAGACAGATTCTCATTCTGTCGCCCAGGCTGGAGTGCAGTGGCACAATCTTGGCTCACTGCAACCTCCACCTCCCGGGTTCGAGCAAGCAATTCTCCTGCCTCAGCCTCTGGAGTAGCTGGGACTACAGCCACACCAACACTCCTGGCTAATTTTTGTATTTTTAGTAGAGACAGGGTTTCACCATGTTGGCCAGGCTGGTCTCAAACTCCTGACCTCAGGTGATCCACCCACCTCGGCCTCCCAAAGTGCTGGGATTATGGGCGTGAGCCAGTGCACCCGGCCAAATCTAACTAATCTAAATCCAAGTAAGGCCACGTAGTTAAGTAGCAGAAACAACTGAAATTTAGATCTGGGCTGGGCGCAGTGGCTCACGCCTGTAATCCCAACACTTTGGGAGGCCGAGGTGGGTGGATCACCTGAGGTCAGGAGTTCGAGACCAACCTGGCCAACATGGTGAAACCTTGTCTCTACTAAAAATACAAAAATTACCCAGGCATGGTGGCAGCGCCTGTAATCCCAGCTACTCGGGAGGCTGAGGCAGGAGAATCACTTGAACCCAGGAGGCGGAGGTGGCAGTGAGCCAAGATCGTGCCATTGCACTCCAGCCTGGGCGACAGAGCAAAGACTCCGTCTCAAAAAAAAAAAATTTTTTTTAGATCTGTTTGGCTTGAAATCTAGCAGTGTCTACTGGTCTACCTTCCTTCCTCAGGGCTCCCAGGGACATCTAATAGTGACCTTGAAATCACTTTTTAGTCTAAACTAATCTGGGCCAATGGTTGAGCTGGTAACCTACAAAAGTGTTCCATTATCTGCCTTGAGGGTACCAGGTCTGTCCTGATTTGTAAGTATTTTTTCATAAATTTTGCTCAGAAGAACTTCCTAAGCAAAACTGTGTGTGTGTGTGTGTAATTCATTAACAGACCACCTCTGTAGAAGGAATGTCATGTTCTCAGTTTTTGCCTTCGAAGAGGTACTTTATTTTTTAAAGGAGGTCATAGAAACCTTTGAGAAGAAAGTCATGAATTGGTTCCTTAGGGAAAAAAAAACAGACTTATTTGATTAAAAAAAATTTTTTTTTGAGATGGAGTCTCGTTCTGTTGCCCGGGCTGGAGTGCAGTGGCATGATCTCAGCTCACTGCAACTTGCCAGGTTCAAGCAAGTCTTCTGCCTCAGCTTCCTGAGTAGTGGGGTTTACAGGCGCGCACAGCCATGCCTGGCTAATTTTTGCATTTTTAGTAGAGATGGGGTTTCACCAAGTTGGCTAGGCTGGTCTCGAACTCCCAACCTCAGGTGATCCGACATCCTCGGCCTTCCAAAGTGCTGGGATTACAGGCGTGAGCCACTGTGCGCCGTGGCCAAAACTCTGAAAGTGTCTTATAGTAGAAACTCGGTATAAAAGATCCTATCTCGGCCAGGCGTGGTGGCTCAGGCCTGTAATCCCAGCACTTTGGGAGGCCGAGGCGGGTGGATCACCTGAGGTCAGGAGTTCGAGACCAGCCTGGCCAACATGGTGAAACCACATCTCTACTAAAAAAGAAATACAAAATTAGCCGGACGTGGTGACACATGCCTGTAATCCCAGCTACTCCATAGACTGAGACAGGAAAATCGCTTGAACCCGGGAGGCGGAGGTTGAGGTGAGCCGAGACCGCGCCATTGCACTCCAGCCTGGGCAACAAGAGCGAAACTCCGTCTCGGGGAAAAAAAAAAAAAAAATAATAATTTTCCGTTCTGATTCCACTGATCATAAATTGAACTCCTTTGTAGAACAGGTTTATCATCTTTCATTTAAAAGTAATAAAAAATCACGAATCATTTATATCAGGAAATTAGTGGAAATTTCCACATTTTGTCTTTGGGCATGTGATGGTGGTGAGGAAACTGGGGAGACCGAGGTAATAGAAGTTGCTGCAAAGCCAACTCCAGGATCCTACTATCTCCTTCTGGAAAGGCCCTTACATAATTTCCTTACTTTTCCAATAAAAGGCTGTATATGTCTTGCCCCTTAACTGATTTTACCAACTTCACCATAAATACAACTGCGGATGAAGGATGAGAAGCAACAAGAAACCCCTAAGGATCCGCCAAATAATTAGGGCTGCCCCAGGGGAATCCGAGCGAAAGAACACAAGAGCCCCTCTTCCTCCTCGCCTCCTCTGGGACACACACTTACCCTCCCTCCCGGCAGGTTAGCCCGCAGCCTCCTCCTTCCCTAACACGTGCTCTCCGGAACACTCACTCTGGAGACATCCCACCCCCGGCGGGGCTGGGCTCGGGAGCCGAACGGACCAATCGGCACGCGCCTTACAGCGTCGTGGCCCGACAACGTTGAGCAGCCCAATCGAGGGGGCCTTGCCGCCCGTTTCCCGGAGCCCCGCCTCTCGCCGCCGCGCCCCCGCCCGCCGGTCTCCTCCCTCCTCCTCCTCCCGTTTGCCCCTCCCCCGCCGCTCCGGAGCGGAGCCTGCGAGACGGAGAAACTGGGGCAGAAGTGAAGATGGCGGCGGCAGCTTCTCGCTAGTGACGCGCGGTGCGGGCTCATCTCCTTCCCCTCCTTCCTCACCTCCCCTAGTCCGGACCCCGTCCGCCGCCGGGACCAGACCGTCCCCGTAGCCCGCAGCCAGCAGCCGCCCCTCTCCTCCCCCGGCCGCCCCTCTCCCAACGCCCGTCTGCCGCTGGCCGGCGGCGCGCCCCTGGTCCCGGCCGCCTGCCTCGCACTCCGCGCTGTCGCCGGGGGAGCGGGTGGCGTGTGGATTCGCCCTCCTGCCCGCCCCTCCGGGCCGCGGACACACGCCCGGCAGGGAGGCGGCGGCGGCCCCTGCGTATTTGCTTCCCTCCATTTGGGGACTGGGAGGCGGCGGCGGCTGTGGGTTTTGGGGAGGGGTAGAGGGCTGGGGGGCGGGCGAGAGCGGGAGGGGGCCGCCCTCGAGTGGAGGACGAGAAGGAAAGCACCATGACGTCCATCCATTTCGTGGTTCACCCGCTGCCGGGCACCGAGGACCAGCTCAATGACAGGTAATAGGGCTGGCGGGTCGGCGGGCGCGGGGGGAGGGGCGCCCTTCCCTCCCTCCCCTCCCCCACGGGCCGTGCCGGGCGGGTGCGGGTGTTTACGCGCCGGCCGGCCAGCTGGGGTGGGGTGCGGGGGTCCTTACTGCCTCCTGCTAGGCTCCTTCCGGGGCAAACTTCTCATCCCGGGGGCAGGGGGCCGCGGGGGGAGCGCGGTGTAGACGGGACTCGCGGTGTAGACTGGAGAGCGCTCTGTAAACCCCCTTCCCCCTCCCGCAAGGAGCGGCGTTGAACTCGGCGGAGATGGGGGGGTGGTTTCTGGCTCCCGGGGGGCAGGCGGTAATTACTGCCCGGCCAAGGCCCGAGGAATCCATATTAGTCAAAGTTGAATTGAGACAGACAATGCGGATGGGGGATGGTGGAGGTAAAAAGAGAGGGAAGAGGAGAAGCGGGGCCAGGGGCCCCGGGGTGGGCTGGGCTGGGCTTGTCCCGGGCCCCCGGCAGCTGTGTCCGGTGGGGTGGTCTGGACCTGGGGATCCCGGGGTCGGGTTGGGGAGAGAAGCCGATTCCCGGCAGATTGCTGGGAGCGGGCGGGGGGTGGGGGGAAGGTGATAGTTGGGGGAGGGAGTGAGGGAGGAAGCGCCATGATTATTGTTATTATTATTAAATTTGAGCCCCTGCAGTGAGGTTTGCCTGCCCCGGGAGGGGATGGATTCAAGCGGGGGTGGGGAAGTGCATTGGATTCCCTTTACTCTCCTCCTGAAATGGTGCTGGCAGCTCCTGCTACTAGCCCCTGTGGTGCGAGCTTTTTTGTTTCCTTTTCTATTCTAATGATAGTGTTTTCCTGAGTTGTAATTTGACAGCTGAAAACCGTGCGTAGAGTGTCAAAGGAAAACTCTTACGTTTGCAGTTCGCAATGCTGCTTTTCTTAACACGCTGTAAATTTCTGGGTTGGGTTTGCTATGGGCGGAGGATGAATTATGATTTTATTTTATGTTTTGTCTTTTATAGGCTGTTTTGGTTTGGATTTCTCCTTTTCTTCCGCCACCGTTCCTTGCCAGTTTAGGATATTGAATTGCAGTGCCGCATGCTCTCAGGGAACTGAGATAAGGCAGGAAAAGTTCCTTCACTGTTGGAAAACAGACTCAGGAGGTTGAGGGAGGCCTCCATTAAAGCATGTCTTAGAATCTAAGACTCAGATCTAATGATGGGCTAAATGTTTACAGGATCACAAAGTGGAGCATTTTAAGTCTTCCTCTCTCCCAGTACTTCACTGCTCTCTACATTTCTTTTGCGTATAGAAGGCCATCTGGTCCCAAGTTTAGAAGTTACATAGAATTTTTGCTAAGTGACCGGGTGACTTAAGTTGCATGATGCCCTGTTTGTCATGCGCTTCCCAGAGGGAGGAAGAGGCCTAACTTGCTGCTGAGATACTGGCCTCTTGTGTCAGTGTATCTAACCGCCTCAAGTGGAGCAGACAGCTTTTAAATCCAGAGCTGGCGGTTTAGTTTCTGCACTTGGTTCGGATTTGCCTAATCTTTGCTGTAGCCATATTGTATTTAACATGTTTGGGAATCTTTTGAAATACTTACTGAAAATACTAACTACTCAGAGTTGTCACATAGTTCCTTTAAATTCTGAAATAACTTTTTAGTTATTTAACATTTTGTTATGTGGTTCTTAGCCTGACTTTACTTCATTAAAGATCTTTTGGAGACATTAACATAAAATTTTTTGGTAAAATTTAGAAACAGGCTAGTAGTGAGGATAGCTCTACGGTCATTAACAGAACCATGTTGGTAGTGCTTGTCTTGTTACTTAGAAAACCGCACCAGAGAGAAGAGAGGTAGGGCATGTTTTCTATATTAGTCCTAACTTTATGTACCAAGAAACCTGACTAGCTTACTCAGTTGGCTGTGCATGCCAAAACCTATTTTGCGGTTGTGTTGGGCACTTTGATTCATTTTTGAGCATTCCTTTTGCTTCAGCTATTTGAGAAATTTACAAGTAATGTATCTTTTTAAATGCTAACTCTTCTTTTTCCATTCCTAGTATAAACAATCAGCTTTGTTTGATTCTTCTATCATTATACAACATTAAAAATATTTAGATCATAGTGACTTTTAATTTCATGAAATTAGGAAAAAAGTAGACTTGAGTCATAACATGTGCATCAAGGTGGCAGATATTTGAAAAATAGAAAGGTGCCGTAGGTGAAATTATAAAGAGCTATATGGTTGTATCTAGTAGCGGTAAACATGTCTTGCCTTTTGAGATTTGTGAAGGCAGCATTTAAGATAGGCACATATCCTAAGTTTTGAAGTAGCTGATTTGTGGCAGGAGCTGTTCTGTGTTTCCCTTTCAAAAGGAGGGCTCCTTTTTGCATACCTACTTGTAATAGGATCAACCTGTCACTTGAGAAAAATCTGTTTCCAAAAGAGACTGGTTTTCTGGAACCTTTTAATTAACTAGAATAAGCGTATTTTCATCTAAAGATAAAAACTTTACCAAGTTTTAGTAAGTTGGGGCAATAAAAAAGCTACTGCTACTGTAGCTTGACTTTTTTTATTATGAGAAATGTATGAGAGTCACAAATAAAATGATAATCATAGTTATGTATGAAAAGGGTGTAAATAGACTTTATACTTTGGAATAAAAGTAGTAAGATTAGACAGGCAGAATGGTACTGCAAATAAATTGCTCAGCTGAAGAAAACTTGGTCCTCAAAACAGTAGTGTTTTCTTCAAATACGTTTTCTTTCTTTACCCACATCCTCTTAAAAAGTCAAATATTTTGTTCAGCATCATAGTCTGATGTCTCAAGTGTCTAAAATGTACAAAGCATAAAAAAGTATCTTTTTTTCATAATTTGTGTTTTCAGACTTGCCAATAATGAATAATAATGATGCCAGGATGAAATTGACAAATACAGGTGGGGATGGCTGGGGTGGAAAGAAGAGGATGTTGGCTGTGACTTCCCAGAATGATTACAAGGTGCCTGGCACAGAATGCTGGGCCCTCAAGCAAATATTCATTGAGCTGAATTGAAACCATTCAGTGCTCAGATACTTTGGACATTTTGATCTCCTTTCCAATGGATTTCTTGAGTTAGTACTACGTTCCTGCTTAAAACATTGTCTCAGAGAAACAGTAAAACAATATAAAGAATGTGGTTCGTCGAGCTTGAGGGGAGAGCTGAAAGGCCTGCCTCACTAATAGCCTGGAAAGTGCCTCACTAATGAGCTGAAAAAATAGGCACAGAGATTTACAGTGTTTATGCAGGGATACAACTACTGAGAGACAGCTGAGGTCCACCTGATGGGTCTTCTGACTTTTCTTTAAAGTCCAGGGCTCCATTCCACTTCACGTGGCTTGTATTCCAGAATGGTTCTGCTGTCTCAGACATCCCAGCCTTCAGGCAGTGTGGCCACCTGTCTTAGTGTTTTGATTCCGTTTTCCCCTCAACTGCTCTTTCCAGGGCTCCTAATGGGTTTATGCCTTTTTTTCAGAGGCTGACGCTCTTAACCTTTTCTTGGTACTAGGTTAGGATAGGTCTTCTTAAGGTGATGTGGTTATGGCATTTATTGTCCTTGTCCTGAATTATTCCTCAAGATGCAGGTTAGTTACGAAACAAACCAGTTCTTATTGCTTGTCTGTATGTGGAATTTTCCTGTGAGATTTGCCTTTTGGCATTACAACGTATTGTGCAGTCATAAACAGTCTTTATTGAGATTGTCATATCAAAAGGATTTTTCTCTAAGCTTAGAGTTTCCCTTTCAGGTGTCATAACACAAGGTAAGATACTATAGACAGGAGTTTCAAACTCTGCGCTGGTAGCCTAGTCATTTAACCTCTTAGAACCCCCCACATCAATCTCTGAATTAGGTGTAGCACTCTCCTCAAGGTCAGGGAGGAACAGTTGAGACAGTAGATGGGAAAAGATCAATATTATAATGTGGATTCTACGGAAAACATTACGAAGAGATGGTTACTTTTAACTTTTTACGTGTTGCCTGGTTTCCAGATAGCAAAGCAGGAACTCAAAAGAGTTGCCCTAGAATATCCTTAGCATTCAGAGCAGAATCGACTCTTAGTTCTAGATTAGTACTTCTCAGCTTGGTGTGATTTTGCACCCTCCACACACAACCCCCTCCCCTTATTGGGCAGTGTCTGGAGACATTTTTTATTGTCACAGCTGGGGCATTGCTACTGGCCTCTAGTGGATGGAGGCCAGAGATGCTGCTAAACATCCTATAATGCATAGGATAGCCCCCACAACAAAGAATTACGGGGTCCAAAATGTCAGTTGTGCTAAGGTTAAGGAAGCCCATCCTAGATGATCTTCAATGCATTTGGTTGTAAAAATAAGTGAAAATGACTTTTATGAAGAATATTTCAAGCAATATACGTTCTTTTTTTTTTTCTTTTTTGAGACACAGTTTTGCTTTGTCTCCTAGGCTGGAGGCAGTGGCCGGATCTCGGCTCAATGCAACGTCCACCTCCTGGGTTCAAGCGATTCTCCTTCCTCAGCCTCCCAAGTTACAGACGCATACCACTATGTCTGGCTAATTTTTGTATTTTTAGTAGAGATGGGGTTTCGTCATGTTGGCTAGGCTGCTCTTGAACCTAACCTCAGGTGATCCATCTGCCTCAGCCTACCAAAATGCTGGGATTACAGGCATGAGCCAATGTACCTGGCCGCAATATATATTCTTAATTTTTAAAACATGACTGTTTAAATTAAGATTAAGGCCCGGCCAGTGGCTCATGCCTGTAATCCCAGCACTTTGGGTGGCTGAGGCGGGCGAATCACTTGAGGTCAGGAGTTCGAGACCCCTTAGCCTGGCCAACATGGTGAAACCCCATCTCTACTAAAAATACAAAAATTAGCTGGGTGTGGTGGTGGACGCCTGTAATCCCAGCTACTCAAGAGGTTGAGGCAGGAGAATTGCTTGTGCCTGTGAGACAGAGCTTGAGCCCGTGAGGCAGAGGTTGCAGTGAGCCAAGATCGCGCCACTGCACTCCAGCCTGGGCGACAGAGCAAGACTCTGTCTCAAAAAAAAGGAAAAAAAAATTAATTAAGATTGATTAAAATTAAATAAAAATTTAAGTCACTTCATCTGTAGCTAGTCACATTTTAAGTGCACTGTAGTGCCACGTAGCTACTCACTACCACATTGGACAGTGCAAATACAGAGCAGTGCCATCATCACTGAAAGTTCTCTTGGATAGTGTTGGCATAGAAAGTGTGTTTTTGCACAAGTCTTGGCATTCAGTGAGTGCTCATTATGTTTATTAAGAACTTTGAGGTTTTAAAGACTCAGGCATATCTTCACTCAGTAGGAGCCAGAAAATATGCCAGGGATTATATGAAGCATAACAAAGGTTGTGGTGAGTAGAGGTTATAATAGTTGAAAGCTGCTTGAAATTTTATTGTGGTGCACCAAAAAACAAAAAAACAAAAAAATCAATAAAAAAACCCCCCAGACATTAGGTTGTGTGGGATGGAGCATCATATTACCAAATCAGTGAAAAATCTCACCATTTGATTATTGAGATTGTTACCTAAAAGCAATACTAAATGCATTATGCCAGGTGCGGTGGCTCATGCCTGTAATCCCAGCACTTTGGGAGGCTGAGGTGGGCGGATCATCTGAGGTCAGAAGTTTGAGACCAGCCTGGCCAACATGGTGAAACCCCATCTCTACTAAAAATACAAAAATTAGCTGGGCATGGTGGTGCATGCCTGTAGTTGCAGCTACTCAAGAGGCTGAGGCAGGAGAATTGCTTGAACCTGGGAGGTGGAGGTTGCAGTGAGCCAAGATTGCGCCACTGCACTCCAGCTTGGGTGACAGAGCGAGACTCCATCTCAAAAACAAAAACAAAACCAAAAACAAACAATAAAAAACCAATACTAGATTTATTGTATTGGAAAAGTACAGTCTGGCCTAACTAAAATGTTTAAATGAATTTGCTTAAGTAAGATTAACAGCAGGGTGTAGAATAGCCAAGCAAAATAGAAAATCAAAACAAAGGCAGAGCAATTTTATAAATCAGGATATCTGTGACTGAATCATAGGCCTAGGAATAAACAGACACTTGTGAAGAAAATTACAGGATACACAGGAATACGACTAGGAATAATAGGTGAAATTAGGAAAGGTCAGGGTTTTTTCCCCTAACAATTAGACCATTAGGTTATTTAGGAAATAGTTTCCAAAGGAAAATTTAATTGCTGAAGACTGAGTTACATGGACGTAGATCTTATAAGGTATATTAAAGGAAGCAATTTTATGTTACAGGAGGATGTACTTAATGTCTCCCCTCCCTCATTTTATCATACATATTTATTTTGTTTTTTGAGTCTCGCTCTTGCCCACGCTGGAATGCAGTGGTGCCATTTTGGCACAATCTTGGCTCACTGCAACCTCCGCCTCCCGGGTTCAAGCGATTCTGCTGCCTCAGCCTCCTGAGTAGCTGGGAGTACAGGCGCACGCCACCATACCTGGCTAATTTTTGTATTTTTAGTAGAGATGGGGTTTCACCGTGTTGATCACGCTGGTCTTGAACTCCTGACCTCGTGATCTGCCCACCTAGGCCTCCCAAAGTGTTGGGATTACAGGCGGGAGCCACTGCGCTCGCCCATATTATACATATTTCTAATTAAGAAAACAGACTCTAGTTAGCATCCATGTTTCTGTCATTTTGACTCCTTGGCATTCTGGTCATGTGAAAATAGCCTCTTCTCTTGGCTCACTGTGGTTATGAATTGTTGGTTTATTTTTAGAACTGGTTTTTAAGTTTTCCCCTGAGTATTATTTTTAAGCCTTTTATTTTGGAAAATTTTAAGCATATACAAGAGTAGAGAGAATAGTATGATGAACAACCATGTTCCCATCACACAGTCTTAACAGTTGTCAACTCATGGCCAATCTGATTTCAACTCTCTCCCCATTTATTCTCCTCTATCAGGTAATTTAATTGCTGTATCTTCACTATATATTTCAAAATATGAAGCCTTTAAAAAAAAACCTGAAAAAACCTTAATAACAAAATTGCCCAGATTTTCCTGTTGTCTCATAAATGCTTATTTCTGATTGACAATTTTGATAATTTTACTTAATAAAGCTGATTGGGTTCTAACATGTTAAAAAATTTGACATTTGTAGAATAACCTTAGAATTTGGATTGTAACCTTAGAAGAAGGGGCCACTGGGGAATTATTTAGTTCCTTAAAGCTCAGTGCTGTAACTTTTTTTTTTTTTTTTTTTTTTTGAGATGGAGTTTCGCTCTTGTTGCCCAGGCTCGAGTGCAGTGGCGTGATCTCTGCTCACTGCAACTTCCGCCTCCCGGGTTCAAGTGATTCTCCTGCCTCAGCTTCCCAAGTGGCTGAGATTATAGGTGTGAGCCACCACGCCTGGCTAATTTTGTATTTTTAGTGGAGACGGGGTTTGACCATGTTGGTCAGGCTGGTCTCGAACTCCCGACCTCAGGTGTTCACCTGCCTTAGCCTCCCAGGGTGTTGGGATTACAGGCGTGAGCCACTGTGCCAGGCCTCAGTGCTATAACTTCTTAACCTCCGGTATGACAGCATTTTTTGTCAGCAGTCACTTGTAATTGTTAGATAAGGATGATAAGACAGGATTCTTGAAATTCAGTGATTTTTCCATGGGGTCACTTTGAGAAATAAGATTGTCATGTGAAAAGTTTGCAGCATTTTCATGAACTAATAGACAGGTGAGGTATTAGTCAATTGAACTTGGCTATAAGAAATTATTCTCTGAGATCATATTTCTTATTACTTTCTTGAGACAATCAGTGTAGTGGTAACAAAACCCCTTCCAAATTAGAAATACGATAAATTCTTAGATAACCATGCTTTGTAACATTGTCATTTTGTCAGGATATTAAAGAAGGTATTAATATTTAATGTTATTTTACTTGTAAATACACAATTTATGTTACTTGCACAGCTAAAGTACTGTTATTTGTTCAATTTCTGACAGTATCACTTAATAAAATGTCTTTGACTCTTTCATCTTTATTGAGTTATACTTTACATTCAGTAAAATTAACCCATTTTAGGTGTACAGTTTGATGAATTTCGGCAAATGTGTACAGTTGTGTAATCACCACCACAATCCAGGTACAGGACATTTTCATCACCCCAAAAAGTTACCTGGTTTCCCTTTGTATTTTCAGTCACTTCCCCCTAGGCTAGGTCCTGGCTACCTAGCAACCATTGTTCTGCTTTCTCTCACTGTAATGCTTTTCCTTTTTGAATTTCATAGAAATGGAATCATGTGTCTGTTTTCTTTTGCTTAGAACAGTGCTTTTGCAACAGATCTGTGTTGCAGCATGTAGTAGTTTCTTCTTTTATATTAAAAGTAGTATTTTCATTGCTTGACCTGGGAAGGTGGAGGTTGCAGTGAATCAAGATTGTGTCATTGAATTCCAGCCTGGGCAACAGAGTGAGACTCTGTCTCAAAACAAACAAAAAAAGTAGTACTTATTTCATGACTGTACCACAGTTTTTAAATCTGCTTTCTAGCTGATATAAATTTGGGTAGTTTACTCTTTCTAGCTATTCTCTAGTCTTTATTTTTTTCTTGTTTATTTATTATTTTAATTTTTTTTGAGACAGGCTCTTGCGCTATTGCCCAGGCTGGAGTGTAGTGATGTGAACATGGCTCACTGCAGCCTTGACCTTCTGGGCTCAAGCGATCCTCCTGCCTCAGCCTCCTGAGTATCTGGGACTACAGGCTTGCATTACCACATCTGGCTAATTTTTAATTTTTTGTAGAGATGGAGTCTCTCTGTGTTGCCCAGGCTGGTCTCGAACTCCTGGGCTCAAGCAATTATCCCGTCTCAGCCTCTCCAAGGTGCTGGGATTACAGGCATGAACCACTGTGCCTCGCCTTATTTATTTCTTTAAAATTAGAGACATGGTCTTGCTGTGTTGCCTAGGCTGGTCTCAGACTCCTGGCCTCAAGCTGTCTTCCCACCTTGGCCTCCCAAAATGCTGGGATTACAGGCAGGAGACACCATGGCTGGCCTGAAGTTTTTCTTGGCTTCAATTTATCACAATGTTTTTCATAGGAAAAGTCCACTGATAATAAAAACCTAGATTTTTCTTGACAGCAAATTTTTGTGTTAATTAAAAAACATACTAGTATATGTAAAAAGATTATATTTTAGAATTCCATTAAATGTAATGGTTGTATTCTAGATTGCTAGTTATAAAGATGATGATAGTGGCTAGTCGACAAAGCACTGTGATGAATGGATCAGTAGATAAGTTTTTATTTTCTTCCCCATGAGTTCAGGCTCCATTTCTGTGATATAGAAGTGTCGAGAACCTGCCGTTTCAAGAAATTGGCTCTGCTCCAGCATGAATCTGCTGTTCAGAATTCAGGCGATGAGGTATTCCAGGTCTTTACTTGAATTCAGATACCAGGTCTACCTCACAGACAACCTGGAACTCCAGAGATGGCCTTAACTGTGTCTCCAAGACTCTTACTTAGGGACATGGTGGAAATTCATTTGGGTGTTTTCCGTGACAGCCTCCTTGTTATGAAGTGAGAAGTGGAGGAAGATGGTTTTTTAAGCCTTAAGAAAAGCTAAATTTGAGATTAGGAAGTTAATTTGATGGAGAAAGCTAAGAAAGCCCAGACAATATGGTAGGGTTATTTTAATTTCTAAATGATGAAAACAGAGTTTTATATGGAAGGCTTTGGGGAGAGGGGTATTAGATTGTTCAGCTGATTATCTGTTCTCTTATGTTGTAGTAGTGGCTTTGTTTCTTGTCCAGAAGTAATTCGAACTTGTCCAATTATTGCTCTGTAACATCATCTGCCTCTACAAACCCTGCTTTAAGTCTTTTAAGGAAGCATCAGCAATCAAACGATTTTTATGAAATTGTGGGTGAGTGTAGTTTATAAACATTCATTCTCTTTCTCTTTTTTTTGAGACAAGGTCTCACTCTGTCACTCAGGCTGGAGTGCAGTGATGCAATATTGGCTCACTGCAATCTCAATCTCCCAGGCCCAGGTAGTTCTCCCACCTCAGCTTCCCTAGTAGCTGGGACTACAGGTGCGTGCCACCACACCTGGCTAATTTTTGTGTTTTTCATAGAGATGGGGTTTCAGCATGTTGCCCAGGCTGGTCTCAAACTCTGACACTCAAGTGATTCTCCTGCCTCAGCCCCCAAAGTGCTTGGATTATAAGCATGAGCCACCATGCCTGGCTAAACATTCATTCTCTTAATAGGCTTATATTTCTAGTGATGTTTAAACTTGTCTTCATCTCCAGGAAATCCTTAGGTGTTTTCCTTAAGTGATTGTGTTTTTTCTGCTTATCAGGTATTCTGATTATTACATGTAGATTAGAGAATAATTGAGTAGGGGGAGTATGGGCAGTGGGACCTTTTGTTTCTGTAGTTGTTTTTTGGGGGAAGTACTTTTTTTTTTTTGCCTCCTATAGTCGCCAATAGAAGATTAACCCAAATTCCTGCTACCTGAGACGATTCCTGGTAGGATTTTGTCACTGCCTAGGGGATGCAGAAACAGAAATGAGTGACTTCTGTAGTGTAGGTTGGCAGGCCATGGTTTGCAGGTCAGAGATGACATGTGGACTGATTTTGTTGGCATCTGTTCATCTTTCTGCTACTTTTGAGAGCTGAGAGCTACTGAAGAGTACATACGACACTTGCCTGCAGAGACAGGAGTCAGTACTGTAGTACAGTACAGGAATTAGCAGCCACCCCATACCATCCCTGAATGTTTCTGGTTTCATGAAACTCTAGAGTGGCAGGGACTCGAGGACAGTTGGTATTTTGCTTTTCTCTAGGGTCTCTCTGCTCTTCAGAGGGCTCTGGGAATGTAAAAGCTTCTTCAATTGACATGTAGATTCAGTCTTTGTCTTCCTTTGGTCAATTTTAAGACATTATTGAGAGGTAATAGCATTTTTTGGGGATCGGGGACATGATATGGTTAAGCTTTTTTAAAGTAGAAGGTTTTTCGGACAGTTGAATTGAAATTATTGTATGAGTAACATAACCTAGTCAAATTGTAGTAAAATCATGGATTGTGGTGGCTTTTCCCAGTTAGGAGGTCTCTTGATTTAAAACAGTGCTTCTCATGGGATGGACCGTCATCAGGAGCAGCAAAACTTGAAGACCACTGAGTAAAAAGGCTCTTTTACCCTCTTTTCTTTGTCTTAACATTGATTGATGATGGCAAATAGGGCCAAACTTGCCAGTTCTTCACTGCCTCCAACCTTCCTTTTCCCCTTAGACTTACAGGTTTTATACCTGTCTGTTTGAGAATAGGGTATTTTCCTGTTCCTTGATTTTGTGTGTCTCTCTCTAAGCTAGAGTAGTTTATTTTTGTTCGCTTCTTTTTTTTTAACCACGAAATTGGAAAAATTTAGATTAAGTTACATAAATTCTAGGTCCTCTACACAACTGTGAGATACTGAAAGGATAGCTTTTTAAAATGCATTTCGGTGCTTGTAAGGTCACAGTCTAGTTGGGAGAAATGAGGCTCATCCATAGATAGTAGCACTATGAAAGACTGCTACAAGAGGTAGAGTTTGGGCTGTGTAAATATTTGCCATGCTATTGCTTGCACAGAGTTTGAGAACAGTGTTAGATTAGTTTTTCTTGTTGAGTAAATGCTTGTGTGCTTCTCATGTGCAAAAAGTGTGCTAGGCCAGGGATAGCTGGTGTGTTTCAATTGCCACACCAAACCGTCCTGAAACTTCGGGTTGAGACGTGTTTGGAACTTTTTCTGGCTCAGGGAGAAAGCTTGGAGAAGAGTGAGGTTATAGATTAGCGAGCTCAGGGAGTGGCATCAGGTGGGTATGCCATGTATTGTTTTTCTACCTTTCTTTTTTTTTGAGACAGGGTCTTGCTGTGTTGCCTAGGCTGATCTTGAACTCCTGGGCTCAAGCAACCCTCTTGCCTCAGCTTCCTGAGTAGCTGGGATTACAGACAAGTAGCTAGGATTACAGGTGAGTGCCACTGCACCTAGCTTGTTTTTCTAACCTTTTATTTTGAAATAATTACAGACTCAAAAGAAGATGCAAAATTGGTACAGAGGGGTACCATGGATCCATCACCCAACTTCCTTCAATGGTAACATATTATGCCAGATATTTTTGGCATCCATGTCAAAATACTAGAGATAGAGACATTTTCCCCATGTGCATTTTTGATTTTTTTTTTTTTTTTTTTTTGAGACAGAGTCTTGCTCTGTCACCCAGGGTGGAGTGCAGCGGTGCCATCTCGGCTCACTGCAACCCCCACCTCCTGGGTTCAAGCAATTCTCCTGCCTCAGCCTCCTGAGTAGCTGGGACTACAGGCGCCTGCCACCACGCCCAGCTAATTTTTTGTAATTTTAGTAGAGACTGGGTTTCACCATGTTGGCCAGGCTGGTCTCGAACTCCTGACCTCGTGATCCACCCGCTTTGGCCTCCCAAAGTGTTCGGATTACAGGTGTGAGCCACTGCACCCAGCCAAAAATTGTTTAAGATAACATAGATTTGAAGACATAGTTTAAAGAAAACTTTGCCTTTTTAGATGTGATTGTAAATTGATGAGATATAGGCTGGGCATAATGGCTCACGCCTGTAATCTCAGCACTTTGGGAGGCCGAAGCTGGCTGATCACCTGAGGTCAGGAGTTCGAGACCAGCACGGCCAATGTGGCGAAACCCTGTCTTTTTACTAAAAGTACAAAAATAAGCCGGGCATGATGGTGAGCACCTGTAATCCCAGCTACTTAGGAGGCTGAGGCAGGAGAATCACTTGAACCTGGGAGGTGGAGGTTGCAGTAAGCCGAGATCGCGCCATTGCACTCTAGCCTGGGCGACAGAGTGAGACTCCGTCTCAAAAAAAAAAAAAAATTTGATGAGATAATATATATTATGTAGTGATTTAAATTTTTAGACAGTCTGATGTGGTGGTAGATAGAATGTAAGTTGGAGTAAGCAGGATCGTGAATTTGTTCTTTGTATCCGACACTAACTGGCCATATGATGATATGACCTTGAGTAAATGATACAACTCATTTGTAAAATGAGAGAGTTGGGCTAGATCATTTGGTCTTTTTTTAACTCCTGTTTCCATGCCCTTGTGATTGTGGTAGGGAATAGCTTTTTTTCATCATATACCTGTTTGCCATTTATATGTCTTTTGGGAAATGTCTATTCAGACCTTTTGCTCATTTTTAATTAGATTATTAGATTTTTTCTTGTAGAGTTGTTTGAGCTCCTTAGATATTCTCATTATTAATCCCTTATCAGGTGGATAGTTTGTAAATATTTTCTCCCATTTTGTGTATTGTCTCTTCACTTGGTGGATTGTTTTCTTTGCTTTGCAGAGCTTTATATTTTTATTTTTTGAGATGGAGTCTTGCTCTGTTGCCCAGGCTAGAGTGCAGTGGCGCGATCTCGCCTCACTGCAACCTCTACCTCCTGGGTTCAAGTGATTCTCCTGCCTTAGCCTCCCGAGTACCTGGGATTACAGGCGCCCACCACCATGCCCGGCTAATTTTTGTATTTTTAGTAGAGACAGGGTTTGACCATGTTGGCCAGACTTGTCTTGAACTCCTGACCTTGTGATCCAGCCTCCTTGGCCTCCCAAAGTGCTGGGATTACAGGCATGAGCCACCACGCCCAGCCTGCAGAAGCTTTTTAACTTGACGTGATCCCATTTGTCCATTTTTACTTTAGTTGCTTGTGCTTGTAGGGTATTACTCAAGAAGTCTTTGCCCAGTCCAGTGTCCTGGAGAGTTTTCCCAGTTTTTTGGGGGGAAATTTCAAACTTTGAGCTCTTAGATTTAAGTTTAATGCATTTCAGTTTGATTTCTGAGTATGGTGAGAGACAGAGGTCTAGTTTTATTCTTCTGCATATGGACATCCGATTCTCTGAGCACCATTTATTGAAGAGACTGTTTTTTCCCCAGTATATGTTCTTGGCACCTTTGTTGAAAATGAGTTCACTGTAAATGTATGGATTTGTTTTTGGGTTCTCGTTTCTGTTCCATTGGTCTGTGTGTCTGTTTTTATGCCAGTACCATGCTTTTTTGGTTACTATAGCTCTGTAGTATAGTTTGAAGTCAGGTAATGTGATTCCTCCAATTTTGTTATTTTGCTCAGGATAACTTTGGCTATTTTGGGTCTTCTGTGGTTCCATATAAATTTTAGGATTGTATTTTCTATTTCTGTGAAGAATGTCATTGGTGTTTTGATAGAGATTGCATTGAATGTATAGATTGCTTTGGGTAGTATAGACATTTAACAATACTGATTCTTCCAATCCATGAACATGGAATATTTGGAAAAGGGTTTTTATATTATAGAATTACTTGGAGAAAGAACTGTGAATCTATGATTGTCCATGATTTCTTTTACTTAATTATGTTGATGAATGGAAAATAAGTGAACAAGGGAAGTGGGAAAAAGATTTTTTTTTGTTTGTTTGTGGTAGAGTTTCGCTCTTGTAGCCCAGGGTGGAGTGCAATGGCAATCTCGGCTCACTGCAACCTCCACCTCCTGGGTTCAAGCAATTCTCCTGCCTCAGCCTCCCGAGTAGCTGGGATTACAGGCGCCCGCCACCATGCCTGGCTAATTTTTTGTATTTTTAGTAGAGACGGGATTTCGGCATATTGGCCAGGCTGGTCTCGAACTCCTGACTCCTGACCTCAGGTGATCCATCTGCCTTGGCCTCCCAAAGTACTGGGATTACGGGCGTGAGCCACCGCACCAGGCTAGATTTTTATTCTTTAACTCAGTACAACAAATACTTTGCCAGCTAACCTGTGTATACACTGGAATACAAAGATGGCTGGCCTCTGCCCTCATGGAGCTTTCAGTTTGATGAGGAGACAGACATGTAAAGAAGGAATTAAGTGCTAATTGATATATAAGTGATAGGGAAGAAGGATCTAATGGTTGTGTAGGAAAGACTTTGAAGACTAGGTTGCAGGATGTGGGGACTGGTTTATCCTCTTCAGTTTTCTTGAGCTGGGTGAATTTTGGTTTATAGGCATTGATGGAGGGAAGATAGGATATCTGAGCCTTGCAGAGAGTCTTTTTGCTCATTGTGCACAGGCTGGGATTGACTATGTGGCCTCTTCAAATGCTGTTCTCACAGAGATACTTAAAAATGAGACCAGGCCGGGCGTGGTGGCTCACGCCTGTAATCCCAGCACTTAGGGAGGCCGAGATGGGCAGATCACGAGGTCAGGAGATCGAGACCATCCTGGCCAACAAAGTGAAACTCCGTCTCTACTAAAAATACAAAAAAATTTGCTGGGCATGGTGGCGTGTGCCTGTAATCCCAGCTACTTGGGAGGCTGAGGCAGGAGAATCGCTTGAACCGGGGAGTCGGAGGTTGCAGTGAGCCGAGATCGCGCCACTGCAGTCCAGTCTGGTGACAGAGCGAGACTCTGTCTCAAGAAAAAAAAAAATATATATATATATGTGTGTGTGTGTGTGTGTATATATATATATATGTGTGTGTGTGTGTGTATATATATATGTGTGTATATATATATATTTGAATTTAGATATATCTGTTAAGTTTTGTAATAAAATTTTATCTATCTTTGGAAAGTTTGTTTTATGATATTGACACTAATTATCAAGCAATTCCTGCAGAATTTGAAGAGTGATACTGTGTATCCGAAAGATACTGTGTACCTACCACAGACAGGCCCTATGGAAGACAGCTCTGAGAACTGGAAAGACTGTAGAGTTGGAGTTAGGAGGCTTGGTCATTCCACTAAACAGTCACATAGTCATTTTCATGCAGTGAGTTTCATTTTACTCATTTGTAAGATGAGGAGGTGTATTTAATGTCTGAAAGTTCATTTCAGCCTTGAATCTGTGTGACTGTAGAGCTATAGATACTGTTTTATGAGTTACATTTGATATATGTTGGCCAGTTCTGCCATTTTAAGGTTTGATTCTTATTTCCTGCCTCAGACCTGCTCTTCTGCTTTTTTTGTACTTACTCTAATAGGTATTTAGGAGTAGTGGGCAGAAAATAGAGCTTTCTAAGCTCTTGCCGTCTGGTTAGTTTAACTGAAGAGGAGCTCTTAAAAAACATGCCCAGGTCTTCTGTATTGCTCCCCCACCCCTTCCCCCTTTATTTGATTTTATTTTTGACATGGAGTCTCACTCTGTCACTCAGGCAGGAGTGCAGCTTTATCAAGTATATGATAAAGCAAAAGCACATTGATGATGGCATATCACCTTCTGAGTTTGAAAATGTTTGTTTACCTTTGATTTCTAATGGATTAAGAGTGTTGCTCTTGTTTTTTGGAAATGCTGTTTATTAGGTCCTAGTACTGCCACATGCTCAATGAGAAACTTTTTAACTTCTGTTTTCCAGGAAACCCATTGTTCTGTGTATTAGACTGTAATAGATATTACCTTGTGACTTGACACTGCTGAATAGAATGTTTTGAGATGTTTCATCAAAACTTTACACCAAGGACGATTTTAGGATTTTATTTTATAGCTGAGGAAACTGAGGGCCGGAGTGCTTAGATTAGTTAAGTGGCAAAGACTCCACCCTACATTAACTTAGCCTTATTGCTTTTCCTTTGAAAAGGGTAGAGGAAGTTACTTGTTTTTCTATGTGTGTGTGTATGTAATTATATATTAATGTGAACACACACTGTTTGTGTGTATGTATGTTTGTGTATATATGTAATTATAAATATGAATACACTGTGTTTGTGTATATGTAAACAGGTACGTGTGTGTGTGTGTATATATATAAATAGATATATGTGAAATCATTAAAAGAGTGTTTATTCAGCAAGATTTGGGGGCGTCTGCTGCCTGTCAGTTCTAGTCTTGGGTGTCTGGTGGTGGTGTTTGGTTCATGAAAAAGAGACAGTTACAGGACAGTGTGACAAGTACAGTGAAAAGGGAAAGTTCAGGATTCTTCACTAGAAGCACCAGTTCAGTCTTGGGCAGGGGAAAAGCTTACCTGAAGAAGTGTTGAAAATGAGAATAGGGATTGTGAATGAAAAGGAGGTAGGCTGAGAGAGGCTGGTGGGAGAGCTGTAGGATGTAGGACGTAGGACAAGGTGTTAAGAACTGGAAGAGCTCCCTAGGCAGAAGGAACAGCACATGTGGAGACCGTGAGAGACTGCTGTGTATTTGAGGAACTAAAAGAAGCCCAGAATGCTTAGACTGATGAATACATAGAGTTTCAAATCAGTTGAATAATGTTCTTGTAGAAAAGGATACCTTGTTAATTATCTTCAATAATGACTTTGGTCATATCATGATCAAGTAAATAAGATGTGCTAGGCCATAAATTGGCCATAACTGGTTAATGTAGTTGGTTAGGCTTAGAGTAATGGAACCAATGCACTAAGGAGTGTGAATTCCATTTTCCATGTAGGCAAGTTGCTTGATTTTGTGGCTACAAAGAATGTACTTCACCTCTCTCCAGCCAAGTTGTTGGTGTTTGCCATTGTTAATGAGGATGATCAAGCTTGAATGGATGATTCAGTTCAAATGCCTCACTGTTATTGGGAAAAAACTGCAGATCTTTTGGAGAAACCAGTAGAATCACGGAGCTGAATAAAAGACAATGTGTTTTTCTATCTAAGAGGTGAAAAAGTCTATGATATTAACTGTGGTAAAGACTAAAGTTTCATAAGTGCTAAAACAAAATGACGGTATACTTGCCTCTGGGTTATGGTTGATTACTTTTGATATTTCTTGATATGATTTTGTATTTTATATACTTCTGTATATGAGTATATATTATTTTAATAATAGAAAAAGAATAAATTCTGGCCGGATGCGGTGGCTCGCGCCTGTAACCCCAGCACTTTGGGAGGCCAAGGCGGACAGATGATGAGGTCAGGAGTTAAGAGACCAGCCTGACCAAAATGGTGAAACCCTGTCTCTACTAAAAATACAAAAATTAGCTGGGCGTGGTGGTGTGCGAATGTAATCCCAGCTACTCAGGAAGCTGAGGCAGGAGAATGGCTTGAACCCGGGAGGCAGAGGTTGCAGTGAGCCGACTGTGCCACTGCACTCCAGCCTGGGCGAGGGCGAGAGTCCGTCTCAAGAAAAAGAAAAAGAATAAATTTCTAGGAAAGTGTTTTAGCTTATTTAACTATTCACCTAAAATAAGAACGTGAAAATCATTGAATAAAGAATAGTAATTTAGTTTCACCTAAAATATTTTTTCCTCTAGAAACTTTTTATTGTTATTTTTTAAGACAGAGTCTTGCTCTGTTGCCCAGGCTGGAGTGCAGTGGCAGGATCTTGGCTCACTGCAACCACCGTCTCCCTGGTTCAAGCAATTCTTGTGCCTCAGCCTCCAGAGCAGCTGGGACTCCAGGCGTGTGCCACCATGCTCGGCTAATTTTTGTGTTTTTAGTAGAGATGGAGTTTCACCATGCTGGCCAGGCTGGTCTCGAACTCCTGGCCTCAAGTGATCCGCCTTCCTCAGCCTCTCAAAGTGCTGGGATTACAGGCATGAGCCACCATGCCTGGCTCTAGAAACTTCTTAAAAGAAACTTTGCTCTGTCCCCCTGACTGGGGTGCAGTGGCGTGATCTCAGCTCATTGCAACCTCCACCTCCCAGGTTCAAGCGATTCTCCTGCCTCAGCCTCCTGAGTAGCTGGGACTACTGGCGTGTGCTACCATGCGTGGCTAATTTTTTGTATTTTTAGTAGAGACGGGGTTTCACCATGTTGGCCACGCTGGTCTCGAACTCTTGACCTCGTGATCCGCCCATCTTGGCCTCCCAAAGTGCTGGGATTACTAGTGTGAACCACCGCCTGTTGTTTCCGTTTTTACATTCAGAATTAACTTTGGGAGAAGACAACTTGTAAAAAAATTGGAGTAAAATTTAAGCCCTTTTTTTCCCCTAGTAAATTGACCAGAATTTTCATCATAACTTAAATATAAATGAAGATTCCCATAAGTCATTTAAAAAAAATTGACTTAAAGTTTCATTCATTCATTGTTAGTCAACAAATAATTTACTGAGGGCTTGTTTTGGGCCAGACACTTGGACTACATCAGTCAGGAAAACAGGCAAAAATGTCTGCCCCTGTGGAGTTCACATTCTAGTGACAAGATGTTGCATGAAACACTTTTGAAATATGTAGCGTTTAATCTTCATACATTTTATCTATTTGAAATGTCTTATTAAAAATTGTAATCAGTTGAAAATGATGGGAAAGCCCATTGAACTACTATTCTTTGTAGTATCTTTAAGTGATTTATTACACATTCTTATCTTTGGTGCAGTGCTACTCTTTAAACTTGCCTTCCTTCAGTTTGTGCTTGTGAGTGTCATCTGGGAGAGCTGTGGGGAGACCTGATAACAGGCTCATTGTTGCCTTTGCATCCCTAGTGCCTGAGGTACATTAGCATATATCTATATTAAATTAATTTGAACTTCAAAACTAAGCAGAATCCTGTCTTTTTATAAAAACTAGTTCTTGTCACTATATTCTGATCTTTAGGATAAAGAATGAATCAAGCATTGGAAGTTTTTGTTTTTTGTTTTTTGTTTTTTTTTTTTTTTGGTATCTAATAGTCCTGATAACATTGAAAGAGAGCACATTATAACTTTACCTTTTTTTTTTTCCTGTATTTTCTTTAGGAGGCTTTCCTTAAGTGGAGATTCTTGACTGGGAGGTGTGTGTGTGTGTTTGTGTAGCTTTAGTGAGATTTTTATTTTTGTTTTTTCCAGTATTCTATTGTAAACATTTTCAAATATGCAGAAGAATTGAAAGAATGAACAATGAATTATCTGGATAACCTTTTAGAAGGTAGATAGTACCTTCTAGATTCAGTAAATTTTTTTTAAGTGAAAGCAAGTTTATTAAAAAGGTAAAGGAATGGAGAATGGCTACTCCATAGGCAGAGCAGTCCCCAAAGGCTGCTGATTACTAATTTTTATGGTTATTTCTTGATTATATGCTAAACAATAGCATATACCCTAGTAAATAATACACCTGACAGGCCAACTCTCAACAATCACACTGGTAACATATACTGATAGAATGTTATTTTTTGATCTTAATAATAGGGATTATTCATGAGTTTTTCTGGGAAGGGGGTAGGCAATTACTAGGAACTGAGGGTTCCTCCCCTTTTTAGACCATATAGGGTAACTTCCTGACGTTGCCATGGTATTTGTAAACTGTCATGGCACTGTTGGGAGTATAGCAGTGAGGATTACCAGAGGTCACTTACATTGCTCTCTCGATTTTGGTGGGTTTTAGCTGGCTTCTTTACTGCTACCTGTTTTATCAGCAAGGTCTTTATGACCTGTATCTTGTGCTGACCTTCTATCTCATCCTGTGACTTAGAATGCCTAACTGTCTGGGAACACGACCTAGTAGGTCTCAGCCTTACTTTAACCAGCGTCTACAATTCAGGATGGATTTGCTGTGGTTTGAATGCTTCTGACATATTTCCCCCCTCCCTTTTATAAGAAAACATTTAATCCTAAGGATTGTAGATGGAGGAGGATGTATCTTCTGTAACTTCTTGGCTGAGTAAGGGTGATGATATTCCTGCCTAACTTACTAAGATTTTGCTATATTTGCAAAATATGTGTGTATATAAATAACTTTGAACTATTTGAAAGTTGCAGTCATTGTAATACTTCATTTTTAAATGCATGTGCTTGTATCGTCTAAGTATGAACCTTTTTCTATATAGCCACTTTACCATTATCACACTTTATAGGAAATTAACAAAAATTCCCTAATATCATCCAATACTCAGTGTATATTCATTTTTCTCCACCTGTCCTCAAAATGTCTGTGTATAATAGTGGGAATTTTTAAACCAGAGTTCAGTCAAAGTTCACATGCTGCATTTGGTTTCATTTGAATTTTATCGTGGAGTAATTTTTACAAACATATTTGTGGTTTTTCCAAGGGCTACATGTAATCATTTGATGTTGACATTCTATGTTAAAGCACAATTGTCACTTTCAGTTTTCTTTTCTTTGAGACAGGTTCTTGCTCTGCTGCCCAGGATGGAGTGCAGTGGCACCATCACTGTACGCTGCAGCATCAACCTCCCAGGCTGAAGAGATTCTCCCACTTTGGCCTCTGAAGTAGAGGTGGGGTCTCACTATGGTGCCTAGGCTGATCTTAAACTCTTGGGCTCTAGGGATTCTCCCGCCTCGGCCTCCCAAATTGTTGGGATTACAGGGGTGAGCCACCACACCCAGCCTCGATATTCATTGTCTTTTAATTGGTCTGTGTATATGTTTCTTTGTTTCTCACTGACGTGTATGTACGTTTTGTTGAATTTCTCAACATTGCTTTCCCTAGACCTCATGAAGTCTTGTACCTTTTGCAAGATTCGCAACTTCATTTTGCAGATATTTTGCGTTGGACTACATGGTATTGTCAGATTAACATCCTATGACTAGCAGTGGCTTAGCTTCAAAAGATGTGGAAGCAATAGGCCAGTTTGTGCACTTGTTAAATTTACAGGGATGTTCGGAGACCATTTTTCCAAGAGATTAATGGTTGGTGAGGGTTTTGGCTTTGTCAACTTTTGTTTCCTTATGCACTCTCCTGACTGCAGGGATGAGGAAATAACATTCTATCAGTATACATTACCGGGTGTGATTGTTGAGAGTTGGCCTGTCAGTTGTATATATAAAAGTGTGGCTTTTTTTTTTTTTTTTTTTGAGACAGAGTCTCGCTGTTGCCGAGGCTGGAGTGCAGTGGCACGATCTCAGCTCGGCCTTCCGAGTAGCTGGGATTACAGGTGCCTGCCACCACGCTAGGCTAATTTTTGTATTTTTAGTAGAGATGGGGTTTCACCATTTTGGCCAGTTGGTCTTGAACTCCTGACCTCAAGTGATCTGCCCACCTTAGTTTCCCAAAGTACTGGGATTACAGGCGTGAGCCACCATGCCTGGCCCAAAGTGTTGCTTCTTGATGCTACGTAAGGATTGGCTTTTATTTTGAGCAAACATGTACTATTCAGATGAGCCTATGGTTAAATAGATTTGTAAATAAGTATTTGAAATAAATGTTGAAGGAAGTTCATAGATGTAAATTAATAGAAAGTTTTTTTGTTTTTTAAAAAATAATCCTTCTTGGCTGGGCGTGGTGGCTCACGCCTGTAATCCCAACACTTTGGGAGGCCGAGGCGGGCAGATCATGAGGTCAGGAGATCGAGACCATCCTGGCTAACACGGTGAAACCCTGTCTCTACTAAAAATACAAAAAATTAGCCAGGTGTGGTGGCGGGCACCTGTAGTCCCAGCTACTTGGGAGGCTGAGGCAGGAGAATGGCGTGAACCCAGGAGGCAGAGCTTGCAGTGAGCTGAGATTGTGCCACTGCACTCCAGCCTGAGCGACAGAGGAGACTCTGTCTCAAAAAAAAAAAAAAATCCTTAATATTAATAGGAAGAAAATTTGTTTTTTAAATGTAGTGCAGTAAAAGGAAGATGGTAAGGAAGATAGTAAAGATGAAGCATAAATGAGTCTTTAGTCATATACCAATGGAGCCAGGGCCCAAGAAAATGTTGAGGTTCTTTCTTTGTTCATCATCCTGATTTTTTATTGCTGGGCAGTAAACCAACCCAAACTTAATGGGTGAAACAACAATCATATATTATTATTATCTCTTCTGGGAATTGACAGTACTTGGTAGGTGGTTCTTACTCTATGTTTCTCATGTAGTTGCAGTCAAATGCTGGAGTCATGTAGAGGGTGTCTTCATTTAAAGACTCAAAACAACTGGGGTCTGCAACAGCTGGGATTCCTTAGGCATCTCTATCTGTGTAGTCTCTTTATCATGGAGACTTCGATTAGCCAGAGTCCTTAATATGGTAGCTCAGAGTTTCAAAGGCATGCATCCCAAGAAATAAAACCAGGCTGGAATTCCTTTTTGTGACCTAGCCTTAGAAGTTTTGCAGCGTCACTTCTGCCTCATTACCTTTGCAAGAAGCAAGTCATCAGGCTAGCTTATATATGAGGAAGAGTAATTAGACTCTACCTCTTGATGGAAGAAGTATAAAATAATTTATAGATTTCTTTTAAACCACTGTGATCGTTAAGAATAGTGATAATAGTAAAGCATAATTATTTAGAAAGAGATTTGGGTACTATGAATGTTTTAGAAAAGACTGATACCATGTATTTGAAAACAAATTATAAGGACTTAACATTTATGGCATTGGACAGAATAATACATATTATGGAAGTGTAACTACTAACGAACAATTTCCTGAGATAATTATTGAACTCGACAGTTGGTTTAACACCACAGAGGCCCCCTTAAAAGCATCTAGGTCAGAATCACAAGGCAAGTCAATATAAATGTGTTTCTTTGACGTCACTAGTATTACTTACAGTCAGTTGATTGATTAGGTGCATTGTTTAGGAAATGTGAAATATTTGATGTATTCTGAGACTTAAAGATTGAAATGTGAGCTAGCGATTAGTTCTTTACTATGACTCTGCTCAGACTCAGGGTGTATTTTCTATGAAATAGTATTTTGTAAAACCTACTCAGGATCGTTTTGTAGTCTATTATAAGCGTGATGATTGGGTGTTCATATGCATATGTGAGATGTGCCACCCTCAAATCTTGTTATGACGTCATCAGCACGTTACTCTTCTGATACGAAAAAAAGAAGAACCACTCGGCTTCATCATCCGTTTAATTAGTAAGCTTTAGGACTGAATGTTTTCTATTTTCAGAGACATGTCTGCACTGAAATACTACTATTGTGTGTATTCATTTAATAGTTTGCGTGCCTACTGTGTGTCAGGCATTGTACTGGGGACTGGGTATGTAGTGGCATTCTAAAGAAATCTTAATGCCACTTCCAAAAGGAAAACTCCAAAAATCTTTTGGGTGTGGGGCATTATTGTTGAAATAAATGTGTAGCTTGCCAGTATGATTAATACGAAGAAGACACATCTGTTTGCATGTAAAGTTTATTGGAAATAGGGCTTATTATTTCATAGCTGTGCCTAAGAGAGTATTTTGATATTATTTGTGGTCAGTTTTCAAGGGGTTATTAGTCATATGTGCCATTTTTCTTGGGTATTTTGCAGTTTTTATTGAATATGTGATGAACTTGCAGGATCTTTTGTGTGAATGTGAAAAAGAGCGTGTGTTTTACACATGTTTTATACATCACATATTTTGTTTCTAATCAAAAGAGGCCTTATATCTGAAAGCCTTCTTGTTACTCATAAGACAAGGATGTGAGACTAGACAGTTTTTAAGGGTCTGCCTAGGTCTAACAGAGGGGAAGGAATAAGTTCTGGATGGGAAAGTTGGTAGAAATGTTAGCGAAGTGTCAAATTAAGTAGAATTAGTTTTTAGATTTTCTTGAAGCCAAGACAAAAACAATGGCTAAAAAATTACAAAGCTCAGTGTATCACAGAGGAGCTTTTCCTTCCTTCCTTCCTTCCTTCCATTTTTTTTTTTTTTTTTTTTTTTTGACAGAGTCTCACTCTGTTGCCTGGGCTGGAGTGCCGTGGTGTGACCTCTGCTTCCCAGGCTCAAGGGATTCTCATGCCTCAGCCTCTTGAGTAGCTGGGATTACAGGTGCATGCTACCACGCCTGGCTAATTTTTGTGTTTTTAGTAGAGGTGAGGTTTCGGGTTTTACTGTGTTGCCCAGACTGATCTCGAACTCGTGGGCTCAAGTGATCCATCTGCTTCGGCCTCCCAAAGTGCTGGGATTACAGGCATGAGCCACCACCCCTGACCAGGAACTTTTTGTTAATCATGGTTTGATATAAATGTTGGAGAATCTTTTACATTAGAGATATTTTAAAAACCTAATGGACTGTGAGTTTTATAATCGATACAGAAGTTTTATTTATGTGATTATGTGAAATGCTGATAGAAACTGACATTATAGTAAATTATTGTTTTGTGGAGGTCTCCCTTTGGAGACCGAGGAATGTAAGTTTCTGGGCTAGAATTATATAATATTTAGAGGCTGATTAGGTAAATCATGAGGTTTGCACATTTTAAGTGTTATATTTAGCATTGTTACTACGCATGAAGCACTGTGTTTTCCAAACATTGTTTTATTTAACATCCTGACAATGTTGTTGGGGAAGCAATTTGAGTTGAAGGAGGTACTGTGGTTCCCTTGCTGTACAGCTGTGTAGTGGTGGGTCCCTGAGTACAGGTCTTTTTTTTTTTTTTTTTTGAGACGGAGTCTTGCTCTGTCACCCAGCTGGAGTGCAGTGGCGTGATATCGGCTCACTGCAAACTTCGCCTCCTGGGTTCAAGCAGTTCTCCTGCCTCAGCCTCCTGAGTAGCTGGGACTACAGGTGCCCGCCACCACACCAGGCTAATTTTTGTATTTTTAGTAGAGACAGGGTTTCACCATATTGGCCAGGCTGGTCTCAAACTCCTGACCTTGTGATCCGCCTGCCTCGGCCTCCCAAAGTGCTGGGATTACAGGCATGAGCCACCGCGCCCGGCCTATATGAACTAAAGTTTTAAATATTTGTAGATAAAAACAGAATGTCATAGTAAAGGACTGTGCTCCAGCCTTTAAAAACAGTACATTAACTGTTACCTTTTGTCTACGTTAATTTTTTAAAAAACTGTATTAAAATTTTAACCTGTTGGCAGAGGACAGGTTCACTATCATGTATCTTTTCTTCCCTTTTGCATGGGGTTTGATGGAGGAGAGGAGACTATGTATAAAGTGACAGTCTCCGTGCTCATTTTTCTTTTTTTCTTTTTTTGAGATGGAGTCTTGCTCTGTCGCCCTGGCTGGAGTGCAGTGCTGTGATCGACTAACTGCAACCTTTGCCTCCTGGGGTCAAACGATTCTCCTGCCTCAGCCTCCCAGGTAGTTAGGATTACAGGCGTGCATCACCACACCCAGCTAATTTTTGTGTTTTTAGTAGAGACGGGGTTTCATCATATTGGCCAGGCTGGTCTCAAGCTCCTGACCTCAGGTGATCCACCCGCCTTGGCCTCCCAGAGTGTAGGGATTACAGGCGTGAGTCACTGCACCTGGTCTCCATTTGAATATTGAAACAGGGACCACTGTTCATTTTTGAAGCCAGTATGCCATTACCTATTTATGAAGCTCTTGCTTCTCCATCCTTACATGCTAGGGTGTGAGATGGTGGACTATGCACATCATATTAGAATCATATCATTACCATAGTGACACTGAATTGTTTCTATCTTTTATGTGTTTGGGTGAGAAAGTTTGTGAACAGTTAACTAGTCTGTGGTTTTGTGTAAGATTCTAGTATCTTTAGTCAATCCACACAGTACCTACTTTGTACAAAATGCCTGGATGTGCAAAAAATTACAGGCCTTACTTATCCTTAAGGGTAAGCTTACTATATAGTTGGGAAAATAGAAATGTAAAAGGTAGAATAGCAGTATCAGAGATGACACTTCAAAGCAGTAAGTGATTAATTGGAAAATTGAATGGGATTAGCTGGGTGCAGTAGCTTGTTCCTGTAGTCCCAGCTACTAGGGAAGGCTGAGGTGGAAGGATCACTGGAACCCAGGAGTTTGAGAGTTTGAGGCTGTAGTGCATCATGATCGTGTCTGTGAATAGCCACTACACTCCAGACTGGGCAACACAGTGAGACCTGTCTCAAAAAAAAAAAAAAAACAGAGTCAAGAAATTCTGGAAGAGGTCAAAAGAGGAAGTGCTTACTGGACTGTGGTACCTTAATTATACTTTTTGTAGGTATTTTTGATAGGTCACTTGGGTGGGATAGAGGTAATTCTAAATGTAATTTGGAGAAGTTGAGATAACCAGGAATTTGATAGATTCCATGCTTCACATTATTTTTACAGTAAGTATGAAATACAGAACAATTTATACATGAACTTCAGTTATGTCCAGGTATTGAGTTAGTTATGAGATCTATTTTGAATGTCTTTCAGTGCTTATTTTTTATTGGGGTGTAATGATAGATACTTGGATTCACCTTTGATCTCTTCATCCAAAGTGGTACTGATTATAAGTAGTAGCAGTTGTAATAACAGCATTTCTGCATCCCCAAATTCCTTTTTACGCGTCTCATTTAACAGTTTTTCTTTCAGTCAGAAATGGTGATGGAAGAAACAGCAGGAGCAGCTAACATTTTGTACTAGGCTCTGTACTAAGCATATTATGTGCTGTAATACCCTGTTGATGCCAATGTCTTAAGTAAACCTTGCCATCATTCAAATGAATTTCTGTTTCAAATTATTTTTTGGTATGTGTTGAGGGACTCAGTAACCCTTTGTTGGTATTTCAGATTAAAGCTCTTGATTTAGTTTAAAGGTCAGGCCTTTAGGTCTTGATTGTTATGGTTAGAGTTTTTCTTGCTTGTCTGGTCAAGCCAATAACTTGAGAAACTAGTAAGAGAGTTTAGAGAAGTAAGGTCAAGGCCCTTTTAGACTTGCTGGTTTCAGGTGGAACTTGGAACTCCTTTGCAGCTCAGCAGAGCTCTTTTGGTTTTTAAAGAGACTTGTCCCTAAATTTGTGTGTGTGTGTTTTATTTTGGTCTTTGCTCTGTTCCTTGCTCTTCTTCGCCTCAAGCTCCTCTCTTCCACCTGCCCACCAAGTAGCTGTGACTATAGGCATGTACCACCATGCCCAGCTAATTTTTAAATTTTTTGTAGAGACGGGGTCTCATTATGTTGCCCACATTAGTCTCAAACTCATGGACTCTGTGTTCCTCCTGCCTTGGCCTCCCTGAGTGCTGGGATTACAGGCGTAAGCCATCATGCCCAGCCACAGTTCAGATCTTTAGGGCACTCCTGAAGATTTCTGTTAATGTATACTAACCTTTAAAATATTGAAAGATGATTAAAATTGCCCATATACATTTTAAACACAAATAATACCTTTAATATTCTATCACCTTTGAAGAAAAGATGAGAATCATTGCTGTAAAGTTAGTTGGACTAGTGAGCTCTTCATCCAAAAAGGCAGGATTGATTTTTTTGTGTTTGTTTTTTTCGGTTAACTGTTTCAGTGACATTTTAAGGAATTTTGGATCTATTTTGATTGTTTAGAAAGTTCTGTGTCGTTTTCAAAAAGGCTTGTCCCTACTCTTGTTGATATGCCATTTTTTTGGTTTATTAAGATGAAAGCAAATTTATTTTTTGGCTGTACATTGTATTGGCTAGATATATGATTTCTGGTTGGGAATAATTTTTCCTCAAAATTTTGAAGGCATTACATCATTGTTTCATAGCTTCCAGTATCCCTTTTGAGGAGTTCAGTGCTGTTTTGATTCTTTCTGCTTGACATCTCCCTAACCCTATGCCTTATGAACTCATGCCCTGAGATATTTTAGGGTCTTCCTTTAGTCCCTTGTGTTGAGAAATTTCACACTGATGTACCTTGATGTAGGTCCTTTACTCATTCATTGTATTTTGGGTCCAAATATTTCATGGGTCCTTTTATTCTGGAAGCTCGTGTCATTCAGGAAGTTTTTCTTGTTATTTCTTTAATACTTTTCCCTCCCCATCCATTTTATCATTTTTCTCTTTTTGGAATTCCTGGTGGTTGGATGTATGACAACTTCATAGCTACTGTGATTTTCTTTTCTGCCCTGTTTTCCATGAGACCAACTTCTTAAAAAATATTCTGTTAAATATATATATTTTTCTTGTTGGGCTGGTTTCCCCAAAGAGGAATCCTGGCAGGTAAGAGCGTGGCTGTAAGCATTCTGGGATGGGGGCTGATTACTGATTTCAGCAGACAGCTTTCACTTTTTCTTCTGGTCTCTGACACCCCTTCTCCCTCCCACGCCGATTCTGGGTGTATTCCCAGGCTATTAGTACTCTGGCTGAATTTTGCTAAGTAGGAAATGTTTAGCCTCTGGAAGGGGAGCAGTCTCCTGTCTAGAGGGTGGGGAGCTAGGGGTTTAACTAATGCTAATTTCCTTATGCTAATTTCCTTATGCTAATTTCCAACAGTTCCTGTTTTGCGTTACCCTCAGGCTTCAGAGGAATGTGATGCCTCCAATTCCTAAAAATTGACCTGTTCATTTTCGGCTTCCTCCTACCACGTAGGGTTTAGGTTGAAAAGTTTTCTCTTGTCGTGAACTCACTGGCCACTTGTCTGTCGGCTTTCCAGCTTCCAAAATTTGTTGAATGCACTAGCCTCGTCTTTCTCTTTGTCCCTGTAACTTTAAAATTAATTTGTTTTTCAAAATTTTTCATCTTAGTGGAATTGCAGGAGGTATTTGAGATACACATACACTTAACTAGAAGTTACATGCAGGAAAATTATTCCTGTTTTCTCTGAATACACAACTTCTCCATACCCAGTGTGTGTGTCTCTGTGTGTGTGTGTGTGTGTGTGTGTGTGTGTGTGTGTTTTAATGTGATTTTCTCTTTAGCACACACACTTTTCTCATAATCTCTGCTCATGTATCTGTGGTTCTTGGCTGTGGTCCTGTTTGCTCTCAAGGAGAGACTTAAAGCCTGCTTTTGTCTTTGCAATAACTCTACATTTTCCTCCTGAAAATGAGTATCCCAGGATATGCACATTTAACTAACTTATCAAAGTGCACTCAAGCCTTACTCAAGATTTAATTTTGCGAGGCTTCTGTTGATCTTCAGGCTTTAAAAAAATTATTCTAAAGTCACTGTAATCAGGGTTTGTGTTTTCTTTTTGTGTGTGTCTCTCTCTACCCTTGTGTTATATTTCCTTTTTTGAAATGTTTTTCTACTTACTTTGCTTTCACAAGTAGATTATAAACTACTTGAGATGTATGGATTTGAATCAGTGGTTCTCAGCTTTCCTTTTTTCCTGAAGTTTAGGCTTCCTGATGGGTAGGTTACACTGTATTCTGTAACTGTGGCCCACTATTAAGGGTGGTATTCCCGAGTATGTAGAGACGCCCCCTCCACAGGTGATTCTGTTGGTCTCCTCTCCCTGACCTCCTCCCATGCTGTATTTTACAGTTCATTTTATTTCTTGTAAAACCTTATACTGTGGGAATTCAGGAAGTATTTGTTAATTGAATTGGACCCGTGGCAGGTGTGGCATGATGGCAAGGATAGAGGGAAGGTTTTGTCTCATGCCTTCTTTCCCACTTTCCTCTTAACTGAGTAACTACAAGTAAATCACTTCACCTCTGTAGTCACTTGTTTTCTCAAATGTAAAACAAGGAAACTGTTATACCAAAGACTCACTATTAAATGGAAATATCTGTATGTTTCTTTTTCCTGAGATCAAAAAAGTTAAGAAATATTGAACTGTACAATTCTTTGCTGTGGTGCCATTTTCTAAGAAAATCTTCACAGTCCATGATTAGTGAGAAAAAGCTTTTATTTTAGATTGCCTTTTTTCTTTTTTGACTTTTTTAAATTTAAAAACCATCTTTTCTTAAATGTTAGTAATAGTAGTTGTTCTTTTCTGAATCTCATTTGAAAAAATGAAAAGTTGGTAAAATTATATTTGTTCTTATAATTTGAAGGAAGTTTCACTTATCTGTTAAATTCAGAAGTCAGAGATACATGCTTTATACCTTAAAAAAAAAATCTGTGACTCCTCACTTTGGAGGTAGGTTTCTGTATATTCGTTAGAGAAAGGTTATTAATGTTCTTTGTCAGTGTTTCTGCCTTTTACTGATAATTTTGTCTGCTTGAACTGTCAGTATCTGATAGAAGTGGATATGGCTTCTCATCTTGAATTGTGATCCCCATAATCCCCACATGTCAAGGGAGGGACACGATGGGAGGTGATTGGATCATGGGGGTGGTTTCCCCCATGCTGCTGTTCTTGTGATAGTGAGTTCTCATGAGATCTGATGGTTTTGTTTGTTCGTTTGAGACAAGGTCCTGCTCTGTCACCCAGGCAGAGTGGTGCAGTGGTGGGGTCTCAGCTGATTGCAAACTCTGCCTCCTGGGCTCAAGTGATTCTCATGCCTCAGCCTTCCTAGTAGCTGGGATTATAGGCGCACACCACCATGTCTGGCTGATTTTTGTATTTTTCATAGAAACGGGGTTTCACCATGTTGACCAGGCTGGTCTTGAACTCCTGGCCTCAAGTGATAACACCTGCCTTGGCCTCCCAAAGTGCTCAGATTACAGGCATGAGCCACCATGCCTGGTCGAGAGCTGATTGGTTTATAAGGCAGTTTTCCCTGTTCTCGTTTGCTTTCTCTCTCCAGCTGCAATGGAAGACTTGTCTCTTCCCCTTCTGCCATAATTGTAAGTTTCCTGAGGCTTCCCCAGCCATGTGGAACTATGAATGAATTAAACCTCTTTTCTTTATAAATTACCCAGCATCGGGTATGTCTTTATAGCAGTGTGAAAACAGACTAATACAGAAGTATATGTTAACTTTCTCTGCTGAGCATGTTGGTGCTTGCCTGTAGTCCCAGCTACTTGGGAGGCTGAGGTGGAAGGATCATTTAAGACCAGCCTGGGCAACATAGGGAGATCCTATGTCCAAAAAAAAAAAAAAAAAAAAAAAGCATGTTAAATTTTTCATCAGAGTTGACAGCTTCTCAAATGGTCAGTTTTTGTTATATACATTGTTGAGGCTGTGTGTTAGAAACTTTCAGATTCATGAACATTATTCAATGTTCTTTGTAGTTTGTTCCTTTTATTGTAATATAGTCTCTATCCCTATTAATGCTTTTTCGCTACTGATACCTGACTTTTTTCCCCTTAATCTTTGACTTGTAATATGTGAGATTAATCTATTTGAATAAGTAGACTTATTTCTGCTCTCTGAATTTTATATTTTCTGATCCATTTACTTTGCTGTGTGTGTGTTTTGTTTTTGTTTTTGTTTTTTTTTTTTTTTTGAGTCTAGCTTTGTTGCCCAGGCTGGAGTTGCACGATCTTGGTTCCCTGCAGTCTCAGCCTCCCAGGTTCAAGTGATTGTCCTGTGTCAATCTCCCGAGTAGCTGGGACTACAGGCGTGTACCACCATGTGTGGCTAATATTTGTATTTTTAGTATGGATGGGGTTTTACCATGTTGGTCAGGCTGGTCTCGAACTCCTGACCTCAAGTGATGTGCCTGCCTTGGCCTCCCAAAGTGCTGGGATTACAGGCCTGAGCCACCGCGCCCGGCCTCTTTGCTGTTTTTTTCCTCTTCTGTTAGATGGTTAGTTTTCTGCACTCCTTTTTTTCCCTCCCTCTTGATTCGAAAGTCATAGACTATATTTCCATTATTTTAATGGTTACTGTTAAAATTTTCAGTTACGAAGTTTTCTACTAAAAATGTGGGCCTAACTGGCTTCTAGGATGAACCCAGCTCTGGCACCCAGTCTCTTTTACTCTGTTTTTCTTGTGTGGAGATACTCATCTTGTATCTCATCTCAGCTTTGTCTTTTGGTTTTCTCTTTTTTACAGTTGCCTTTCATAGCTACATATTTAGAGTAGGAGAAGTCTTCCTCAGGGTGAACTCAATGCATCATCTCTACTTCAGCCATTCTTTCACTCTACTGGTTTGCATATCTGCACATAATATTCAGTAAATACTTGTTAAGAAGTGTTTCTTATATTTTTTTCCTTTTTGTTTTAGTTTTACTCACTTTTTTCAGCTTTTGATGGAAAGGAGAGAAAGTGGAGATAACAGGACCAACCACATCTGTAGAATGGTTTTTACACTGACTGTCGACAATCAGGGTTGGTGGAGTGGTCAGGGTAAGAAGGAGGTATAGAGAATTTAGTCTGGGACAAAGGAACTGTATGGTCCAAGTGTGAATTGACACTTATTATGACAATATTATGGCAATATTATTTATTGATAATATTCTAATAAGACTGCCTCCATTTTGTTAGGTTTGTTTTCTGTTTTTATACACACCGAAGTATTAAATAGATGCCAGTTATTTTTGTAGAAAACAGGAGGGCTACACTGCTGTATTGTAGCTATGATGATGGCGACCGCGTTTTACAAACATTTGTGTTCTCCTAACATAGTGATTAATTACTAGGACAGGTTTGAGATGGTGGCAGTTACAAAGAGCATCTGGCTGGAGATGAGTTTAGTGTTCGCATATACCCCTACTCACTCCTCCACCATCTTCCCCTTTCAGAAACCGAGAGAGGAGGTAGCTGATGATACCAATAAACTTGTTATGCTTTGAGATGTATCTCTGTAACTAGCAAGTGATTTCCAGGCATTTTTAAAAAAAAAAAAAAGCACGGCAAAAAAGGCAGCAGTATTGGGGAAGATAATTAGGGACTGGAAGGTAGGCAGCTCTTCTTCATAGTCTTTCCCAAGATTAGCTCTCTTACTGTCATATCCATGCACTATCTAAAAGGCCAAGTTGTCCCCCACCGCTACCCCTAACCCCCCTGTATCTACTGGGAGAAGATGAGAGTGGGCGTTGAGATGGGGTGAGATGTTACTTGGTCAGTAATATTAGTCTGTAAACTAAAATATTAGGCTGTAAACTAAGTCAGTAAACTAAAATATTAGTCTGGAACCGCTTGTTGAGTCTGTTGAGTCAGCGTACATTGAGTTATTAGGTTGGTGCAAAAGTAATTGCGGTTCTTGCAATTTTTTTTTTTTTTTTTTTCCTCCTTTTTTCAAGACCAAGTTTCACTCTTGTCACCCAGGCTGGAGTGCAGTGGCGCGATCTTGGCTCACTGCAACCTCCGCCTCCTGAGTTCAAGTGATTTTCCTGCCTCAGCCTCCCTGGTAGCTGGGATTACAGGCGTGCGCCACCACACCCGGCTAATTTTTGTATTTTTAGTAGAGACGGGATTTCACCATGTTGGCCCGGCTGGTCTGGAACTTCTGACCTCAAGTGATCCACCCACCTCGGCCTCCCAAAGTGGTGGGATTACAGGTGTGAGCCACCGCACCCGACCTGGTTCTTGCAATTTTAATGGCAAAACTGCAATTACTTTTGTACCAACCTAATATTTATTATAAGACAAAGAACTGGAAGCATTTTCTGGTGGATCCTTGAAGACTAAAACCAAGCCTTTATTGTGGTAGTTGTGATACCACACAGAGAGGAATCATTTATGTTAATTTGTGCTCCATAGTGACAAAACACAATGATAGAGTCCTTAAATTTGGCTATGGCAGTTTTTTTTAATTTTGATGACATTTGTTTGACTGCTTTGGTTTAGATAGTTGAAGGAAGGGTTTCTAGATTAGAGACCCATTAGAGTGCATTGAAGTAGGTGCAGACTTCAAAGAGCCATTTGATATAGCCTTTAGACCCATTCTGATTATGCAGATCTGTAGGTTTTCAGTAAAAAATGAGGTTGTCAAGTGGTTTGATTGTACAGCTCACTTGATTAGTCTGGCTTAATGGGAATAAAGATGCCCAGCAGGGTCTGCTTATATTGGAGAAGGAAAAACAATACTGAAATCTATTGCTGTCTCCTAAAACAAGGCGCTTTTGAATCATAAAGATCTTTTATTTTCACACTTAAAGGAATAAAAATGCCTACTGCCATATTTGGGTTGAAAACATTTATTTGGGCTGTAGGTATTTTACCTTTTTTTTTTTGTGAGATAAGAGTCTCGCTTTGTTGCCCAGGCTGAAGTGCAGTGGCGCGATCTCTGCTCGCTGCGACCTCTGCCTCCTGGGTTCCAGCGATTCTTCTGCCTTAGCCTCCTGAGTAGCTGGGACTATAGGCGCGTCCAACAATGCCCGGCTAATTTTTGTATTTTTAATAGAGACAGGATTTCACCATGTTGGCCAGCATGGCCTCAATCTCCTGACCTCATGATCCACCTGCCTCAGCCTCCCAAAGTGCTGGGATTACAGGCGTGAGCCACCACGCCTGGCCAGTATTGTACATTTTTTAACGATATGATTTTAGGCACAGTGGATTATTATGCTCTTTAAAAAATCCTTTCAGTTGATTAAACAATAAGGAAATTGGGAAACCATTTTTAGACGAAGAGAAAAGACAGGAAAAGCAGTTTGTCACTGTTGAGCTGTGCCTTTTGGAGGAGGTTTCTATGTTCTAGATACACTCTCTTGGGTTCTAGGGTAGAGATGACTAAGACTTGCTCTACTTCAGGAACCTTAGCTCTCAAACCAGTGTCCTCTGGTTCCCCAAGATCTTACTAGCGAGTGTTCCATGTTCAGCTTCAACTTGGGAAGCATAAGATTAAGCATAAACAGGCCTTTTCATTGTAGGGCTTATTGGAGGCTTAATGGAGGTGTATGAATTGTGAATTTCTAAGAGGGGGCTGTCCTAAGCAACAGTCTCCAAACTTGAAATAGTATGCTTACTTACTGCCTCCCTAAACAGACCCCTACTTTTGTGAATATTTTAATCCTTGTGTGTATTTATGGTGTTTTAGAGTGAGTAGTGAGTTCCAAACCTAGTTGAGCCATCAGAATTACTGTGGATGCATAGACATTTTTTTAAAAAAATTTTAAGTTGGTAATATGTTCATGTGGTCTAAAAATAAAAAGTTGTGCCCGTAATCCCAGCACTTTGGGAAGCCTAGGCGGGCAGATCACGAGGTCAGGAGTTCGAGACCAGCCTGGCCAACATAGTGAAACCCTGTCTCTACTAAAAATACAAAAAAATTAGCCAGGTGTGGTAGCGGGCGCCTGTAATCCTAGCTACTTGGGAGGCTGAGGCAGGAGAATTGCTTGAACCTGGGAGGTGGAATTGCAGTGAGCTGAGATTGCACCACTGCACTCCAGCCTGGGCAACATTGCGAGACTCCGTCTCAAAAAATAAAAATAAATAAATAAATAATTGTAAATTGGCATACAGTGAAAAGCCTCCCTCCCTCTTCTGTTTCCTGGCCTTCTACTTCCCTTCCTCATAGGTGATTGGTATTATTCCTTCCAGAGATATTTCATGCATATACCAATATTTATTTAGCCAGAATATAAGTTATTGAGCCTTGTATTTAGAGATTTCTGATTTAGTAGGTTTAAATGGGGCCTAAGAATATGTCTTTTTAATTGTTCCCCAGGGATTTCGATGATGAGCCATATTTAGGCACTCTTATTTTAGAGAGTACACATTACTTTTGCATGTGATGTTACCTATTTCTTAAAACAACTTTGTGAAACAGATAAATTTTTGACAGAAGTGGGAACATGAGAGCAAGAGATGTTAAATGAGGTATCCAAGGTTACACGGTGTCAGAGCTGGGAGTCAAAACCCAGGGCTTTTGATTGACTCGGTAGGACCAGTCTGGCACTAATTTTGCCTTTTCATGAAAGCTACAATGTTGATGATTGCCCAAACCAAAGAAACAATTTAATGTGTATGTTTATATCCAATTATTCCTATTCTGGTAAGCATTAGGTGTTAGAATATTTTATTGTATTACTTGCCATTGGAAGACCTCCAGTGATCGGACTTCCTATAATTTTCATGTTAAGGCACTTCACCAGTTAGATTCCTGTTACCAATGTAAGGCGCTTAGACAGCCAGGCTCTGCACTATAATAGGCTTTTATCTGTAATTTTGCTTCCTGATAAGCTCTCCTTCCCCCTTGCTATTGCTTCCAGCTTCCTTTTGGTCCCTGTAGCACATTTCCCTAACACCAGCCCAGATACAAACCGCAGGGGAGGGAGAGGGAGAGGAGAAAGAAGATTGTCTTCTTAGGCAAGAGGACTGGGAGAGTATCCCACAACTATGAAGTATTGAGTAACTTTCCTGTTTGTCTGGTAAACTCTTTCTGGGGCTAATTCTCAGAGTTTCAGAAATTCCTCATACTCTTATAGCACCATTTGAATTATAATGTAGCCTATGGGGGATTATTTTGCAGGACAACATTCCTTTGTTGTGTTTTATAAAACCTAGTCTGCTAATATTGGTCACAGCAGAATGTTTTAAAATCACTTTTATTTTTTATTCATTTTATTTTTATTTTTTGAGACAGAGTCTCACTCTGTTGCCCAAGCTAGGGTGCCAGGGACACAATCTTGGCTCACTGCAACCTCTGCCTCCCAGGTTCAAGTGATTCTTGTACCTCAGCCTCCCAAGTAGCTGGGATCACTGGTGTGCACCACCACCCCTGACTAATTTTTGTATTTTTAGTGGAGATGGGGTTTTGCCATGTTACCCAGGCTGTTCTCGAATTCCTGGCCTCAAGTGATCTGTCTGCCTTGGTCTCCCAAAGTGCTGGGATTGCAGGTGTGAGCCACCGTGCCCGGCCAAAAATTACTTTTTAAACGTTTAAACATTTTAAAAGAAAGACTTTTTAAAAAGTCGCAAATCCACCATTTTGAGACAGTGTAGGGCTTAGAGCTAAGACATGAATGTCCGTTTGTTAAGCTCCCCCATCCATATAAATAAGCATTTACTATGTGTCAGGTATTGGGAATTTTGAAATTAATAAAACATAGTTCTTGCCTTAAGAGTTTGTTTGGCAGTGAGGGAGACAGATATTTGATTGTACAAGTAGTTTGAGTATAAGAACTGCTGTTGGGAAATATGTACTAGGTATATTGGAATTCAGAGAAATGCCTAGTTTAGTCTGGAGTGAAGGGTAAATTAAGGTTTCCCACAGTTTGTTTCAGTGTAGGCCTGAGACTAGTAGCTATGTGTGCAGAAGGCAGTAGGGATATAGTTATTCTGTCAGTCTGTCTAATATCTGTATGTCACCTACCTACCTACGTACCTGCTTTCTTTTTTCTGACAGTGCCATTCAGAAGGGATATGGTTATTCTAAGGCTGAGGGAATAGTTATGTAAACAAAAATAAAAGAGTAGTTTGTGAGTATGATTTAGTTAGGGAATTGTGTTTGGAGTACAGGCTCCTTCTGGAAGAGAGAGATGCGATTAGAGTGACGGTAGTGACCAGAAGAAAAAAAAACGCTGAAATAAAAACTCGTGTATAAGAAACAAGGAGTTACAGTGTGTTCACAGATTTCTTTTTCCAAGAATTCCCAGACTTAGCTTTCATTCCCTGGATCCTCAAGTTCCTAGCAGATCTTAGGAATCAAATAAGGCCCTATTTAGTTTGAGAACCACTTCAAGCCAGAGCTTGGCAGAGTTGAAGTAGCAATATAGTGAGCTATCCAAGGATGAAAAATACATTTCAGTAATATTGATAAATGGCTGCCATTTATTGAACACTTAAGTGCCTGCTCTTTCCAAGGTATATTACAAAATTATCTTGAATCCTTACAGCATCACTGCTAGACAAGTGGTAGTTCTATCTGCATTTAATAGATGAAGAAACCTTCCATGCCTCTGGGATGTTAAAATAAGCTCTACCAAAGTTCCAGAGCCAGTTCACAGTAGAGATGGAATCAAACCCAGGTTTCTGTGACACTACAGCGTACTCTTCACACCTCACCAAGCTGCCCCTCACAAGAGAGTAGGTGTGATGCCTGGGGCTGATGAAATGGCAGCTTAGGACGTAAAGTGACCATTTCAAAGGCAGCAAAACTGCGATTTCATCTTTGACGTTAATAAAACGGCAACAAGAAGCCATCTCAGTAAATCTCGTACAAAGAAACTCTCCAGAATCTAATGGCATCAAGATCCTCGATCAGGAATATAACCCCGATTGTCTTGTTTCTATAGAGAAATCAGATTTCATTTCAGGTATTTTATTTCAGTTTACAGTTCTTTCTCAAGGACTGAATAACTTACCAAATAGCAGTGTTTATACTATGAAGTACATCAGCTATCTCTTGAGATATTTTATTTGTATGTAGAGTTAAAATTGGATTTGTAGTAATTTGAATACATTATCTGCATTTGGGAGATGCTTTACGGAATGAAGTCACAGGTATTCAGAATGTGGATGGTCTATGGTGAAGAAAGCCTAGTATATTCTCTTGAAATTTTGGTCGGATGCTACACTTTTTTGGTCAGGAGCCCTGAAGAAGTCTTTCGGTCTTATCTGCTAGCATAGTTTGATTCTTGTATGAATGTATATATAGTCTTACTGTTAAACAAATGAAATTAGGTAAGACAGAAGGACTTATGAAATTATTAAGAATAATTAGTGTATAAAGGCCATATCTTGAATCTTTTCTTACCAAATTTCTTCTTGTTTGGCATGTGCATTCTTTTCCTTTTCCTGTTTCGAACGGAGCTGAAAATAACGTGATTGATTTTGCTTTAAAGGTACATGACTGGGCTGGGTGCGGTGGCTCACACCTGTAATCCCAGCTCTCAGGGAGGCAAGAGGTGGGAGGACAGCTTGAGCCCAGGAGTTCGAGAGCTGCCTGGGCAATATAGCGAGACCCCGTTCTCCACAAAAAGGAAAAACAAAAACAAAAAAGGAACATGACTGATTGTGTGTGTGTGTGTGTGTGTGTGTGTGTGTGTGTTCAGCATTTCGTTTTTCAGAGATGTGTTTATCTTTCAAATGGCCCCAGTAGTTTGGGATTTTGGTCTCCTTTTCACTTAATTAGGAAAAGTGTTATTTGTGGTACAATATAAGAATTTCTAATCAGAGTATTTTTCAGGTTAGAGGAAGAAATTGGTTGTAGGTATACATTTTAACAGTTTAGCTAATGAAATGACCATGAATAATGTAATTTTTCTCTAGTTTGCAGAGCATTTTTCTCTGCAAACTAGAGAAACATGAATTTTCTGAGTTTAATAGAAATCTTTTTGACAGTTTCAACTAAAACTGATAACTAAGGGGAATAGTTAGAAGTTCACATTAAAAAAGTTTATATCCCTTTATGAAGTTACAATATTTATTTAGAAACTTCATTTTCTTCTTTGAATGCATCTTGAAGGTGAATGTTCTTATTTAGGGTAACATGAATGCATTATATATAAACTGGCATTTATCATCTTCATAAGCATTAATAAAAGTGTAAGTCCTCCTTACAAACTATGATTCAAGAAGCCAACAGATGAAACTTACCTCACAAAAACCATCTTTTGTTTTGTCTTTCTGTGTTTTGTTTTGTCTTTTGTGTAATTTGGGGTCATTTAACCCAAGAGTAAAGTCAGTCAGATGTTTGCTACTTGGCACAGATTTATTTGGGTAGGCAGTAAGTGAGAAAAGTGAGACCACTGATTTAGAAATTGTTGATGCAAATTTAAATAAAATGTGGTTAAGGCTTGTGACTGAGCATTGGTTAACAGGGATCAATGTGCAAGCTGAAATCTGAAGTATAAGACTGTGATCAGATTGCTTTTCACCAAAGAAATAAACTTGTAGCAATTCTTTAATTCTTATATGTCAAACCCGGAGGCCTATAGTTGCTAAGCTCTGTGTCCAGGCTGGAGTGCAGTGGGGCGATCATAGCTCACTTTTACCTCAAACTCCTGGACTCAAGAGATCCTTCTGCCTCAGCCTCCTGAGTTGATGAGATTACAGGCATGAGCCATCATAACCAGCTGCTACACCATTTTATAATCTGAACAGATTCAGGGGCTGGGTGCAGTGGCTCACACCTGTAATCCCAGCACTTTGGGAGGCCGAGGCAGACAGATCATGAGGTCAGGAGTTGGAGACCAGCCTAGCCAACAAGGCGAAACCCTGTCTCTACTAAAAATACAAGAATTAGTCAGGCATGGTCGTAGGTGCCTGTAATTCCAGCTACTCAGGAGGCTGAGGCAGGAGAATCGCTTGAACCAGGGACGCAGAGGTTGCAGTGAGCCGAGATCGTGCCATTGCACTCCAGCCTGGGCGACAGAGCGAGACTCCGTGACTCCGTCTCAAAAAAAAAAAAAACAAACAACCCAGAATCAGGCATGGACAAACAGTGTACTCAAAGTACAGGATTAGACCAATAGATTTTTATAACAGTATGAAAAATTCATTGATGGGGCGTCAGATTTAACATTGTAACTAATTTTTGAGGAACTATGACTTGTTGAGTTTTGATGTAGTATCAGAGAATATCCAATGCTGGCCATGGTGGAATGCGTCCATAGTCTCAGCTACTGGGGAGGCTGAGGTGGGAGGATCATTTGAGTCCAGGAGTTTGAGGCCTGGGCAACATAGTAAGACCTTGTCTTTTTTTTTTTTTTTTTTTTTTTTAAAAAAAAAGGATATGCATAATTTAATGTGGAGAAAGGAGAACTCTCATATACTGTTGGTGGGAATGTAAATTAGTACAGCCATTATGGAAAACAGTATGGAGGATGCTCAGAAAACTAAAAAATAGAACCACCATATAATCCAACAGTCCCACTGCTGGGTATATGTCCAAAAGAATTGAAATCAGTATATTTAAGAGATGTTTATCGCAGCACTAGTCACAATAGCCAAGATAGGGAATCAAAACTTAAGTGTCCCCTCAGCAGATGACTGGTTAAAAATGTGGTGTATATATACAGTGGAATACTATTCAGCCATAAAAAATAATGAAATCTTGTCATTTGCAACAACATGGATGAGCCAGGAGGACATTACATTAAGTTAAATAAGCCAGGCACAGGAAGACAAAAACTGCATGTTCTCATTCATATGTGGGAGCTATGATCCCATATATCATCCCATATATGATCCCATATATCAAAAGTTGATCTCATAGAGGTATAGAGTAGAAAGAATGGTGGTTACTAAAGGCTGGGAAAGGTAGCGGGGAAGGTAGGATGAAGACAGGTTGGTTAACGGGTACAAAAATACAGTTAAGAAGGAATAAGTTCTAGTGTTCAGTAGCACAGTATGGTGACTATAGTTATCAATAATTTGTTGTATGTTTCCAAATAGCTTGAAGAGAAGATCTGGAATGTTCTTATCACAAATGATAAATGTTTGAGGTGAAATCCCAATTACCCTGATTTGATTATTAACACATTGTATACATGTATACACATTGTGTACATGTACATGTTGTATGCATGCACCCCATAAATATATCTATCAGTTAAAAAGAATATCCCTGGGAGGCTGAGGTGGGTGGATCACCTGAGTTCGGGAGTTCGAGACCAGCCTGGCCAACATGGCGAAAGCCCGTCTCTACTAAAAATACAAAAATTAGCCAGGCGTGGTGGCGTGTGCTTGTAATCTCAGCTACTTAGGAGGCTGAGGCAGGAGAATCGCTAGAACCCGGGAGGCGGAGGCTGCAGTGAGTTGAGATCACACCATTGCACTCCAGCTTGGGCCACAGAGGGATACTAAAAAGAATATCCATAATTTGAGAAGCATTTAAAAGGTATATAAGTAGGAGGTTATTTTGGTTGGCATTTGTGGCTGTTTTAGTAAGAAGAATGAATTATTACTCATTTTCCCCCCAATGTCGATTTAGTATTGGTCACTTTAATGGCACTGTGCATTTAGAGTATGGCAGTTCTCGGAGTGTGGTCTGTGGACCTCCAAGAGTCTTACAGGGGCTCTGAGGTCAAAACTGTCTTTATAATAAAACGGAGGCTTTTTCACCATTTTGACATCTGTGCTGTGGTTTAAAAGCAGTGGTGGGTAAAATACTGGCTTTTTGGCAGAAATCAAAGCAGTGGCACCAAACTGTACAACTAATTGTCATTGTATTCTTTGCTTTTCTTGTACTTGTAGGGGAAAAAGCCAGTTTCACTTCAAAGTGTCCTTGATGAAACAGTAGGAGTTATTAACTGTATTAAATCTATACCTTTGAGCATAAGATCGTTTTAAAACAAGCCCCTTTCTTCATGGAAACCATTTTTATTTGAGACTGACTGACAAATAATGGTTATTCAGACTTGGATATTTAACAGACATTTTCTTGAAAATGAACAAGTAAGCCTGTTAATTTACAGAAAACAATGAAGGTATTTGTTTCTGGTGATAAATTTGAACTTTCAAGCAAATTTTAGAATTTTGGGAAACTTGTACCCATTACTGTGAGTTTGACACTGTAGATTGATAGTAACATTAGCAAATGTGATTTTTGAGTATCTGTGTCAGTCAATAAATCAGTGTTTTCCAAATGACCAGTGTATCCTGGTCCAGATGACAAAATCATACTTGAGTTATTCAAAGTTCATTAATAGGTTTCAGATTTCCACATTGCTCTCAACCTTTAAGAAATCACTTGCTGAGTTTTGGTATAATATCAAAGAATAATACCTGTGGTTATCTGGAAAGGATATTAAAATGTACCTCACTTTTCCGTAACTTTTCTATCTAGGGCCAGCTTTTCTTCATATACTTCATATACCAAAACAATATATTGTGATAGATAAAGGCAGAAGCAGATCAGAGAAATCTAGTTTATATGAAGCTTGATAATAAAGAGGTTTGCAAAAATGTAAAACAGCCCCCCTTGTCAAATATTTTTGGGAAAATTTTTTATAGGTAGGTAATTTATGTCAATATTTAGTTAGTTTATTTTTAAAATATTCACAAATTTTATTGGTTAACTTTAGTGTTATCAACAGATGTAACCCACATAAACAAAAGATTTTTGGGGTCTTCAGTAGTTTTTAAGAGTATAAGGTGGTCTTGAGATTTAACAAGTTTGAGAATCAAACCTTGTAAGAGGTGAAGAAAGGAAGCTGCTGAGGCAACTGTGTTAAATAATATTATATGCATTTTCTACCACAACCAAAGGTTCTGATTTACTTTCAGAGAAAACCCTCCTAGGCTGGGCATGATGGCTGACACCAGTAATACCAGGTCTTTGGCAGCCCAAGGCAGACGGGATCATTTGAAGCCAGGAGTTTGAGACCAGCCTGTGCAACACAGCAAGACACCTCCCCCCTACCCTCACCCACCCCACTCGTCTCTACAAAAAATAAAAATTAGCCTGGTGTGGTGACATGTGCTTGTAATCCCACCTACTCAGGAGGTGAGGCAGGAGGATCTCTTGAACCCAGGAGTTTGAGGCTGCAGTGAGCTATGCTTACACCACTGCACCACCACTCTGTCTGGGTGACAGAGCAGGACTGTGCCCCTTGGGAAAAAAAAAAAGAAAACAGAAAACCCTCCTATAAAGAGCTAGAAAGAAATGAACATATATGGTCTTTGCTTTCTTGAAGCCTAAATTCTTTTGTTCCTGGTAACATTTTTAGTTCCTGTTTGGCCATCACAACAGTCTTACTCATTGGTTCCTCATTGTTAAACTCTTAAGTTTCCTGTGGTCAACTGTGAGATGAAAAAAATTAAGGACAAAATGGGGAGTTTTAAATATAGCTAATTTTGTGTTTATTTATTGCAAGATTATGGCCTTACTGGCATTTTTTGATGTGAAAATGTAGTGATTTTTTTTTCTGTGTGTGTTGTCAAAATAATTATATTACATCTCTCATTTTCCTACCTTCACCATGAAATCCCAAAGTTGGAGTACCGAAGATCAGGGTTAAATTCAGATACAAGCATTAAAAAATGGATTTTTAAAAATGTGTCTGAAAATTGAGTGTCTAATTCAACTTTCAGGCATATAATGAGCAAGTTTTTCATACACAGATGAAGAGACTCATTTCTAACGGGTTGGTGCTTCTTGCTTGGGCTGAGGCAAACAGAAGGCTGGTGTGACTCTTTATGTTAGCCCCAACCCCAGTGGAGTGTATATATTTGTGTGAGATTGTGGTTCATCTGGGGGAAAGGATACTTCTAAGGCTATAGGAATAATCCTTCCTGGCTCTTTGTCATTCCCAGCCTCATAGGCCAAGGTAGCTCCTAATGTTTGTCGTAATACAGAGTGCATGGGGGAAAGGCATTGTTCCCTTCACCCAGAAACAAATCCATGATGCAGCACAAGCCGAAGACTCAGTTTATATAGGAGGTCTTATAACAAAGATCTCCTTAAAAGGGCTCCCCTATGAACTTGCCTTAGGTGGTTCGCCATTGGCTTCCTCCAGGACTGTGTGAAAAGGGATTTGGGGTTGGGATACCCTTTGCATTGAATAAACTAGCCCAGGATCTCAGTTTGCTGGGGGCGGGGCTGGAGTGGGGATGTGCCTTCTAGATGTTGGCACCAGTAAATGATCATCAGAAAGGGCTCAAAGTTTATATAGCCTTTTTCCCTAGCTATAGTGGCTGGCAGGTGGGACCACCCCACGTGATAGTTTGAATTTATTGATATCAGTGATAACGTGAAACAGTTGGCATGAGAAGCAGCGTTTAAGAAGTGTCAGTGTTTGTGGTATGGTGCAAGAGTTGTTTAAAAGAACTGTGTAAAAATTGAGGACTGACTGCCTGTTTACTTAAGAAAGTGCATGATAATTTAACTGCGGACCATGTTCTGTGGTTAGAGATAGGTTGTCTTTTTAGAAAGGTGCTTGTCTCTACCATCTATATAGTACACAATAGTTGCTCCAAAAAAAAAAAAATGGTATAGGCAAGACCACCACTCCAAGACTTAGGCTTTAAGATTTAGATGGTTTGCCTTTGGAGAAATGCCAGAAATATTCTTACAGTATTTCTTTTTCTAGCAGAATTTATCTGGTCACAGATTTTTTACATGTACTGCATTTTTGTTTTGGCAATACCTGCTTTCTCCAACATGGATGACAAGAGGTGAATTTGAAGACTTTTTCTACAGGAGTCTGTGATTTAGTATTGTAGGTAACCTTCATTGACTGTATCTGTTGGTTCTTTGCATGAATTATTAAGCCCTTTACTTCAAAATAAAATTGTATGGGTATGTAAAAGTTTTATTCCATGAGTGGATATCCAGAGTTGGGGTGAGGTGGGGTCACTTTATAGGCAGTTTCCTAATATGATTATTGAGTTACTTAGTGTTTTTTTCCTTCCATGGTAAGTGATCTTTTAAGAGTTATATGGGAAACTATCTTAAATCTGTATATTCACACTGCTCACGTATTTAATTTGAGACGGAAGACCTGGAGAGTTAGTTTTTTTGAGATTAAGATCAGGAACATTTTCTGCCTCTGAAATAAGTTACGTACCAGTAATGTACTTTTTTTCGTTGTTGGAACTGTATCCAGAAAAGCAGAGGGGTAAGGAAAGACTTGGCAAGTTGTATTCTGTCTTTGCTTAGAGTCTGTGAAGACAGTTCGGATAGAAACACAAATGACTAGATATGAGAGAATTTGTAGACTTCTGTAGGAAGGAAATTACAACTACCAGGAAAGGTTCATGGAGGAGGTGGCATTTGAACTGGGTGGGAAATAAGTGGAATGAGACTGAAGGAACTGCACTGGTGGCAGATGATGCCACTTTTGCCATTAACGTGATTGCTGAGAGTCATGAAACATGAGTGGATGTACCTTGTTTAACAGTTCCAAGTATATGGAAACCATCACCTTGTAGAGTATGTGATGTCAGAAATACCTTTCTGTCTTTGAGAATTGAAACCTTTGAAGGTTTAATTATACGTTTTTTTTTTTGCTTTAGAAATTCTGCAAGAAAGGATCTGTCAGGTTTAATCCAGTTTAGGGGTATTTGAACATGCAGATATGTTATATGTTAGAGTTAGGCAGAGAATTATGAAACCGAAGAACCTGTACTTAGTGCTGTTGCCAGTTGAGGATCAGTGAGAAGATAAATTACCTTTGAAATTGTAATGTTAAATTTGGGGAGAATGAGACTGAAATTAGAGGGGATTTAAAGTATAGCAATGAAATATGTTGGCTTCTAGCAAGTACCGTTACACTGTTTTCCTGTCTCTGTTAATTAACATCAGTTTGCTGTTACCTTACTTTGTTGCTTTAAACAAAAATTTCAGCCTCTAGATCTGTAAAGTGATCTATACATTTAAAGGAATGAAATAGTTTATTTAATCAGAATATAGAATAAATGTAGCAAATAGGAGTGTAGAGTACCCAAGGATTGTCAGAAGCTTTTTGCTAACCTATTCATTGTGTGTTACAACCACCTCACCAAAGTTCACCTGTCTACCTATCTATCCTTGAATGAGATTAAATGCTATTATGAGGTTATTTTCTTTGTGTTTTTTTTTTTTTAGACGGAGTCTTGCTCTGTCACCTAGGCTGGAGCACGGTGGCGCGATCTCGGCTCACTGATCCTGGCTCTCTGCCTCCCGGGTTCAAGCGATTCTCCTGCCTCAGCCTCCCGGGTAGCTGGGACTACAGACGTGCACCACCACACCCGGCTAATTTTTGAATTTTTAATAGAAACGAGGCTTAGCCATGTTGGTCAGGCATGTCTTGAACTCCTGACCTCAGGTGATCCGCCCACCTCAGCCTCCCAAAGTGCTGGGATTACAGGCATGAGCCACTGTGCCTGGCCAGTGAGGTTATATTCTAATGTCATGCTGTATTCTTAAAATTGTTTTTCATCATAACCACGTGTAAAAATTTATTCTGAAATGGAATTTGGTGAGCTTCAGTGTGAGTTTCTTTTTATTTTAAAGAGAGGGTAAACTTTTGTTAATACTGCCTATCGTAAACATTGTATGAAGATCCTTTAAAGTAGGTGAATCTCTGTTGTATAGAATAATTAGCAAACTAAAAAAACTTCAGTTTTTTTTTTGGCTAAAGGAGGGGAACAGCATGGATAATTTAGCAAATTTAAACGAATGTTATCACAGGCCTGCAGTGATTCTTTGATTTGCCTGTCTACTGAGGACTCTCTAATGTAAAAGATAATCAAATACTTCTTAAATATAGTTTATTTTTTTGGGGTGAAGATTTATTTGTTACTGTTATCTGGATTCATATAAACTAATTTGTAGGGCCCAGTTTAGTCATAACTCTCTTGAGATTTGAAAGGATGATACATTTTGTGTAAATCTGTGGACTGAATTTAAGAGTTTTTTAAAATTTGATATTTGGGGAAGCAATCTAAATGTCTGTATAAAATCCATTTGAAAGTTTCAAATGGGTACGATAAAAATTGAATATGATAGTGCTATTTCATTGTAAACATTACGTATATATCTTCCATTGATACACTTGCTTTTCATATATTCATAAGCATTTCAGGACTGAGGCTGGGCACTATGTCCCATGCCTGTAATCCCAGCACTTTGGGAGGCCAAGACAAGTAGATCCGTTGAGCCCAGGAGTTTAAGACAAGCCTGGGCAACGTGCTAAAACGCTGTCTCTACAAAAAATACAAAAATTAGCTGGGTGAGATGGTGCGCACCTGTAGTTCTGTTTACTCAGGAGGCTAAGGCGGGAAGATAGATTGAGCCTGGGGGATTGAGGTGGTAGTGAGCCACGATTGGACCACTGCACTCCAGCCTGGGCGACAGAGTGAGACCCAGTCTCAAAAGAGGCAAAAAAACAAAAAATAAGAATTTCAGGAATAAGAATTTTCAGAACCGGAGATGACTAAAAGAGTTCTTCCTCACATAGATGAGAACTTGAGACCTAGTGGACTTTTAGTGAGTCCAGGTAGTAGTAGATGAGCTGGGAGTAAACCCCGGATTTCTTGCTATTCGGTGGCATTGTTTCCAGTACAAATTGATGTGCATTTCAGACATGTATTTCAGATGTGGTTAGGGGTCTCACCAGGACTTTTAAGATTAGAAAATTTAATTGATAGCAGTAACCATTTGTGCTATCTCCCCAGATAGCCTGAAATTCGCTGTTGAGTTCTTGAGTTTAAATATTTTTTAGCATTCTCATATCCTCGAAGCTTACTTTAGTTTTACAAATAATTGTCTGGAATATTTGGAGACGTGGAAACAACATTTAATTCTTAATCTCAGGCATTGTCCGGTTTTGAAAAAGGCCTTGACAATTATTTTTCTCTCCCAATGCTATATATTTTGCGAGAGCTCTGGAGACAAGTTTTGAGCTACTAACAAAGGAATGGAAATGAATGAGTTTAGTTGCATGCCAGTGAACAAGTTATCTTCTGAAAGTGTCACTACTGTGGTTACTCATAGTAAATGTGGACCCGGGGAAGTGAGAGCTCCTGCTGCTTCTTGGGGTCTTCTAAAGGCTGCTGTTACTCTGCAGAGCAGACCCACCCTTGTTTATCTTCTCCCTATTTTCTAGTCAGCCTTCTCTTAGAGCTCATGGGTTCCACAATACATTACCCTTAAGGTGTTTTATCTTGGAACACAGAAGTGTGCTTTGTAAATGGGCAAACTGGAATTCTTTGAAAAAGCTTAACTTTCTTGAACTAATGAAAACATGTTTTGTTAATGGAAGTAAATGCAAAACTGGGCTACAAAAATGAAAATGTATTTTTCTGGGGGCCAAATCACAAATGATCAGATGCTGTTCTTTAGGAGTGAGAATAAGGTCACCAGTAAGTATCTACTTCTTCAGAGAGAAATAAAATATGGCCGCATTTGAAAGTTACTTCAGGCTGGGCGTCATGGCTCACGCCTGTAATCCCAGCGCTTTGGGAGGCCAAGGCAAGTGGATCTATTGAGGTCAGGAGTTTGAGACCAGCCTGGCCCAAATGGCGAAACCCCATCTATACTGAATTACAAAAATTAGCCGGGTGTGGTGGCGGGTACCTGTAATTCCAGCTACTCGGGAGGCTGAGGCACGAGAATCACTTGAACCCAGGAGATGGAGGTTGTAGTGAGCCGAGATCGCACCATTGCACTCCAGCTGGGGCAACAGATCGAGACTCAAAAAAAAAAAAAAGTTATTTCAGTTACTGAATGCAATTCAATATTAGACAGTTACTGTACGCCTTTGAAAGATGCTGTTCACTAGGATGATAGAACTTATAGGATAAAGTTATAGAACAGCTGACTCCTAATTGAATCTCTTACTGAAATAATTAGGTTATTTTCTCTTACTGAAATAATTAAGTTAGATTATATATGCTTTGTGGCAGTTTTTAAGCCCTAAACTGGCTTTAACGTCATTTATTTTTGGAGTATGTATAACATTTTTGTCTGTTAGTACAAATGATTGAAATTTGATTTTATTCATTTTTGTGACTCTTTAGAGAGCAGAATTCATGGACTTTTCTATTGATTTAATGTTCTGATTTTTCCCATTGCTTTCTAAAATTCTCAGTTTACTTTTACAAGAATTATTTCTGGAAAACGGTTTTAAAAGATCAGATCAGGCAGTGTTTTTTTTGATAACTTAATAGAATTGCTTAAAATCTCTGCATTTGATTATATCTTTACATTGTAAAATGACTTTCTTAGGTTGACAAAATACCTAGTTTAATTTAGCTATTATAGTGTTTTACATTCAAGACTGTTTTCTTAAGAGAAACAACAAAATCATAACAGAAAATACAAGTTAATATCTCTTTGTTATGTAGCCCTTTGGGGTTTTTCTAAATCTGTTCAGTACTGTTTTAAATGCTGTTAGAAATGGGAGGTGTTATCCTTACTTTATATAGATAAGGACATTGATGATCTGGTTTGTTCAATTTTGTGCTATAAGACCGTTCAAGAACTTGAGATGATACCTTAAGTCAATTAGGCTTTCTGTTTTCATTTCATGATATCCATGTGCACTCAAGAATCTCTTGACATGGATAACACAGTTTTTTGTTTTGTTTTGTTTTTTTAAACAATTGAGCCTTTGGTTGGGCATTGGTTCAGCTACCAACTTTATGCTACCTTTTCTATAAACTCTAGAAGCTTCAGTTTTCTCACCTGGGATTAATGGGAAAATGGGATTAATACGATTATCATTGTTACTGAGGTTGCAAATGGGGTGGTGAGGGAACGGAATTGCAGAGTCTGCTTGTGATCTTTTCGGGACAAAAATGAAAATATGAAAAACATTCTTACCATAGCAGTTGTTTTGTGTACTACTATTGGAAATTACCAAAATAATGGTACAAGTACCTGTCAGAAGTATTTGTTTACAAAAGATCTGTACACGTGGTTTGTTAATGTTTTGTTTTAAAGGTTACGAGAAGTTTCTGAGAAGCTGAACAAATATAATTTAAACAGGTAAGAGTTTTAAAATATTTAAATCTTCTGACAACAATTTTTCTTTATTAAGAAAAAACTCATTTAGGCGGCAGCCTGATATGATTAAGATTAATGTGATTATTAGACTTTAAGAATCTTTTAATCTGTCAACTTTTTATGGGTTGGGCTTATTTGAATTATAGATTGCATTCATGCTTTTTTTTTTTTAAATCTGGCATACAGGGAGATATAAATGATTATGGAGATATTATTTTTCAATTATTGCTTTAAAGTAAATATTAGTTTAAAAAATAGGTTTTGCCAACTTTTTTTTTCTAATTGTATTTAAGAGTAAACCCTATGATGTATTTACCATTAAAAAATAATTTAACTTTTTCTTTTTTTATCTCTCAGCCACCCCCCTTTGAATGTATTGGAACAGGCTACTATTAAACAGTGTGTGGTGGGACCAAATCATGCTGCCTTTCTTCTTGAGGTAAATTATTCACTCTAAGATACAGAAATGAAAAATAAACTGTTAAAATAGAATTGTGCATCATTGTATCTCTTCCATTATAACAGGAAAACAGCAGTTACTTGAAAGTTATCTTGAAGAGCTCCCAGTTCTCTTTCCTCCTCTGGCCCAGAGAAAGCTTACATGATTTGCCAGAGTGTGAAACTAATTAGTAACAGAATAGGGGAGTCTCCTAAATCCAGTCATTTTCTTACTTTGAATTTTGTCAGATTGAGATGTTGTAAATTATTTTCGACTGGTTTCTTGATAATGTTATGTATGTCATATTTCCCCATCTCAGGTGTAAGCACCTTTTGGAAGGAAGTTTATTTATCGTCTTCTGAATTGACAGTGATGGGCACAGAATCTCTTTGTTGAATAAATTCAAATTTTAATACACATTTTTACTTGGATAATTTTTTCTGTTTTCTTTGCTTTTAGGATGGTAGAGTTTGCAGGATTGGTTTTTCAGTACAGCCAGACAGATTGGAATTGGGTAAACCTGATAATAATGATGGGTAAGATATTATGTCCTTTCTATTTAATATGTATTTAGCTCTTAGGTATTATATTAAACCTGTGTTTTGATTTCGGTAACCCTCAACTTAAAGCATCACAGAAAATTAGATCTTTTAAAACAGTGAAACTATTGCTTTCTAGTTTAATTTTAATCTTTATGCAAGCGATGATTCACAGCCCAAAGTACTAACATTAAAAGTAGCAGAGGAGTCAGTTATCACTTAACAGAAACAGGTTACCAGAAGAATGATATTACGTGTTTAGTAGGTACCAAGTCAAATCTGCTCTTTAACTGAAATGATTTTATAGATCATTTCCAAATTAAGCAATGCAATTTGAAATAACAGGGTTGTAAAAAATGTTGGTCTTCAAAAATTTACCTCTTGCTTTCCCCCAGGTCAAAGTTGAACAGCAACTCGGGGGCAGGGAGGACGTCAAGGCCTGGTAGGACAAGCGACTCTCCATGGTTTCTCTCAGGTTCTGAGACTCTAGGCAGGCTGGCAGGCAACACCTTAGGGTAAGTTGTGGCCAGTTGAAGGCACCATCTTACAGATGGTCTGTATCATCTTCCTGTGAGTGCTCTCAGTCTGAATGATCATCTTCAATATTCTATCTAGTGATGGAGTGAGAAAATTCTCCTGAACTCTGGGCAGGAAGTTCATATTGCTCAGGGTGAGCCACCATGATAAAAATAACTCACACAGGCTAATTACAATTAATCTAGGCTCTTGACCTTTAAAAAATGTATATAATGTTTACATATGTTTATAATGTCACGCCATTTATTTCATTTAAAATTTTAAATGATTTTATCTTTGGTCCTCTCTTACAACTTATTCTTGGTACAACTTATTCTTTGTACTATAACAGCAGAGATGAGTAATTGGGACAGACTAGCCTCCAAAGCATAAACTTATTTATGATTTGGCCCTTTACAGTAAAAGTCTGCTCATCCCAGGTTTTGCTTGTCAATTTATATACTGGCGTTTGTTCCTGATCCTATTTATTTATTTCTGGCATCCAACTCTGGTAGTTCTTTCTGAATCAGTTTAATGAAGTTTGTAAATGATGTAATTAAACGTTATTTATTACTTTTATTTTTTTCTAGAGATAGGGTCTTGCTGTGTTGCCCAGGCTGGTCTTGAACTCCTGGCCTCAAGTGATTCTCCTGCTTTGGCCTCCCAGAGTTTTGGGATTACACGTCTGAGGCATTGCACTCAGACACTTTTATCTAAAGTTTATATACTGTTAAACTAAAGAAACCATATACAAATTTCAAGTCAGGTGCTTTTACTCATTTTATACCTTGATTCTTGAATGGCCAGATTTTCTGAAAATACCCAGTTAATGATTAGATTATGCTACTTCAGTCACCACGTGTTTGAAGGCTGATCACAGAAAACTAGAAGCAATGTAACTAGTTTCAAAATATAATTAAATGGAGGAGGAAGTGTTTGGCTTTTTTCCCTCCAGACCACAAATTGGTAGGTAAAGTAAAAGTTAGATTTGAAAATTGGGCCTGGGTGTGGTGGCTTACACCTCTCAGCACGTTGGGAGGCCAAGGTGAGTGGATCTGTTGAGTCCCAGAGTTTAAGACCAGCCTGGGCAACATGGCAAAATGCCATTTTTACTAAAAATACAAAAATGTAGCTGAATGTGGTGGCGCATGCCTGTAGTCCTAGCTACCCAGGAGGCTGAGGTGGGAGGATCATCTAAGCCCAGGAAGTTGAGGCTGCAGTGAGCCATGATAATGCCACTGTATGCCATCCTGGGCAATGGAAATGAGAGACCCCCGTCTCAAAAAAAAAAAAAAAAAAGAAAAGAAAAGGGTTGTGGGGGGGATACCAAAATGATTACTTTCTTTGCGTTTGTGTTTTCATGCTGAACTAAATTTATTTTAGAATGTGAGGAAAGTTTTTAGTTGAGTACATCCTTTAGCTATACTAAATATAGCTCTTGTCTTTATTAAAATGTTATATGTGCTCTTTTAATGGTCCTAGGCACACAGTATATGATAAAGAATTCTGAAAATAGCATGTAATAACATGAAATTTTATTTCATGTGATAAAACTGAAAAATTTTTGATTATATTTAAGAATAAGTATTACCGGTTATACTGTTGCCAAATAGTACCTTTCTTAAAGATGAACATTTTTTTGTTTAGTTTAAGGATCAGTAAAGTATAGCCTGCATGCCAAATCCAGCCACCCCAGTTTTTATTGAAAGACAGCCATACTTATTATCTGTGGCTGTCTTTGTACTATAACAGCAGAGATGAGTAGTTGGGACAGACTAGCCTCCAAAGCATAAACTATTTATGATTTGGCCCTTTACAGTAAAAGTCTGCTCATCCCAGGTTTTGCTTATCAGTTTATATACTGGCATTTGTTCCTAATCCTATACTCTATTTAGTTTTTATTTTTTAATTTTTAATTTTTTTTGAGACAGAGTCTTGCTCTGTCACCCAGGCTGGAGTGCAGTGGCACAATCTCGACTAACTGCAACCTCCGCCTCCCGGGTTCAAGCAATTCTCCAGCCTCAGCCTCCCAAGTAGCTGGGACTATAGGCGCGTGCCACCACGCCCTCCTAATTTTTGTATTTTTAGTAGAGACAGGGTTTCACCATTTTGGCCAGGTTGGTCTTGAACTCCGGACCTCAGGTGATCCACCCATCTCAGCATCCCAAAGTGCTGGGATTACAGGCCTGAGCCACCGCACCCAGCCTACTCTTATTTATTTTTAAATTTTATTTTTCATTTTGAAATAATTTGACCTTATAAAAAGTTTGCAAAAATAGCACAAATAATTTATGTGTACGTTGCACCCAGCTTCCGTGTTAATGTTTTACATTTACATAATCATATTATCAAAACCAAGAAATTAACATTGATCACTGATTAATATACAGAGTTTATTTAAGTTTCTCCAGTTGTCCACTAATACCCTTTTGTCCAGGATTCAGTCCAGGATCCCAGTTGCATTGAGTTGTCATGCTGCTGCTGCTGCTGCTTTTTTTTTAAATAGAGATAGGATCTTGTTCTGTTGCCCAGGCCAGAGGGCAGTGGCACAATGATAACTCACTATAACCTTGAACTCCTGGACTTAATGCAATCCTCCTGCCTCAGCCTCCCAAGTAGCTAGGATGTAGGTATGGGCCACCACCACACCTGGCTAACTTTTTAAAGTTTTGTAGGTAATTTTTAAATTTTTTGTGGAGACAGGGTCTCTCACTATGTTCCCTAAGCAGCCATGCTTCTTTAGTTTCCTCTAATCTGGGCCAGATCCTCAGTCTTTATCTTTCTGGCCATGATGAGTTTGAAAAACCAGTGGTTATTTTGTAGAATGTTTGGATTTGTTTATCATTTCTCGTGATTAAACTCAAGTGATACATTTTTTGCAAGAATACCACAGAAGTGATGATGTGCCCTTTTCAGTGCATCATATCAGGTGGCATGTGATGTTACTGTTGTTTTATTACTGGAAAGGAGGTGTCCTGTGATTAGTTAAGATGGTGTTTACCTGTTTCTCCACTATAAAGTTACTATTTTCCCATTTTTCTTTAATATGCATTTTGTGGGGAGATACTTTGTGACTCTGCAAATATCCTCTTCCTCATCATACTTTTGCTCACTGAGTTTAGCATTTATTGATGATTCTTTTTTTGTCTGAATCAGTTGTTACTGTGGTGTTGGCCAAATGGTGATTTTTTAAAAAAATTATCATTTCTTTTACATTTATTAATTGGAATTCAACTGTAAGGAAGAACTTTCCCTCCTCTACCCCATTTCTTTATTTGTTTACTTTTTTTATTATTTGTTTATTTTTTTTGAGACGGAGTCTCGCTCTGTCACCCAGGCTGGAGTGCAGTGGCGCGATCTCGGCTCACTGCAAGCTCCGCCTCCTGGGTTCGTGCCATTCTCCTGCCTCAGCCTCTCGAGTAGCTGGGACTACAGGTGCTCACCAACATGCCCAGGTAATTTTTTTGTATTTTTAGTAGAGACAGGGTTTTGCCATGTTGGCCAGGACGGTCTCGATCTCCTGACCTCGTGATCCAACTGCCTCGGCCTCCCAAAGTGCTGGGATTACAGGCCTGAGCCACTGCACCCGGCCCATTATTTATTTATTTATCTATCTAATTTGAGACAGAGTCTCCCTCTGTCACCCAGGCTGGAGTGCAGTGGCATGATCTCAGCTCACTGCAACCTCTGCTTCTGGGTTCAAGTGATTCTCGTGCCTCAGACTTCTGAGTAGCTGTAATTACAGGCGCCCACCACCACGCTTGACTAAGTTTTGTATTTTTAGTAGAGACAGGGTTTCACCATGTTGGCCAGGCTGGCCTTGAACTCCTGACCTCAAGTGATCTCCTTGCCTTAGCCTCCCAAAGTGCTAGGATTACAGGTGTCAGCCACCGCGCCTGGCCTTATTTTTTATTCTATTTATTTCTTTTTCTCTTATGTTATTTACATCATTATAGTCTCATGGATATTTGTTTTATTCTCCAGTTTATAACCCATTTCTCTTATTATGTTGCTCAAATTGTCTTAGGCTTAAATCCTCTTAAAACTTGGAAATAACCAATTATAATAGAATGTATGACAGAATGACTAAAGTAGGATGGTAGAATTTTGTGACTTTGTTAATAAAAATATACAACAAATATAATAATGTTTGAATAAAACCTCTGTAGACCTACTCTGAAGAAGATTAGGGCTAATTTTAAGACTTTAAAATGCAGACAGAATCCTTAGTTTTCTGAGTCCCCTTACCCATTTCTTACACTCCCCGTAAACCCCTCTTTGTGCCTCTGTTCTCTCTGCCAGAACAGACTGTGTAAGCGTTCTTTAAGCATTAGGTCCATGATTGCAATACTGTAAAATGTCATAGTGCCTCCTGACCAACTTGATGCCAGTGATTTGTTTACTTATATTTGAGTTTGCAGATGTTTACAAAGTATAAGCAGTTAAATTCTGATTGTTTCTCTTGGGCTGTATGAAAAATCTTTGCAGTTTGTTGAAGGTGAAATTGTGATTAAGTTATTTTGTAAATCAAATTTTTTTTTTACAGTCACACATATTTTCCTTTATAGTAAATGTGTTTCCTTGATTTGTACATTGCTCTTTTTTTTTTTTTTTCAATTTCTGTGTTAATTACAATTAACTTTAGAGAAGCTTGCAATTTATAACATGTATTGGGGAATCTAGGACAGGCAAATCTTGTGTCCTCAAAGGGGAGTCTTTAAACCACAGATTTACCAAATACAATGCAATATGAAAGAGACTGTCCCCAGAGACCTTGGTCCTCACTCCTGTCCTGCAGAGTCTAGGCCTGCTCACTTTTGCTGCTGGGAGTTGTCCTGGATCAGGAAGTGAATAGTCTCTTTGAGAGCCACATTTTTAAAGAGTTTGGGATTATTGGTACAGTTTTTTAGCATGGATTTTTTTTTTTTTTTTTTTTTTTTGAGAGACAGGATCTCCCTCTGTTGCCCAGGCTGGATTGCAGTCATGTGATCTTGACCCACTGCAGCCTTGACTTCGCAGCCTCAAGTGTTCCTCCCACCTCAGCCTCCCAAATAGCTAGGACTACAGGCATGCCCCACCACACCCTGCTAATTTTTGTATTTTTGGTAGAGCAGGGTTTTGCCATGTTGCCCAGGCTGGTCTTTAACTCCTGACCTTGAACAGTCTGCCTGCCCCAACTTCCCAAAGTGCTGAGGTAACAGGCATGAGCCACTATGCCCGGCCAGCATGGATAATTGAGAATTGATCATTTATTTTGACTGATTATTTTTAGGAATACATACTGATCCATTTAATGTTTTTTCCTTAGAAGATTTTGCTAATTGTCAGATTTGTGTGCTAAAGATTTCTAGCTGCTACTGTTTTCTTTCTTTAGTAATTACTTCAAGTTTATCCTGCAAGGTATTTCAAAAATCTCCTAGGTATTTTTTTTAAACTCATTTTAAACCAGCTTAAGGGTAAGAGCACCAGATTTATTTGGGGTAGAGAAGGGAGTTTATTTTTGTTTAATAAATAGTAAGGTGAAAATGGACCTGTATCGAAAGTTCCTATTCTGTTACTTGTGACCGTTGAACAATAGATGATAGGTATAAGCTGCTTTTCGTTGATTTGAGCTACCATATTCCTTTAGGGTTTAATCTGAGCTAATAGTACGTGAATTGAAATGTATAATTTTACTTGCAAATAGTTGAAGGCCCCCTTCAGGTGGGTAAGACAGTTTGTAGCAGGATTCTGACAAACTGGATTCCCCATTTTTCAAGGAGGCTGCTGGTAAACTGGTTTTGTCTATAGGAGAATACAGGGCCATGGTTGGCAAATTCAAATCCTTGTGTCCCTCCCTGCCTTATTTTGTCCCAAGAAAACCTGCAAATCTGGATTGTGTGATAATCTCTTATCTTAAATGTTGGGACTAATTGATATTTTCATGGAAATAAATATACACATACACACAGTCACATCATTCAGACTTGTGTGTGCATACATGTTATGTACATTTTAAAAATAAACTATTTTAGGATAGGGTTTTTTTTTTTTTTTTTTGAGACAGGATCTGGCTCTGTCACCCGGGTTGGAATGCAGTGGCATGATTTTGGCTTATTGCAGCCTCCGCCTCCTGGGCTCAAGCCATTCTCCTACCTCAGCCTCTCAAGTAGCTGGGACTACAGGCATGCACCACCATGCCCAGCTAATTATTTTTTTGTGGAGACTGGGTTTTGACAGGTTGCCCAGGCTAGTCTTGATCTCCTGAGCTCAAGATCTGCCCATCTTGGTCTCTCAAAGTTCTGGAATTACAGGCGTGAACCCAGCCTATGGTTTTAGATTGACAAAATTTCAAACATCATACTGAGAGTTCCCATGTACCCCATGTCTAGTTTCCAATATTATTAAAATCTAATGTTAGTATGGTACATGTGTTACAATTAATGAGTGGTGATACTAAAGTCATCCATAGGTTATTCACATTTCCTTAGTTTTTCATAATGCCCTTTTTCTGTTCTAAGATCCCATCCAGGATTCCACTTTATATTTAGTCACCCTTTCTCATTAGATTCCTCTTGACTGTGACCGTTTCTCAGACTTTTCCTTGTTTTTGATGATAAATACACATTTTAAACCAGCCACCTATATGGACAAGACTTGGCCCATGGGCTTTAAGTTTGCAAGCTGTGGACTAATTCCATACTAGGTATGATATCCTTAGTTCATTTTGAGTCATTCTGTGTACCTTGAGAACTGTATAACGGGATCAAAATTGTAGGATTAATTTGATAAGCAAACCACAGAAAGTAGAAACAGGTTTTCCCAGTACTTGTTAGTTTAATATTAAAAATTATGTTGCTCACTGTAATTATAGATAAAAGGAATCAACTGATTCCAGTACTGTCTTTTGTGACTACCAATAGACCTCTATTAGAATATGCTTAGTTTAACACATTAATCTTTATATAGATAGTGAGCTGGTTAGAGGAATGTTAATGGCGATTGACGTACGGGGACTGGTAGGTGGTTTGGATTCTGATAGGAGAAAACACTGCACACAGCAGGCCAGAGTGGGAATACCTGTATTCTCTATGGTAACAGTCAGGTGAATGGAGAAACTGGAGAGATATTTTGACGGTTGTCTTTAAACTCAATGGAGGGCTTGTGTAGCAGAGATTGTAAACTGGCAGCTGCTGGTGGTGTAATGGATTAAATCAGCAGTGCTTATAGAAAAGAATTTGAGTGTTTTTAGATAGGCAGATAGTCTCCTGTCTTCCCTGTTATCTTGGCTTCCCTTGTTTACGTAGCTTATCTACCTCTCATGGAGATATGAGTTTGAGATACTTGTAAGGTCTGCCCAGGAGCAGATGTGTACTTGGATACTATTTCTGATCAGGCTTGTAATAGTACTTGCTTGTGGAAAAAAATGGTGATGCATTTCTTAGTGAAAATATGGAGTCTTCCCTTTAATCTGTGATGGCCATATAATTTATTGTCTGAACAGGGACGTTTTTGAGTGAAATTAATAGTTAGGCTTAGCCAATAGGCTTAAACTGGCACTATCATAGGCAAACTGGTATATATAGTTATAATTATATCATTTTAAGGCTCTTTAATGTGGTTTTTCCTGTTTTCACATTGAAATAATTTACATATTTAGCTCTTGAATGTTTTTAAAAATGACTGAAGATAGTTTTTCCTGAAAGACTTAGTTTTTAAAACTCATAGGAAACTATGAAGTAAAAGTGCTGATTTAATAGTTGATTTTTGTTGTTGTTGTTGGAGACAGAGTCTCACTCTGTCACCCAGGCTGGAGTGCAGTGGTGCGATCTTGGCTCACTGCAACCTCTGCCTCCTGGGTTCAAGTGATTCTCCTGCCTCAGTCCCCCCAAGTAGCTGAGACTACAGGCACCCACCACCAAACCTGGCTAATTTTTATATTTTTCGTAGAGCTGGGGTTTCACCAGGTAGGCTAGGCTGGTCCCGAACTCCTGACCTCAAGTGATCCGCCCATCTCAGCCTCCCAAAGTGCTGGGATTACAGGTGTGAGCCACCACACCCAGCCAATAGTTGATTTTTAATTTTAAAAACAATTTAAAAACTTATTTTAGAGACAGAGTCTCACTCTGCCACCCAGCCTGTAGTGCAGTAGTGTGTTGATAGCTCACCACAGCCTCAATTTCCTGGGCTCAAGCAGTCCTCCTGCCTCAGCCTTCTAAGTAGCTGGGACTGTAGGCGCACAAGTAGTTGATTAGTAGTTGATTTTATTCCCTATTTGTGTTTCATTCGTTCTTTGTTGTTTTCTGATGCATAATTGTTTTAATATATAACTTGAAAAGAAAACATGTCTACTTTCTAGAGTAGTACTTTAATACAACTTCAGTTTTAAGTGAATTTAAAATTTAATTGTAAAACCATAAAATTTACCATTATAAGCATTTTTAAGTATATACAGTTTAGTAGTGTTAAGTATGTCCACACTGTTGTTGTGAAACAGCTTTCTAGAACTTTTTCATCTTGTGAAGTTGGAACTTTATACCCGTTAAATAACAAGAGCTCTTTTTTTCTCTCCCTCTAGTCCCTGGCAGCCACCAATTCTACTTTGTTTCTGTGAATGTCTATTTAAGATGCCTCATATAAGTGGAACCACTGAGGTTTTTTTTGTGTGTGTGTGTGTGACAGGCTTATTTCAGTTATCATAATGTTTTGAAAGTTCATCCATGTTGTAGCATGTGATAGGATTTCCTTTTAAAAGCTGAATAATATTCTATTGTATGTATGTATCACCTTTTGTTGGACATTTGGGTAGCTTCTACCACTTGGCAATTGTGAATGATGCTGCTTTGAACATGGGTTTGCAAGTATCTCTTTAAGACCCTGGTTTCAATTCTTTCGAATATATACCAGACATGCAATTGCTGGATCATATGGTAGTTCTTTTAATGTTTTGAGGAATCTCCATATTGTTTTCCGAAAGTGGTTGTTCCGTTTTACAATCCCACCAACAGTGCACATGGGTTCCAGTTTCTACACATACTCGCAACACTTGTAATTTTTTTTTTCTTGATAGTAGCCATCCTAATCAGCATTAGTTAATCTCTTGTTGTAGTTTGGTTTGGATTTCTCTGATGATTAATGGTGTTAAACATCTTTTCATTTGCTTGTTGGCCATTTATATATCACGTTTGGAGAAATATCATTTCACGTCCTTTGCCCATTTTTTAATTAGGCTATTTAATTTTTTTTTGGTTGAGTTGTAGGAGTTATTTATATATTCTGGATATTATCCTCTTATCAGATATATGATTTGCAAATATTTTCTCTCATTCTGTAGGTTGTCTGTTGATTGTGTCCTTTGATACACAGAGTTTTAAAGTTTGATGTGCTGTTTGTTTATTTTTGCTTTTGTTGCCTGTGTTTTTTTGGCATCATATCTAAGCAATAATCACCAAGTCCATGAAGCTTTTCCCTTATGTTTCCTTCTAGGAGTTTTATCGTTTTAGGTCTTTAATTCATTTTTTGTTAATTTTTGTATATAATGTAAGATAAGGGTTCAACTTCATTCTTTTGCATGTGGATATCCACTTTTCCCAGCACCACTTGTTGAAGAGACTATTTTTTTTTCCCCTAAGTGGTCTTATCACCTGTGTAAGATAATTTGGCGATATATAGGAGGGTTTATTTCTGGGTTCCATTTTGTTTCATTGGTCTTTTTTGTCGTTATGCCCATACCCATACTGTTTTAAATACTTCAGCTTTGTTATATGCTTTGAAATTGTGAAGTGTGAATCCTTCAACTTTGTTCTTTTTCCAAACTGTTTTGGCTGTCTGGGCTTGCCTCAGATTCCATGTGAATATTTAGGGACAAACTTTTCAATTCTTTTTTTGTTTTGTTTTGTTTTTAAGACAGGGTTTTGCTCTGTTACCCAGGCTGGAGTGCAGTGGCACAAACATGGATGGCTCACTGAAGCCTTGACCTATTGGGCTCAAGCTTTCTGCCTGCCTCAGTCTCCTGCATAGCTGAGACCATTGACACGTTCCACCATGCCTGGCTAATGTTTTGATTTTTTTTGTAGAGACAGGTCTCAATGTGTTGCCAGGGCTGTTCCAGAACTCCTGGGCTCAAGTGATCCTCCCGCCTTGGCCTCCAGCGATCCTCCCGCCTTTGCTTGCCAAAGTGCTGGGATTACAGACATGAGCCACTATGCCCAGCCAATTTTTTTATTTGTTAAAGAAGAAAAGCCATTGGGATTTTGATAGGGATTGTGTTGAATGCTTTGGGTAGGGTAGACCTCTTAGCAATATTCGGTCTTTCAATTCATGAACCCAAGATACTTTTCTTATCTGTGTCATCTTTAAATTTCTTTCAGCAGTGTTTTTTACTTTTCAGTGTATAAGTCTTAGGTTTTATTCCTAAGTAGTTTGTTTTTTTTTGACGCTACTGTTAAGTGGGGCTTGTTTTCTTTTTTCTTTCTTCTCCTCTCCACTTGGCTCTCTCTCCCTTCCTGTCCTCTTTCCCCCTTTGCTCTTCTCTCTCCCCTCTCCCCTCCCTTTCTCTCCTCTTGTCTCTTTCTGTGAGACAGAGTCTTGATCTGTAGCCAAGGCTGGAGTGCAGTGGCACAATCATGGCTCACTGCAGCCTCCGCCTCCTGGGCTCAAGCCATCCTCCCACTTCAGCCTCCCTGCTGGGACTACACGTGAGTGCCACCATGGCTGGCTAATTTTTTTATTTTTTGTAGAGATGGGGTCTTGCCATGTTGCCTAGGCTGATTTCAAACTTCTGGGCTCAGGTGATCCTCCCTCTTGGGCCTTCCAAAGTGTTGGGATTACAGGTGTGGGCTACCACGCCCAGCCTGGATTGTTTTTTTAATTTCCTTTTTTTGTTGATGTAATGTGCTTTTAATGAAGCCCCTTTGTTTTTCATCTGGCCTATGAATAGTTATTTAAACATGACATTTACTAGCTGAAATAAATGCTGTTTCATACTGCAGCCTTGAGGATGCATTATATTGCTTTTCTCCAAAGTTATCTTGGGCAGTTCTTAGGCTATAGATACAGATACTGCATAAACATGAATTGGTAGTGTGCATCAGCAAGTACAGAAGCTCGTCAAAAGGATGACAACAGCTTTTCTAGGTTTATTTTTTCATTTTACTGAGGAAACTATTTAAACAGTTTTTTATTTAGCCAGAGATTGGGCTTTCCAGTCAAGTGAGAGGAGAAACCATGGAAATTTGATGTATATTGATTTGAGAATCATTATTGGTTAATGTATTCCAAACTTTTTAAGGGGGGAAATGGTTTGGAAAATCAAATTGAAATGAAATCTGTTTGCATTGGGAGTTTGAAGGTTTCAGCCTTAGGCGAGTACGGTAGGAACTGAGAGTAAAATACCTCTCTCTAGGTCATATGATCTCCAATTATTAGATTCATTTTGAAGAGAAAAGACACTGCCCTAATTTAAAAAGCTGAAGTGACTTGTGTGACCATTTTCTTTAAGATGTGATTAAGTACAGAAGGCAATCATGGTTATCTAGATGACTTGATTTAATCTTCTTGATGTTCATGTTTGGACAGTAAGAGAAGATGTAGATGTCATGCCCTTTCTAAGTTGTTTTCTCATAAGAAAAAATTAACTTATTTAAATAGCAGCTTTCTCTTGGACAAGGTGGTTGATAGTGCTGAATATTAATGCAGTACTATCTCAGCAAATGAATGTTTATTTCATGTGAAGCACTTTGAATTCTAAACTCTGAATTTTACTTTTTGTGTAACAGTGTTGGTAGTTAAGTCTGATAGGTCTTTCATGCAAAGGCAAGATGTGTTCATTTTATTTCATTTAATTAATTAATTTATTTATTTTTGAGACAGAGTCTCGCTCTGTTGCCCAGGCTGGAGTGCAGTGGCGCGATCTCGGCTCGCTGCTACCTCTGCCTCCTGGGTCCTGGTTCAAGCAGTTCTTCCTCAACCTCCCGAGTAGCTGGGATTACAGGCACGTGCACCATGCCCAGCTAATTTTTGTATTTTTAATAGAGACAGGGTTTCTCTATGTTGGCCAGGCTAGTCTTGAACTCCTGACCTCGTGATCCACCTGCCTTGGCCTCTCAAAGTGCTGGGATTACAAGGCATGAGCCACCATGCCTGACCAATGTGTTCATTTTATAGTTGTGATTAGAAATACATAGGTGGCTTTAAAAAATTATTTTCGCAGCGCTTTGGGAGGCCACGGTGGGTGGATCACCTGAGGTTGGGAGTTCGAGACTAGCCTGACCAATATGGTGAAAACCCATCTCTACTAAAAATATGAAAATTAGCCAGGCTATGGTGGCCCTCACCTGTAATCCCAGCTACGCAGGAGGCAGAGGCGGAGGTTGCAGTGAGCCGAGATCGTGCTACTGCAACCCCAGCTTGGGCGACAGAGGGAGACCCTGTCTCAAAAAAAAAAGTTTTTTTAAGGATCCAAAAGTGTGATGTTTATCTTTATAAAAAGTGAAGTTATATTTAAGCATTAAAAAATTGGAATTGGGCATGGTAGTACACACCTGTAATCCTAGCTGCTCAGGAGGCTGAGACAGGAAGATTGAGCCCGGGAGTTTTGAGACTAGCCTGGGCAACATAGCAAGACCTCATCTCAAAAACACAAAAAAATTGGGACACTTGTCAGGTATGGTAGTGCGTGCCTATAATCCCCAGCTACTAGGGAGGCTGAGGCAGGAGGATCACTTCAGCCCAGGAGTTCTGGGCTGTAGTGTACTTTGTACTTGTGAATAACCAGTGCTCTCCAGCCTGGGTGACATAGCAAGACCCCATTTCTTTAAAAAACAGTATTATTATTTTAAAGCTCAGTTCTATTACCTTATTCTTTTGTCACAACACTATGTAACATGTTATGTCAATTAGACAGATAACTTTATCTTAGCTGAAAATAATAATAATGAAAACCAAGCAATCAGAATGATTGTTTAAAATGCTAATTTTATAAATTCTCCAATATTTAGAAGCCGCTGGAGTTCTGGAGTGGGTGGAAGTGGTGGAGGATCCTCTGGTAGGTCATCAGCTGGAGCTCGAGATTCCCGCCGGCAGACTCGAGTTATTCGGACAGGACGGGATCGAGGGTCTGGGCTTTTGGGCAGTCAGCCCCAGCCAGTTATTCCAGCATCTGTCATTCCAGAGGAGCTGATTTCACAGGTATGGATCTCGTAGAACACTTAATGTCAGACAACAGGACAAGGTGAGGTTTTACTGAATATGGTGGGTTGTAGTCATGACTCATATCATGAGTTCTGAAACAACTGTTTTCCTATTTTGATCCTAGAAAACTTTTTTTTTTTCCTTTGAGAGGGAGTCTCACTCTGCTGCCCAGGCTGGAGTACAGTGGCATGATCTCAGCTCACTGCAACCTCCGTCCCCTGAGTTCAAGCAATTCTCATGCCTCAGCCTCCCGAGTAGCTGGAATTAATGGGTGTGCACCACCACACCCAGCTAATTTTTGTATTTTTTAGTAGAGACGGGGTTTCACCATGTTAGCCAGGCTGGTCTTGAACTACTGACCTCAGGTGATCCGCCCACCTTGGCCTCCCGAAGTGCTGGGATTACAGGCTTGAGCCACCACATCCTGTCCTAGAAAGCTGATTTTGATAAAGAATTTAATCAAAAGAAAATTACCATAGCACTTCTTTTTATTTTTTATTTCAGGCCCAAGTTGTTTTACAAGGCAAATCCAGAAGTGTCATTATTCGAGAACTTCAGAGAACAAATCTTGATGTGAACCTTGCTGTAAATAATTTACTTAGCCGGGATGATGAAGATGGAGATGATGGGGATGATACAGCCAGCGAATCTTATTTGCCTGGAGGTTGGTGGATCACCGTCATGTTTTTCTCATTTCTGGAGTGCTCTTTCGACTGGGGAGTGGAATTTAAAGCACAATAGACTTTTCTGAATATTCTTTTCAAGGTGGTAGATATTTTTCACTGTAGAGTTGCTTGATTTTATTGTAAAGTTTCTTTTATTTTTTTCTTTTCTTTTTTGAGACGGAGCCTTGCTTTGTTACCCAGGCCGGAGTGCAGTGGCATGATCTCGGCTCACTGTAAGCTCTGCCTCCTGTGTTCATGCCATTCTCCTGCCTCAGCTTCCCGAGTAGCTGGGACTACAGGCGCCCGCCACCACGCCTGGCTAATTTTTTGTATTTTAGTAGAGACGGGGTTTCACCATGTTAGCCAGGATGGTCTTGATATCCTGACCTTGTGATCCGCCTGCCTCAGCCTCCCAAAGTGCTGGGATTACAGATGTGAGCCACCGTGCCCGGCCACAAGTGTTATATCTTAACGAGTGATCTTTCTTGTGATTATGTAGTAAGTAGCTCAGGCGACATTTATGCATTTGATGTTCTTTAAAATCTTTGTTAATAATGTAGGTTGTTGTGTTTTTCCTCAGGCGATGTCATTCCCTAGTTTTTAAATGTATGTGAATTTTTAGAGCTCTTTCAGCAGTCTACAGTTGCTCTTTGTGTGTATGCTGCAGTGATGTTTGTTTCTGTTTATAGAGGATCTTATGTCTCTCCTTGATGCCGACATTCATTCTGCCCACCCAAGTGTCATTATTGATGCAGATGCCATGTTTTCTGAAGACATTAGCTATTTTGGTTACCCTTCTTTTCGTCGTTCATCACTTTCCAGGCTAGGCTCATCTCGAGGTAATTTTGCATTTATTTATATATTTATTTTGGTCACAGGCTAGCTGTATGGAAAGATAGTGGTAGAATCTACTGACTGTATTTGAACTTCTAATATTACAGTTATTATTAGTTTTTTATGAATGCATTAGCATTAAAATTAATTATTTTTTATTTTGAAGAGCCACAATAGTATTTTAGAGTTGATCCTATTTACGTTGTGGAATTGATGTCAAGGACTATGACTTCACCTAAATGTATTTTTAATTAGGAATATGGATTCTGAACTAAAAGCAGAATTCTACTTTACAGTGACATGCAGCATTCAGAAAACAAGTCTTAGTTTATTTGGTTAAAATAAGTGATCTGTTTATTTTAAATCCTGGTTAGATAAAATAATGAAATGTGAAAAAACTTACTAGAATGGATTTAGGACCAATATTAAATGAATAGAAATGTTTAGTTTATTAGAATGCCTTTTTTTTTTGGGGATGAAGTCTCACTCTGTTGCCCAGGCTGGAATGCAGTAGTACGATCTCGGCTCACTGCAGCCTCCACCTCCTGGGTTCAAGAGATTCTCCTGCCTCAGCCTCCTGAGTAGCTGAAATTACAGGTGCCTGCCACCATGTCCAGTTAATTTTTGTATTTTTAGTAGAGACGGGGTTTCACCATGTTAGCCAGGCTGGTCTTGAACTCCTGACCTCAGGTGATCCGCCTGTCTCAGCCTCCCAAAGTTTTGTGATTACAAGCATGAGTCACTGCGCCCAGCCTAAAATGCTATTTTCAAAAGTTTGAGGCCGGTGCAGTGGCTCACGCCTGTAATCCCAGCACTTTGGGAGGCCAAGGTGGGTGGATCACGAGGTCAGGAGATTGAGACCATTCTGGCTAACACAGTGAAACCCCATCTCTGCTAAAAAAAAAAAAATACAAAAACAATTAGCCAAGCATGGTGGCAGGCGCCTGTAGTCCCAGCTGCTCGGGAGGCTGAGGCAGGAGAATGGCATGAACCCGGGAGGAAGAGCTTGCAGTGAGCTGAGGTGGTACCACTGCACTCCAGCCTGGGAGACAGAGTGAGACTCCGTCTCAAAAAAAAAAAAAAAAAAAAAAGTTTGAAATCCTTAAAAGTTAACAGTACATGGTAGAGGTTAGAAAGATTTTGAAATAATTAATCCTGCCTTTCTCTGTATATGTTTGTGTATGGCTTGTTTACATTATAATTGTCAATATTTTTACTTTCCAGAATGTAAAACTACTTGATTCAGATAACAGAAATTGGCTGTATTTACTGATCTTTAAACTGGACAGTGTGTCATGTTATATTAAGAGCTTGCTGCATATACTTTTAGTACTTAGGAATAAAGTTTTAAAATAACAGATCTGTGGTGATCTTTTAATATATTGAATGCACTATGTAATAGTGTTATGAATTTAAAAATAAATGCATACTTTACTGCCTTAAATGTGTCAAGTAATATATTTTCAAATATTCCATATCTAACATAAATAACTCCTTTAAAGGTCTCTTCCCATGTTCTCCCCCCTGCCCACCCCCCCCTTTTTTTTTTGAGACGGAGTTTCGCTCTTGTTGCTCAGGCTGGAGTGCAATGGTGTGATCTTGGGTCACTGCAATCTCTGCCTTCCCGGTTCAAGTGATTCTCCTGCCTCAGTCTCCCAAGTAGCTGAGATTACAGGCATTCGCCACCACACCAGGCTAATTTTGTATTTTTAGTAGAGACAGGGTTTCACCATCTTGGTCAGGCTGGTCTTGAACTCCTGACCTCAAGTGACCCACCCACCTCGGCCTCCCAAAGTGCTGGGCTTACAGGTGTGAGCCACCATACCTGGCCAAATGTCTCTTTTCCTATGTTCATCCTATGTAGGCATTACTTTTAGTTTGAACCATATGGAATAGCTAATACTTGACCACTTTTGACCTATATATGGTAATTTTGTATAGTTCAATTTATTGTTTCTAATCCTTATTTATCCTAGTCTTAGAGAGTTTATTTGGATTACGTTCTTTAAAAAGTAATGTATGAGCAACTTCAGAAAAACTGGCTTTAGATAGTTTGTAGGCCAATAGCCATGGGAAGCATTTTGGTAAGGAAATCATTTTATAAAGATTATTTTTAAAAAAAAGCCTGTCTGGTTCCTCAGTAAAATTTAAGACTTATTCATAAAAATTCATCCTATAAAAATTACTCTAAACAAGGGCTTGGATTTTTAAAAACTTTATAATTAGCTTATATTAATGGATTCATAGTTTACCCTTTTTAGGGTTTTTTCTATGTGTGCATTTTTCGAGTTTGCTTATATACGTAACATGTTGAAGTTCTAAATTTATGTGCTTTTTAAACCCACCAGTAGACAAACGAGGAGTGTATATTTTCTGATATGTAAATTGAATTTATAGTACGCATTTCTAATGAAAGCCAACAATTTAAAATTCTTTAAAAAAGAACCAAATATACTTCAAAATAAAGCAGTTCCACTCTAAAACCATGTAGTTGAAATATACAAAAGTCTGCCTCTAATTTTTTAAAATACTAGTTATAATTTTTATACATTCACTTGAAAGGGTTGATGTTTTGAATGTTGCATGTCAGCCTTATTAGATATACATTTACATAAATTTTTATGAGTAGATAAACTGCTGTTAGTTGCATCCTGAAGGGTCTTTACTAGAGAGTGGCTTACTTTTATCCCACTGGTGTGACCCAATTGCATACCAGTTCTCCTTCTTCCCTTAGAGAGAGACTCTGAGCTGTTGCGTGAACGTGAATCCGTTTTACGTTTACGTGAACGAAGGTGGCTTGATGGAGCCTCATTTGATAATGAAAGGGGTTCTACCAGCAAGGAAGGAGAGCCAAACTTGGATAAGAAGAATACACCTGTTCAAAGTCCAGTATCTCTAGGAGAAGATTTGCAGTGGTGGCCTGATAAGGTATTTGGAAAAAATTCACACTGCTTCCATTTAAATGGATCCCTGACAACCCCTCCCTCTAAGGTTTCCATTTTATTTATTCTGGTTTTTGTACTATCACTCAAGGAAAAACACAAATATATAAAACAATATTTTTGTTTTGTTTTAAAATATAGATAGAATATATCTTTATTTGGCACTCCATGAGTCATCTCAGTGAGATGTATTCAGTGGTGCAACGTATCTTACTACTTGATAAAGTAAATCAGAGAAATTAGGATGTTAGTTCTAGATAACACATCAGCATGCTATTCCAGTACTTCTTTTCTGGTAATAATTACTCCAGTAAGTGGTGTTACATTCCTTGGTAGAAATTTGTTTTGTCAAATTTCTAAAGTCAGGTGGACACCAGTTTCTGCAGGGCATGTTTTTAGTCATTGATACAGCATGTATATCATGACAAGATTAGGGATCTGTGTTCTTTGATTAGTTAACTATGCCATTTAATGGCAGTGAGTTCTGACAGATTCTTTGCGGTGAATGCTGTGGGAGACAAAGCTGACTGAACAGGAATGGGCTAGGGGAGTTATGCTCTGTATCCTGAGGAATAGTGCAATGACTGGATTCTAGAAAGCATCTAGGATTTGGTAATTGATTTGAATCTTTAAAAATCCATCACTGCCATAAGTGAAACAGAGTTGATGTATCCTGTTGATGGTATGTATGTAATTGATAGTTCATCTTCAGAGGCTCCTATTGGAACCCATGTTTTTCGCTTGTTTTTTACTGCGTCTGTTTCTTCTTATTTCCAGAACCATTTGGGTAGGAAATTTTCTAAAGCAGAAATAAACTAAAAGAAGATGGGAACTTTGGGGCCCCACTAGCAGATAAAGAGAGCCTGATATGGATTTCTTTTCTTTCTTTGATTTAGAACTTGAATCCGGGATATTGAAGGCGAATATTATTTAACTTTCCAAATTTACGTTTCCATGGTTACTGTGAGTCTTGTTGTAGTTCATTTATTTTCCTCTGCATTCAGCTCATGTGGCAAGTTTGAATGCAAGAAGGAACATGAATTTTAATCAGTCTCTTTGGAAGCAAAAGGTTATTCTGTTTTCTTTGGCAACTGCCAAACTTTCCCTGAATTGCATTCTTTTACTTATTTCCCTAAAACTAGAAATGTCCCAAGTTCTACTTTTACTTCATATGGTAGGGACTGATTTAAACCATTGGGCTTTTACTTTTTTTTTCTTTTTGTACATCAATTACCGTTTCCTATTTCTCTTGTCTGGATCATGTTAGAGTTGTGTCTATTTCATATTTGCAGGAAGTAAAAGAGACTCCTGAATTATGTTTTAATAGGGCCACCACGTATTATTAATCTAGGTTTGTCATGTATTATTTTTGATTAATGAAAGTATTTCTGAATAGTGTAAGTTTAGCAAGCCTAGCCATTGTACCCTCTGTTAGATTTAGCTAGCCGTTGTTGGCCTGGCTAAAAATATGATAGATATGTTTTTAAGTATACCTTGTTTTTAGAGACAGTTGTAAGTGCATCATGAAATCTTGGCACTGTATAGACTTTTAGTGCATTATTCCTTGGTTTGTTTAGCCACCGAGTGAATGGAAGAAGAGCGGTATGTGAAACAAAGTATATCCTACCTATATTCTTTTTTCCATTAAATACCAAATTTAAAATAGCAACATGGAAAAAACTCTTTTTACTAGCACATGATGGAAATCTAGAAATTCATACTTGAATTCTGGGAAAGAAAACAGCTTAAGCCTTTAATTAAACTGTTAAGCATTATCATAGTGATCAGTAAATACCATTAGGTGCTTGTTTGCAGGGCTGAATGCTACAAGAGAATGTAGAGAGCTATTAAAGGGAAAGAAGACCTTGTTTTTATGTAACTTTAGGAAAACAAAGTATTATACAGGGGCGCAGGATAAATACCATGTGAAGAAACTGGTAATATGTGAGACTTATATTGGTTTCTCAAAATTAGTTAGGGGTAGTGATTCCTGAGGAGCAAAAGGTTTTGGGGGAAGGCTTGATAGGGAATAGAGAGGTAGGTGGAGAATGCAGGGAGATAGGGTGTCAGGATGCACTTGGTATTTACCATTGGTGAGAAGAGGTACCAGCACCAGATGAGAGTGGTCTGCCAAGAGTAGGGGCTTGTCTAATGAGGGGTCCATTAGGAATTCCTAGCTCAAGACAGTTTGAATGTCATGCTAAGGCTAACACTGGAAAACCAGAGCAGTTGCAGAGCATGCATCTATCATTTTATCTCCTCCATGCCACAGACATTGCTGCTAATTGCCTAGTACCTTGCTACTTATGGGGGCTATATTAATCACAAGATCGGATATTGAGCCTGTCTTATGAAACTTGTGAGGTTTAGTGCAGGAGACAGGTGGTGATTAGTCATCCAAAGTAATATTCTTAAAATGTGACTTTCCTTATAATCTTGATTGGGGTTTGCTTTTTAAAAAAAATCTTGGTAACTTGCATTATTTTGACTGAAAGTGTTATTTCTACGTTCTTGACATACCAGGCTGCTAAAGGATAGTCTCAATTTTGTACACAATAGTAAACTTGGAATTGGCTTGCCTCTGATCCATTCATTTTTATGGAGAAGGAAACTTCATGTCTTTGCTTATTTCAAATGTCTTGTAAATGGCAGATGCAGCAATGAAGTTTTTTTTTTATACGGGAAGGAGTAGCTTTTTTAGGAGTGGGGGCAATCAAAATATGCATCCTAGTTTAATTTCAGAAATGACCTAATACAATACTCTTAAATATTAAGTATGGTTGTTAGTGTCCATAGTAATTTTCATTTTGTCTTTTGTTAGGGTACAAGCTTAATTCTGTTGGTAAAGGAACTGGATTAGTACCTACTTTCCCAGCATCCATTTAGAGGAACAACCAGTTCTTCAAAATTTTACCTTTTTTTTTTTTTTGTGATGGAGTTTCGCTCTTGTTGCCCAGGTTGGAGTATAGTGGTGTGATCTCGGCTCATTGCAACCTCTGCCTCCTGTGTTCAAGCAATTCTGCTGCCTCAGCCTCCTGAGTAGCTGGGATTACAGGCACCTGCCACCACATCCAGCTAATTTTTTATATTTTTAGTAGAGATGGGTTTCACCATGTTGGCCAGGCTGGTCTTGAACTCCTGACCTCAGGTGATCCACCCTCCTCGGCCTCCCAAAGTGCTGAGATTACAGGCGTGACCACCGTGCCTGGCAGTTTTACCCTTTTGTAAGCCAATAAAATTATTTTAATGATAGGATGTTCTCTTTTCTTTAAGGTTTTGTGGTATAGTATTGAACTGAAAATATTTGAGGTGACTGTAAAATACACATATTTCCCAAAATTATTCTTGAATTAAATGTCAAAACTAATATAAAAGCATAATTGAAAATTATAGGCATCTTGAAAGTTCCATAAAGACAGAAGTAAGGGTCATTCAGTCATTATTACTTTAGAAACCTTGATTAAATATGTGCCATGTGTTAGGCCTTTTGTTAGATGTTAGGGTGAGAGATTTTATAGGAAGAAGAAAAATAATGTTAATTTGTTTGAATAAGTACCATAATAGGTTTCCATACATACATACGTAATAGCTACACAGTAGCACAGGAGGCATTGGGAAATCACAGGAGGCTGCACAGAATGATTACAAAGAGTGTGGACTCTGAAGTCAAACTGCTGGATTTCCTATCCTAATCCTACCACTGTCTAGTTGTGTGATCTTGATCAAGTTCTTTAACTTCTCTCTGCCTTGGTTTTCTCATATAGATAGATATAGTAATACTTTTTACATTATGGGTTTGTTATGAGAATTAAATAAGTTAGTTTATGTAAAGTGCAAAGAGCAAGGAGAAGCATGGTCCTGTCCCAGGAAGGGAGAACGGGCAGTTCCTGCAGGTCATGGGAGGGTGAGAGAGCCCAGTTGGGTATTTCGAAGTACGTTTATGTGGCACTTGTGTGTTATGTGCCAGGTTCTCTGTTAGTAGTGAATTGGACACAGACCAAAAAGATACAGATCATGCATGCCCCCTTTATCTGACTGGACTAGAATGAATTCAAGTTATGAAAACATTTTATTATAGTAATAATTTAGTGTAATAGGAAATTAAGGGCAGCCTATATGTACCAAAGTGAGAAGGGGAGGGAGTGCCTAAGTCTGTGCTCTAAGTTCAAGGTTATGATGTTCACAGTGAAACCAGCCAAGTTGATACTGGTTTCTGAAGGTTTTTACCCCAAAACATCAACTTTCTTATTATGCTATCCCTACTCCCTAAAATCTATCCTTTCTTGCTTCCCCTCCCTCTCTTCCCCCATACTCCCCGCCGACTCCTTTTTCCCGCTCCCTTTACTCACCCTTCTCTAGCCATTCTTTCCATCCTTCCGTCCATCCACCTTTCCATCTAACCATCTGTGCACCTACTGTTTTTTACTGTTTTTCTGGCTTGTATGACTGCTTATTACATTTTGCATTTCTGGAATAGCTTTGATAATTCATTTACTTTGGTGAGAAGAGGTAATCTTTTAATTAGGTGGTTGTATAACATGGCTCCATTTTCTCTTCTCAGTCATTTTTGCAATTTATTTTTTCTAGATTAGAAATTTCATAATATGTTGCTGAATGTCTGCATGTAAATTGTAATTATATATGTGTTTATACCAACCTACTTCCAACAAGAATCTAAACCAAACACATTTTACAAGGCCTAAGCCAGACAAAGACGCCAGAGGAAAAGAAAACCATAGGCTAATAATATCTTTGAACATTGATGCAGAAATCCTCCAAAAAAAATTCAGGAAACTGAATTCAACACATATCAAAAAGATATACATCACGACCAGGTGGAATTTATTCCTGGCATATGAGGCTGACTTTATATATACACATTAATCAATGTGATAGATCATGTTAGCAGTATGAAACCTGAAAATCACATGAACACCTTGATTGACGCAGAAAAAGCATTTGAAGAAGTTGAGCATTCTTTCTTGATAAAAACTCTTTAACAGTTTAGCTGTGGAAGGAAAGCTCCTGCATATAATAGAAGCCATATATGAAAAAACCCATAGCTAACAATCAACAGGGAGCAACTCAGAGCTTTTCCAATAATATTTAATGCAAGGCAGGGATGCCTACTCTTGCCAATTCCATTCAGCATAGTACTGGAAGCACTAATGAACATCAAACAAGAAAAAGAAATAAAAGACATCCAGATTGGAAAGGAAGAAGTACAATTATCTGTATTTGCAGATGACATGATCTTATATGTAGAACCCCCTCCAAAATTTCACAAGAAAACCTGTTAGAACTAATAAATTCATTAAAGTTGCAGGCTACGAGGTCAACATACAAAAATCAGTAGTATTCCTATACACAAATAACAGCCTAGCCGGAAAAGAAATTAAGAAAATAATCTTGGCTAGGTGCTGTGGCTCATGCTTATAATCTCAGCACTTTGGGAGGCTGAGGCGAGAGGATCTCTTGAGTCTAGGGAGCTTCATGGATGGGAAGAATTAGTATTTTTAAACTTATACTGCTCAAAGTAATGTACAGATTTATACATAATCTCTATCAGAATTCCAGTGGCATTCTTCACAGAAATAAAAAAGCAATCCTAAAATTTGTAAAGAACCATAAAATACCCCAAATAGTGAAAGCAATAATGGGAAAATTGGAAGCACCATACTTCTTGGTTTAAAATAGTATTACAAAGCTATAAGCAATCAAAACCATATGGTGCTGGCGTAAAAACAGAAACATAGACCAATGGAACAGAGTAGAGAGCCCAGAAGTAAATTCAAACATATATTATTAACTAATTTTTGACAAGGGCACCAGTGGGGAAAAGATAGTTTCTTCAATAAGTGGTACTGGGAAAACTGGATTTTCACATGTAAAATTGGATTCCTATCTTAGACAATACATAAAGATCGACTCAAAATAGACAAAAGACCTAAATGTGAAATATGAAACCTTAAAAACTATGAGAAAATATAAGGAAAGCTCCTTGACATTGCTCATGGCAGTGATTTTTTTTGGATTTCACACCAAAAACTCAAACTTCAAAAGGAAGAATAAGTAAATGGAGCTACATGAAACAAAAAACCTTTGTGTATAGTAAAGAAAACAGTCAACAAAATAAAAAGGCACTCTATAGACTGTGAAAAAATATTTGCAAACCATGCATGTCATAAGGAGTTAATATTCAAAATTTATAAAGCACACTTGAAGTCAGTAGCAGAAAAATAACCTGATTAAAAACCGGGTAAGGACCTTATAAGACGTTTCTTCAAAGAAGACATAAAAATGGCTAACAGATATTTGAAAAGGTGCTTAACATCAGTAATTGTCAGGGAAATGCAAATTAAAACCACTGTGAGATACCATCTCACACCCATTAGGATGGTTGTTATCAAAAAGACAAGAGATAGCACATGTTGACAGTGATGCAGAGAAAAGAGAACCCTTGTATGCTGTTGGGAACTAGATTGGTATAGCTATTATGGAAAGCAGTATGGAAGTTCCTAAAGAAGTTAAAAATAGAGCCACCATAGGACCCAGCAATCCCTATTATGTACGTACCCAGAGGAGATGAAATCATGCATATCTGCACTTGGGCCAGGCGCGGTGGCTCACGCCTGTAATCCTAGCACTTTGGGAGGCCAAGGCGGGTGGATCACCTGAGGTCAGGAGTTCGAGACCAATCTGGCCAAAGTGGTGAAACCCCGTCTCTACTAAAAATACAAAAACTAGCTGGGCATGGTGGCACATGCCTGTAATCCCAGCTACTTGGGAGGCTGAGGCACAAGAATCACTTGAACTTGGGGGACGGTGGTTGCAGTGTGCCAAGATCACACCACTGCACTACAGCCTGGGCGACAGAGCAAGACTCTTGTCTCAAAAAACTAACTAACTAAATAAATAAATAAATTTTATTGTGTATATTTGAAGTTTACAACAGGTTATAGGATACATGTATTTATATTGTTACTATAATAGATTAACACATCTATCATCTCACAGTTACTATTTTGTGACAAGAGCAGCTAAAATCTACTTAACAAAAATCCATAATATGATACCATTTTATTAACTGTAATCCTCATGACATAACAATTGCAGCTCTAGATTTGCATCCTACATGTCTGCTGTGTATCCTATAACCCCATTTTCCCTCCCTCACACCCCCACACTGCTTGTCAGCCCATGGTAACCACTGCTTTATTCTCTACCTTTGTATATTTGACCTTTAAAAAAAAAAAAAGACTTCACATATAAGTGAGATCACACAATATGTTTTTTCCCTGTGTCTATCTTATTTCTCTTAGCATAATGTCCTCTAGGTCTATCCATGTTGTGGCAAATGGCAAGATCTCCTTTTTTAAGCTGAATAATTATCCTTTTTTTCTGTTGTGTCTGTGTGTGTGTGTTTTCTTCATCCATTTGTCCATGAAGGACACTTAAGCTTTTTCCATATATTACCTATTATAAATACTACCACAGTGAATATGAGAGTGCAGATACTTTTTATTTTTTTATTTTATTTATTTATTTATTTATTTTTGGTGAGAGGGAGTTTTGCTCTGTTGCCCAGGCTGGAGTGCAGTGGCACGATCTCGGCTCCTTGCAAGCTCTGCCTCCTGGGTTCATGCCATTCTCCTGCTTCAGCCTCCCGAGTGGCTGGGACTGCAGGCACCTGCCACCATGCCCGGTTAAGTCTTTTGTATTTTTGGTAGAGACGGGGTTTCACCGTGTTAGCCAGGATGGTCTCGATCTCCTGACCTCATGATCTGCCTGCCTCGGCCTCCCAAAGTGCTGGAATTACAGGCGTGAGCCACGGCGCCTGACTCGGTACTGTTAATTAACATTAACTGGCAGGGCTTGGTGGCTCATGCCTGCAATCCCAGCACTTTGGGAGGCCAAGGCAGACGGATCACTTGAGGTCAGGAGTTCGAGACCAGTCTGGCCAACATGGTGAAACCTCGTCTCTACTAAAAATACAAAAATTAGCCAGGTGCGGTAGCGTGCACCTGTAGTCCCAGCTACGTGGGAGGCTGAGGTGGGAGAATCGCTGGAACGCAGGAGGCGGAGGTTGCAGTGAGCCAAGATCGTGCTGCTGCACTCCAGCCTGGCCGACAGAGTGAGGTTCTGTTTCCCCGCTAAAAAACATTAATATTCCTTACTGTTCTGGATCTATTTCTATCTAGTCTAGAGGAAACAATAAGTAGAATTATTCCCACCAGCCCTTTATATTGTAGAGTTGTATGTTACTCTGTTTCTTTGAATGGTGTTGAGAGGAAATGGATCCATTTCATTTGACCCCTTGTTTAAGCTCTTTGGAGCAACCTCCCTGTTGGAACCAGCTGATCAGACTTGTGGGTTATATTGCTTCACCTTCATTGTGCTTCCAACACTGAGGAAAATGAAGGCAGAGGATTCTAAAAGTGGAAGTTGGCTGGGGAAGGTCTTTGTTTTGTTTTTATTGACATCTGGAAACTTCCAGGATTAACTAGATGTGTCACAAATGTAATTTAATATGAAGTAAGAACAAAATGAAAAATGATCATAAAAAGGAAAAGAAACTCGGCAGAAAAAGCATATGGAAAAGCGGATAGGCAGAGAGAGATGAAGTGTGAATGGACACAGTTGGCCAAATTGCAGTGTATCTTGTAGTTGCCATCATTCCAATCATGATGTGCAGTATATTGTATTTAGTGATAGGAGTTGGAGCTGCTACCTAATGATAAAACCAGTGTTTGCTCATAGTAGAAAAAATGTGAAAACCAAGTTTTGTGGGGCAAAATTCAGGAATAGAGATGCCAACTTTTTCACAATATGAATTAGTAAACATAGGTGTGGCCAGTTAATAGAGTTGGTGTTGCTGGGCCAAGTGTTTTTTAAAGCTTTGGCCGCTATTTCATGTCTCATATTTTTAACAGTTTTCCTTCCCCCTTTGAGGAAGGATTTCTAGTTAAATTTATGACCCATTTATGTTGGACAGTTGCAGATTTACTGATTCAACTTCTTTTTGTTGAAAAATAGAGCTACAAACTACTGCTCTTTAAGGAAACATGCATAGCCACTTTCTCTAGTTGGATTGAGCAGATGTCAGCTTGCTAAGAAGCAGCAATTCGTACTTCATAAAAACAATAAAAACATTGTTTTCTATGACTTATGAAATGAATGAGCTAAAATACTGTCCTTGTGTATGTATTTGATTGTTTTGTATTTACATACAGTAAATTTCTTTAATACAGATAAATCTGAAGCAGGCAAGAAGTAGTAGGTGATTTTTTTGTCCTCTTCCTGTGGGTTCATAGTTGTGCTATTCATCTTCATTTGTCCATAGTGGGTTTTCAGGGCCTGTAGGGGTGTAATTGGCTCATCCAGGCCTTATCACCGTGGGGGACATTGCCCTATCTCTGAAAGATAAAGGCAAGTCAGTTCTGAGAGGGCCTCATGCACCATGCTCTTGCTATTGGGCTGGTTTGTTCAGGATTGTACTGCTCTAGTAAGGCATTTACCCAAAGAAGCTGGAGTTAAGATTCATTTGTTCATTCAACAGTTGGTCAGTGTGTTCCTGCTTTGTGCCATATACCAAGCTGGCATATGGTAATATAGTCATGAGTATGATATTGGCCTTTCTACAAGGAATTCAGTGGGGAACACAAACATTTACATAGAATGTAATGTGATCATAATGTGATCAGTGCTAGGCTGAAAGTATGAGTAAAGTGCTATAGGGGTTCTGAGTGGTAAATGACCAATACCACCTGAGAGATCTGGCAAAGGCATCGCAGAGGAGATAGCATTTAAGCAGCATTTTTAAGGTGAGGTGGGCATTGACCAAGGCACAAAGGTATTCCAAACGTATCTGGGCATGGGCCCAGAGTCACAAAAGGTCATGATGTGTTTGAGGAACCATGAAAAATTCAGAATTGCTGCTTTGTGGTGGGGAGTAGGAGAAGAGATGGGATGGAGATGACTAGACAGTTTGCCAAGCAAGAAGTTAGGATATTGTTTTGCAGCAATTAAGAAGTCAACAGAGTCCGTAGAGAAGTGACTTGATGTGATTGGTGGGGTTTTGCTTTGTTGTATTTGATTTGTTTTAAGGAGGTGAACATTACTGGCATGATGGGAGAAAGCAACAGGAAAAATCAAAAGTCGGTTATGAGAATGCTACAGTTGTTCAAGGAAATTGTGAGGATCTCAACCAAAGCAGGGGTATGGGGAGAGAGAAAGAGAAGAATCTGAGAGGAATTTGAGATCAGTTTAGACATGGGAACCTGGGAGCACGCCTCATCTCTTCCTTTTCTCTCATCAGTCAATTCGATTGTCGTGTCTCCCATTACCAGGTGGGTGGTGATGTCATTCATAGAGATAGGAACTACAGGGAAGGCACAGCTTTGCAGGAGATGGCGGATTCATTTTAGGGATGTCATTGTGCTTTTTAAGACAGCTGTAGGTAAGTCTGGAGATATGAGATTTACACATTTAAAAGCATGATGCTCTGGTAGATGAAGTCACTGAGGCTGAAGGTGAAGCACAATTTGAATACAGGGAGAAACACAGAATCAGTGGCAGGGAGTGCATGGTAGTACCAGGGAGATGGAGGGAAGACCATGCATGGTAGTGCCAGGGAGATGGAAGGTAGGTGGAAGACCAGTAGAGAATGGTGACCTATGAATTAGGGAGAGAAGGATGGGTTCCAGAACAGATAATGAACAGAGGCAAATCATTTGAAGAGTTTAAAGAGAAGATGGACTGATTACGTACATTGAGCATTGATTTGGCAGTTGGAAAAAATGTCATGTCCATCACTGAAAACTGGTAAGGTGAAACATATGCCAGGCAGTAATTCACTTTACCATGTTAGGACTGAAGGAGAGATTTGTTTGGATGGTTGTTGGGGGATATGGGAAGGAGTTGCATCCAGTGTGTCTGTGGGTTATCTTTAAATAGGAGGGGAGGAAAACACTTCTTTCTCTGAGATGGGGAGAAGGGAGGAGGTGAGAATGGTGCTTTCATTAAGCAAATCTAGAGCTAGGAATATTGAGGAAGCCCCTGCCTGAGAGCTATCATTTTCTGGGTGAGTCAGAGATGAAGTCAGGGGAGGAGATTAGTCATAGTCGAATTTGATTGAGTGCTTATTTGCACTGGGCTCTGTGCTGTGTACTTTATCCAGCTGACCCTTGAACTATGAAGGGGTTAGGGGCACCCACTCCTCATGCAGTTGAAAATCCACATAACTTTGACTCCCCCAAAACTTATTATAGCCTCCTGTTCACTGGGAGCCTTAGCAACAACATAAAGTTGATTAACAACATATTTTGTATGTTATATGTAGTATATACTGTATTTATACAATAAAGTAAATTAGAGAAAATGTTATTAAGAAAATCATAAGGAAAAGAACATACATTTAGTATTCATTAAGTGGAAGCGGATTACCATTAAGGTCTTTATTCTCATTATCTTCATGTTGAATAGGCTGAGGAGGGGAAGGAAGAATTAGAAGAGGAGGAGTTGCTTTTGCTGTCTCAAGGATGGCAGAGGCTGAAGAGAACTATAAGCAGACCCTAACAGTTCAAACCCATATTGTTCAAGGGTCAGCTATATATGTTACTCCGTTTGGTTTTTACCCTGCACTCCCCTCTCCCTTACCATGATTTGCATTACCTTAATACCCATTTTAGAAATGAAGAAATGGTTTCAGAGAAATTGTATAGTTTACCTGAAGTCACATACTTAATAAGTGTTGGATCTAGGTTGGGGACTCACTTAGTCTGATTCCATTATAGTTAATTCTTAACCGTAGGATTGAGAAGAGAATATGAAGTAGAAAGGTAAAATTTGATGCAGTTTCTATGGAGAAAGTCAGTAATGGTTTGTAGACATCCATGGTAAAGGTAAGGGAAGAATTGCTAACTTGGAGAATTCCAAATTTGGTCTCTTTTCCATCCCCCAATAAAAGTGACTTGAAAATAGGAAAATAGGTTTGACTGGTACAGGTAAAATAGACGATTAAAATTAGTATTATTTCTGTACAACACTAAGGCATAACCTGTTGTTATTGTGTTATATTAATAAATCTTGTAGACTTTACAAGTTTTAGCACTATAACGTTACCATCTGACCAAATAAAATTGAATTTTGACAGAAAAACCAGAAAGACACCATTTGTTTATCATACCCTGGAGCCAGAATCCCAAAGAAAATGGAGAAGTACTGTGTATAGACCAACAGCATTTTTGCAACCTAAAATCCGTTACTGGCAATTTTTGCTGTGAGATTTCTAGGTAGCTTTGTGGCTCTGATCATTTGTTTTATGTTAAAGAAAATTATTTATTTACATTTATTAGCCAAGCTTTTTATAATTTAATTGCATTCCAAATCATTGCATGTATGTCAACATAAAAGTGAACGAATGATTACCTTAAATATGGGCACTTGTTTCCATAGCTTGAAAGAGCTTACAGGGAAAGAATCTTTTGATTTGACATCGTTTTTCTCTGTTTCAGCTCCGTATTCTGTTTTTCTTTTTTTCCCTTCACTCATTCAGCACATTGATTGAGCACCTACTTGTACGCTAAGTTCTTAAGTTACAGTGGTGAATAAGACAAAGCTTATACTTGAGTGAGATAGTGTATAAACAAATAAATATGTCAAGTTGTGAAGTGCTGTGGATTAAAAAGAAAGCAGTGTAAGGAACTAATGTGAGAGTGGTGGTTCTGTACATAGTGTCATCAGAGACAGTCTCTTGAGGGAGTGTCACCTGAGAAAGAGTAACACAGACAGAGGGAACAGCAAGGACAGTGGTCCGAGGGTAGGAAGAAGACCACTGTGACAGGAAGAAGGCCAGTGTGAATGGAGGTGAGTGAGTTAATGGAGGGAGCCAGGGCCACCTTAATTGGATACCTTGTAGGCTGTGCTAAAGACTTCGTATAGTTGTGGTTTATGTGTTTACATAATTAATCTAGATCTGATGAAGTGATTAAAGTGACAGTGTTCAAATCAGTAGATTTGGCAATTTTTATATTTATAGTATTGTATTTTACTTTATAGGATGGAACAAAATTCATCTGTATTGGGGCTCTGTATTCTGAACTTCTGGCTGTCAGCAGTAAAGGAGAACTTTATCAGTGGAAATGGAGTGAATCTGAGCCTTACAGAAATGCCCAGGTATTTTATTTTATGAAATCTTGCATTGAATAGCTCTACATATCAACATATAAAATAGTAATTTTTTTTTATGCTTTCAAAGAATCCTTCATTACATCATCCACGAGCAACATTTTTGGGGTTAACCAATGAAAAGATAGTCCTCCTGTCTGCAAATAGCATAAGAGCAACTGTAGCTACAGAAAATAACAAGGTATGAAACACTTTGCATTGATTAACATTTCATGCTTTAATTCTTGTTTTCTTTTTTTCTTTTTTGCTCCTTTTCCATCTTTTCATTTTTGATCTATGTTAACATAAATACAAAGTGTCTCAAGCCTTAGTAATCTAATGTATATTTTTGTTGGCTAGTTTATACTGTAACTTTAAAAATAGCTTTCTGTGGCTGGGCCTGGTGGCTCACGCCCGTAATCCGAGCACTTTGGGAGGCTGAGGTGGGTGGATCATGAGGTCAGGTGTCGAGACCAGCCTAGCCAACCCATCTCTACTAAAAATACAAAACCCCATCTCTACTAAAAATACAAAAAAATTAGCTGGGTGTGGTGGCAGGCGCCTGTAATACCAGCTCCTCAGGAGGCTGAGGCAGGAGAATTGCTTGAACCTGGGAGGTGGAGGTTGCAGTGAGCTGAGATCGTACCACTGCACTGCAGCGCAGGTGACAGTGCGAGACTCCGTCTCAAAAAAAAAAAAAAAAAAGCTTTCTGGTTTAAGGAAAGGCAAAAATATTCAAGAAAATTGCTAAGAAAAGATGTTGAGAAGCTAGAAAATACAGATTGACAAAGTATGGATATTATGTCTCAAATTATCGATTTGGCTTTAAAGTCACTAAATTGTTTTGTTTTGTTTTTTTGAGACAGGGTCTTGCTTTGTTGCCCAAGCTCAAGTGCAGTGGTCGTGGCTCACTGCAGCCTTGAACTCAAGCCTTCCAAGTAGCTGGTACTGTAGGCACACACCACTGTGCCCAGCTGATTTTTAAAACTTTTTTCTAGAGGCAGAGTCTTACTGTGTTGCTCAGGCTAGTCTCAAACTCCTGGCGCCAAGTGATTCTCCCTCCTTGGCCTCCCAAAGTGCTGGGATTACAGGCATGACACCTGGCCTAAAGTCACTAAATTCTTTTAAAAATTGGTAGAGCAAATGTTTACTTCTGACCTTAAAGATGGCCTTAGACATTCATTTGAATAACTGCTATTTTGATTTGTGTGAAAAAGTATTATAGTTTCTAGTCTTACTAAGAACCTCTCTGAATTACTTATTTTTATAGCATTTAACTCAAAACATTTTAGAACTCCAGTCTTTAAAGTATATATGCCTTGCCCTAGTTTTTACCACAATCCTTTTGAAAAGATGGCTTGATTTTATTTAAAGTTCTAATATTTTATTCTTTAGGTTGCTACATGGGTGGATGAAACTTTAAGTTCTGTGGCTTCTAAATTAGAGCACACTGCTCAGACTTACTCTGAACTTCAAGGAGAGCGGATAGTTTCTTTACATTGCTGTGCCCTTTACACCTGCGCTCAGCTGGAAAACAGTTTATATTGGTGGTGAGTCTATAGGGAGGAGGAATTTATCGGTGAATGCTTGTGTATGTATAGAAAGATGCTTTGAGTAGTGGAATACCAACATGAGAAGTTCAATTAAAAGATTATGCCTTATGGAAGGGAAATTTCACTTTGGAACAAAGTAACATTTTAAAAAACTTTAACAGTTAAATTTATAAAAATACATACTTAGTGAATATAATTAATAAGTTTTATGAAAGTATAAAGTAGAAACAAAAGTCATTTAGAATCCTGCAACCCAGAGATAACTACAGTTAACATTTGGGGTATTTTAAATCTTTTTTTCCTCTGCATAAACATGTACTTTGCTTTTACATAATTGAAAGTATAGGTTATAGAGTATTTTTTTCATTTCATTGTATGAATATTCTCTACCTTATTTAATTATAGCTTTACTGTTAGAAGGTGACCTTACATTTTTTCTTTGTTGTGTTTTAAGGAGTTAACAGCAAAATTGCATTTTGGAAACAATATATAGGGGAGTTTCCTAATGAAGTATAATTATTTGGAAGAAAATATGTCTGTTAGGCCCAGGCACAGTGGCTTTCGGAGGCCCAGCACTTTCGGAGGCCAAGGCCAGAGGATTGCTTGAGCCTGGGAGTTGGAGAACAGCCTGGGCAATACAGTGAGACCTAGTCTCTACAAAAAATACAAGAAGTAACTGGGTGTGGTGGTGGGTGCCTTGTAGTCTCAGCTACTTGGGAGGCTGAGGCAGGAGGATCTCTTGAGTCCAGGAGGTAGAGTGCAGTGAGCTGAGATCAGCCACCTGCACTGTAGCCTGGGCAGCAGAGAAAGGCCCCGTCTCAAAAAAAAAAAAAAAAAAAAAGCAATTGATGAATTTCCCATAAAATTTAATTATAAAGGTTTAATAAAAGTAGATCCAGTTATTAATCTAATGCACAAATTATAATTAAGATGAAATTGTACACATTAATAGTTTTCTGAGGCGAAAATACTGGAGAAATGCCAGAAATGCTTAACTGATAATATGTGTAATTTCAGATTTATTTAGTGGGCTGTTTTACTGCTTATTTGACCAATTTATGTTTTTTGTTTTCAGGGGTGTAGTTCCTTTTAGTCAAAGGAAGAAAATGTTAGAGAAAGCTAGAGCAAAAAATAAAAAGCCTAAATCCAGTGCTGGTATTTCTTCAATGCCGAACATCACTGTTGGTACCCAGGTAAGTGATGGATTTAGCCTGTCTTAAGGGACCTCGTTTCTCTTCAGAATCACTTTCTTCCCTTGTAAGCAGTTTTACAGATGAGCATCATTTGAAGAGTCGGTTTCCAGTAACGTGTATGTGTCACGTCATTCTTCCTTCATTCAGTAGAGTAATACTGTATAGATTGTGGTTCAGTATTAGTAGGTTTCCCTATGGGGCAAGGTTCCCTGGCTTTAAGAATCACTTGCTACTTTTAAAATGCAGAGTCTGGAACCCCTTACCTGAAATGTTTAAGTTTGTTTGGTGGTAGGGCCAGGCATCGTTGTGTTTAACAAACATCCCGGGTGATTCATATGACTAACCCGTTTGAAAGATACTGCTCTATGAGGATGTTGTCAGCATGAGGCAGGGGGCTTTGGCAAATCCCCATTTCTACCACTTTCTGGTTTTTGACTCTGAGATGGTTTTAGGCTTCTACGGGTACTATTTTCTGGAAGCTGATATTGTTAATATCTCAGTGGTTCTCTAAGTGTGGTCCAGAGACCCCTGCCTTCTCCTCAACCCTTTCAGGGACTCTGAAAATTTCCTTCATTTTTCTATTACATATTTGTGTCAGGCTGAATTAGCTTCCTATTAGCTGAATTAGCTTTGTCAGAAGAAGGTATCAACAGATTGAATGCAGAAGCAGACGTGAGAATACAGCTGTCTTTTATTAAGTCTGACATTAAGAGATTTGCTAAAATGTAAATGATGTTACTTTTCTCGCCACTATTTTTTTGAAAATCTATTTTCCATAAAAATTGTTTATATGAATGTGGGGTTTTATCACTATTAAATATTTAAAACTTTCTCAATTTCAATTACTAATACACTCGATTTACTCAGTTTTAATTTACTAATTATTAAAACTAGATATGACCCATATAAACATAAGGTTTTTGGGATATGCAGTAATAGTTAATAGTGAAAAAAGGAAAAAGGTCTTGAGATCAAATGAGTCTGAGAACTTCTAATTTATTACATTCTGGTTGAGGTTTATCTTCTGGGTAAAACTTAATGCTTGTATTCATTACAGCAAATGCTGTTATGAATGTTTAAAAACTTAATCCTTAAAACTTAGACAAAATGGTAGTTTTTTATTATAGAATGTGGTGTTAATTTCTTCATCTAGCACTTTAAATGCAGGTATTTTTTTTTTTTCATTACAAGGAAGTAAAATGTACCTATTCTTTTTCTTCATGATACCTTTTTTCTTGGTCTTCCTCATGTTCTTCTGCCTATTGGTCTTCGAACCAGAAAACTTTCAGCGTTTACCCACTATTTTGAACATTATTGATCGGCCTTCATTATTTATATTAGTTTCTTTGGACAGGGTATGCTCTCTCTTTTTCCCCCTGCTCCTCTCTTTGCCCCTCCTTCCCTCCTTTGTAGGATCCCTTCTTTGCCTATTTAGTTTAAATACTGATTTCTGATGTTCTGGACATTATTTTTCAATTGCACTCATGTACTAGCAGGATGTTGCAGCAGCTGCCATATCAGCAGGTAATATGGCATTACTGTAGACAGGGAGAACAGAAAAAATATTGGAGAAAAGCTTTAAATAAAAAAGCTTGACACTAAATTGCCGAAAGATAACATATGAAAATACCTTGGTATATAACCAAGGTTGTGTTTTAAACCTGTAGAATACTGGAGGCTGAGGGCAGTTACAGCTGCAGAACAAGTAAAATATTCATGTCTTAACATTGAAAAGAACTGTTGGTCACTTATTCAGCTGCATCTGTATTTATAGATCATCTTAAGAACTATTCATTTTATGCCACGGAGTTATAGTTAATGATACACAACTATTCTTTGGTAGAACTGTACCTCTAAGCCAATGTTTCCAGTTCCTGCACTTTTCAAATGTACCACCATCTTCTTTTGTTTCTTACATTTAATTATAAGCCACAAAAAATCATGATCTTCGTGTGTACCTCTGGTCATCTACCACATAGTAAGATTGGGATATTGGATAAATAAAAGATATCTCCAGAAAAAATGTTCCTATCTAAGATGGAGATACTGTTGGTATGTTTAACAGTGCTGTCTTGAAGGCCATTGGTTTTCGGAGCATGACCTGAGGTTAGTCCCCTGACAGAGTTTTTTTTTTTTTTTTCTCTGTAAGTTATTTACTCCTAAACCCAGTTAAACTTCAGACACTAATGTCTACATATTCTTTTTTAATTTAAAAGAAAAATTATTCATGGAACCTTCTGGCTAGCAGGAAACAGTAGTCTTCTGGGATAAAGAAACATCTATAAAGTTATGGAGCCTATCATGAATTAAGGGAAAAAGTTATTTCAGATTGTAGGAAACAGACAAGAAGTGTAATTTTTTTTTTCACATTTTACTTTTTAAATTATAATGCCTTTTAGTTTCTTCTCTGCTGTTTCTGCTCTGTTTTTTGTTTGTTTGTTTGTTTGTTTGTTTGTAGCAGAATGGATGGGATATTTGCTGCATGAAAATTTAAAGTTAATGCTAAATTTTTAGCAAACATGTTGAAATTATTCCTTTTCCTTAATATTAGAAACAAATTTTCTTTTCTTTTTCTTTTTTTTGAGATGGAGTCTCACTCTGTTGCCCAGGCTGGAGTGCAGTGGCATGATCTTGGCTCACTGCAACCTCCGCCTCCCAGGTTTAAGCAATTCTCTGCCTCAGCCTCCCAAGCAGCTGGGATAACAGGCGCATGCCACCATGCCCAGCTAATTTTTGTATTTTTAATAGAGACGGAGGTTTCACCATCTTGGCCAGGCTGGTCTTGAACTCCTGACTCATGATCCACCTGCCTTGGCCTCCCAAAGTGCTGGGATAACAGGCGTGAGCCACCACGCCTGGCCTAGAAACAAATTTTCTTAATGAAGACCTTTAAGGTGGTGCTTTTTCAGCCTTATTGATTGGGTAAGATTATACTGGGAAACCTAGGAAGCCCAGTACTTTCATATATTGTATTTCATCCATTTGAAATAAATATTATATATATTTTTAAAGTTATGTCATCTTGATGGTGGTTTTCTTTTGTTTGCTAGGTATGCTTGAGAAATAATCCTCTTTATCATGCTGGAGCAGTTGCATTTTCAATTAGTGCTGGGATTCCTAAAGTTGGTGTCTTAATGGAGTCAGTTTGGAATATGAATGACAGCTGTAGATTTCAACTTAGATCTCCTGAAAGCTTGAAAAACATGGAAAAAGCTAGCAAAACTACTGAAGCTAAGTAAGTACTATAGCTTAACTAATCGTGCTTTGACACCAGTTCCTTGTTTGCTCTGCATATGAATGGGAATAATCAAGGAAGACTTAGAGGTGTGAAGTTGTAAACTCCTAACATGATAGGGTCTTGTTAAGGTTCCCAGGAAATTTGAAAGGAAGTGCTAAATTTTACTGTTTGTAACTTTGCTAATATATATCTATTAATTAATTAATTAATTTATTATTATTATACTTTAAGTTGTAGGGTACATGTGCACAATGTGCAGGTTAGTTACATATGTATACATGTGCCATGCTGGTGTGCTGCACCCATTAACTCGTCATTTAGCATTAGGTATATCTCCTAATGCTATCCCTCCCCCTCCCCCCACCCCACAACAGTCCCCAGAGTGTGATGTTCCCCTTCCTGTGTCCATGTGTTCTCATTGTTCAGTTCCCATCTATGAGTGAGAATATGCGTTGTTTGGTTTTTTGTCCTTGCGATAATTTACTGAGAATGATGATTTCCAATTTCATCCATGTCCCTACAAAGGACATGAACTCATCATTTTTTATGGCTGCATAGGATTCCATGGTGTATATGTGCCACATTTTCTTAATCCAGTCTATCATTGTTGGACATTTGGGTTGGTTCCAAGTCTTTGCTATTGTCAATAGTGCCGCAGTAAACATACGTGTGCATGTGTCTTTATAGCAGCATGATTTATAGTCCTTTGGGTATATACCCAGTAATGGGATGGCTGGGTCAAATGGTATTTCTAGTTCTAGATCCCTGAGGAATCGCCACACTGACTTCCACAATGGTTGAACTAGTTTACAGTCCCAGCAACAGTGTAAAAGTGTTCCTATTTCTCCACATCCTCTCCAGCACCTGTTGTTTCCTGACTTTTTAATGATCGCTGTTCTAACTGGTGTGAGATGGTATCTCATTGTGGTTTTGATTTGCATTTCTCTGATGGCCAGTGATGTTGAGCATTTTTTCATGTGTCTTTTGGCTGCATAAATGTCTTCTTTTGAGAATTGTCTGTTCATATCCTTTGCCCACTTTTTGATGGGGTTGTTTGTTTTTTTCTTGTAAATTTGTTTAAGTTCATTGTAGATTCTGAATATTAGCCCTTTGTCAGATGAGTAGGTTGCAAAAATTTTCTCCCATTTTGTAGGTTGCCTGTTCACTCCGATGGTAGTTTCTTTTGCTGTGCAGAAGCTCTTTAGTTTAATTAGATCCCATTTGTCAATTTTGGCTTTTGTTGCCATTGCTTTTGGAGTTTTAGACATGAAGTCCTTGCCCATGCCTATGTCCTGAATGGTATTGCCTAGGTTTTCTTCTAGGGTTTTTATGGTTTTAGGTCTAACGTTTAAGTCTTTAATCCATCTTGAATTAATTTTTGTATAAGGTGTAAGGAAGGGATCCATTTTCAGCTTTCTACATATGGCTAGCCAGTTTTCCCAGCACCATTTATTAAATAGGGAATCCTTTCCCCACTGCTTGTTTTTCTCAGGTTTGTCAAAGATCAGATAGTTGTAGATATGTGGCATTATTTCTGAGGGCTCTGTTCTGTTCCATTGATCTATATCTCTGTTTTGGTACCAGTACCATGCTGTTTTGGTTACTGTAGCCTTGTAGTATAGTTTGAAGTCAGGTAGCATGATGCCTCCAGCTTTGTTCTTTTGGCTTAGGATTGACTTGGCGACGCGGGCTCTTTTTTGGTTCCATATGAACTTTAAAGTAGTTTTTTCCAATTCTGTGAAGAAAGTAATTGGTAGCTTGATGGGGATACCATTGAATCTATAAATTACCTTGGGCAGTATGGCCATTTTAACGATATTGATTCTTCCTACCCATGAGCATGGAATGTTCTTCCATTTGTTTGTATCCTCTTTTATTTCCTTGAGCAGTGGTTTGTAGTTCTCCTTGAAGAGGTCCTTCACGTCCCTTGTAAGTTGGATTCCTAAGTATTTTATTCTCTTTGAAGCAATTGTGAATGGGAGTTCACTCATGATTTGGCTCTCTGTTTGTGTGTTATTGGTGTATAGGAATGCTTGTGATTTTTGTACATTGATTTTGTATCCTGAGACTATGCTGAAGTTGCTTATCAGCTTAAGGTGATTTTGGGCTGAGATGATGGGGTTTTCTAGATATACAATCATGTCATCTGCAAACAGGGACAATTTGACTTCCTCTTTTCCTAATTGAATACCCTTTATTTACTTCTCCTGCCTAATTGCCCTGGCCAGAACTTCCAACACTATGTTGAATGGGAGTGGTGAGAGAGGACATCCCTGTCTTGTGCCAGTTTTCAAAGGGAATGCTTCCAGTTTTTGCCCATTCAGTATGATATTGGCTGTGGGTTTGTCATAGATAGCTCTTATTATTTTGAGATACGTCCCATCAATACCTAATTTATTGAGAGTTTTTAGCATGAAGTGTTGTTGAATTTTGTCAAAGGCCTTTTCTGCATCTATTGAGATAATCATGTGGTTTTTGTCTTTGGTTCTGTTTATATGCTGGATTACATTTGATTTGCGTATATTGAACCAGCCTTGCATCCCAGGGATGAAGCCCACTTGATCATGGTGGATAAGCTTTTTGATGTGCTGATGGATTCAGTTTGCCAGTATTTTATTGAGGATTTTTGCATCAATGTTCATCAAGGATATTGGTCTAAAATTCTGTTTTTTGGTAGTGTCTCTGCCCGGCTTTGGTATCAGGATGATGCTGGCCTCATAAAATGAGTTAGGGAGGATTCCCTCTTTTTCTATTCATTGGAATAGTTTCAGAAGGAATGGTACCAGTTCCTCCTTGTACCTCTGGTAGAATTTGGCTGTGAATCCATCTGGTCCTGGACTCTTTTTGGTTGGTAAGCTATTGATTATTGCCACAATTTCAGATCCTGTTATTGGTCTATTCAGAGATTCAACTTCTTCCTGGTTTAGTCTTGGGAGAGTGTATGTGTCGAGGAATTTATCCATTTCTTCTAGATTTTCTAGATTATTTGCATGGAGGTGTTTGTAGTATTCTCTGATGGTAGTTTGTATTTCTGTGGGATCAGTGGTGATATCCCCTTTATCATTTTTTATTGCGTCTATTTGATTCTTCTCTCTTTTCTTCTTTATTAGTCTTGCTAGTGGTCTATCAATTTTGTTGATCCTTCCAAAAAACCAGCTCCTGGATTCATTAATTTTTTGAAGGGTTTTTTGTGTCTCTATTTCCTTCAATTCTGCTCTGATTTTAGTTATTTCTTGCCTTCTGCTAGCTTTTGAATGTGTTTGCTCTTGCTTTTCTAGTTCTTTTAATTGTGATGTTAGGGTGTCAATTTTGGATCTTTCCTGCTTTCTCTTGTGGGCATTTAGTGTTCTAAATTTCCCTCTACACACTGCTTTGAATGTGTCCCAGAGATTCTGGTATGTTGTGTCTTTGTTCTCGTTGGTTTCAAATAACATCTTTATTTCTGCCTTCATTTCGTTATGTACCCAGTAGTCATTCAGGAGCAGGTTGTTCAGTTTTCATGTAGTTGAGCAGTTTTGAGTGATTTTCTTAATCCTGAGTTCTAGTTTGATTGCACTGTGGTCTGAGAGACAGTTTGTTATAATTTCTGATCTTTTACATTTGCTGAGGAGAGCTTTACTTCCAACTATGTGGTCAGTTTTGGAATAGGTGTGGTGTGGTGCTGAAAAAAATGTATATTCTGTTGATTTGGGGTGGAGAGTTCTGTAGATGTCTATTAGGTCCACTTGGTGCAGAGCTGAGTTTAATTCCTGGGTATCCTTGTTAACTTTCTGTGTCATTGATCTGTCTAATGTTGACAGTGGAGTGTTAAAGTCTCCCATTATTATTGTGTGTGGGAGGCTAAGTCTCTTTGTAGGTCACTGAGGACTTGCTTTATGAATCTGGGTGCTCCTGTATTGGGTGCATATATATTTAGGATAGTTAGCTCTTCTTGTTGAATTGATCCCTTTACCATTATGTAATGGCCTTCTTTGTCTCTTTTGATCTTTGTTGGCTTAAAGTCTGTTTTATCAGAGACTAGGATTGCAATCCCTGCCTTTTTTTGTTTTCCATTTGCTTAGTAGATCTTACTCCATCCTTTTATTTTGAGCCTGTGTGTGTCTCTGCATGTGAGATGGGTTTCCTGAATACAGCACACTGATGGGTCTTGACTGTTTATCCAATTTGCCAGTCTGTGTCTTTTAATTGGAGCATTTAGTCCATTTACATTTAAAGTTAATATTGTTATGTGTGAATTTGATCCTGTCATGATGTTAGCTGGTTATTTTGCTCGTTAGTTGATGCAGTTTTTTCCTAATCTCGATGGTCTTTACATTTTGGCATGATTTTGCAGCGGCTGGTACCGGTTGTGCCTTTCCATGTTTAGTGCTTCCTTCAGGAGCTCTTTTAGGTCAGGCCTGGTGGTGACAAAATCTCTCAGCATTTGCTTGTCTGTAAAGTATTTTATTTCTCCTTCACTTATGAAGCTTAGTTTGGCTGGATATGAAATTCTGAGTTGACAGTTCTTTTCTTTAAGAATGTTGAATATTGGCCCCCACTGTCTTCTGGCTTGTAGAGTTTCTGCCGAGAGATCAGCTGTTAGTCTGATGGGCTTCCCTTTGTGGGTAACCTGACCTTTCTCTCTGGCTGCCCTTAACATTTTTTCCTTCATTTCAACTTTGGTGAATTTGACAATTATGTGTCTTGGAGTTGCTCTTCTCGAGGAGTATCTTTGTGGCGTTCTCTGTATTTCCTGAATCTGAACGTTGGCCTGCCTTGCTAGACTGGGGAAGTTCTCCTGGATATTATCCTGAAGAGTGTTTTCCAACTTGGTTCCATTCTCCCCATCACTTTCAGGTACACCAATCAGACGTAGATTTGGTCTTTTCACATAGTCCCATATTTCTTGGAGGCTTTGTTCGTTTCTTTTTATTCTTTTTTCTCTAAACTTCTCTTCTCGCTTCATTTCATTCATTTCATCTTCCATCACTGATACCCTTTATTCCAGTTGATCGCATCGGCTCCTGAGGCTTCTGCATTCTTCACGTAGTTCTCGAGCCTTGGCTTTCAGCTCCATCAGCTCCTTTAAGCACTTCTCTGTATTGGTTATTCTAGTTATACATTCGTCTAAATTTTTTTCAAAGTTTTCAACTTCTTTGCCTTTGGTTTGAATTTCCTCCTGTAGCTCGGAGTAGTTTGATTGTCTGAAGCCTTCTTCTCTCAACTCGTCAAAGTCATTCTCCATCCAGCTTTGTTCCGTTGCTGGTGAGGAACTGCGTTCCTTTGGAGGAGGAGAGGCGCTCTGCTTTTTAGAGTTTCCAGTTTTTCTGCTCTGTTTTTCCCCATCTTTGTGGTTTTATCTACTTTTGGTCTTTGATGATGGTGATGTACAGATGGGTTTTTGGTGTGGATGTCCTTTCTGTTTGTTAGTTTTCCTTCTAACAGACAGGACCCTCAGCTGCAGGTCTGTTGGAGTTTGCTAGAGGTCCACTCCAGACCCTGTTTGCCTGGGTACCAGCAGTGCTGGCTGCAGAATAGCAGATTTTCGTGAACCGCGAATGCTGCTGTCTGATCGTTCCTCTGGAAGTTTTGTCTCAGAGGAGTACCCGGCCGTGTGAGGTGTCAGTCTGCCCCTACTGGGGGGTGCCTCCCAGTTAGGCTGCTTGGGGGTCAGGGGTCAGGACCCACTTGAGGAGGCAGTCTGCCCGTTCTCAGATCTCCAGCTGCACGCTGGGAGAACTACTGCTCTCTTCAAAGCTGTCAGACAGGGACATTTAAGTCTGCAGAGGTTACTGCTGTCTTTTTGTTTGTCTGTGCCCTGCCCCCAGAGGTGGAGCCTACAGAGGCAGGCTGGCCTCCTTGAGCTGTGGTGGGCTCCACCCAGTTCAAGCTTCCTGGCTGCTTTGTTTACCTAAGCAAGCCTGGGCAATGGTGGGCGCCCCTCCCCCAGCCTGGCTGCCGCCTTGCGGTTTGATCTCAGAGTGCTGTGCTAGCAATCAGCGAGACTCTGAGCGTAGGACCCTCTGAGCCAGGTGAGGGATATAATCTCCTGGTGTGCCATTTCCTAAGCCCGTCAGAAAAGCGCAGTATTCAGGTGGGAGTGGCCCGATTTTCCAGGTGCTGTCTGTCACCCCTTTCCTTGACCAGGAAAGGGAACTAACTCCCTGACCTGACCCCTTGCGCTTCCCAAGTGAGGCAATGCCTCGCCCTGCTTCGGCTGGTGCACGGTGCGTTGCACCCACTGTCCTGCGCCTACTGTCTGGCACTCCCTAGTGAGATGAACCCGGTACCTCAAATGGAAATGCAGAAATCACCTGTCTTCTGAGTAGCTGACGCTGGGAGCTGTAGACTGGAGCTGTTCCTATTTGGCCATCTTGGCTCCTCCCCCCTCATATTTATATATTAACAGTTGATTTTGATGGCCAGATGACAGTGTAGTGTTCTCTTTTGATGCCCTCGTTTTGTTATTAGATTGTATCCTTTGCAGGTGTTTTGTGGCAGTAATAATATGTTTAAGCCTTGCTATTAAGCCGACATTCTCTCTCCTTGTTTAATCATCTTAAATTTCTACCTAACTTCCTGCCCTACATCTTGATTATTGAAAGGGTTTTACAGATTAATGTACTCAAGAGGGAAATATCTGTAAAGAATTGGTAAACGTTTTTTGGGTTGAAGGGATTTGTGAATAGAAACACCGCTGAATTTTGTATAGCCCCATGTTCTGGGGCTGACTTCTGTTTGGAGCGTAGTACAGAGATCTTAACACCTGTGCTTTTAGAAACATCTACTCATCTTTAAAAATAATCGTTTGTACTGTAATTTGGTTGTTTGGTACATGAACTTTAAAACTTTAGTAAAATTGTTAAATAACATTTTTTCTTAATCTTATAAAAATAGGTGACCAGTATAGATATGTGGGAGAGTAGTAATATCACATTCTAGAAAGAACATTTAACACATCAATGTATTTTCTTTTTTTCTAAATGTATTCAGGCATTGAAAAACGATAGGGATTTTACTGTACATACAGATTTTTAAGGTTCCAAAATTGTTTAGTTTGCTTTCCATTTATACTCAGATGTTATGATTATAAATTTACTAAGTTTACTGCTGTAATTCCTCAGTGTTAAAAGTGCAAAGTTAAATGTGAAAACAGTGATTACTGTTAAGTTAAATGTAATTTTTAACAAACCAAAGCTATTGCACTTTATACCTCATTAAGGTTTTGCTTTTAGTTTTCGTGTTCTTTCTCTGTCTTGGTTTTTTAAAAAAGATTTATAGACTTTCTAATTACGTTGGATTTTGTACTAAAAATAGAAGTAATAAAACATTTTCATTGTCTTATGAACTTTGTAAAGAACATTTGAAATAATTTTGATGTGTACAAATACAAGATTAGAATAGAATATGGAATTTAAAGCCTGTAATTGATGAAGTTTTTCAAGATCTTCCTTGAAATCAGCCATTTCAAATATTAGCAAAAGAGCTAAGTGAAATTTAAATGTTAAGAACATAGTCTTTTTCATGTCAGTAGTACCCTCGTTTGCCAGTCATTGAAATGCATTCACTTTAAAGGTATGCTAGTGATTAATCAGTATTGGCTTCCCCCCACCATCACAGCATTTGTGGAGCAGCCAGGAGTATTTGCTGTGTACTTATTGAGATCACTCATGTTAAGATCCTGGTGAAAATAATACCAGTTTTCTTTTAGATTATTTCTAAACTCAGGTGAAATTTCTGATGAGAGTAATAGGAGACGAGGGTTAAGATGATGGTCCAGTTTATAATAGGTATATAAATAACAAATTTGTGAATAATCAGTGACTTTTCTGATTAAAAACTGATTTCTACCCTTTAATATATAAAAATATTTATGTTTGCACCATCTGTAGAATGCTGTTTAGTTGCTGTAGTTATTTTCTTAAACAGAGTATTAAATAACTCATTAAAGAGGGCTAGTTTTTTAATCCTGTCACCAGATGGTTTAAGAATAAATTTTTATAAACCATTGTGAGTAGAGTTTCTTCTTGGAACTCTATGAAATTAATGGTCTAATGGGCTTTTTACTTACTTGCCTTTACCCTTTTTTTTTTTCAGTTAAATTGCCATATCCAAATCTTAGCAGTGTTGCAGTGTGAAACTTGTTTGCTCAAGAGGCTTTGACAAAGCTGTGTTGATAAATTAAGTGTAAATTTCGTTATTTCTAGATAAAGCTTATCTGAATCATTGTCTCAAGTTGTTGATAGCTTTTATATTTTTCCTTCCCATATTAAACCACTATTTGAAAGCATGCATTGTGTACCTTTTATTCTTGAGTCTTAAAAATATACAATGAAAAAATTAATATAAATACATAGTTTAATAAAAATGTTTTTAATATTCATTCTTTTATAAGAAAATACTTGTCTTTAAAAAATACTAGTTTCCATTATTTCATTTATCTAATTATAAGGAGAATCTTATTTCTTATCTCAGGCCTGAAAGTAAGCAGGAGCCAGTGAAAACAGAAATGGGTCCTCCACCATCTCCAGCATCCACGTGTAGTGATGCATCCTCAATTGCCAGCAGTGCATCAATGCCATACAGTAAGTTTTATTTGTTGTATGCATTTGTGAAAATAGGTCTCATGCAGACAGCTGTGTTTAGTTTGTTTCTGATTTAAGGCAACTCATATCATTTTTTACATCTTTTTATATAATTTGTATCTCTATTACTTTGGTTTTTTTTTTTTGCATAACCTTCTTTGAATAGAAAGATGGTATTTACAGTGTTGACTATTTCTGTTGTTTTTCAGAATTAGAGTTTTAAAAAGATATGTGAAATTCATGATAGTAATAGAAGGAAATAATTGCCACTAGCTAGTCTATCTACTCACTTTTGTTGAGACTCTTATTATTGTAAATTGATTATGTCTTGGTCACAACTTTTGCTCAAAATTTGTAAATTTATAAACCTAGACTTACTGCCACACCATGGATAGAATTTTTTCAAAAATTCCTTAAAATAAATTTTATGGTGTTAATTGCTTTGCAATTTAGGAAATTAAAAGTTAGACTTTAATAGTTATGTGATAGTTTTCTTAAAACTATCTGGCAGATCTTCCTTTTTAAACTCTGGTTAGATACTATAATTTTGGGAGTACAAAATACATTTTACGCTATTTCTTTGTACTTGTTTATACTGGTGTTAATACAATTAAACATTAATGGTTACAGTTGTTCTTCACTGTGAATTTATTTGAAGTACAGATTGATCAGAAAACTCCAATTCATAAAGCAGTAGCTTAGGAAATTGTTGAGAAACTTCACTTATGTATCCCTTTAAAGATAGTCTTTCTTATAAATTTAGATGAAATCTATAAAGTCTCTTTTACATTTTCTTTTTGGTACTTACCATTTTGTTGTTGTCTAAGAACGACGACGGTCAACCCCTGCACCAAAAGAAGAGGAAAAGGTGAATGAAGAGCAGTGGTCTCTTCGGGAAGTGGTTTTTGTGGAAGATGTCAAGAATGTTCCTGTTGGCAAGGTTTGTTCAAGATATCTAAAACTTAATTACTAACAGAATTATAATGATATTGGTTATCCAGGGATTTGTGGTTGATATCTGAGTCCTTTCTTCAGGGCTGTTTTATTTATCATCTTCAGTGGTATCTTTAGTTGCACCCCTGCATCTGATGCAGATCTGTCTTCTCAGTCGCTGACAGATGAAGAGATTATGCCTCTCTTTGAGCATTTGTGATGATATGTTGCTTTTTAAAAAAACTATTATTTGGGAATAGTTTTAGTTTTGTAGAAAAGTTGCATAGAGATACGTTACTTTTTGGTACAGCCCATTTGTTGGATCTCTTAGTTCTAGTTGAGATCATCTTCCATGACATTTAAAATTCTTCCAGAGTACTGAAAAACCTTATTACAAGTCACCTTCCACTTTTTCTCCTCTCTTCTGTTTTGCCTTCTAAGAAACCATCAATTTGAGTGCCATTAATTTCACTCTTCTACTGACACATATTTAAAATGCACTTGCAGTTGTAGAATGTCTGTAAAGTAAAGGTTTTCATGATTACTCAGTAGTTTCTGAAACGTGATAGTCTTTCATTTATACTTAAAGGAAAGAGCAGATATACCAGTTTCTGCAGCTTACAAAGGTCTTTCTCATATACCGTTTCATTTGATTCTCAAAATAGACCTGTAGTTCATGGGTAGGTGTTTTCTTCTGAGAATTAGATACGGGCTTAAAATAAAAAGCATCAAGTAGCAGAAGTGGGACCCAAATTTGTCCTGGTTTCAAATTCTGTGCTTGTCTTTCTGTGCATTGCTGACCCTATCCCTGTGTTGAGTGTATTGTAGCCACTAGCTGTATATGTGGCTGTTTAAATTTGTTAAAATCAAATAACTTAAAAAAGTCAGCACCTTCGTCACATTAGCTTCATTTCAAGTGCTCAGTAGCCACTTATGGCTAATGGCTGCCGTATTGGACACCGCCAATATAGAACGTTGCCATTTTCAAGAAAGTTCTGTCAGACCGAAGGCTGCTTTAATTTAATTAGGAGATGGGAGGATTTCACGGGCTATATACTTAAGTTTTTCAGTTGATTACTGAAAACATTCACTGACTGTAATCACTGGCTGTGTGGGTCAGTTTTCTCTAGCAAATGAGCCTTGAATATAGATGTCAGTAGCAAAGCTCAGAGTCTGTCTGGGTTGATTTTATAACTTGGTGATCATTGAAGAAACATACAAAGAATTGGATTCCTTTAACATTAAATTAGTTCAGTGAATAGAATTTGTATGTTGATTTTATATAAGCTATTGCTAATGTTCATTGAATTTGCCTATACTTCCAGGTGCTAAAAGTAGATGGTGCCTATGTTGCTGTAAAATTTCCAGGAACCTCCAGTAATACTAACTGTCAGAACAGCTCTGGTCCAGATGCTGACCCTTCTTCTCTCCTGCAGGATTGTAGGTTACTTAGAATTGATGAATTGCAGGTAAGTGTAAAGAAGTTATTCAGCAAGTGAATATTGGAACTGACTCCGTGAGTTTATTATGGAGTTTGAAAGCAAAATTCCTTTTGTGTCATGCAGGTTGTCAAAACTGGTGGAACACCGAAGGTTCCCGACTGTTTCCAAAGGACTCCTAAAAAGCTTTGTATACCTGAAAAAACAGAAATATTAGCAGTGAATGTAGATTCCAAAGGTAAATTTTGAAACTTCTTCAGCTGGCATATCCTATATTCCATTAATACTTGTTCAGGAAATGGGAATATGATAAAATAATTCAGGGCATTGGCATTTTTTTGTTCCCTATCTGTAACATTATGGAATGGCATGTATCTGTTTGAATTGACTTACAAGTGTGGCCAGAGAAGTTAAAATATTGTAGATGTTTATTAGAGATAAGATGTATAACAATTTTTCTTCTCATTTATGTGCTTCTGAAGGTGTTCATGCTGTTCTGAAGACTGGAAATTGGGTACGATACTGTATCTTTGATCTTGCTACAGGAAAAGCAGAACAGGAAAATAATTTTCCTACAAGCAGCATTGCTTTCCTTGGTCAGAATGAGAGGAATGTAGCCATTTTCACTGCTGGACAGGTAGAGGCTCATTTTTGCTTTTGAAAAGTGATAGGACAACAATGGCATTTTTGTGAGGTTAGGGGGTCTGGCTCTGGTTAGCTTATCAATTATTCAAAAACCTAGAATATTTAGCACATTTGAATACTAGGTTTCTTATTACTATTACTAAAATCTAATTTGGAAATAAATATGCCTGTAAAAATCAGATACATTTTTTGATTAGGAGTCAAACTTTACCATTTTCCCATTATTATAGGAATCTCCCATTATTCTTCGAGATGGAAATGGTACCATCTACCCAATGGCCAAAGATTGCATGGGAGGAATAAGGGATCCCGATTGGCTGGATCTTCCACCTATTAGTAGTCTTGGAATGGGTGTGCATTCTTTAATAAATCTTCCTGCCAATTCAACAATCAAAAAGAAAGCTGCTGTTATCATCATGGCTGTAGAGGTAATTTGAGTATTGAAACTACTGGGCATTTTAATTCACAAAACACCACTAAATAGTCTTGAATAGATCTTGCAACAATCTTAAATAGATCATTCATTGCCCCTTTCTTCCCTAAAAGAGCTAATGGTCTATTAAAACTACATAGACAAGTACATCAGTGATTATCGTGTAATTTAAGTGTTTGAGCAAGGCATGCATAATGTTGTAGGAGCACAAAGGGGAGAGATATAAATCATACTGTGACTGTACCAAAGACTTCTTTAAGAAGCGATACCCGGACAGATCAGATAGGCCCCTTAGACACAGGGATGGAGTTGGGAGGTATTATCCCAGGCACCAAGAGCAACCTTTGTGAATCTTATTAATAAGTTGGGAGAAAGTACTTTTTTTTGATATGACCAGAATTCTGGTAGGGATCCTGTGGGTCAGTGAGTAGCAACTGAAAAGGCTGGAGAGGGGCACTAGGGTGTTTGTGTGTTCACCTAACGCTACCTAAACTTCAGCCTGAAAGCGAGGAGGAGGAGGAGGATTATAAGCCAGTGAATGACGTGCTTTTGATTTTTTAAAAAAGATCAGCAGTGGCTGGTGGGTGTTTAGAGAGCAGCTGATAGATATCAGAAGTTTAGAGATCAGATAAAAAGGTTAATGTAGGCTGGGCGTGGTGGCTCACGCTTGTAATCCCGGTACTTTGGGAGGCAGAGTGTGGGGTGGATCACTTGAAGTCAGGAGTTTGAAGCCAGCCTGGCCAACATGGTGAAACCCTATCTCTACTGAAAATACAAAAATTAGCCCGGCATGGTGGCGCACGCCTGTAATCCCAGCTACTCAGGAGGCTGAGGCACAAGAATCACTTGAACCCCGGAGGCGGAGGTTGCAGTGAGCCGAGATCGCGCCACTGAACTCCAGCCCGGGCAACAGAGCGTGACTCCGTCTCAAAACAAACAAACAAACAAACAAAAAACATTTTAAAAAAAGGGAAAAAGTCAGGCAATAATCCAGGTTAGAAACAAAGTAAATGTCAACTTTTGGAAATGAGGAAGGAGGGGATGGATTTAAGAGATCTTAAGAAACTAGAACCTGTAAAGCTTGGTAACTGGATTTTAGCAGTGAATGAAAGAATTAATAAAGCTTCTGATTTGGGCATGGTTGATGGTAGAGAAGAAATATAGGAGGGGGAACAAATGGGATAAGGGAAAAGGATGAATTTAGTTTTAAACATGTTGTGGTTTGTTGTGATAGAGTATTTGTTAGATGTGGAGACAGTGCATTAGAAGCTATTGGAGCAATTTCAGCCGAGATTGACCTGATATCAGTGAACATTTTAAAAGGATTCCTTATGACGTGCTGAGAGTACTAGGGTGAAAGTGAGTAAATAGGAGTGCCAGTTAGGAGGATATAATAATAATCCAGGTGGGAGATGATAGTGACTTACCCAGGGGGTGGAGTTAGGAGTGAAATGTGACTAGATTCTAGTTACGTAGTCATGTGTTGCTTAATGACAGGGATACATTCTGAGAAATACATTGTTAGGTGATTTCATTGTTGTACAAACATCACATAGTGCACTTACATGAACCTAGATGGTATAGCCTATTGCTCCTAGGGTATAAACCTATATAGTGTATTTCTGTACTGGATACCGTAGGCATTTGTAACACAGTGATAAGTAGTTGTTTACATAAACATAGGAAAGGCACAGTAAAAATACGGTCTAAAGGATAAAAAAAAGGTGCACCTGATAGGGCATTTAGCACAAATGAAGCTTAGAAGATTGAAAGTTGCTCTGGGTAAGTCAGTGAGTGAGTGGTAGGTGAATGTGAGGGCTTATGTTATTACTGTACACTGCTGTAGACTTTATAAACACTGTACACTTAGGCTACACTAAATTTTTTTTAACCTTTTGATTTGTTTGTAATAATAATATGCTTAAAACACATTGTACACAGTCGGGCATGGTGGATTGTACCTGTAATCCCAGCATTTTGGGAGGCCAAAGTGGATGGATCCCTTGAGGCCAGGAGTTTGAGGCCAGCCTGGGCAACATAGCGAAACCCTGTCTCTACAAAAAATACAAAAATTAACCGGGTGTGGTTGTGCCTGTAATCCCAGCTACTTAAGAGGCTCAGGCACGAGAATCGCTTGAACCTAGTAGGTGAAGGTGGAGGTTGCAGTGAGCTGAGATCATGCCACTGCACTCCAGCCTGGGCGACAGAGTGAGACTCTGTCTTACACACACACACACACACACACACACACACACATTGTGTAGCTATCTAAAAAATAACTTTCTTTCCTATATCCTTAAGGGTTTTTTGGGGGGGAGGGGCAGAGTTTTCATTTCTTTCTTTCTTTCTTTTTTTTTTTTTTAAAAAAAAAACTTTTAGGCTTGGGAGTACATGTGAGATTTTACTGCAGGGTAAACTCATGTACAGGGTTTTTTGTACAGATTGTTTCATCACCCAGGTATTAAGCACTTTTTCTATATTTAAAATTTTTTACTGCCTTTTTAAAAAATGTGCAATTTACAATGCCTTCTTCTGTAATACCTCCTGAAGGACCTGCCTTAGGCTGTTTTAGTTAACTTTAAAAAAAATAGATAGAAGAAGTACATTCTAAAGTAACCAAAGAAAGTATAGTAAATACTTTAGAAATCAGTGACCTAGTTTTATCATTATCGAATATTATACTGTACATAAATTGTATGTACTGTACTTCTATATGATTGGCAGTACAGTAGGTTTGTTTATGCCAGCACTGCCACAAACAGTATGATTTAACAACAGCTACGATGTCACTAGGCAATAGGAACTTTTCAGCTCCATTATAATCTTATAGTACCACAGTCATATATGTGGTCCATCATTGACCGTAATGTTTTTATGCAGCACATGACTGTACTAGGTATCTTTTTAAGGTAGAACTAATAGATTTGCTAATGGCTAAATGTAGGGTATCAAATAGACGAAGCAAGAGGGTTAATGGTTTTGGAAGAATGAAGTTGTCATTTACCGAGTTGAAGACTATAGAAGTGAAGAAGATTCAAGGGTTTGGTTTTAGACGTGAAGTTTAAGATGTCTCTTCTGATAGAGGAAGTGAATGTGAAGACATTTTAATAGATGTCTCTTCTGATAGAAGAAGTGAAGGTGAAGGTTCAGGAATTTGGTTTTAGACAGGTGAAATTTAAGTTGTCTATTAGAAGATTATCTGACAGATTCCTGGACCAAGAGGAGATGGCAAGTAGAAAGTTAGATGTGTAAGTCTGACTAAGAGAGAAAGGCTCAAGCTGGAGAAATTTACTTGGGAGTTGTTTATTTAGAGGAATTATATTGAACAAGATCATGGAGGTGGTGAGGAGAAAAGGTCCAAGGACTAAGTCCTGAGAATAGTCTCAACATTTAAATGTTAGGGTGATAAAGAGGAACGAGCATAAGAGATCGAGAAGGAACATCCACAGGGTTGGAGGAAAGCTAGAATGAGTTGTGTCCTGGAAGTCAAATGAAGAGCACATGTCAAGCAGGATGTTGGGACCAACTGTGTCAAGTGATGTGGTAGGTCAGTGAAGTGAATACTGAATATTGACTGTTGGATTTAGCTCCATCTAGGTCATTATTGATAGTGGGGATGAAAGCATTAGAGTGAACTTAGGAGAAAATGAGAGGTGAGGAACTGAAGATAAATATCAGCAACTTTTTTGAGCAGTTTTTCTATAAAGGATGGAAATGGAGTTTAATATGGGAGCATATTCACCCTCCATTAGATTGGAGGTGAGAAGTACTTTTTAGAACTGCATCTAAAATAGACTGAATCCAGGTGCTTATGAGCACTATCTGTAAGCTTTTATTTAGACACCCAGACTCATTCTTAGCTTAGCTTTGCTTGTAACCTACTGCACTAGTGGTTTCAAACTAAAGGAGGTGATGATACAGAGGTAGCTGTGGTCTGAACTTGATGTCTAGAAATAGCCTTCATATCATTTTAGAATTCTTGATGGGTTACCAATATTGAAAAATCACAGGATTTACATTTAAAATCCAGATTTTAATTTTAGAAGATCTGGTGAAATTGGGCCTCGTAATCTACATCCCAAAAACATTAGACTGGTCTTTACAATTCATTGCAGTTCTCACTACTTAGAGTTTGTTGCTCCAAGTGCTAGTGATGCCATTTAGTATACAGCTTCTGTTATCTCTTTTACACACAGCCTCCTTCATTCATTTATATTACTTCAAGTGTAGGCATTTGATTCTGTGACCTCTTCACTTTGTCAGGATCTGACAGGTAGAGTCATCATCCCGCAGGTAGGGATGAAGTGTGTCATGATTAGTCTTTATACCTACCTCAGTGACTAGGGCCTACCACACAGTAGACCCACAAGAAATTTTTTATTGAACTCACTCTGCCTTTTGCTATAAGAATAACTGACAGATGTAACATACAATGATGCAGAGTAAACTTTTCTGCTTGTAACACAACTAAGTAGTATTGATACTCTCAGTGTGAGAGCCCATCTACTATAGTCTGGCAGGTTGGAGATAAGAGTTTCCTGTAGAGTAGTAGCTGCTTCTAACTAAATAATTTGCTGTTACTTGAAACCAGTGTATATGACAGCACCGTACAACAGAATATCTTGATTTTAGTTGCCCTTTGAAAGTACTCTGTTCTTTGTTCTTCAGGGAGACTTTGACATTTTCTCTCAACACATATTTTGTATAAATTTCCCTATGTTTTGGAAAGTTTAGTATTAAGCTCCTCATGAACTGGAGCTTGCTGTTGATGAGGTGACTTCAGAGCCATAGTTAGTTCCACAATCAAAGTGGCCTGTCTCACGTGTAGTGGATAGTGAAAATAGTTGTTTAGGTGTGTTTTCTTGTGTGGACATCTGTTCTCCACCCGCTCTCAAGTTGGGGATAGGGGAGAGCTTATTTTGACAGTTTTCCAGAAGGTGGCAAGTTGTTCAAATGCAGTTTTTTTTTTTCCTTTATACTCCCACATGCTCTTTTCCCACCTGCTTTTTTCTAGTTATAGTTAAAATGAACAACTTTGTTTTATAAAACTAAAGCTTTATATTCGATTCATTAAATATTCCACAACTACAGTTTTCCAATGTGAAAGAATGAACTTCTTGGTATATTCATGCTATTTGTCAGAAAGCTAATGATATGTTCTATAAATACTTATCAGTACCACTGTGTCTTTGTTAATTAAATTACACCTGTCATGATCCCTGCAGAATTGAAGGTATCGGTTTTCATATAACCTTTAATAGCATAAGAGGGCTGGGTGTGGGTTGCTCATGCCCAGCACTTTGGGAGGCTGAGGTGGGGGCATCACTTGAGCCCAGGAGTTTGAGACCAGCCTGGGCAACATGGCAAGACTGCCTCTACAAAAAATCAGCCTGCTGTGGTGGTGCATGCTAGCTACATGGGAGGCTGAGGCGGGAGGATTACTTGAGCCCAGGAGGTTGATGCCATAGTGAGCTGTGTTCACATCACCGCACTACAGCCTGGAAGACAGAGTGAGACACTGTCTCACACACACACAAAAGCCTAAGAAGGTGGGAGTAAGCCTGGAATAAAATTTATATCCTTTGCTTAATTGGCTATCATTATTAAAAGGGTTCTAATTAGATAGATAACATGAAGTAAAAACCAAGGATTGGCAGACTATGGCCCAAAGGCCGAATCCAGCCACTCCTATTCATTTATGCATTGTATGTGGCTGCTTTCCTGTTTCAGTTGCAGAGCTGAGTTAGTTGAGAAAGCTAAAAATATTTACTTGTCCTTAACAGAAAGTTTACCCTCCCTTCTCTATTCCTGTCGATTGTATGTTCTGCTTAAAGTGTACCCTTAAGTTCTGTTTCTTTTGGTAGGCCACCTGAAATTGTCTCTACTGATTTGCAAATCTGATTATATATTATTGTGTTGGCCATGAGAAATTTTTAATATATGTAATGTGCTACTCAAATTCATTGAGGTTTTTTTCCCCTAATTTGTCTGAGCACAGAAACAAACCTTAATGCAACACATTCTGCGCTGTGACTATGAGGCCTGTCGACAATATCTAATGAATCTTGAGCAAGCGGTTGTTTTAGAGCAGAATCTACAGATGCTGCAGACATTCATCAGCCACAGATGTGATGGAAATCGAAATATTTTGCATGCTTGTGTATCAGTTTGCTTTCCAACCAGCAATAAAGAAACTAAAGAAGAAGAGGGTGAGATTAAGAACTATAGCAAGGTCTTTAAAGGGAGTTTTAGGCAATTTTGAAAATGTAACAGTTGTTAAAGAAAAGCAAATCACTATAAAGAATTTGTGTGTCCTTTTTTTTTTTTTTTTACTTTCTCAGAAGGTAAAGATGGGTATGTAAGAAAAAAAATTTTGCACCAGTGTGTTTTTATTGTGTTTAATACTATATGATATATACAAACTGGATATGTAATGCTAAATGAACTTTACTGATTTTATAATTGCAGATGACTTATTACATGAGAATTATTTAGCAGGTTAAGCCAAGTTACATTGAGGCAACTTTTATCTAAATTTTTAGAATGTAGAGGAGAAAAATCACTTAGTGAGGTGTTATATGTTTTTGGAAGGTAAATAAGCTTTTTTTGCCATAAAGTTTTTAATTGGCTAAATGAAGGGAGAAATTGAGGACAAAGTGTTAATATGTAATTCATAATGTGTTTTTTTTTTTGAATTTGCTGATGATACTCTGGTAGCTACATTTTTGAATAGTGGTTTGCAGGTTTCTGACCTTTATGTCATTATCATTGAATCAGTAAGGATTATACATAGTACATAAACTGAGACTGAAGTACTGGTAAGTAGGTCTTTTTCTATTTTAATAAGTGAAAGCTAAATTTCAGTCTTCTTATTAATGACCTTATTTTTGCCCTTCGTGGATTGAGAAGGAAGGCGGAATAAGGAAATAAATCACATGTGAAAGATCAGATAGTTCAGTCTGTCTGAAGTGTTAGTTGCTCTAAGGAGGAAAAATTGAACAATTGGTTATCTAGTATGTGAATTAGAATACTAAATATATAGAGATTAGTGTTTAGTGGACTATACATACTCAGTGTATTAGTTCTAAAACTTAAATTGATCTTAATTTTTTCTCATTTTTCAGAAGCGGAGCGTTCTGAAAGAAATACATTTGCAGAAAGGCTTTCTGCTGTTGAGGCCATTGCAAATGCAATATCAGTTGTTTCAAGTAATGGCCCAGGTAATCGGGCTGGATCATCAAGTAGCCGAAGGTAATGTGATTTTTACCAGGAAACTTTAATTGGAGGAAAAAACCAAGTACAGAAAGCAGTATATCTCTTACCTGTCGTGTACATGAATTGGTGGGTCCTTTTTTGTTTCATTTTTGTTCCTCCCAATAACACCCTGGGAAAAATAATCTGATAACAAATTAGAGTTTAAGGTAGAGCTGGGACACTTAATAAATTTGAAATAATTTAGACAAGTAGTTTAAATTTGTTTCTTTCAATTTGTTCTAAATTCATCATTCTTGCTTCCTAGGAAGTTAGTGTGTTATTTGGAGAACAAGTAGTATAATAATTGAAGGAACCTTAATCTTTTCAGATTGCTTATTTAGGTCAGTTTCTCAGATATCTTGATCTGGGAAAAAAATGAAAGGGTGATGTGTATTATGGATGTCTGATGTTTAAATTTTCAGGCTGAGTTTTGGGATGGACAAACTTTTATAACACATTAAAAATTGCTAGGTATTTGACTAGATAATGAATATGAAGAATTCAGGATATAGTTTTCTTTCTGTAGGAAAAAAATTTATTGTCTGCTTGACAAGATCATTAATGGAAGCACTGCTCACTATGTGCTAATGTGGCAGGTTGCAAAGTCTACTTAAAATGAAGATTCTCCTTGCCTATTTTCTGTTCCATAGTTAACTATTCCTTTAAAAATGTGTATTCTTAAATTGGCAACAGGAAGGCTACCAAGTTGATCCAAGTTGATACTTTACCAGGTTCAAAAACATCCTGAAGTGAGATTTATCAAAAAGTATTCATGGGTGACCAAATTACAATTTAAAACAGTGCAAAAACTTTACGTAGACTAAACAAAATGGAAATTATCACCAGTTTATTTATTCAGGACTATGCTAGGCAGACAAAGTGTTTGGTCTAAAGTGGGAAGCAACTTAAATTCTTCATGAAGAAATTAGTGTCTGAATTATTTCAGGTATTTCATTTCCTCAGGGAAATTACAGGTGCAAATCAAGTTGGACTCTGATATGGTTGGTCCAATGCCAGTGCTGCCATCTTTTTTTCATGTCAGGATTATTTTGAAGGCAAAGACTAAAAGGAGCTTCAAGAGTGGGTGATGTGTTGCTCACAGAAATAATTTGCAGAGTAAGCTCCTTTGAGGAATTTGCCGAAGATTTCACTGCAGTGCTCTTAACCAGTTCAAACTCAGGGCTGCCGGTTGAACAGATGAAAGCACAGGAGTCTTATTATCCACGCCGGGCAGTAGGAAGTCCACAGACTGCTTCATTGAAGTGAAACCCTCCTCTAGCCTCCAATGGATTTTCTAGGCGATGCCCCTTGATGAGTATGCAGGCTGGGATTCATGAGCTGTAAGCTCAAAACTGATGCAATTTCAATATTGAATGGAATACTGTTAAATGCCTTCAGATGATGATTTGACTCAGAAGTTTTATTATGTGAACTCAATAGTTCCTGAGTACAAAGGGCAGATTTAGTGGAAAGCTTGATTGATGCATCTGATTGCAGGTGTATATACTCTAGAGATTGTTAATCTGGAAGACACATGACCTTCGCTTTTTTGTCACAGTGTTATGTTTGAACATGACTGGATTCTAAGGCTTCTGTAGCATGGATATAACGTGCTTACAAAGAGGAAATTACATCATCCTTGAATTCTTCCATATTGTCAGAAAATACGATGACTCCAGGCAAGCCTTTACGAAGAAATGTCAAAACTCTGAATCTTAGCAGCCAAGGTGGTATCTCCTCAGTATTGTCCTCAGCCACTGAGGATACAGGTGAATCTTCATGAATTGTGTACAACATCTTGAAGAATAATTTTCTTTTTTTGTTTTTTGTTTTTTGTTTTTTAAGAATCTATATGAGGAGCTGGGCATTGTACTTAAAAATGTTCCCAAGACCTAATGAAGAAAAGAGGTTAAGGACAATTTTAAAAATGACAAGGAATGGCCCCCTCATTTAATATTGAATTGACTACATCACAGCAACAAAGTTGGGAGTTTGCAAGTTCAAGATGAGACTATGGTCTCAATTTATCTTCATTTATTCTTAATCTGCTTTAAGCTAGAAGTTGGAGAATAGCCCACATAATGTTTTTTGTTTGGCCTGCGCAATGTTAAAATTTTTTTTTCCTTTAATTTGAATGCCTTCAGATAAGCATGTGTGCCTCTAGCTTGTCACTACCCCCATTTCTTACACCTGACTGCCCTTATTTTACCTTTCTGACCCATTAGCCATTGAGTTTGTGACTCTGGTGTAAGCATTCTTAAAAAGGCCAAAACATGCATTTATTTTCAGGTTATTTGCAGTGTCTCCCAATTATTGCTGATTTTTTTTTTCTTTGTGCTTTGAGTAAGACACATTAGGTAGGATACCAGGTGTCTGTTGAGCTTAATTAAGATTGTATAGGAGCATCACAGTGTGAACAGTCACCATGGTGTGTGCTGTTACTGGTAAGGAGTCTTCCTTTTCCTCTGGGTGATATCTTTGGACAGGGAAGTGATCTGGACTGAAACAGTCACTGTGCCATGCTCCCATCCACATTATAAAAACTCTTAAACTCAAATTTCTAAATTGGAAAAAGAAGACATTGATACTATAAAATAATTAACTATAGTTATTTTTTAATAGTGAATACTATAATGGCAAATATATTATTTGAGACAGTAACATTTACATTGCAGAATCTTCTAGAGTGTTTTTATTCCAAAAAATACATCATAAATCTTATAAAATAGATATGCTCTTGAACATAGCCTCTAAAAGTAATTTTTGTGAATGACTTTTTAAAAAAGGTTCCTTATAAAATTAAAAATGTATTGACATGGAAAAACACATTTATCCTCAATTAAATAATAATTGCAATTAGAGATTTAAACATTAATAAAACTTGAAATTATTTCTAGATGTATTATGCGTATCTAGTAAGGTGTTAGGTCTTTCACATGAGAATGTCATGTCTGAGATTAATTCTACATGGGAGAATGAAGTCCCTTATGCGTTTTCTGGCCCTCAAAATGAAATTTTTACTCTTTATCCATTTACAAGCTCTAAAATTGTGGCTGAGTGAAGGGATTTGCCTTTTGTGCTCTCTTAAATCATTGTTAGTTCTAAATGTATTAATTTTGTAGCCGTTGTAAGGTTTTATTCAAAGGTAAAGTATAGATTTTCATACAGATAGTTCCCATTTCCCCTAACGAGTTCTGTGTTTGTGATTATTTCTTTTTCTTTTTAGTGATGTGTACACCTGTATAGTATTTTTTTTTTATAGCAGGAGGAAAAAAACCATGCCCATACATTAACAACACATTTTATAAACTCTAGTTTCATTCATTAATTTCTTTGGGATGCAAGTTGTACTGTTAAAAATTTTTTTGTGTGTAAAAATCTAAATTGGTCTTTGTTTTAAAACTAATCATTGTGTGGATATTAGTTCAGATGCTTTTGAGATTATAAAAGGGATTTAGTGTTGAACAATACTGGTTTTGTGCTAATCAGTATGATTGCTGATGTCTACTATTAAACTTAATTATTACCGATTATAAACGGGGGATAGAAACTTTTTGTTTTAATGTTTAGCTGTTCTTTTATCTGAACTGTATGAAAGATTATTTCTAATCTTACTTCACCGCAGCTTTCGTTCCCTGTGCTTAAGTTTGTGTGGGAGCTTAATATAGTGATTTTAGTGCTGAACGGTGTACTAGGAGCCCCCAGTTTTATTTCTATCCCTCACTGACTTATTCTGTGATTCCAGAATTGGCATTTGTACTTCACTTCCCTTGCCTGGAGTGCTTGCTTGTAGGACATACTTTCATCTTCTCAGATGAGAAGTTCTGTACACCGTTTCATTATGTGTAGATATGGTAGTGAGCTCTGATTTTGTTCATGTTCTTTTAGTTTGAGATTACGGGAAATGATGAGACGTTCGTTGAGAGCAGCTGGTTTGGGTAGACATGAAGCTGGAGCTTCATCCAGTGACCACCAGGATCCAGTTTCACCCCCCATAGCTCCCCCTAGTTGGGTTCCTGACCCTCCTGCGATGGATCCTGGTAAGAGCTGTTATTTAATTTCATTTAGTGTTTAACAAAAAGAGCAGGTCATGAAAGGAAATAATTTTAACATTTTAAAGGGATATTTAGAAATTTGAAATATTTGAAAGTAGTATGATGAATATTATAACTAGTTTAGCTATAAAAATTAGATTTAAGGGATTTATATTTTAAAAATTAAAATTCCAGAACTCTTGTCAGGTATTCCACTTTTACTGAAATATTTATTTCTATACCAGTAAGAATAATCCCTTTATTAGTAATATATCAAGATAAGTCAATAGATTTGCCTAGTGGATTCCTTCTCTTGTAGTTTGGAAAAGAAGTTTCACTTAAACTCTATCCAATTTGACCTTTGGCTTGCAGAGAAAAGCCTTAAGGCCAGTTAAGAGAACATGTTAGGAATATGTTGCCTATAATGATATACATCCTACTGTTCTGTTTACTGAAAGATGGTGACATTGATTTTATCCTGGCCCCCGCTGTGGGATCTCTTACCACAGCAGCAACCGGTACTGGTCAAGGACCAAGCACCTCCACTATTCCAGGTAAGAATCTGTACTCTTTGTCTGCCTAGTCATCTGGAAGAAAAAAGGACACACTTTGGATATAGGGTTCTACAGATCTACACTTTATCTCAAGGAGACTGTTCTTTGCTTGAAAAACATCTAATTCTCTGAATTACATTCCATCTGTCAGTGCAAATATGTGGTGTCTGTGTACATACATTTAGAAATCAGATGAGATTTGTAAAATGGTGTTCATAGGTTTAAATTATTTGTGATGAAGTTAATTTATTACTGATACTAGAATATTGTTCTGGTAGCTTATGCCTGATATATTATTCCAGAATATTCTTTTAAAAAAAAATTGTAACTGCTCCTTGCAGAGCAGGGCTAGATACCCCATAGGCAGTGTACCCTATTGTCTATGTGCTTATGTGCCCCATAGGCAGGGTAGCCCAGAATATTCTTTTACTGTGTCTTCTTCATTGTTGTTTTGTACCAAATGAATCTGCTTAATTACAGGTCCTTCCACAGAGCCATCTGTAGTAGAATCCAAGGATCGAAAGGCGAATGCTCATTTTATATTGAAATTGTTATGTGACAGTGTGGTTCTCCAGCCCTATCTACGAGAACTTCTTTCTGCCAAGTAAGAGGATTTGATATATTTTTCATGTGAAGATTTAGCTTAGCTTAGCTTTTACTATTAAAGTTTATCTTCTTACACTATATGGACAATAGTTATGTAAATTTAAAACAATTTATCAGAATCCAGCATGATATTCCCTCTACTGCTAAGCTCTGTTGAGTGAAAGAGGCTGTCTCAACATCATGTAGTGTACACTAAATGAATACAAACTAGCTTTTATGTTAGTTTGATTGAGGTGTATATTTATATGTGAAAGACTAAAACAAAATTTAGTTTTTTGTTTTATCATGAACATTTATAATCAGGAAGGAAAATAAGTAGTAATTAATATTTTTACATATAATTTTTCTTATTTTAGGGATGCAAGAGGGATGACCCCATTTATGTCAGCTGTAAGTGGCCGAGCTTATCCTGCTGCAATTACCATCTTAGAAACTGCTCAGAAAATTGCAAAAGGTAATTTATTTCAGATCCTAAATGAGTTACATTCAGTTTGGATAGATTCTCTTCTGTCCATATATTATAATTATTCAGACTGGATTTCTATATATGTAAATGATACAATTGGTTGGAAATGATCAAGATTTGTGTGTGTATGAAATTCATGTGTTTATTATTCCTTCAAGTTTACTGTATCTTCCAACTTTCCATCAAAAAACAGCTGATATAAATTTATTGATTTAAGAATAAACACTCCGTAATGAACAGTGTAAAATCTTTGGAAAATAAGATGGATTACTGATAGAACCTCTTGGTAGTTAATTGGTGTTAAGTGATATAACTTTACAGAATAATAGACAGATGTCTTGTTATTTCTGACAGAATTCCTGCTAAATAGAAAGCATTAAGGAATATCAATTCTTACCTTCCAGCCTTTGAAAGATTAAAGTAGTTATCTTTTTAAAACACTGATAAATAGTTTATGAGATGGTCTATAATTTGCTAAATAGAGCCAGGAGTTGAGTCTTAACTGCCTGAAACAGAGCTAAGGATTCAGATGGCTGATGTATAGTGTGTTTGTATTGGCATCATATGTGGGTATGATGTAATTATGCTTTACTTTATATTGTTCCAGAGTTGGTTAGATTTCTTTGCATGTCATCTTTGTATATCACTTTTTAAAATTGATATATAATTTCTGGTTTATATTGTGTGTATGCTAAGGCTTTCCAGTTGAAGAAAATGGATGGCTAATTAAGTCCTTTCCTGAAAGATGAACTGCTATGTTCTTACTTTTTTAGCTGAAATATCCTCAAGTGAAAAAGAGGAAGATGTATTCATGGGAATGGTTTGCCCATCAGGTACCAACCCTGATGACTCTCCTTTATATGTTTTATGTTGTAATGACACTTGCAGTTTTACATGGACTGGAGCAGAGCACATTAACCAGGTAAGTTATTTCTACATTTTCCTGTATTAATCATATCTTTGTGTCTTTTTTCGCTATGACTATCACTAGACTTACAGTTTTCAGCTTTGGAATTAAGTCTGATATGAAGAAAGTTGATTTAATTCCTAAGTAAATGAGGCAAAAGAGCTGATTGCTCAGTTAAATATGGCATACCATGAAAATTGGAAATTTTCACTGGGTAGTATAATCTGATCCACAAATCTTGATACAGATTTTATAACTACAATGCCTTTTTGGGGATGATACAAATTATTTTTTTCTACTGGTAATATTTCTATTTGTATATCATAAACTGTATATTTGCTGTAGCCCTTTATAAGTTCTAGTTTTCCAAAGCACATTAATTTTGTTTGTTGAGATTGAATTGTTCTAGAAAATACCAGAAATAATTATTATGATGAGATATATGCATACTTATAATTATTCCTTTAAAAGTACACTCTTAATTTTAGGATATTTTTGAGTGTCGAACTTGTGGCTTGCTGGAGTCACTGTGTTGTTGTACGGAATGTGCAAGGGTTTGTCATAAAGGTCATGATTGCAAGTGAGTACAATTCTAGTTTTCTTTAGTTTAATATTATAAGCTGTTTAGATTTATATTGCTGTATGGAAATAATCTGTACTAAGTCATGTTTTACTTCAGAAAGCATGAGGTTACTTACGTTTCCCTTGTTTAAGTCAGTTTATGTATAATAGTGTGATTCTTGATTTAAAGTATACTGTGAAATGTTTGGTTTCTTTGCTAGTTCAAACATTGCCCTCCTTAAATAAAAGTAGGTGATTATACATTGTAACTAGGATCAGATTAGTCTTTTGAGAAGTATATCTACAGAATGTTCCTGAGTGTATTATGCAGCGGAGGTCTCAGGTCCCCTGTAGTGGGGTATACTAGGAGAAAATTGCCATAGGCCTAGAGGGAATCATGGTGAATGTTTAGACTGTGTCTTAAACTAAATGCAACAGTCTTTCATTCAGCAACAGTTACCACAGCTAGTTCTGTTGGTTTTCAGAGACCTGAGAAGCAATGAAATACCTAGCACTAACATCTGTGGTGTTTTAGGATTATGGATAGGGACTTCAGTATAAATGGCTACAAATGTTATAATAGAGAATTGGACTGTAAAAACCATCTACCGTACCATTAAGTAATTGTATAGGACAAATGAAAAATTTTAATAGATATTAAAAGAATTCTGGTTGGTATTTTTTGTTTTCCTTATTTTAAGTACCTAAAGGTGTGATAATCTGTTGTTATTGATTGTTTTCCAAGTGTACTAGATGCCAGGGTGGTGGTGAATAGTCCTGACAGTGTTCACATCCCTATCAGAAGCAAGAAATATCTGCCCATAGGGTTACAGGGTTCATTAGGTCATATAGGAGGACCACTTGAACAGGACTGGGAATTAGGGAAGAGATTCCAAAAGTGATTGTACCTTAGAGTACCTCTTCTCATAGGAATTCTGTGTTGCTTTATAGATGTCATTACTACCAAGTAATCCTTCTTGTTATATAAGCTTTGACAGTTATACTTTGCATTTAGAAATTAACAAGGGCTCTCTCTGGTTTCAGTGAGTTATACCTTCATAATGTCAACATAAACCTTTGTATGTTTAAAAAATTTCAGTTTTTGTACTTGTGTATAAATTCTCTATAGACTCAAACGGACATCACCAACAGCCTACTGTGATTGTTGGGAGAAATGTAAATGTAAAACTCTTATTGCTGGACAGAAATCTGCTCGTCTTGATCTACTTTATCGCCTGCTCACTGCTACTAATCTGGTTACTCTGCCAAACAGCAGGCAAGTGGGATTTTTAGAACATACAGTAAGTTAAATCAAAAGAGCGCAGCACAGCTGAGTAGCTTTTCAGCCTCCCTCCTCACGACAACATTCTGTTTTGCAGGGGAGAGCACCTCTTACTATTCTTAGTACAGACAGTCGCAAGGCAGACGGTGGAGCATTGTCAATACAGGCCACCTCGAATCAGGGAAGATCGTAACCGAAAAACAGCCAGTCCTGAAGGTGAGTTAATTAGACATTTATGACACTTGTGGGAAGCAATATGTTTTATTTTTGTTTTGGTCACTATTTCTTTTTCATTTTAGATTCAGATATGCCAGATCATGATTTAGAGCCTCCAAGATTTGCCCAGCTTGCATTGGAGCGTGTTCTACAGGACTGGAATGCCTTGAAATCTATGATTATGTTTGGGTCGCAGGAGAATAAAGACCCGTACGTATTCATTAAAACCTTTTTAGATTTATGTATTTCCTACGTTAGTGTAGACCTTTTACAGTTCATTCTGTCTTTCGTTTCTCCTCAAGTCTTAGTGCCAGCAGTAGAATAGGCCATCTTTTGCCAGAAGAGCAAGTATACCTCAATCAGCAAAGTGGCACAATTCGGCTGGACTGTTTCACTCATTGCCTTATAGTTAAGTGTACAGCAGATATTTTGGTAAGTTCTTTGAATGTGTATTACAAGTACATGAAAAGTATGTTTTTCAAGTACTCTTCTTTGCTGTGAAACTAGAAAAGAATTTAAACCTTAAGATCCAGTGCGAATGAGGTTATGGTAATAACACACTCAGATAGGGATGGGGTGGCATTGCATCGTTCCTTTCTCTGGAAAACATAAAACTATCAGTGCCCTCAGAACCTGTCATAAATAAATAATTTACGATGTGAGAAAAATAAAGGCATGTCACAGAATAATGTAAAATTTAAAAACAGAAAAATATCAGCCTAATACTAGTGTAATCTTGAATCAAATTATAGCCTGACCACTTACTGGAATATGATGCAGCAATTTAAAAATAAATCGTATTGTAAATAACGTAAAAAAAAAAACCAAACAACCAAACTGTGAAAATTGGGTGTTCTCTGTAGCTAACATTTATACAAGAAGCTGCACACAGAAAAGAGACTAGAAAGTAATAATGGTTCCATGAGGGAGATGGGATTATGAATTTATTCATATAAATATTTGAGTCTGCTTTGCTGTTTTGGAAAGTGCCCCAGACTGAGTTTATGTTTTCTTCTTCTGATTTCATATATTTGGTATTGTTCTTCTAAATATTAGTTGATATACCAAGGACTGTGGGACAAAAAATAAGAAATCGTACATTTAGGACTCACTGTATGTCAAGCACATTGGCAGGTATATTTCATAAACTGACCTTGTAAATGTTTTGGTTAAATTTGTTTTGAGATTTTATTATAAAATGTTAATACTTAAAAAATGTTAGAACTTATAACTTTATGAATGTCTAAACATCTTATGAAGTATCTTAACATTAATAGAGTGAATATAATTTTTTAAAGCTTTTAGATACTCTACTAGGTACACTAGTGAAAGAACTCCAAAACAAATATACACCTGGACGTAGAGAAGAAGCTATTGCTGTGACAATGAGGTTTCTACGTTCAGTGGCAAGAGTTTTTGTTATTCTGAGTGTGGAAATGGCTTCATCCAAAAAGAAAAAGTAAGGCATCCTTTTTGATTTTGGTTTAGATACCATTTTCACTCTGTTTTTGTGATAGTGATTTATGTATATGAAAAGATAGATTGCTGATATTTCTCTTTTTGTTCTAGCAACTTTATTCCACAGCCAATTGGAAAATGCAAGCGTGTATTCCAAGCATTGCTACCTTACGCTGTGGAAGAATTGTGCAACGTAGCAGAGTCACTGATTGTTCCTGTCAGAATGGGGATTGCTCGTCCAACTGCACCATTTACCCTGGCTAGTACTAGCATAGATGCCATGCAGGGCAGTGAAGAATTATTTTCAGTGGAACCACTACCACCACGACCATCATCTGATCAGTCTAGCAGGTAAATTGCTACCAGGTAACAGATTCTGATTAATCCTTCTCTGGAAATGTCGTGTTTGACTTCCTAAAACCTTTGCATAAGCACTCAGGTGGTGTACATGATCATTTGTGTAACATAAATAACAACCAGAAAGCCGGAATTTTAAATATTTTTCTACAACAACTGTATTATCAAGGACAGGGCTAAAATAACTCCATTATAAATGTTTCTAATTATAAGATTATTTGTTCTTAAGTTTCATTTATCTTTTCTATTTGTTTGATAGTTTCCCTAATTACACTGTAAGCTTGTTGAATCAGGATGTTGAGCAACTTAAAACTTTCCGATGTCCTTTAGCACACTGCTTCTCAAACTTTAATATGTATGAAAATGACTTGGGGCTCTTATTAAAATATAGATGCCCACTCTAGAGGTCTTGAGGTGGGGCCTCCAACTTCGTATGCCTTTCAAGTTCTCAGGTGATGCCAATTCTGCTGGTTTAGGGGTCAGACTTTTCAGTAATAATGCTGTAGATCTTTGGCAAATATTTAGTGTATTTTGTTTTTTCAAGTCTGATTTTATAACCATGTGCATGTGTGATGATGTTTTAATAAGGACCTTTAGGATCTAAAGACCCTTTTCCTCCTTTTCTGGAAAACATCTCTGTTAATAAGGATGGCCTGCTTTAGTGTTTGGGATAGTTCCCAAGTTGTTACGCTTGGATTTGATCTGGGTTGGTGTTGAGTATCTGCTCTCACTATTCTCCTATATGCCAGTATATGTGTCCCAATTTTTCCTTTAATGTCAGGTGTCCCTTTAATCTAAATCCAGTTTTGTCTGACAGAGCTCTCCCATAGTATCCTTGATACTGATATACATCCAGGACTTGTTGAAAACTGTTACAAATCAAGCTGTGTATCTTCAGACTTGTCAAATCTATCCCATGATTAAATAATTCTGCTTGTGAGATCTGCTTGGACTCTGTATGATTTTCCTGATCTTGATACCCTGTGAGGAACTCATTAGTTACTTAAGTGGTATTACTTTGTGAATTCTTAGTATACTTCCCTTGATCTTGTTCTGGAACATAAAAAATTGATGGCTGTTGAACAGATTTTGGGATCGTCTCATCTCTAAACACTGCCCTTGAAACTGTTCCTACTAAGTTTCAAGATTTTGTGTCATCTTGTTCTTAGTCTCATTATTAAAGTATTACATACTCTTAAACTCTCTTTATTCCATTCCCTTTGCTTGTTTCTTGAGACAACTTCCTAAATCTTCCCAGAAGGAGATCTCATGTGATAATCAAGAAATAGTGCTAATGTTTTCTTCAACTGTTAAAAGTTCTTTATTATAGTACAGTACATTCTTACCCATAAAGGGTGTATTTTGACTAGTGTTCCAAGGATGTCTTAAGTTGAAAAACACAGACCTTGACCATTCTCTGGGATTTCACTTGTCTTGGATTATAGAAGGTGTATATCACCCCATTGAGTGTGAAGTCTTAAGAGTAGCTTTTTCTGTTGCTTCTTTCCACCTCTTGAAAATGTTCTTGTTATGTTCTTAATAAATAATCTGTTTCTACTTTATTTCCATGTCTCTCATATAACAGTAACTAACAGTTACTGAAATTTTAGTATGTACTAGGAACTTTCCTAAGTATTGTAGACAGATTACCTGTTTTAATTTTCCCAATATGTCATAGATAACCACTATCATTCTAGTTTGTCAAATGGGGAAACTACGGCTCAGAAAAGTTAGGCAACTTCTCCAGTGTAACACAGCTAATTAAAGTTTAGACGCTGGACTTACCTTGACAGATACTTCCTTTTTTTTTTGTATTCTCCTGAATAGTAGATGGCAGAGTAGAGAGGAAGACTACTTGGTGCTTGCTCATAGTGTTGAGCCACCACACAGTTAACCAACACTGAACCAGGCTTTATAGTGTAGAGTGCAGTCCAAAACTCTCCAAAATGCAGACTTGTAGTTAGAAGTTCTCAAAAGAGACCTTTTTCCATTCTGCATCTATTCATGGCTGAGATAGGTAAATCTCTCGAGGTATGATTTTTCTGTTTCACTCCTTCATGGTGTTGCCCTTTTAAGATTTATGTTTAGCTTTATATATGTGAGGGGGACAGAAGAGGAGATTCCTGTGATGACTTTCTATTCTTTGCTTAGCCTCCAGACTCTCATGTGAAATCTGTGGTTCCTTGAAGCCCTTCTAGCCCAAGAGACATCAGTGGGTCCCTTTGGGATAAATGGTGGCACTTGTCTCTCCAAGCTTTATACAGTACAGTCGTTTCTCTTTATCACCTGCACAGCTGTCCTTTTTTTTTTTTTTTTTTTTAATATCTAGCATATATATGTGTTCCTTAACAAGAGTGGTTTCTCTGCACAGTCTGCCAAATTGCTGGAACTAGAAGTCCCCAAAACTTAGTAGTGTATTAACGGGGCTTTTTAGACTAGGCTTCAGGACTGTTGTGCTTCATTGTGCCAGCAAGTCTGTTGGGAAAAAAGTTGAAGTCACACTAACTGGGGAGTTACACAGGTTGAGTATTCCTAATCTGAAAATGAGAAATCTGAAATGCTGCAAAACCGGAAACTTTCTGAGCACCAACATGATGCTCAGAGGAAATGCTCATTGGAGCATTTTGGATTTTGGGATTGAGGATGCTCAACTGATAAATATATATAATGCAGATACTCCAAAATTTAAAAAAAAAAAAAAAAACCCAAGATCAAAACACTTCTGGTCCCAAGCATTTCAGGTAAGGGATGTTCAACTGTAATACGTTTTATGTATTGGTATTTTTAAATTACTCTTTTTAAATTTTTTGTAGCGTTTGGGTCTCGCTGTGTTGCCCAGGTCGGTCTTAAATTCCTGTCCTCAAGCAATCCTCCCACCTCAGCCTCCCAAAACATTGGGATTACAGGCATTAGCCACTATACCTAGTCTGTTTTGGCAGTATTATACATACTAACTGCATAACTTCTTAAAGTAACCACTTTGAGGGGCCTATAGTTCTTGTGGATGTTTGTTCTAGGATGTTTGTTTTAAAAAAGAAATACTCATTAGTTGTGGCTTCACACAGTGCTTTTATGTTTTAATATTGAAATCTCTTTAGTGGTTGGAAATACCCTTTTTCATCTCTACAGATTTTCTCTTAGCCTTTCCCACTTTTGTAATCCACGATCTCTGTTTTACCAGTTACTTATAGTTCTAGTGTTAAACATCATATTGAGACTACTTATCTGTTTGTTTGAAGGCATGGTGTTTCAGTCAACTCTCAGGTCTAATTGGTTTGATTCTCATTTCTCATAGCAACTGAGATAGGAAAGAACCTGTCAGTGCAATCACTTAAAGGTCTTTTGACTTCAACATCTTTTACCCCGTTTCATAATCTATAAATAATAGGTGACAGGGTTATTTAGCCACCAGTTTCAGATTTCTGGCCTGTATTTTAAGCTGTATTTTCTGGTTCCCCCTTTTTGTTTTATAATCCAGTCAACTGTCTTTTCTTGGTTGTCTCCAAATCAGGTGTTTAGGGAAGTGAAACTTTTGCCACTTTGCCTTTGGTTATGACTACTTTAAAATCATGCTTTTGAACTGATGTTTTCCCCACACACATCAGCAAGTCATTAGTTAATAAGCTCATTCAAAATAGAAATCATGTCAGATCTCTTAAAAGTTAGATCACTTCTATTAAACACTTGCTGTTAATGGACAGATGGTGCTACCAGAGTTTTTAGAAATAGAACTGCTGGTGGAGGAGGAAAAATCTTCCTGTAGAATTTTTCGATGGGATGGACTCATACAAATAATGTGCATCAACACAGATTTGAAATGACTTAAAAAGAAAAAACATATTCTGAGATTTATATTTTCTGATATATAGATTAAGTATTGTTGGTTTCTAAGAATTCTCAGCTCAGATTTAAAGTCACATCCTAGCAAGTGTCTCACATGTAATAAATGAGTTAAATAAAAATATGTGTTGCATATCTGAGCTGTGGCAGGAGCCCACTCATAAGCTTCTGATTCTTTACAGCTCCAGTCAGTCTCAGTCATCCTACATCATCAGGAATCCACAGCAGAGGCGCATCAGCCAGTCACAGCCCGTTCGGGGCAGAGATGAAGAACAGGATGATATTGTTTCAGCAGATGTGGAAGAGGTGATTTTAATTGTGGTAGATTTAAAAAGCTTTTATTTTATGAGAAAAGAAGAGTAGTCAGTAGAAATTACATTAATAGTAGCTTGAGACTACTATATGCGTTTGCATCCAGTTTGTAGATGTTTATTATATATTCTCATTTGTGGTTATACATAGTAAAATTATTTTAATAATTTGTGACTTACTGGATATTAGGAAATTGGACACAAACTTGTCTTTAAGGATTAAGGGTGGAGATATTCTCAGTGTTAACAGCAAAGATATTCTGGGTTTTTTTTTTTTTTTTTGGAGACAGAGTCTCGCTCTGTCACCCAAGCTGGAGTGCAGTGGCGTGATCTCGGCTCACTGCAACCTCTGCCTCCCGGGTTCAAGCGATTCTCCTGCCACAGCCTCCTGAGTAGCTGGGATTACAGGCGCGCACCACCACACCCATCTAATTTTTGTATTTTTTAGTAGAGACGGGGTTTCACTATGTTGGTCAGGCTGGTCTCGAACTCCTGACCTCGTGATCCACCTGCCTCAACCTCCCTAAGTGCTGGGATTACAGGTGTGAGCCACCGCGCCCAGCCAAGATATTCGTAATGTTAGAAAAATTTAGTAGTTTTGTACAATGTATTTGAAAGAGGATACTACATATTTATGAGGTAAATTCTCTCCTCCCTGCCCCTAGTATAATTTTTATACTTCTAACTTGAGGGTTCTGTATATGCTCAGTAATGAACTTTGGGATCTGTGGGTATAATTTTTTTATTTTTTTGAGATGGAGTCTTGCTCTGTTGCCAGGCTGGAATGCAGTGGTGCAATCTTGCCTCACTACAACCCCCACCTCCCGGGTTCAAGCAATTCTCCTGCCTCCGCCTCCTGAGTAGCTGAGACTACAGGCACGCACCATGCCCAGCTAATTTTTGTATTTTTAGTAGAGTCGGGGTCTCACCATGTTGGCCAGGATGGTCTTGATCTCTTGACCTTGTGATCCGCCCATCTCCGTCTCGGCCTCCCAGAGTGTTGGAATTACAGGTGTGAGCCACCGTGCCCGGCCAGGATATAATTTTTGATAGCAAATTGTCACTAACAAATGAAGATTTTCAAAACTGCTTGATATATGATTTCAAATTCTCTATAGTTAGTGGTCTTCGCATTTTAGTTAACTAGCTTTGATTGTCTACAAATAAGATTCTGGATTTAGGTTGAGGTGGTGGAGGGTGTGGCTGGAGAAGAGGATCATCATGATGAACAGGAAGAACACGGGGAAGAAAATGCTGAGGCAGAGGGACAACATGATGAGCATGATGAAGACGGTATGCAGGTTATTTGAGAAATTACTCAGTATGAGTAAATCAGGTACTTTTAAAGGGAGATATTAAATACAGAGAGAAACCTCATTTGAATGTATAGTGAAATGGTCAAACTTATTTTTTGCCAAGGGTTTCTGTAGCATCTATTTAGAAAATTTAGGCGCTATATATAATACATATATAAAATAGTTTCCCTTTTTTCTTTTTAAGTCAGTTTCTTAAAAGACTTTTAAAAACTAAAATAATCATAGTCGCATTATGAAACATTTGGAAATTAGAGAAAAGGAAAATAAATCACCCATAATTACACCCAGATGCTAATAGCTTGTATATTTACTTTCAGTCCTCCCCTGCACTGCCCTGATGTACTAGTCTGTTGACTACCATAATTTCCCTAGCCATTCTTCTAAGGTTGAGTAGTTACTTAGTCTTATTTTAGTAGTTATCCCTTCTCTTTCACACCATTCCCCTTCTCCCCAACTCCTACCCCCTATGCCTTCTTAGTTCCCACCCTTACGATATTCTGGCTTATCAGACCCTGTTTTAAACCATAGTGAGTTTGTGCTTTTTTCTTATTTAAATGTATTTTTTAGGGAGTGATATGGAGCTGGACTTGTTAGCAGCAGCTGAAACAGAAAGTGATAGTGAAAGTAACCACAGCAACCAAGATAATGCTAGTGGGCGCAGAAGCGTTGTCACTGCAGCAACTGCTGGTTCAGAAGCAGGTATGTTGCCTTATCCCAACTACTTTCTTGCTTATGCTAAGGCTGTGTGTGTGTATTCAGCGTGGATTGGGTCATACTTTGTGTGATATACGCAAGGGTAGCTAAGCATTTTTATAACTTCATCCTTGTTCTCTGGGTATTAGAAAAGAAAGTATTATTTTAATAACTCTTTCTCCAGCTTTTCTGGTCATTAAATAATGAATGAATTTTAAAGTTTCTTTAAAAGATTTTTATTTTCTTGCCTTTTTTTTTTTTTTTTTTTTTTTTAAATTGGGTCTCATTCTGTCACCAGGCTGGATATTCCAGTGGTGCAGTCAGAGCTCTTTGCAGCCTTGACCTCCTGAGCTCCTACCTCAGCCCCCTGAGTAGCTGGGTCTACTAGGTGCAAGCCACCACATCGGGCTAATTTTTTTTTTTAAAGAGTTGGGATCTTACTGTGTTGCCCAGGCTGGTCTTGAGCTCCTGAGCTCAAGCAGTCCTCCCACCTCAGCCTCCTCAGTTGTTGGGATTATAGGCATGTGCCACCACACCCAGCTAAAAGTTACTTATTCAGGAGGCTGAGGCATACAAATAGCTTGAACCCAGGAGGCAGAGGCTGCAGTGAGCCGACATGGTGCCACTGCAGTCCTGCCTGAGCCACAGAGCTGGGCTTGAAAGTTATTTTCTAATAAAAACTATTTTATGGTAGGTTTTGTGGATTATTGAATACAATCTGGCATTCTGTTTAATATGTATGTTTTCCTGAATGAGGGGGTACATTGTAATTTTAATTATTAAACTCACAATGTTTTTGGTTTTAAAAATAAAAATTTTAGGAGCAAGCAGTGTTCCTGCCTTCTTTTCTGAAGATGATTCTCAATCGAATGACTCAAGTGATTCTGATAGCAGTAGTAGTCAGAGTGACGACATAGAACAGGAGACCTTTATGCTTGATGAGCCATTAGAAAGAACCACAAATAGCTCCCATGCCAATGGTGCTGCCCAAGCTCCCCGTTCAATGCAGTGGGCTGTCCGCAACACCCAGCATCAGCGAGCAGCCAGTACAGCCCCTTCCAGTACATCTACACCAGCAGGCAAGTCTGAAAACTTAGTATTGCTAAGAATACTTAGATAGATTTTTTAAATTATGCATGTTCATCTGGGGATAAAATTAGTTTTATGATAGTTCCTCATTGTTTTGTTGAGTTTCAAATATAAAAAATATGTACATATGATTATAGCAGGGTTTCCCAGTCTTTGCATTATTGCATCTTTGGACTGGGTAATTGTGGGAGGCTGTCTTGTGCATTGTGGGATGTTAGGCAGCATCCCTAGCCTACACCCACTAGATGCCAGTGAAACCCCTCTCACCCTTCTTCCCCTCCCCTTGGCTCCCACAGTTGTGATAACCAAGAATGTCTGTAGATACTGCCAAATGTGTAGCCCCTTTGGCGGGGGGAGGTGGCGTGGGGGTCAGATTTCCCCTGGTTGAGAACTTTATATTAATTCTTGTCCCCTCCATACTCCTCTCCCCAAAATAGTGTGGTTTAGGCAAAGTTTTTTGCTTGGGTACCACAATTGACCATTTAGATTTACGTAAGTATATATAATCCCAGAGAAACACAATTAGCAACTGACATTAGCTCATTGTGGTTGTCCTTTTTCCTTATAGCAAGTTCAGCGGGTTTGATTTATATTGATCCTTCAAACTTACGCCGGAGTGGTACCATCAGTACAAGTGCTGCAGCTGCAGCAGCTGCTTTGGAAGCTAGCAACGCCAGCAGTTACCTAACATCTGCAAGCAGTTTAGCCAGGGCTTACAGCATTGTCATTAGACAAATCTCGGACTTGATGGGCCTTATTCCTAAGTATAATCACCTAGTATACTCTCAGATTCCAGCAGCTGTGAAATTGACTTACCAAGATGCAGTAAACTTACAGGTATGAAACCACTGAAAAGTTTCCCATTCCACTATTTTTTTTTGGCTGTCAATTATGAGAATTCCAGTATTAGGGGAATTAAATGTTAGAAACGTTTACATATTGACATACTGCTGCTGTATCGAATTTAGCTCTATTTGGATAGTTTTAACTATTTTAGTTTGGTCTTCATAGAACTATGTAGAAGAAAAGCTTATTCCCACTTGGAACTGGATGGTCAGTATTATGGATTCTACTGAAGCTCAATTACGTTATGGTTCTGCATTAGCATCTGCTGGTGATCCTGGACATCCAAATCATCCTCTTCACGCTTCTCAGAATTCAGCGAGAAGAGAGAGGATGACTGCGCGAGAAGAAGCTAGCTTACGAACACTTGAAGGCAGACGGTATGAAATTCTTCATATATACAGAACGTCCCCAACTTAAAATGGATCCTCAACTTACAATTTTTTGTTTGTTTGTTTGTTTGTTTTTTTGAGACGGAGTCTCACACTCTTACCCAGGCTGGAGTGCAGTGGTGCCGTCTCGGCTCACTGCAAGCTCCGCCTCCTGGGTTCATGCCATTCTCCTGCCCCAGCCTCCCGAGTAGCTGGGACTACAGGCACTTGCCACCCACGCCCGGCTAATTTTTTGTTTTCTTAGTAGAGACGGGGTTTCACTGTGTTAGCCATGGTGGTCTTGATCTCCTGACCTTGTGATCTGCCCACCCTGGCCTCCCAAAGTGCTGGGATTACAGGCGTGAGCCACAGCGCCCGACCCCCAACTTACATTTTTTTTTTGACTTTGTGATGGGTTTATTGGGGGTATTAAATGCGTTTAGACTTTATGCGTTTATGATGAGTTTATCAGGACATAACCACATCTTCAGTCAAGGAGTATCTATACTTGCATGTTTAGATAGAATCTTTGTATCCTAGAAGGTTAAAGCTTTTTAGTTGCTATTATGTAAGACCTCATCTTACTGTGAAGGGAGAAAGAAATGACTTGCTTGCATTACTTAAATTGTTGAGGCAGAATAGGCTAGTTATCATCCAAGCTGTTTTTAAAAATCCATTCATATCGTAGGAATCTGATACTAAAGCCTTTTTATTTTTGAAGTTATTGGTCTATATCTTTGTCTCATTATCCCCAAGACCTCCCCCTCTCCTCTTAGGAAGTTATTTTGACTATAATTGGTTATGAATGTACTTTGTACTCAGGAGGGGGAAAGTATGTGTGATTACCAGTGCTGCTCTTTTTTTCTCAAATCACATTTCTTTTTTTCTGCCTCCCCTAGTCTGTTGAATTAAAATAAAATATATATCTATGTATTTGTTATGTTCTTTCTATTCAGTTATAAAGTGACCTTTTTCAGGAGTAGGTATCAGCTCAAATATTGAACATCAGAGCAATAGCAGTAATATAGTAAAAGTGCCTCATACCTGAAGTCAAAATCCAAGGATTTGGTTCTGTCTCTACCTCAGGATAAACAACTTTGTTACTCTGGGCAGATCATAAAGTGAGGAAAGACAAAGGTCTAAGAGATTACTTAGAAAGACAGTGATAGGCATCTACAGTAGAGGTAATAGTTACTAAAGTAGGGCAGTGAAGACCAAAAGGAGGGGAGAGAAGCATTGAAATAAAAAACAGAATTTAGGGCCTTGTTGAGGGATTAAGTAGCAGGGGCATCATTTATATTTAAACCTTGATCCTGAGTAACTAATAGGAAAATTAAAGAGAAAAACCTAAGAGTAGTATAATGGACAAACTTGCTTTTGAACATGTGAGAACTGGGGGAAAAAAAATGGTAGAAATGTCAAATGTGCAGAATTGAATGCTTGGCAAAGATAGCTGTACTGAAGATAGTGATTTGAGAGGTAGCAGCTTTCCTGTCCTAGGAACGCTGCTTCACAAAGACGAAAGCCTTATCTTTGTTAGGCTGTAGTTGTTACCCCAGAGAACACAGAATTCTGATAGCGGATCTTGATTGGTGGCAGTGTTCTCTCTCCCTTCTCTCTGTCAGCTTTAATATAATAATTCACATATCACATATAATTCACCCATTTAAAGTGTCCAATTCCATAGTTTTTCAGCCCTTCATCATAATGAATTTTGGAATATTTTAATCCTCTCTACAGAAAACCTATTAGCAGTCATTCTTCATTTTCCCCTACTCACCCCCCCCCCCCCCCGCCTTCCCCTTCCTAAGCAACTGTTAATCTGTTTTCCCTCTCAATAGATTCTGGATATTTCCTGTAAATGGAATCATACAGTATGTGGTCTTTTGTGACTGGGTTCTTTAATTTAGCATAATGATTTTCAGGTTCATCTATATTTAGCATACATCAGTACTTCATTCTTTTTCATTTCCTAGTAACATTTCATTGTATGAGCGTACTATATTTTGTTTATCCATTCATCAGTTGGACATTTGGGTTGTTTTCACCTTTCCACTATTATGCATAATGCTCATATGAACTTTTGTGTATAGATTTTTGTGTAGATGTGTGTTTTCAGTTCTCTTGAATATATACCTAGTTATGGAATTGCTGGGTCATATGGTAACTCTATTTGTAACTCTTTGAAGAACTGGCAATACTGTTTTCCAAAAAGGAAGACAGTCTCAGTAGCAGTGTGTGTATGAGAGTTTTAGTTTTTCTACATCTTCACCAGCACTTATTATCTGTCTTTTGTTATAACCATCCCAGTGGGTGTGACCTAGTATCTTTGATTTGCATTTCCCTAATGGTCAGTGATGTTGATCATCTTTTCATGGGCTAACTGGCCACTCGTATATCTTCTTAGGAGAAATGTCTTATTTGGATCCTCCCGTCGCCACCACCCCCTCCATCTTTTTTTTTTTTTTTTTAAATAGAGTTTCACTCTTGTTGTCCAGGATGGAGTGCAGTGGTGTGATCTTGGGTCACTGCAACCTCTGCCTCCCGGGCTCAAGTGATTCTCCTGCCTCAGCCTCCTGAGTAGCTGGGATTAGAGGCACCCGCCACAATGCTAATTTTTTTGTATTTTTAGTAGAGACGGGGTTTCGCCATGTTGGCCAGGCTGGTCTTGAACCCTGACCTCAGGTGATCCACCCACCTTGGCCTCCCAAAGTACTGGGATTACAGGTGTGAGCCACTGCGCCTGACCTTGCCCATTTTTTAAATTGGTTTGTCTTTTAAAATTGAGGTGTATGAGTTCTTTATTCTGCATGTAAGCCCATTATCAAGTATATAATTTGGGAAGATTTTGTCCCATTCTCTGGGATATCTTTTCACTTTCTTGGTGGTATCCTTGAAAGTACAATTTTAATTTTCGTAAATTCCAATGTATATCTGGGTGTTTGTTTGTTTGTTTGTTTGTTTTTTGAGACAGGGTCTCGCTCTGTTGCCCAGGCCGGAGTGCAGTGGCGTGATCTCGGCTCATTCCAGCCTCCACCTCCCAGTTTCAAGCAGTTCTCCTGCCTCAGCCTCCCAGCTAGCTGGCATTACAGGCACCCGCCACCATGCCCAGCTAATTTTTGTATTTTTAGTAGAGACAGGGTTTCACCATGTTGCCCAGGATATCTGTGTTTTCTTTAGTTGCTTGTGCTTTTGGTGTCATTTTAATGAAGTGATTCTCAAAGTATGGTCCCTAGAACAACACCATCAACCTCACCTAAGAGCTATTTAGAAATGCAAATCCTGGGGCTTTACCCCAGACCTACTAAAACTCTGGGGATTAGACCAGAGGTCTGTTTTAATAAGCCCTCCAGGTGACTTTGATGGACCCTGAAGTTTGAGAATCACTGTCTTCAGGGAAAGAATTCATTTTGCCATTCCAAAGGATACTGGAATTCCTTTTCTATACAAAGTATAAGGCTGTAAATCATGCACAGTGGTTATATTTCTAAAGCTGAGCAGCAGGCTTAACTACTTTGTATTTATGAATATTCTCAGCTCCTAATTTTGCATATTTATGATAGTGAATTTCACATTTGTATTCTTCTAATAAACATTTTCCTTTCTGTTCTTATAGACGTGCCACCTTGCTTAGCGCCCGTCAAGGAATGATGTCTGCACGAGGAGACTTCCTAAATTATGCTCTGTCTCTAATGCGGTCTCATAATGATGAGCATTCTGATGTTCTTCCAGTTTTGGATGTTTGCTCATTGAAGCATGTGGCATATGTTTTTCAAGCACTTATATACTGGATTAAGGCAATGAATCAGCAGACAACATTGGATACACCTCAACTAGAACGCAAAAGGTATCCATTCTTGCCATGAGGTTGATTTAAGAAATACTTGCTTGGTATGGTCTTCTTTAGTACATTGTCAACATTTGGAGTAAGGAGAATAGCATTGCAAAAGAGAACTAGCACAGGACCATTTCATATAGGAAAGTGGGCTTGAATTTATCCAACCTTTCCCCATTGCCACTCTTCACTTAAAATAGGAAACCTAAGAATCTGGTTAAACTTCATGCTTGAGATAGTTTGGCCTGGCCTGATTATCATCTTTATTTTTTCCTTTTTTTTTTTTTTTTTTAAAGAGACAGAGTCTGACTCTGTCACCCAGGCTGGAATGTGATGGTGCGATCAAAGCTCACTGCAACCTTGAATTCACGGGCTCAAGTAATCTTCCTGCCTTAGCCTTCTAAGTATATAGGACTTACAGGCGTGTGCTACCATGCCTGGCTAATTTCTTAATGTTTTGGAGAGACAGTGTCTCATGATGTTCCCCAGGCTGGCCTTCAACTCCTGGCCTAAGTGATCCCCCTGCCTTAGTCTCCCAAAGTGTTGGGATTACAGGCATGAGTTACCATGCTCAGCCCATGTTTTCTGTTAGAGTTTGTGTAGGTGCTCGTTATTTCTTAGGTGATTTGCTTTTTCTTCTGTTGAGTCCATTTTGTAATAATAGTACCTAAACCTGTTCACTCTACCATTTCCCAGATTCTGAAAATGTTTGAAATTGGTTAGATACATTAGCGACCTTTTTAGTGTGTTTTTGCTTGTATTTCCTCTGACTTTTGCTCCTGTTCATATTATACAAATACTTCAAGTAAAATGACTCACTTGTCTTTTTAAAGGACGCGAGAACTCTTGGAACTGGGTATTGATAATGAAGATTCAGAACATGAAAATGATGATGACACCAATCAAAGTTAGTGCACAGAAAATCTGCTAATCTACTTCAAGAAATGGCTGCCTCAGTAGTTCCCCTTCAAGCTTTTTAACTTCATTATTTTCTGTCTGGGTGGGAATTTCTCTTTTCTTCTCTATGTCTCATTTCTTACATTTTCTGTCCATTTTTGCTTACACATTCTTGCGTTATACATTTCACAACTAAGGATGTATTAAAGAAATGTTATAAACTTTCCAACAATATTTTTTCTTCTATCTTTTCTTGTATTTGTCTTAGTATTATGTTTACCTTTACTCTTAATATACTCTTATTACATTTAATAAAATCTTAGCAAAACCGTTGTTAATATTGATGCAAAATAGATTTAATCAAGAAAATGAGAATTACCAGTTACAGCTCCCAAATATCAGAACGCTAGCAATTAATACAATGAAAAGAGAAAATATCCCAACTCCAGACTTTTCTCCAAAAGTTTTAATATCACACTTTGGGGTCTAGTGGAGTTTATTTGTGGGTTGCAGTTATTTCAAATGGGACTAAATAATGCATTCTCCAGTTTCTTATTATCAACTAGTACTTTTATTCAGCCTATGGAAAGACAGTTGGCCTAATTGCTGTTTTTTGAGAACCCAGCCATAGCTCACTGCCGTTTATACGCAAACAAGGTACTGCCAAAGTTTTATTCCATTAAGGAGATTTGGTGCTAGTGTGCTGACTTACTATTGAGATATGTAAATTGCTCAGACATTACTCTGCTTAGCAAATGCTCAGGTTTCAGTTCCTGATCATCTCCTCTGTTTGGATTTGTCAGTGAGTTGGGTCCTGAGTATACTCATGAATCTAACTGTATTTGGGTGGTGGGTATCTCAAAAGATAAAGAGGAGGATATGGGAAACCTTTGTCCAATACAAAATGGCACAATATTATTAAATGCTGATTTTTATTTTGCATTTTTTATTGTAACATACACATAACGTAAAATTTGCACATAACATAAAACTTACATTGTAACCATATTAAACTGTTACATTTACTTTAAAAAATACCAGAATTTTGGACTATGAACTTGTTTTTGTGTGGCATTAAAATTTTATAAAAGAGGTAGTAGGAATTTTGGATTGAGCAGGTTAAAGGTCTGTTACCCTAATCCAGTAATTAAATAATTTTCCTAAAAAACAAAACATTTTATCTTTTTATGTTTAGGTGCTACTTTGAATGATAAGGATGATGACTCTCTTCCTGCAGAAACTGGCCAAAACCATCCATTTTTCCGACGTTCAGACTCCATGACATTCCTTGGGTGTATACCCCCAAATCCATTTGAAGTGCCTCTGGCTGAAGCCATCCCCTTGGCTGATCAGCCACATCTGTTGCAGGTGAATTAAACAAGTTAGTCTTAAGGTTTCTTTCTAATTGGGTTTATTTTCTTTAAAGTATTCAATGTAACTAGAATATTTCTGTTAAAATTCCAGCCAAATGCTAGAAAGGAGGATCTTTTTGGCCGTCCAAGTCAGGGTCTTTATTCTTCATCTGCCAGTAGTGGGAAATGTTTAATGGAGGTTACAGTGGATAGAAACTGCCTAGAGGTAAGACAGTAAAAGTTTTTTTGCAATATAACATTTATTAAGGACAACTTGTCCCAGCATATAGATTTTTAGAAATGCGTTAATTCAGAATATTATATTTTCTGAAATGAAGTGTCAGAAATTCCTGCCTTGTGGTATAATGTAGGAAGAATTCCAACACTGTCATTAACTTGCTGTCAGATCACTTCATCCATAAAATACCAGCCTCCATATGTGCTTTGTCTGTTTCACAGAGCTGACTGCTGTATGTGGCTGAAAATTTGAATTTTTCATGTATAATAAAAATATATAGATGAGCATGTGTAATTTTGGCTACAACTTTTACTTGCTGAACTAATTTTAATCAAGACTGTAGATAAATAGCATTAATAATGATACCTAATATTTGTTGACTAATTCTGTTTCCTGGGCATTGGTCTCCATCTTTATAACTATGTTTGGTAGAATGCATTATCACCCTGATTTTTTGGGTGAGAAATAGAGTCTTGAAGAGAGTAAGTAAATTTCACGTGGGAATGTCTGTGTCACACAACTAGTTAAGTGGTAGATCTAGTTTTCATATATAGATCCGATTTGGGAGCCTAAAATTATACTCTTCTGTTTGTCCACTGAAAAAGTAGTAAAACATTAAAAAGCAGGTTTAGAAGACATGTAGTTGAATAGAATATTTTTTATTATCTCAGTGATAAAAAGGAGAATGCAGTACTGAAAATATTAAAAATATATGAGACTTAAGTACCACCAGTATTATAAAGATTTCTTTAAAAGTTCTCTGAAGTTCCAAGGCAAGAAGTGAATTTATTTATTTATTTATTTAATTTTATTTTTTGAGACAGAGTCTCGCTCTGTCACCCAGGCTGGAGTGCAGTGGCACAATCTCGGCTCACTGCAACCTCTTCCTCCTGGGTTCAAGCGATTCTCCTGCCTCAGTCTCCCAAGTAGCTGGGATTACAAGTGCCCGCCACCACGCATGGGTAATTATTTTGTAGTTTTAGTAGAGACAGGGTTTCGCTTTGTTGGCCAGGCTGGTTTCCAAGTCCTGACCTCAAGTGATCCAGCCACTTCAGCCTCCCAGAGTGCTAGGATTACAGGCGTGAGCCACCGCGCTCAGGCCAAGAAGTGAATTTAAAGGAGGGGGGTGGGTAAGGCTGGTTGTGCTGGCTTATGCCTGTAATCCCAGCGCTTTGGGAGGCTGAGGTGGGTGGATCACTTGAGGTCAGGAGTTCAAGACCATACTGGCCAACATAGCCAAACCCCATCTCTACTAAAATTACAAAAAATTAGCTGGACGTGGTGGCGGGCGCCTGTAATCCCAGCCACTCGGGAGGCTGAGGCAGGAGAATCACTTGAACCCAGGAGATGGAGGTTGCAGTGAGCCAAGACCACGCCACTACACTCCAGCCTGGGCAACAGAGCAAGACTCCGTCTAAAAAAAAAAAAAAAGTAGTTATCTGAGGTTGGTTTGGTAATGCGTTGGAATTGGTGGTCAGCCAGGGCCATCAGACAAAAGGACCATTGAAGCTCCAGAAAGGGAAAAAAAACTTGCGTATGATTCCTGTATTACTAAGTTGAGGACAAAATCTAATTAGTTTTTTTCCCTTCATTTGTAACTTTTAAATGTAAATATTCATAGGTTCTTCCAACAAAAATGTCTTATGCTGCCAATCTGAAAAATGTAATGAACATGCAAAACCGGCAAAAAAAAGAAGGGGAAGAACAGCCCGTGCTGCCAGAAGAAACTGAGAGTTCAAAACCAGGGCCATCTGCTCATGATCTTGCTGCACAATTAAAAAGTAGCTTACTAGCAGAAATAGGACTTACTGAAAGTGAAGGGCCACCTCTCACATCTTTCAGGTATTTGCTAAGACCCTTTGTTTTTATTGTTCAGTACAGCGTTAAAAATATATATCCATGTCTAGTTACCATTTATAGACTTGCTATTAGCAGCTCAGCTAAGGGGAAACTGAATAACTAGAAAGAGTAGAACTTTCTAGATTTGTGATTCACACTTATCTGTGCTCCTTTTCCAAGTTTGTAATTCTCTTACAAGAGGTAGGTTCTTTGTTTATCTAACAAATATTTGTTAGTATATACTGTGGCTCAGTATGATTTGTTGACTCTGTTTTTTGGTTACATGGCATAATAATTTTTTTGCTTAGATGGGAGTTAAAAAGCTAGTTTGAAAATAAGATACACTGTATATACGTTGTCTAATAACGATGTAAGACAGGGGAGAATTGTGGACTTGAGTGGCCCAAGCTTCCTAGAAGCAATATGGATTGAATTGAGATGGTTAGAATGTGCAGAAACAGACTGGAGAGAATTAGAGGTAGGGAGGCCAGCTAAAAAGCTGTTTGTTATTACTAATAGTTTCAGTTAGTTGGGGGAAAGATGCTGAGGCAGAATGTTGGCTTTAGAAAGGACATCATGGAAAGGAAGAGAAACTTAAGATGGACTTGATCACTTTGAAGGAAGAGGAGGAAGAAAAATTAAAATCTGGTCTAAGTCAGGGCATTAGGGAAAGAGATGTTACTACTGAAAAAAAATCAGGAGAACTGTCATTGTGGTGAAGAAGCCATATTAAGTTTTAACCATGCTGAGTTTGAATTGAGCATCGTTGACGTGGACATATTTATTTAACAAATGGAGATTCTGGTTCATGGTGAAAGTTTGAACTAGAGGTGGATCTGGGAGTCACCTAAATGGAGATAGACATTGGACTTTAAGGAGAGGAGGTAAAATGAAAGACGAAGATAAGACATAGCCCAGGGATTTATCCGTATGTAGAATACAGAAGGAATAAGGGAGGAAAAATAATAAGTTGTCGGGAACAAGTAGCTATGGAAAAGTTCTCTGTTAGGACACAGTTTGAAGAAGTTAAGACCTCAGAATATTTTTTAAAAAAAGTAAGTTACTACCATTGAACAAAAACCAATCAGTCTTTGAAATTGGCTAAATTATTTCTCCCCCCCACCCCTTCCCTTAAACTTCTTACAGGCCACAGTGTAGCTTTATGGGAATGGTTATTTCCCATGATATGCTGCTAGGACGTTGGCGCCTTTCTTTAGAACTGTTCGGCAGGGTATTCATGGAAGATGTTGGAGCAGAACCTGGATCAGTATGTATTTTGTGCACCTTAAATTCCATTCTGCCTGATAAGCATGTATTTCAGGGAATAATCTGTCATGCATTTTTTTTTTTTTAAGATCCTAACTGAATTGGGTGGTTTTGAGGTAAAAGAATCAAAATTCCGCAGAGAAATGGAAAAACTGAGAAACCAGCAGTCAAGAGATTTGTCACTAGAGGTAAAGGTATTTAGATTTTCTTATACTATACCTGTAGTATGCTATTTATATAAATTTTAAAACATGCAAAATAACAATAGCTTTGCTTAGGGATATGTACTTATAATTAAAAATTTAAAGAAAATAAAAAGAAATGTTAACTACCAAATTTATTTTTTCGTGTGTGTGTGTGTGTGTGTGTGTGGTTTCTTTTTATTTTTTTCTTATTGTAACCACCAAATTTAGAATAGTAGTTTTCTCTGGCAGTTTGGTTCCCTAGCATCCTCTATGAATTTTTTTGTTTTAGTTTTTAAGTATCATTATGCATGCATTGATTTAAACTTTTTTTGATGTATTTAATTCCATTGAGATTATTATTCATATTGATGCTCAGATTGTGTCTTCTTTGGCTAATGGGAGTCTTGAGTCAGTTTTGATTCCTGAGTTCTTTTGACATGGCCCCAATAATTTTTGATAAACTTTCTTACTTTCTGGTATGTTTCATCTTGGGTATTTCCTGTCACAGACCTTAAATCAGCCATTTCTTAAAGTAGCTTTGATTCCTTTTAGTAGGAAATTGTGTTATGAGATTACAGTCTGTGCTCTAAGGTTGCATATTGCTACTGGGTTGATCATGGTTTCTAGGCCTTTTTAATTGATAACAGTTTGGGAATGCATTTTTTTTGTTCTTTTTAAAAAATCAAATAATGAATTAATATTGATACTCCCAATTCAAATTCAGGATTTAGGACCACAAGGTTGTTTTTGTTATGTTTGCTTCTTAGATTTCTTTCTTTTTTTTTTTTTTTTTGGAGACAGTCTTGCTTTGTCGCCCTGGCCAGAGCATAGTGGCATGATCTTGGCTCACTGCAACCTCCGCCTCCTGGGTTCAGGTGACTCTACTGCTTCAGCCTCCCGAGTAGCTGGGATTACAGGTGTCTGCCACCATGCCTGGCTAATTTTTGTATTTTTAATAGAGACAGGGTTTCACCATGTTGGCCAGGCTGGTCTCAAACTCCTGACCTCAAGTAATCCACCTGCCTTGGCCTCCCAAAGTGCTGGGATTACAGGTGTGAGCCACCACACCTGGCCTTGCTTCTTAGATCTTAAGTCTTTATCTCCTTTCTTTCAAACTGAATAGCCAACTTCCCAACAACATTAATCAAATTACTCATTTGTTTTAATGCCACAACATACACAGTAGCAGTCTTAGAATTACATCACTGGAATCTGAGGTGGAAGGATGGTTTGAGTCCAGGAATTCGAGGACAGCCTGGGCAACATAGTGTGAGAGACTCTGTCTCTTACAAAGAATTATAACATCAACACTACCACTAACAAAATGATTATTCAAAATAATTGAAGATTTATTTGCGGATGTTTGTCCTTAGGTCATATGCAGTTAGAGATACACAGTTAAATTAGGTTTGTTTTAAAGTCACTTGAAGTAATTCTTCTTTGTAGGTTTTGCTACCAGCTCTATATAATTAGGGCCTTTTGTTTCATTTTGCTTTCAGATTTTAGGGATTCGTTTTTCCTCTTTTGGTTTTATTTTGTAATCAATGTAAAATATCTACAGTGTGGCAGAGTGAACTCTACAAAAGAATGGATATAAGTCCATTCTTGTCTCTTTTACCATTTTTTCAAGTTTATTTCCTTCCCTCCCTTTTAAAACATATAAGCATATGTATGTATTAATTACATACCTCCTCCCACCTCCCCAAACATACTATACATTTTATTCCATCTTGCTTTTCTCACTTAGTAGTATATCCCAGAGAAAATATGAGATGTTCTACCTTCCTTTTATAGCTGCTTAATGTACTGCACTTTAATGGTTGTTATCGCAGTTTTTGCAGCTAATCCCTTACAGACTAGGTATTTGGGCTTGTTTCCAGTCTTTTGCTATTACAGATAGTGTGATGAATGGCCTCGTGTTTTTTTTTGCTAGTGTGTCCCTGAGATAGATTCTTAGACATGGAATTGCTGGGTCAAAGAGCATGTGCATATAATTTTGCTAGACATTGACAAATACTTCTGCATAAGCAGTTGCATAATTTTGCATTTTCACCATCAATGTGAGAATGCCTGATTGCTCAGTCTCGCCAGCAGTTGTTAAATTTCTAGATTTTTGCTAATCTAATAGGTAAGAAATAGCACCTCAGTATAGTTTTAATTTGAATTTATCTTATTTTGAGCAAAGTTAAACATTATTTCATATAGTTAGGATAGTTATATTTAACTCAGTTGATATGCCCATTTTTCTAAGTTGGCTTTCTCTCAGATTTCAGAGGCTTTTTATGTAGCTGTAGGTGATAGACACACTCATTAATTAATATGTATCTTTGTGACAAAAGGTGCAAACAATTTTTCCAGTTTGGTTAGTCCCCCTCCAGCCTCCCGCCCACTTAGCTTGTCATCAAGGAATCTGTTTTTTTTCTAGTATTTTTTTTTTAACATCTCTGATCATTTGGTATTTTGGTGTATCCCAAAATTGAACAAGATTATTGTTTTCCAATAGACCTTTGAAAGAAAGTGTTAGAATTGAATTAAATTCTGTTGTCCTGATTTAATTTGCAAGACATTCTTGTATGCTTTAAAGTATTGTATTTTGTAATGGATAAGCTTCTGAGAACTCCAATTACTTTGTTGTTTTTTAAACTCTCAAGGAAAGGCTAAAACTAGATTTTCAGATTGTACATAGAAAAATTCAAGCTACTTTCCAACATTGAATTTACTACTTTTTGACTTCTTGATGTGTTTTAATAGGTTGATCGGGATCGAGATCTTCTCATTCAGCAGACTATGAGGCAGCTTAACAATCACTTTGGTCGAAGATGTGCTACTACACCAATGGCTGTACACAGAGTAAAAGTCACATTTAAGGATGAGCCAGGAGAGGGCAGTGGTGTAGCACGAAGTTTTTATACAGCCATTGCACAAGCATTTTTATCAAATGAAAAATTGCCAAATCTAGAGTGTATCCAAAATGCCAACAAAGGCACCCACACAAGTAAGTACTCTACAAATAACAAGCAGCTTAAAATTCTTTCCTTGTTCCTCAAACCAACAGTGGTAATCATGGTTTCTATATGTGTGAGTGCATAAATTTGCATTTTTACATACTTTTATTCTAGATTGATTTAATCTTGTTTAAACTATTCTAATGGACAACAATTTGCTATTCTACGGACACATTTATTTTGATAAATGTTTGTGATTGTACTAGTTTTTCATCTCAATTGTTACATGTTGTGGGTGGGTAAGAGGTTGTAAAATACATAGTGATATAAAAATTCACCGATCAAATTGCAGCATTTCCTCCACTTCAATATTTAACCCACAGGGATATTTGAGAAGAAAATGCTATTCTAAGAGCAGTGCTGTTCACATTATGATTTCCAAACTTGCTCCTGGTCCCCAGTGAGATAAGGACTTTACAACCAAATGCAAATCCACTGTGTCACTAAGCTCACTGTTTAGCAAGACTTAAAACAAAAAATCCTGGTGCAAGCTTATTACCCCACTGAGGATCAACACTTTGGGGTTAGGACTCTTAGCTAAGTTTTAAGATTACAAGGATCAAATTTTAAAATTTGTGAAAATTACAAAAGCCTTAGGAGATTCACATCAAGTAGGAGCAGAAGATTATCAGACTTGTAGGTGGATGGAGACTGACTGAGCTGTAGAAAGGATTGAGGGTGAAAAAATGGGTGAGAGTTCCTCAGCTTTTCATCAGTTTCACCATTTCACTTTCTATAATGTTATAATGAGAAGAAATTAGGAGATGTGAATGAGGAAACTGGGAAGTCTTAACATTTCCAAACTATCTGTTTTGTACACTTATAGGAAACCATACTCTGGCTTGGGCTTAGGAATTTAAAAATAATAATAGGTAATATTCTGGTGGCCTTTAATGCTTTCATGCCAAAAACTAAGAACAGAGGATATTTAAATGAGTCTAGTCATGTAAGAAATTTCAGCGTTATTTATAGTGACACTATCATAACCTTACTTGCTATATATTATTTCACAGCTTTGACATGACAAGGGAGAAAATTGATTAACAAATATTGAGTGAACATCTATTTCGTGCCAGGTATATTCTACACAATCACCTCCAACCCTGAAAACCCATAGGGAGAGAAAGGCATTAACAACACAGATGCTAGGGAAGGATAATCTTTAGCTGTCATGTTTTCTTACATTTGTCTCATTTCTTTGCATTGACTTTGAAATTTAAGGTAGTTGAATTTGCATTCATCTAAATACAGTATATTTCTGATTTTCTTCTAGGTTTAATGCAGAGATTAAGGAACCGAGGAGAGAGAGACCGGGAAAGGGAGAGAGAAAGGGAAATGAGGAGGAGTAGTGGTTTGCGAGCAGGTTCTCGGAGGGACCGGGATAGGTAAATTTTGTATCTTTGATTCAATACCACCTTTTTGGATGAATTAGAGATAGGCCTGTAAATGAAAGAATCTTAATTATGGATTATTTTTTAGAAAAGTAAAGTTTTAATTTTGAACATATGTATAGTAACTAAGAATAGTCTGTTAATAAAATACAATAACTAAGAATAGTCTATTAACTAATAAAAAGTTCTGCTTTAAAAACCCAGAGGCGGTTGAAATTATATTCTTTTTATCTGACTCAAGTTCCTATTTGAATTTTTTTACCCATATCATTCTCTCCTAAGTTTATCTTAAAAAGTCTTCATTTTTCAGGCCACATGCGGTGGCTCACGCCTGTAATTCCAGCACTTTGGGAGGCCGAGGTGGGTGGATCATCTGAGTTCAGGAGTTCAAGACCAGCCTGACCAACATGGTGAAACTCTGTCTTTCCTAAAAACAAAAAATTAGCCAGGTGTGGTGGCGCATGCCTGTAATCCCAGCTACTTGGGAGGCTGAGGCAGGAGAATCCTTTGAGCCTGGGAGACAGAGGTTGCAGTGAGCCGAGATTATGCCATTGCATTGCATTCCAGCCTGGGAAACGAGCAAAATTCTGTCTGGCAAAAAAAAATTTAATTTTGGCAGATTGTGCTATTTAGAATCTTTGAAGTTTTCTCTTGTTAAGATGGATTGCATTTTACTTTTGACTAAAATTTCCAGAATTATGTGTGGACTCTTGATATCTGGTATGTTAAGGTCCTACTCCCTTACAATAAAAATTTTAAATTAAGTAACAAAATCTAGATAATCTTTATTTCCTAACCATCATCTGTTTTGGCACTCTACCACCTAGGTACCATAACTGAACAACCTATATGCTCTGGTTTTCTAACTTTTTTACTAGTTGTGCTAATATTTTTACTTGTTAGTCAAAGGAAATGAAGTCATAATAGTTTTCCTTCTCTTACAGAGACTTTAGAAGACAGCTTTCCATCGACACTAGGCCCTTTAGACCAGCCTCTGAAGGGAATCCTAGCGATGATCCTGAGCCTTTGCCAGCACATCGGCAGGCACTTGGAGAGAGGCTTTATCCTCGTGTACAAGCAATGCAACCAGTGTGTACTGTGTACTTAGTTACCTCTTAACTGGCTGTGTTATTTTTTTGCTTTTGAATTAAAGATGGTGTTTAAAAAAAATTGTCAGCTACTGGCAAAACCACATGATTGAGGACTCTTTTTAGCTCTGCAGTAAGAAGGAAGCTCAGGAGAGAATAAGGCAGTGTTTACTGAAGGGTAACTGTATAGCTTGAATTTATTTTTTCCTCCACCCACCTTATGTTGGGACACTGTCTCCATTCTACCTTCCTTGCATGCTAAAGAATTTGCTGTGCATTATATTTATTGTATCTTCATTTGAACAAATTATTACTACTTTTGGAGCAGACTTTATCTGTTAGCAAGCTGTAGTTGGAACACATTAATGCTGATTAGTATTGCAGGAAGAATTTTATTTTGAATGTTCTATCAAGAGTTTTTCTTTATATGATATGAAACACAAATTAGTTATGTTTTTTGTCTTTATGCATAACTGTATGTACACATTTTATAGTGAAAGAATAACAGAAAACTATTATTTCTTCCAGCAAGTCCTCAGCCTTAAACATAGGTATATTTTTCTCTACCCTACCCCCTTCTTTTTTTCTACCCTAAATAAAAGATATTTCTGGCTCTCTGATGAAGAAAAAAATATGGAAATTGAGTATATGTATGTTTAACTCAGAGATATAAAAAAACCTAAAAAGAAAACTTGTCATACAAATATTATAAGTAGCCTTAACAAGATGTGGTACTGCATGGACTGTTTATTCCCTGCCAAGTTTCTCTATAATTGATCTTCCAGTTTCATAAAAGACCTTACTGGTTCTGAAATTTTGTATTTGTTACCCAAGTTTCTTATTTTATTTTTTTTTTAAATAAAAGATTGTAGATGTAATTAGACAAGAGGTTTTAGAGAGTAGTCAAGTAACATTTGTTCATCATTTACAGGCATTTGCAAGTAAAATCACTGGCATGTTGTTGGAATTATCCCCAGCTCAGCTGCTTCTCCTTCTAGCAAGTGAGGATTCTCTGAGAGCAAGAGTGGATGAGGCCATGGAACTCATTATTGCACATGGACGGTAATGTGTACAATTGGGAAGGCATTTCAGTTTAAACATCAGCTACTTACTTTCAGTATGTGGGTGCCATCATATCTTAAAATTTATGTCATAAAGTATAAGACTTTAAATGCATTTTTATTTATTTTTTAAATGATAGCTTAAATTCCATGAATGAGACAGCTTAGTTTCTTCTCATGTATTAGAAAGGTAGGGTTTTAATAGTTACCAAGGTTATTTGGAAATTACTTGAAAGAAAGTACATCTCAAATTCACTTATCAGAATACCCTCCTGGCAAAGGCCATACATATTATACTGTGTTCTTGCCATAACCATGACATTTCTTTTAGGCTTCCTGATTTGTCTTAAAAATTCATGGAAGTTTTTGCTTTCTATTCTGTAAAGTATGAATTTAATATAAAATCTAAAAAATATCTAACAGATTACATATCCCTTTTTCCAAGGTGACAAGTAAAAGTGACTTAGGAAGATAAGGCCGGGTGCGGTGGCTCTCACCTGTAATCCCAGCACTTTGGGAGGCTGAGGCGGGCAGATTGCCTGAGGTCAGGAGTTCAAGACCAGCCTAGCCAACATGGTGAAACCGTATCTCTACTAAAAAAAAAGTTAAAAGTGGCTGGGCACGGTGGCTCATGCCTGTGATCCCAGCACTTTGGGAGGCCAAAGCGGGTGGATCACGAGGTCAGGAATTCGAAACCAGCCTGACCAACATGATGAAACCCGTCTCTACGAAAAATAGAAAAATTAGCCAGGCATGATGGTGGGCGCCTGTAATCCTAGCTGCTCGGGAGGCTGAGGCAAGAGAATAGCTTGAACCCAGGAGGGTGGAGCTTGCAGTGAGCCAAGACCATGCCATTGCACTCCAGCCTGGGCGACAGAGCGAGACTCCATCTCAAAAAATAAATAAGTAAATAAATAAATAAGCTGGGTGTGGTGGTGAGCACCTGTAATCCCAGCTACTCGAGAGGCTGAGGCAGGGAGAATTGCTTAAACCCGGGAGACAGAGGTTGCAGTGAGCTGAGATTGCGCCACTGCACTCCAGCCTATGTGACAGAGCGAGCCTCTGTCTCAAAAAAAAAGAAAAAAAAAGGGAAGATAGGTCACATTTATGCTGTAGTTTCTATCCTGGGGCTAATCTGATACCCAGTTTGAAACTTTGAAGTGTTTATTATTTTAGATGAAAAGTTGTATTTTTTTCTTCCTAATGAGTTAGGAATTTAGATTAGATACACTCCTAGAGATGTATAAGCTGGTAGGCTGGGCACTAGAGCTAAACAGCCACTTCTAGAGCCTTTTAATGGTCCAAGCCAAAGACTGTTGAGAGAACTGTATTTTCTTTGCTGATGCTCTTTTCTTCTCTGGATTTTATGTACTGTTCGTTTATTCCTCTGCCCTGTCTCTGGAGCTACTGCATACTGGTATAGCTTAGTCCATTATAGAAAAATCAAGAACAATGTACATTTTTGGTGAAAAGATTTTTGTGAGTATATGTTAAGAGTTGCGTATTTAGTCATGTTTTCTGTTGAATGCAACCAATGTACAATATTGACAGCTTTCACCTGGCTTTCTGGAGTAAACAGTGAATTTATTGGTGTTCTAGAATCATTAAATTCGCTAGAGAATTTGCTAGTGAATTTGGATTGCTTTCTGAACATTTTTCTGTTCTTCTGTAGTGCTCCCTCTGAGCATTGTAGAAGTGTTCCAGCACCCCTATGAAGACCACATTCATTTTGTCAGGGAGCCTTTAGTCCACTATCTTGAATCATACATGAAGGATCTAGTGATACACTTTTTTAAAGATTTGTATTACCAACTTCTCTGCTCATACTGCATTAGTACTAGCAGGTGCATTGGATATTTATTGACTCCAAAACTTGAATGTATTTTGTAAGTAAGTCCTTTTAAATTTAAATTATACGCTAAATTCTAGAAGTCTCCGTTATCTGGAATGTGAAAGGCTTTTTGTTTTTAGGGAAAATGGAGCTGATAGTATCCTGGATCTTGGATTAGTAGACTCCTCAGAAAAGGTACAGGTAAGGAACATTTTATTCATGTGCTGATAATCACAGAATTTAAATTACAAGGAAATTTCAATAAAGGGGATGAAAGCAGGATTTCTGAAGAAACTGTCTTTATAAATAAAATGAATGTTTACAGTAGAGAGACAGAAGCAAAGATAAATATATCGGTATTATGCATAGAATCAAATAATAAGCTTGGCTTAATTAGGGCTCAGTATAATCCCACCCATTGGTTGGCATCCATTTGAGCACAGCTTGAATTAAGCTTTACTTTGAATAAGTAACAAATTGAAGAACAGAGAGGGAAAGATGTATAGAATCCTAGGACTAATTCACCAGGTGTGGTGGCTCACGCCTGTAATCCCAGCCCTTTGGGAGACCGAGGTGGGCAGATCACGAGATCAGGAGTTCTAGGACTCCTGGGACTCATTCTTCAAAGAAGTAGCTGGTGCCAACATTGCAAAAACAAGTGACATATCATGCTATAGCATAAGGAAGCCTTTTTAGTTGGCATTGAAACAATTGCACATAGAAGGTGAGACTTCCAATTTGAACCTAAGTAGGTTGATTGCCTACTAAATTCATATTAATTTACTAAGACTCAGAGTTTTCACAACTAATTCACAATGCCCAGGATACACTCTAAAATTACTCAGCCTACAAAGAACCAGGAAAAACTGGATCCACCTCTCTCAGGAAAAGAACCAATAGATGGCAACCACGAGATGACCCACTTGTTGGAATTATCAAAGACTATCCCATGTTCTGCAAGATAATGGTGAACACTGGTGAATGGAAAGACAGAGGTTCTCAGCAGACACACACAGGAACTTCAAAAGAGAACAAAGGGAAATTTTTAGAATTAAAAGGGCAATATCTAAAAGAAAAAAATTCACAGGATGCATCAATAGCTGAATGAAGGTGTTGGAGGAAAGTGTCAGTCAGCTTGAAGATAGATGGAAATTACCCTTTCTGAAGAACAGATAGAGAAAATATTTTAAAACAAAAGGACAGTTTCAGGGAGACCTGTGGGACAACTTCAAAAGATCTAACATATATGTCACTGAAATACTCAGGGGAAGAGAAGAAATTGCTATAGAAAAAATATTTGAAGAAATAAATCATGGCTGGGCACTTCCTAAATTTGGTAAAAGACATAGATTTCCAGATTCAAGAGTCAGTGAACTCAACAGAATAAACTGAAAGAAAACTATGTCCAGATACATTATAATCAAACTTCTGTAAAATAAAGAAATGTTATTGAAAGCAGCCAAAGAATGGTTCTTTACCTATAGGGAAACAGTGATTTGAAAGAGTGGATTTCTCACTATAAAGTATGAAAGCCAAAAGTCAACAAACTCATCAAAGTGATGACAGAATTCTGTATCCAGTGAAAAGAATTTTCAGGCAATAAAGTGAAAGAAGCTTATCCGAGTTTCATTAAATGACTTTATTTTAACAACAGAGACGTTAAAGACCTAATAATACACAAGCTTTGTGTGTCACATTCTGAAAGGGCAAATTAAAAGTTCATTTACCTTTAATATTGTTATACACATATATTTAAATATTTATGTTGCTCTTCCTACCTGACTTCATTTGAATGATTTGAGAGAACCATTTCATATGTTTTGTTTTTTCAGTGAATCTTGGGGCTTACTCTCTGATATTCTCTGTTAGCAGGAAAACCGAAAGCGCCATGGCTCTAGTCGAAGTGTAGTAGATATGGATTTAGATGATACAGATGATGGTGATGACAATGCCCCTTTGTTTTACCAACCTGGGAAAAGAGGATTTTATACTCCAAGGCCTGGCAAGAACACAGAAGCAAGGTTGAATTGTTTCAGAAACATTGGCAGGTAAAAGAACTTTAATCTTGGGTTTGAATTTTTTAAAACATTTCAATTTATGAGATTTTCTAAAATATATTTGTTTTAAAATGTATGTACGCTGGGTGCGGTGGCTCACACCTGTAATCTCAGCACTTTGGGAGACTGAACTGGGAGGATCACTTGAGCCCAGGAGTTGGAGACCTGCCTGGGCAACATGGCGAAACCCTGTCTTTACTAAAAATAAAAAAATACTAGCGGGCATTGTGCTGCAATGCCTGTAGTCCCAGCTACTTGGGAGGCTGGCGTAGGAGGATGACCTGACTGTGGCACTGCACTTCAGCCTGGGTTGACAGAGTGAGACCCTGTCTCAAAAACAAAACATTCTCAGGCTGGTGTTCCTGTTTTTTTTTGTTTTGTTTTGTTTTTTGAAAAAGTGTATGTGCTGTACTTTATGCTGAATAGAAAGGAGGCTGTAGAGAATTTCTCAAAATATTAATACGTATTATGTGTGGGGGGATATATGTATTCTAGAATTATTTAAATCTTATTTCTCTGTGTTTGTTTTTAGGATTCTTGGACTATGTCTGTTACAGAATGAACTATGTCCTATCACATTGAATAGACATGTAATTAAAGTATTGCTTGGTAGAAAAGTAAGTGATTTTGATGAACCTAATTGTATTCACAATTGCAAAAATTTTCTTTTATAAAATAATCAAACGCTAGCATACTGTTTATAACATTCATTTACTATTAAATCTTAAAGCATTACAGCCATTATAAATAACTTTAAAACATTTAATTATACAATTATGGTCAACAAAAATAAAATTAATAAATTAATGACAGAAAAAGACTATGGGGAGATGGCATAGCAGAGTAGATAACACAAGTGGGGCTGGGGGGTCTGACAGACCTACGTCCTGTTGCAAACAAATATGCTGACATTTCTGCCATGTTTCCCCATTTATAAATTGGTAAGAAACACAACATCGTAAGTACCTGGCAAATAGTAAGTGATTGGTAAATTGTATCCACTATTATTAGTTGTACCTGGTGTTAGAGAAGGTAGTGGTATTGAAAAGAGCCTTCCAGGCCAGGCACGGTGGCTTATGCCTGACACCTGTAATCCCAACACTTTGGGAGGCCAAGGCAGAAGCATCTCTTGATCCCAGGAGTTTGAGACCAGCCTGGACAACGTACGAGACTCTGACTCTACCAAAAATTTTAAAAGTTAACTGCGTGTGGTGGCATGCACCTGTGGTCCCAGCTATACTTGGGAGACTGAGATAGGAGGATCTGCTTGAGCCCAGGAGTTTGAGGCTTCAGTGAGGCATGATTGCACCACTGCACTCCAGCCTGGGTGACAGAGCAAGACCCTATCTCATAAAACAAAACAAAAAAAAAATAGAGCATTCTAACTTCAAAAATACCTATAAGAGGTACATGGGGGTGGCCAAAGAATGTAAGAAGTACAACACAGCATGCTCAGTATTGATCTCTGGATGATGGAATTAGCTTATCTTTATGTGTTTTGATAGTTTGGTAGCCTGCACCTCCCTTTATGATGGCAGGGGGAAAAGAAAAACCGTTTGCTTTAAAATTAATATACAATGCTAATTATGCAGCTTTTGATTTAAAAGAAAACTACCCACGTTCCTAAAAATATTTTAGAGAAATTACTTGACACAAAACAAATGGAATAGACTAAGTGCCTTTATTTTTTTCTTTTTTTTTTTTGAGACAGTCTCACTCTGTCACCCAGGGTGGAGTGCAGTGGCACGATCTCGGCTTACCGCAACCTCCACCTCCCAGGTTTAAGTGATTCTCATGAGTTAGCCTCCCGAGTAGCTGGGATTGAGTAAGTTCTTATTGTCGTCAATAGGTTCTTGGAAACTGCAACTCTAATTGAAATGAAACCAGTTTTTTCTTATCAACATTATAATGAAATGATGTTATTTGAGAACCTGCTGTTTGTCATTTCAAAGTTACAGCTAAGAACCTATCAACGGCTTTAATTAATTAATTTTTTTTTTTTTTGAGATGGAGTCCCGCTCCATTGCCCGTGCTGGAATGCAGTGGTGTGATCTTGGCTCACTGTAAACCTCCATCTCCCAGGTTCAAGTGATTCTCCTGTGTCAGCCTCCCAAGTAGCTGGGACTGCAGGCGCATACAACCATGCCCGGCTAATTTTTGTATTTTTAGTAGAGATGGAGTTTCACCATATTGGCCAGGCTTTTCTCAAACTCCTGACCTCAAGTGATTCCCCCAGCTCGGCCTCTGTGTGAGTCACCACATCCAGCCAATGGCTTTGAGGATTTATGTTATAGTTTTTTCCGGAGGTACATGTCACACATCTGATAAATAAGCATGTTAAAGCTGTAGCCTCCTAATAATTCTCTTTAATCAGACCTACTGATGAATAATTTTCTATTAGTACAAGAATATCATATTATGATTTTTTCTTTTTAACTCTGACCCTATTAAATTCTTAAAGTGTTCCAGCTAAAATGTTCTTATTTAAAGAACTAGACTCAAAGCTTGGCAACATAAAATTGTTGATATATTGAGTCTTCAGCAGGGTTTAGGAAACAGCTAATTAAATAGACCCAAGTTTAACCCAATAAAGTGACCTTGGGGCAAGTTACTAAATTTCCTTGAGTGTCAGATTTATCATCTGGATTTAATAATCTATATTTTATGTTACTATCAAGAATTAATAAGATGTATATTAAGTTCAGAGCCGGCTGCTCCCCATAATTGGTGTTTAATAAGTAGTGCAAAGTTTTGCAGTTTTGGAACTTTAAAACTATTATGCTTTTGGCTTTATATTTTTTCAAAATATAACCCTTCTTATACTTTGAAAAGCAAATATTGTCAGAGCCAAAGATTTATTAAACTTATCTCTTTAAATAGTTATATACCCAGTGGGAAATTATTCTATATCAATGTATCTTCAAATTAGATAAAATTCTTTATCAGATTTTAATTTACTAATTAATTGAATGAAGATGCTGTTTCTTTCATAACTGAGTTTCATATGATTACTTTTTTAGGTCAATTGGCATGATTTTGCTTTTTTTGATCCTGTAATGTATGAGAGTTTGCGGCAACTAATCCTCGCGTCTCAGAGTTCAGATGCTGATGCTGTTTTCTCAGCAATGGATTTGGCATTTGCAATTGACCTGTGTAAAGAAGAAGGTGGAGGACAGGTAAAGCAAATATACACTTTTCTGATTCTGGCAAGAGAATTTGGTTAAACTGCTGTGCTTGTCTTATGTATAGACAGTTTAGTTAGGGAATGAAAGAGATGAACGTGTGTGTACACATAGGAGAGATGGATACTGTCGGTGTTAAAGATGGATCAAGAGTTAGTGAGACAGACTGAGGTAGAAGGGCTTGTACTTTTTGTGTGTGTGTGTGTGTGAGATGGAGTCTTGCTCTGTCGCCAGGCTGGAGTGTAGTGGCACAATCTCAGCTCACTGCAACCTCTTGACTCCCTGGTTCAAGCGATTCTCCTGCCTCAGCCTCCCCAGTAGCTGGGATTACAGGTACGCGCCACCACGCCCACCTAATTTTTGTATTTTTAGTAGAGATGGGGTTTCACCATGTTGGCCAGGATGGTCTCGATCTCCTGACCTCATGATCCACCCACCTTGGCCTCCCAAAGTGTTGGGATTACAGGCGTGAGCCACTGCGCCTGGCGGCTTGTCCTTTTTTTGGCCTAAAATGTTTCCATCTCTTAGATTCTGGTCAAATAAATAATTGTGTTTATATTTAAAAATTTTAGGAACTAGTTTTATAAACAGTAATGTTTTACTGCTTTGACAAAATTGCCTTTAAATAGCACTGGTAAATTTTTCACAGGTTGAACTCATTCCTAATGGTGTAAATATACCAGTCACTCCACAGAATGTATATGAGTATGTGCGGAAATACGCAGAACACAGAATGTTGGTAGTTGCAGAACAGCCCTTACATGTAAGTGTTTCTAGAAAGTGTTGTGTGATCCAATGAGGCTATTTGTGTCTTAATGTGTGGTAAACTAGCTAAGTATATTCAGCTTATTTATAAAAGGACAAATTTTTTAAACCAAAAGGAATTTATTTACAATGTAAATTACACCTAAGTTTAAGAATCCAGACCAAGTACTCATTTTCTTTTTGATAAAACTACTTGGAAAAACCACGTCATTGTGAGAAAGTAGCTTTGGCAAACAAAAGTGTGGAAAGGGTGCTTATGGTACCAAAATGACTGTTTTAGGGTCCTACTGTTTTAGTGGTAGAGTTATTGAGACAGACTGAGAGGTACAAAGGCTTTTTATACCAAAATGTTTCCATCACTTAGCTTCTGGTCAGATAAAGAATTGTCTTTATATTTTAAAATGTATGCATAAAATAATATATCTTAGTCCTTTGTCCTACTGTATTAGCGGTAGGACCCTAAAACAATCATTTTGGTACTGCAAACAGCTTTAGTTTTATTTACCAAAGCTACTTTGGGTAACCTGCTAAAAGAACTCAACAGGACTCAGAAGCAGTTGTACTTAATAGTTATTGTTTATTGTAGCAAAAGGACCCACAGCAAGATCAGCAGGGGAAGAAACAAACATTAGGCGGAGTCTTGAGGAATCCAGGTGCAGGCTTTCAAAGTTCTGTCTCAAGCAGGGGAATGAGTTATTGCAAAGAACACACTTCTTCCACTAGTGAAATGTATCAACATGTATACATTATTTGTGCTTAGGGAAGCCCACTTTAGAGTCAGAGCTCAGTGTTTTTATTGGAAGCTAGTTCCATGGGCATTTTCTATCTGCACAACCAGCCATGATTACTGAAATTCCAGAATCCCTGAAGAAAGCACATGTTCATCTTGAACTGCATTGTTTGCACAAATAGTCCAGGCAGTCTGATACAGCATGGTTCATTGCTCCAGACATTCAAAACAGCCTTACCAGTTAGTAATGTTGGAATATTGCAAAAACCAAGTTCTCAGACACCAGCCAATGCCAGCCCTACTAGTCAGGCCCTTGTAAAGAGTAACATCAATCCTACTATGTTAATGTCTTCCCCATCCAGGGTAAAAAAAAATATTTTTTTTTTTAAGACAGTGTCTTGCTCTGTCACCAGGCTGGAGTGCAGTGGCACAACCTTGGCTCAGTGCAACCTCCGCCTCCTGGGTTCAAGTGATTCTCCTGTCTCAGCCTCCTGAGTAGCTGGGACTATAGGCGCGCGCCAGCATGCCCAGCTAATTTTTGTATTTTTGGTAGAGACGGGGTCTTGATCTCATGATCTGCCCACCTTGGCCTCCCAAAGTGCTGGGATTACAGGCATGAGCCACCACACCCAGCCTGTAAAATGTTTATATAGCTTTATGACTGATGGTGTTGAGTGTTTCTGATCCCTGTGCTACAATAATTGTGCAGGCTTTGGAGTCATACTGTTAGAGTTGAAATCATGGCTCTACCACCCTCTAGCTGTATGATGTTACCAAGTTAAGTTTTTTGTGCCTTGGTTCCCTCCTCTGCAAAATGAGGATAAGATTAAATTGAATTAGGTAAGGTACTAAGACAATTCCTGGCACATCATAATTTCTCAGTAAGCATCTAGCTTTTGAGTTTGTGTCTGGGAGGTTTGTTGTTGTCAATTTATCTTTCCTGAGATACTGACAGGGTAGCACTTTTTAAAGATTGAAGCTATTCTTAATGACTAGCCTGTTTGTTATTAACAAAACTTTTAAAATTGTTAAATCACTGGGATATAATACTACTTCACTATTGAACCCATAGCTTATTCACTATGCCTTCCCTCCCCACTTCCTGCCTTTCTCTCTTTTGAATCCTAAGAAATAAAAAATACAGGACTGAATTTTTTTTGCTATCTGGCATAAAATGGGAACTAGCATTGTTAGAGAAGGCTGCTAAAATTATGTCTTGTGCTTTAATAATATAAATAAATGTTACATGGAAAATGAAGTATTATTGTTTCTGAAATTCTCTAGGCAATGAGGAAAGGTCTACTAGATGTGCTTCCAAAAAATTCATTAGAAGATTTAACGGCAGAAGATTTTAGGCTTTTGGTAAATGGCTGCGGTGAAGTCAATGTGCAAATGCTGATCAGTTTTACCTCTTTCAATGATGAATCAGGTAGGACATTTAAAAAAAATGTTTAAAGAATGAACTATATAGATAGGTCAGTCAGCATTTTCTGAGTTTCTAGTTCTTAAGGCCTGTTTATAGGGTTTGGGAAATTGCTGTATTACTCAAGCATTAAAACAATTTTTTACATTGTTTTTAAAGGTATGTTTGAAGTAAATAGTATTTTGATGGCTTAGCATTAGGCTATTCTTAACTCTTTTACTGCTTAATTTTTCTAGGTTTCAAAAAATATGAATACAAACAAAAATTTTTCATGGTGAGCAACTGTGTAAAAAAGGATTTGTATATAGTGGTTAAGAAAAAGTAATCCATGTGACAACTCTCTGGGCTTTTCTGATTCATGTTGCTTAAACTCCCTAATGAAAGAATTTGTATGATGATTGCTCTATAGAGCTGGACCCAAATCACACTTCTAAAAACACAGTAGCACACAAACACTTCCTAGATTCCTAGAATCTAGGAAGAATAAGGAGTGGTAGTGAAAGTCCTCTTGAAAGAAAAACTTTTATCTCCAGTGTTTGATTTGCTGCAATTCTTTCTTTTGAAAGTCCTATGGTCTAGGAATAGGCTTTTTAGCTGTGACTGTACATTAGAAGCTCCAAGAAGTTCTCTGTGAAAGGATTATACCTATATTCCAAGATTATTATGTACACAAAGGTACTGATTTTTTTCCCCTTTATTTTTCCTATTTTGCAAGCAGCTTCAGCCAAATTATATATTGTAATAGTTTTTGTGCTACCTTGTAATACAGTTTTTAATACTAATAAGAATTTGTCTCATTTACAAACCAAAAATTTAGGAAGGAAAACAGTATCCAAATAAACTGCCTAAGATCTTGCCACTCCAAGTATGATCCTCAGATCAGTAGCATTGGCATCATCTGAAAGCGTTTTAGACAGGCAGAATCTCTGGTCTCCCCTCTCTGCATTCCCCACCCAGTGAATGAATGAGAATCTGCATTTCTTGAGATCATAAGAATACTGACATACAGATGAGATAAAACTCATGTGAATATCAGTTTTAAGGCTGGTGGTTCATTTGTTTTGGTCATATTGAGTCAGGATTGACTAATGAACTGTAGAGGTTTTGCATTATGCAAATGCTCTTAATTTCTTGTATTAGGAATTAGACGCTCCCCCCCAAGTCTTAAATAATGTTTTAATCTGTATCCTTTTATTATAAGAAGATTAGTAATATTCTACAGATAATAACAACAACTGGTATAGTATATTTTATTTACATTCTTCATTCTTAGGAGAAAATGCTGAGAAGCTTCTGCAGTTCAAGCGTTGGTTCTGGTCAATAGTAGAGAAGATGAGCATGACAGAACGACAAGATCTTGTAAGTTAAAAATTTCACAAGATTTGTAGAAGGAAATACAGAAGTTAAAAATACCATGTATGATGGCCTTTTAAGTTTGTAATGGTTGGTCATTTTAATTTTGGGTAGGGCAATTATAGAAGGTCACAAATAAGGCAGTTTTTGTTTTTCTGCTCTATAACAATATCTGAAGTATTACTAAAGCTCTAAGCAGAGTGAAGTACATTTAGCTGTTAATATGCTGTCCTTAGTCCCAGAAGATACCAGTTTACTGTTGCAACATGGCTTTTTATCTTTATCGCACTGCCTACATATGCTTCTCCCTGTATACATCCTTAATCCTTTTGACTAGTGCCAAGCCTTGACAGAATTTCTGAGTATTATCTTGATTGTTATCTGCATACTAGGAAGAGAGTAGCTTAATTGTGATATGTGGGTACTAAGTCTTTCAAAATCTTATTAGTACAGAGCCCCAGCTAACTTAGAATTATAAATTAGATAACAGAAGCTTTGATCTTAGTGGAAAGTCTACCTCTTAGTGGAACTTACGTCCACCCATCAAGTAAAACCATAACCAAATCATCCTGTCCATTAATCTTGAAAGGCAGTATGCTGCAGACTTTCTTGTAGAAATTTGAAGGACATTCCTTATCTAGAAGACCCTGGAAGATCCTTTCTGTACTCCTGGAACATTGCCCCGGTCTAACCAGCCTTAGTTCTAAACTAGACCACTTCTGGAAATATTTAAAAATGATCAGATTTCTAGATATATCCTTTATTTTATTTGAATAAGGGGAAGTGGTTATTTGTGCAGGAAAGAAAAAAATTGCAGATTCCCAGTTACCTTCATTCAGGCAGAAGCTTATTTTGGGGGTGGTGGAGGGAAGGAGGGGAATTCATGCTTTTAGCACTCCTGAATCTTTACATGGCTCTAGGTGTATTCTAATATTTCTCTGCTATGGTGAGATGGGTTTGTTCAGCAGTCCTAACTGCCACCTAGTTCATTTCTCAGCTTTTAGCCACCCTAGTAATTTTGACTTAGTTTGTTCCCCAGGTGGGTTTGATATAATTGGTCAGCATTTGACTTCTCCAGTCTTATGGCTCTTAAAAGTTCCCACTAGTCAATACCATAACTGTCCCTGTTGGTTTCAGGATCACCTAAATAGCTTAAGTTCTACCACCTTTAGTCAGTCTTTAGATTCAGGGCACCTTGTTTCCTTAAGACAAGCCCCATCTCAAGTCTGTAAGAACCACCAAAAACAGAAAGGATTGGCTATCTGGTATAAGTTCTAAGTCATCTATTTTAATCTATTTCCTAGTTTTAATTTCTGCCAGGTTTTTTTTTTTTTTGAGACGGAGTCTCACTCTGTCGCTCAGGCTGGAGTGCAGTGGCACAATCTCGGCTCACTGCAAGCTCCACCTCCCGGGTTCACGCCATTCTCCTGCCTCAGCCTCCCGAGTGGCTGGGACTACAGGTGCCTGCCACCACGCCTGGCTAATTTTTTGTATTTTTAGTAGAGACAGGGTTTCACCATGTTAGCCTGGATGATCTCGATTTCCTGACCTCATGATCCGCCTGTCTTGGCCTCCCAATTCTGCCGTTTTTAAACCAGTATTTCCTCAGTCCAGTCAGCCAACTTAAATCTCATGAGTTTCTGCCTTCTACTGAAAGAAAAATTTGCTAGTGACTCAATCTTAGAAAAAAGAAAATCTCCTTCTATAAAGACCTCAAAATTTCCTGTCAACAGCTTTAGTTTGTGAACCTTAAACTCTTATTGAAAATCTATGTTTAGGGTGTAAGCAGTTTATCATGGTATCTTCCTCCCCCTTACCCTTCTCCTCTTTTTGGGAAGTCATCCTTCACATATTGTTTGGTTTCATCCTGATGCATCTAGAGGACATAAGAATGGGGTTTCTGAAACAGTTCTCCCATGAATTAATTAGTCCTGCAACTTATAGGGTTTCCAGAGTTATTGGGTAAACTACAGTTTATTTCCCTCTTGGAGTGTTATAATTCACTAGTAAAAGTATTTCTCTTCCAACTTCTTAGAGATCCAGCAGTGAGGTCATCTACCCTGGTTAACCACATTCATCCTTGGAGAAACACTTTATATTAAGCTTGTTTCTTATCTATGAAATGAGTGGTTTAGATCAACTTCATCTCTAGAGTACCTGTTTTCTATTTCTTTTCAGATTTTATAGATCCTGATACTTAACTTTTTTTTTTTTTTTCTGTCCCTTTATATAGAATTCTAGATGAGCTTTCCCATACAACTGTGCTTCAGGAAATCTTAAGTTTGTTTAGGTTTCCTAGTCATTCTAGGAAATTGGATATACTTCATTGTTGTGCATTATAAAATGATTAGATTAAAAAAAAAGCTTTTCCTTAAGAGAGACAGACACTGAAGAATGATGCGTATGTATGAAGGGATGGATTGATGAGGAATGTTACATGTTCAGCAAACTATTTCAGGGAGGCATATCCTTGGTTAAGTTAAAAAGTGTAAGTTCACATTTACTGAGCATCATTTACACTGTGTTGCACAAAGTTTTATTACAGAGGTATGATAAAACTTAGTGTTAATATGGCTTATTGCATGAATTTTGATGCATAGATAGATGTTCCCCAATAATTACTATTATAAAATGATTCTGTATCACAATGTAGCAGTAAATACTTTTTTTGCTTTATTATTTTATTATTTGCATTATTTTGCTCCTTAATGCAAAATAACTTTTTAAGATAACCTGTGTGAGTTTTGAACCTAAGACCGTATCTTTTGTTTGGCAGCCTTTTTTCCACTAATAGACACTTTATGGAATTAGCTGCAAGAAAGGCTCTTAGAAACCATTTAGTCCAACAGCCTCATGTTACAGATGAAAATACTGAGGCTCTGTGACAGAAAGTCACCTTTTTTTCCTCTACTAACTCTAGACTTACTCCTTTGGGGAAAAAAAACAAAAACAAAAACCTGTCTTGAGGTATGAATGATCCCTTTCCTTTTTAGTACAAGAAAATATATTTAAAATCCAGTTCAAAATAATATCTCCTTTTAGGTTATTAACATAACAATAGGGCTTTGTGTATATACTGCCAGAGTTAAGAGTTAAATATTAACCTGTTAAATTCCTGTTCAGGTTTACTTTTGGACATCAAGCCCATCACTGCCAGCCAGTGAAGAAGGATTCCAGCCTATGCCCTCAATCACAATAAGACCACCAGATGACCAACATCTTCCTACTGCAAATACTTGCATTTCTCGACTTTACGTCCCACTCTATTCCTCTAAACAGATTCTCAAACAGAAATTGTTACTCGCCATTAAGACCAAGAATTTTGGTTTTGTGTAGAGTATAAAAAGTGTGTATTGCTGTGTAATATTACTAGCAAATTTTGTAGATTTTTTTCCATTTGTCTATAAAAGTTTATGGAAGTTAATGCTGTCATACCCCCCTGGTGGTACCTTAAAGAGATAAAATGCAGACATTCCTTGCTGAGTTTATAGCTTAAAGGCCTAAGGAGCACTAGCAACATTTGGCTATATTGGTTTGCTAGTCACCAACTTCTGGGTCTAACCCCAGCCAAAGATGACAGCAGAACAACATAATTTACACTGTGATTTATCTTTTTGCTGAGGGGGAAAAAATGTAAATGTTCTGAAAATTCACTGCTGCCTTTGTGGAAACTGTTTCAGCAAAGGTTCTTGTATAGAGGGAATAGGGAATTTCAAAATAAAAAATTAAGTATGTTCTGTGTTTTCATTTTAACTTTTTTTATGGTGTTTAATTTGTGGTTGGCTGCAACTGTGTATCATGTATATGGAACTTGTAAAAAAGTTCTCGACATTCAGATCTTAAGAGATGAAATCACTTTTACCTATAAAAACCACTTTTATTGCGGTTTGACTGCATTGAGCTCTAGGATATTAAATGATATCACTAATATTTTGCATGTAATTTGCTCATTTGAGTGAGGGCACTTTTTTTGTACATATGATGGGGCCAATGCACAATACTTTTATCACAATCAACTTTTTCTTTGTATCCCTATTTCAATGAGCAGTCAGTCTCAAGAGGTTACTGCACTTCAGTTCTAACTAGACATTTGTACTAAGGTATTTCAGTTATGTAAACTCAGCCTGGGCACTTTCTGATAACTGTAAAATGTTTTATAAGATCATGATTATTGAAGATACATTTTGGAAAATTTTAAATGTTCGTGAGCAGCTTAACTACTTTTGTATCTAGCCTTTTTTAAGTATCTTGTTACATTTACTTTTTTAAATAAAGAAATTACAGAAGAAATGTCAAGTAATATTGAAGAAACAATAGTTTTTATTTATGTAGTTGTACATTTTTAAACTAAGGGCAATACACTGACATGGTTATGTGCATAAAAATTTTGACTTAAAGAACTGGAAGTTTATATACACCTGGACTATAAGAAACAGAAGAAAATCAGTCCACATTTTACAGTTAGCAGAGAATCCTAAATGGCACTGGCCTGGCCACCTTTTCATTTTACAAATGGGGGAAGTGAAGTGTGACCCCTTACTTGGCATAGGAAGTTAACTTACACCTAATAACTGACAGGTTTTTGTTTTGATGACCTATTAATTATGTAGCCTAGGATTAATATCCCAAAATTACTCTGGTTTAAGTAGCTTTATTCAGTGGCATAATAACACTGTTTTCTTCCTTAAGTCTTCAATGAAGTGACTTAAAACAGTCACTTTACATATTAAAAATGAGGAGAGCAATTCTCTGGAATCTCTCCTTTCAGTTCCTTTGTAGGATTTCTGGCCTTGAGGATAGTCTTCATGTTCAAAGGCACTATGCTTTTATTATATAACTTCCTTCAGAAGACTGAACCACATGATATTCTCAGCCCTGTTAACACTAAAAATATTTAAAACTGAATGATAGTAGTGACTCATTGTATTACTTAAAACTTATATAACACGCTGTATTAGATGTGTGTAAATTAGCCAAAGGTTATTTTACAAAGTGAGACATTGGTTTTTATGTCTAAATGCTATTTCTGAATAAATGAAATAGTAATTAGATCAAGAGCTGATTAGCATCAATGTGTTTGAAAGATATAAAATTTATACATCACCTTAACCTCTGTATGCACATGATGGGATTGATAAAATATTAAATGAGAACAAACTAGATATGATTAGGACATTTGAAACCCTAATTGTGAATTTATTTTTAATAGTTACTGAAATGAAAATATTTAAAATAATGCACAATGTCTTAAGTCTTCCTAAATCAAGATTTTGGTTAAAAAATACTTCTAATAATAGTAAAAGATTTTTTTTTTAAGTAAATCATAAAACGGTTCTAAATGTAAAATAAAGACATGTAAAATAAAGTTCTCTTTTGGTCTTGTTTAGTGTTTAAATCTAACAATTGAAAACAAATTTAGGAAGAGAAGACCAAGAATGAACTTTACTGAGTGTTTTCAGAGTTTGCTACTACTATTTTTTTCCCTAAATCATCTGGATACCAAGACTATCCAGTAAAATGGATAACTGGGGCAGACTTGAGAGGGTATTTTAAAGGAATGATTTCACTATTTAGTAGCTGCCCCCAAACAACATCCCTCCCATAAAGATACTATTTTTACATTTTAAAGGTAGTCAGCAATTCCTATGTTTAAACTCAAGTTGAGATAATCCCTTGAGGCAGTAGTTTCCATGCTTCTGTATGTTGTAAGATTCATTTGTAAAGTTTGTTAATGCAGATTCTTAAGCATTCCTCATCCTCTTGCCTCCTTTCTGATTCAGTAAGTCTTTGGTGGAGGCCAGGAATCTTCATGCAGATCATCCCAGGTGATTCTGAAACACTGCCCAAAGAATATTTCCTTTTTATTTACAAATATAAATGTCCCGCTGAAAGCTCCTGAGAGCCAAACCTTTCCTACTTAGAACTGCTTACAATCTATGGAAAAGTACATCTATTGATAAACTAGTCCTAGGTTGGATTCTTCCTACTGATAAGGGGCTGGTTGGAAGTGCCTTCAATAGACTGTGCTTGGGTAGTGAATGAAAATATTTTTACTGTTTATGTTAACCTATGTAAGTAGGCATAAACATAGATTATTTAAACACCATTTGATTACCACAGAAGTGATAGTTGTATGAAAAACAATAGGAATGTATTTAAAATGTGACTTTTAAATTTACCTCAAGGTATCTTGGGTTAAGCAAAGTATCTTCTGTTTCTCTAAATTACTTTTATTACAGTACTTACTGTGTGCCATGCATCTTGTTGAGTGTTCCACATGTATTATTTTACCCCATGAGAAAGACTATTATGATCCTCGAGAGGAATGGAGACACAGGTTAAACAACTTGCTCAAAGTTACACAGCTACTTAGTGCTAAAGTGAGGTACATCTCCAAGCATTCTGGAGCTTGTATATACTACACGTTGTGCTATAGTATTCTGTGGAAGGTATAAGTGAGTTGGTCATAGGATAATCAAATATTCCGATGCAAGTCCTGGCTGCATTATGAAAAGGCAGTAATTCATATATTTTTGCTAAATATTTCTAAAAAACACTTTTGTCCTGCATAATTTTCCCCAGGATAATAATTTGAAGATATGAGAACTGTCTAAAATCAACCATGGTACCTTAAAATGAAAAGCTAACTTTTTTGTTCTTGAGCTTTCTCATAAGGTATAAAGAGCTGCTTGCTCTAAAAGAGCAGATGTTTGTTTCATGGGTAAAATAACTCAATTTTCTGAATCTTTTCAGACTCTATTTTTAGCTGCTAAACTTTAAGTCAGTAGTTTGCACTGCTACAGGCTGACTTTGATACAAGTAGGATCTCTTCTGGAAAAACATTACCAGGCCATGTACTTGTATCTGAAATGCTGTCTTCAATGGGGAAGGTGAAATTTGGCTATTTACGATGTTTAAATGCATTGTCATTCTCTGGCAAGCTTATGGCATGGTTCTGATTAGATGTGTTTTGAGTTAGCCCTAAGAAAGTATCTGTAAATAAAGTGCTTCAGGCTCCCAGGTAGCCAACTACATTTTTATATGTTCAGTTTTGTCTAATGAAATCACAGGCACTGTGATTGGAAGGCTTATGTGACAATCACCTTTAATATATTTACTTTTTAGTAACTTTACGGAACAAATATCTAAATTTATGTTGTTTTCTTAAAAATTCTGCCTACATAAAAACAGTCATAGTGATCCTCAACTACCCATATGGAGGAGTGAGTGAAAACAAAACAGTCAACTGGGCGCCGTGTCTCACGCCTGTAATCCTAGCACTTTGGGAGGCCAAGGCGGGCGGATCACTTGAGGTCAGGAGATAGAGCGCATCCTGGCCAACATGGTGAAACCCCGTCTCTACTAAAAATACAAAAATTAGCTGGGTGTGGTGGCACATGCCTGTAATCCCAGCTGCTTGGGAGGCTGAGGCAGGAGTATCACTTGAACCAGGGGTTCAGAGGTTGCAGTGAGCCGAGATTGCACCACTGCACTCCAGCCTGGAGATAACAGCCAGACTCCATCTGGAAAAAAAAAAAAAAAGTCACATTGGCCTCAAAATATAGGCACTGAAGTCCAAGTACAGTGATTAAAAGGAGAGGGTTTGATTCCTAGAGTTTTTGATCATCAGGTTCCTGCTTTAACACAGACCAGAAATAGCAAAATTAAGATCAAGGAAGCTAGAAAGATGAAGGAAGCTAGAAAACATTCAAAAAGCACAACAGAATGAAGCCACTTAATGTAGAAATATTTGGTTAGCACCAGGTCTAGAAGTCTGAATACTGCAAATATTGTGCCTGCTACATAAGGATGACATGCAGCAGCTTTATCCAATTCAAAAACAGCACTCAAGGCTAACATTTACTTTAGGTCAGGATAGTTATCCACTAAAAACTGTTCTATATACTCTGGAAGAAAGTGGAGAAGCATGCATTTAAAAAGATATGTCCAATGTTGATTAAGATGTTTTAAAAGAAATTCTGTAACCCGAAATACAGGGCCTTGATCAAAGCAAGCACTTTTTTTTTTGAGATGGAGTCTCGCTCTTTTGCCCAGGCTGGGGCGCAGAGGTGCGATCTCGGCTCACTGCATCCTCTGCCTCCCAGCCTCAAGCAATTCTCGCGCTTGAGTCTCCTGAGTAGCTGGGATTACAGGCACTCACCATCATGCCCAGCCAATTTTTGTATTTTTGTAAAGACGGGGTTTCACCATGTTGGTCAGGCTGGTCTTGAACTCCTGACATCAGGTGATTCGCCCGTCTCGGCCTCCCAAAGTCCTGGGATTACAGGTGTGAGCCACCGCACCTGGCCCTCACTCATATTTTTTGAATGAAAGAATTTATTTCTAAAAGGTGCCAAATTATCTGGAACCACTATATTACCTATAATAAGTGCAGCAGTAGAGCACTATATAGAAAAGCTATGGTCCTTGACCTGGATGAGAAGAAATGTACATTTTCTTGATCACATGAACTTCTTGGAAGAATTGTAAAACACTGATTCTCTTATTTTTAAAATAAAACTTTAGCAGATCTTGGGACACCTGTTTAAGGGAGGCAAAAACTTGCCAGGTTTAAGGTACAGCAGCTGAAGTGTTTAAGTGATCTGAGAAAGTGAAAAAGAACTAAGGTTTCTGTGCAATTTTTTTGTCATTCTGTACTTTCCCCTACTGCTAATGCCCTAAACCAATGCAAGTTGAGTACAGTAACAAGAGGGTCCCTGCCCTCCCACAGCTATGACTTTACCCTAAAAGCTTCACAGATATTCCAACTCTCACCACTCTTGGTCCATCCATGTGCTATCTGAAACTAGTTTATGTGCTCATTGTCTGACTTCCCCTAGTGACCCTACACAATAATAGCAGAGGCTATCAGAAACTCTATCCTTGTTCACTTCTCTTAAGCCCAGTGTGTACCACAATGCCTGGTCAAAAATCATTTATGAATCAGTAAATTATATAGTTCCCATGTCAGAAACGGAATCATTCAATTCCCTCTTTACCCCTAACATTCATATTAACCATCAAGCCCTACAGTTACTATATATTGAACTCTTGAGTTAATCTACTTCTCTCCACATCCACTATCATTACCTAACTTTGTCACCACCTTCTACCTAGATTATGTCAATAGCTTACTAACCAGTTTCTGTTTATTGTTTTGCTCCCTTTAATATGTAGAGGCAGAACAAGTTCTAAAATGCATATTAACCATTTTACTCACTCACCTGTTTAAAATACACTGACTTTCCACGGATGGCTATGTAAGATGAAGTTCAAACTCAACAAGGCCCTTCATGATTGGATCTTGCTTTACAGCCTTATATTTACTTACTATCTTGTTATACTGAAAGACTTGCAGTCCCCTGGTGGGTTATGACCTCTATCGCCTTGGAGCCTGTATAAATACTTGCTCCCTCTGACCTTACTGCCCACTCTTTATGGCCCCTCATCTTGGAATGGTTAGTTCCTATTCATAATTCAGAATCCGGTTTACCCACCTCTTTGAGGTGCTCTCCTTGACCTGCCCTCCACCCTCCACCTTGACAAAGCTGTTTTACTTTCTTTGTACTCCGTCTGAACAATGTATCTGCTTGATTTTCCCTTCTACTCTGTAAGTTCCTTTAGTGTAGGAACTCTGTCTCAATTACCTTTTTCTCTCCAGTGCCTGGTAGAATGTTAAATTTATTGAATGGATTCAAATGACCAACTTCAATCCAATTTAGGAACATACTATTGTAATCTGTTGTTTTTATCTCACCTGGAACTCTGCACCTTTGAAATGTTGTCTTATTATCCAACTCTATGACCCAAAACTCCTGTCCTTCCAATGCTCTCACACTTACGAGTAAAAGAAAGTTGTCTCACTTCTTTTCTTCTGCATTTAGCCTAGACATAGCAACTTATTCTGAAACAGTTAAGAGGGAAAATGTTCTTTGTACTGAACTCGAAATTTTTTAGAAAAAATCTATATTGCTTGTTGATTCTTTTGCAAAAACTGCTTTACTTACTATTAATGTGACGGGTTGCTAAGTATGGCTTTCAGGTTGTCACAGCTGGATCAGATCAATGGCTGAGCCAATCAGTTCTGAACCACATTACTAGAAACCCCCAGTTGGATCTCATGAGAATCATGATCTTGACATGTCCAAAACAACTCACTATTTTCCTACTAAGACTTCATGGGCAAAAGGCACTGCTAACTGCCTAGTCTCTGGATTAGAAACTTGTAGTCATTGCTGGGCGCAGTGGCTCACGCCTGTAATCCCACCACTTTGGGAGGCTGAGGCAGGCAGATCACCTGAGGCTGAGAATTCGAGACCAGCATGACCAACATGGAGAAACTAGTCTCTACTAAAAATACAAAAATTAGCCAGGCATGGTGGCGCATGCCTGTAATCCCAGCTACTTGAGAGGCTGAGGCAGGACAATCGCTTGAACTCAGGAGGCGGAGGTTGCAGTGAGCCGAGATCGTGCCATTATACTCCAGCCTGGGCAACAAGAACGAAACTCTATCTCAAAAAAAACAAACAAACAAAAAAAAAAAACTTGTAGTCATCCTAGAATCCTCCCTCTACCCTACACTCCATATCCAACCACTGATCAAGTCATCTTGAGTACATTTACTTAACTCACATGCACGGATTCTTCTTGCATTCCCCACCACCACTGCCTTATTTCAAGCTTGCTTTATCCTGTACTGGGCCTATTCCAACTAGCTCTAAACCAATCTAATTCCAAAATTTTCACCTTCCTTCACACTGGAGGCCTTCCTGAATTATAAATGAATGGCTCATTAAATATAGACCTGTTTAGTGATTTTCAAACTAGGGTTCAGGATCTGCCAATTTTCCACAAGCATCTTATTTTGATTCTTAATATATATATGCAGTATCTTGAATTACCTGGTTGACCATTTATGATGGCACTGATGTCAAATAATACATAAAAACTTAAAGAATGGAATTAAATATGTAAATGACACATTTGTTCCTTATGAAAGGCAACTGATAAAAAGAGTTGTAGAAAAAGTTATCCCATGGCTACGATGCAAAAAAACATGCTTCATTAATGGTCACTATAAAATTCACACTGATGCAATATAGTTTCAGCAAAGCAACATCATCATCCATTGCTTTTGGTTGTAAACTGGAATTTTACCATTTCTATAGTCTTGTTTGTATTTAATTTATAGATCTACTTTTAGTTGTGTAAAGCTCCAAGAATAAGGAGTTTATTACTGGTCTTAGGTTTGTACATACTTAAGTAACAATACATATGTAGTTTAAGTCAATATCAAAGTGGCTGTGAAAATTTTTTTATTTAAAAGGGGTTGAGGCCAGGCACGGTGGCTCACACCTGTAATCCCAGCACTTTGGGAGGCCAGGGCAGGCGGATCACTTGAGGTCAAGAATTTGAGACCAGCATGGCCAACATGGTGAAACTCCATCTCTACAAAAATACAAAAATTAGCTGGACATGGTGGTGTGTGCCTGTAGGCTCAGCTACTCAGGAGGCTGAGGCAGGAGAACCCCTTGTACCTGGGATGCAGAGACAGCAGTGAGCCGAGATCATGTCACTGCACTCCAGCCTGGGCGACAGAGTCAAGACTCTGTCTCAAAAAAAAAAAAAAAAAAGGGCAGGGGTGTTGAGACATCAAGTTTGAGAAATGAGGATTTACCCAGTAAATGACATACAATAAGACAGCAATAGCTTGAAATTACATATTTTCTATACAAAAGGCTAGCTTGTCTTCCTAGGCGATCACCACACAAATCTCTAAGTGGAATGGATGCTGGACCAGTTACTATGGCTGCATAACAAATTATCCCAAAATTGGTGGCTTAAAACAACCATTTGTTAGGCTCGTGGATTCTGTGGGTTAGGAATTTGCACAGAACCCAAGATGGTGTTTTTCCTGCTCCATAATTTCTGGGGTTTTCAACTGGAAGGCATGACAGCTAGGAGTTGGATTCCTCTGAAGGCTCATTCATTCACACATCTGGAGGTTGATGCTAGCTGTTGGCTGGTGCTTCAGTTGCTTTCCATGTGGACTTCCCATGTAGTCTCTCTGTGTGAGCTAGTTTTTGGCTTCCTTTAGCATGGTACCTAAGCTCCCAAGGAAAGTGCCCAAAAGAGAGACAACACCAAAGCTATCTGTAGTGTCCTTAATGAATGAGGCTTAAAAGTCATGCATCACTTAACAACAGGAATATGTTCTGAGAAATGTGTCATTAGATTATTTCATTGTTGTGCAAACATCATAGAGTGTATTTACACAAACCTAGATGGTAATGCCTACTATACACCTAGGCTGTATGTGGTATTGCTCCTAAGCTACAAACTTGTACAGCATGTTACTGTACTGAATATTGTAGGCAACTGAAACACAATTGTATTTGTGTATCTAAACATAGAAAAGGTACAGTAAAAATATGATATAAAAGGTTTTTTTAAAAAGGCACACTTGTATAGGGCAGTTACCATGAATGGAGATTGCAGGACTGGAAGTTGCTTTAAGTGAGTCAGTCAGTGAGTGAATGTGAAGGTTTAGAGTATTACTACACACTACTGTAGATGCCATAAATACTGCATACTTAGGCTACAAGAAACTTATGAAAAATATTTTTCTTTCTTCAATAAATTAGCCTTACCTTACTGTAACTGTATTTCAAAAACGTTTTAAATTTTTAAAGCTTTTTGACTCTTTTGTAATAACACTTAGCTTAAAACAGTGCATAGCTGCACAAAATTTTCTTTCTTTATATTCTTATTCTATAAACTCTTTCCTATTTTTTAAAATAATTTACTTTTTGAACTTTTTTTGTTAAAAACTAAGACACACACATGCATTAGTCTGTGCCTACACAGGGTCAGGATCATCAATATTACTGTTTTCCACCTCCACATCTTGTCCCACTGGAAGGTCTCCAGGGGCAATAAATACATGAAGCTGTCATTTCCTATGATAGCCATACCTTCTTCTGGAATACCTCCTGAAGGACCTGCCTGAAGCTATTTTACAGTTACTGATTTTTTTATATATATAATTAGAAGGAGTATACACTAAAATAATGATAACTATAGTAAATACATAAATCAGTAATATAGATTATCACTATCAAGTATTATGTAGTGTACATAATTATATAAGCTATACTTTACACACTGGCAGATTTGTTTACAGTAGCATCAACACAAACACATGAGTAATGTGTTGTGCTATGACTATAACGTCACTATGATAGGAACTTTTCAGCTCCATTATAATCTTATAGGACCACCACCATATATGGGGTCTATCATTGACCAAAATGTTACATGGCACTTGACTGTATCCTATTTGTTAGAAGTTAGTATTAATAGCCGGGTGCCGTGGCTCACGCCTGTAATGTCAGCACTTTGGGAGGCCGAGGCAGGTGAATCACGAGGTCAAGAGATCAAGATGATCCTTGCTAACACGGTGAAACCCCGTCTCTACTAAAAATTAAAAAAATTAGCTGGATGTGGTGGTACTCGCCTGTAATCCCAGCTATTCGGGAGGCTGAGGCAGCAGAATCACTTGAATCCGGAAGGCGGAGGTTGTAGTAAGCCGAGACCGTGCCACTGCACTCCAGCCTGGTGCCCGAGCGAGACTCTGTCTCAAACAAACAAACAAACAAACAAACAAACAAAAGTTAATATTGATGGCCTATATGCAAAGGGAAGTGCATTAGACACCACCTTTTAAGGGGAGGTGTATCCAAGTTCTGGAACAGCATATGGTACCAGAAATATTGTTGTGGCCATTTTTGGAAAATACAATATGCCATAAAGTCCATATGAAGATGCAGAATCCTCTTACTCCTTGAGATCTTTCAGTTACGCGTGTTATTTTTTTCCATTTGCTCTTCCAATAACTTTGAACATCCTGGGGGAAACTCACACTGCCTACACTATTCTGAGTACTGTGATGTTTTTGCTGTGTCATTTAAGAATATTCAATTCTGCCACAGAAATTGAGAGAAACTAAGTATGGGAGCAAATGGCTTGTTAGACATAATGAAATTTGTAAGATGTATTAAGTATAAATAATAAATAATTACACTGTGAGGCATGTTAAAAATAGGATGAATGGAACATATATGTATTGAACATACACAAAAATAATGGAACACATGAGAGTTCCACTTTTAGATTAAAAGGGCTAGAAGGACCAAGTAAATTTTTTTTTTTGAGACGGAGTTTCGCTCTTGTTGCCCAGGCTGGAGGGCAGTGGCACAATCTCAGCTCACCACAACTTCCGCCTCCCAGGTTCAAGCGATTGTTCTGCCTCAGCCTCCCGAGTAGCTGGGATTACACGCTTGCACCACCACGCCTGGCTAATTTTTTATTTTTAGTAGAGACAGGGTTTCTCCACGTTGGTCAGGCTGGTCTCGCACTCCCGACCTCAGGTGATCTGCCCACCTCGGCCTCCCAAAGTGCTGGGATTACAGGCGTGGGACACGGTGCCCAGCCCCAAATAAATCTTAAATATTCATAAGGTAATGATCATGTTACTGCCAGACTGACAACTATGTTATCCCTAAACCAGCCACTCACTGGTGAGATCCACTCTGGCCCCACACGTGCTCTGTCCAAGAAACACAGATACCATCCATAGCTGCTCAGTAGGTTAATTATAACTGGTTATAAATGCAGTTATAGCTGGAGTCAGGTTCCAGCAGTTCTCCAAAAGAAAAGTGTGTGCTGGCTCCACCTTCTACCTGCTGAGCAGTCTTGCTCATCCTCACTATGGTCCTCATAACTACACCACCAGCAAGGAAGTCTGATGCATCAAACAGTACACGAACAGTAACATTAAGATTCAGATGGTATAATCCTTCCACTCTCTCCCCTCCCCACATCCTAACCAAAATATGTTAGTCCACTCAATCTCTTTCCCCTTGCTGTTATGTTTTAAAATGATTTAATAGGGTACAGCTTGTGTGCTTGTTTGGCACAGAACTGGCACCTGTTTTGTGAAGTGGCAGCTAAGAAGACTCTGGCTGACAGAAAGCCCAAAGAAGGAGGCAAGATTGAGAACAACAATCCTATTAATTTGAAGGTGGCAGGGCAGAATGGGTCTGTGGTGCAGTTTAAGATTAAAAGGCATATTCCAGCCGGGCGCAGTGGCTCACACTTGTAATCCCAGCACTTTAGGAGGCCAAGGTGGGCGGATCACCTGAGGTCAGGAGCTCGAGACCAGCCTGGCCAACATGGTGAAACCCCGTCTCCACTAAAAAAAAATACAAGAATTAGCCAGGTGTGGTGGCAGGTGCTTGTAATCCCAGTTACTCGGGAAGCTGAGGCAGGAGAATCACTTGAACCTGGGAGACAGAGGCTGCAGTGAGCCGAGATCCCGCCACTGCACTCCAGCCTGGGTGACAGAATGAGACTCCGTCTTAAAAAAAAAAAAAAAAAGGTGTATACCACTTAGTAAATTAATGAAAGCCTATTGTGAACAGGGTTAGGCAATGAGGTTGATCAGATTCTAGACTTCATGTGCAACCAATCAATGAAATAGACACACCTGTAAAGTTGAAGATGGAGGCTAAAGATACAATTAATGTGTTCCAAGGACAGGAGGTTTTGACTAAAAATGGAGCCTGCTACTTTATTACAGAACTCTGTTCTTACGGACCAAGAATGCATTTTCAATTAGAAAACTGCGATTTGGTTCCATCACACCCTGACTACTACAGTATAGTTTTCTCTATCATTTTCCTCTTCCCCATTACTTTATTATATGTATATATTAGTTACAATGTAACTATGTAAACAATTAAATGTGTAACTGCAAGATCTCTAGGAGTAACAGAATTCTACATCTTCATATAGTCTTTATGGCATATTGTATATGCCATAGTTATAATGCATAAAAGCGTATTGCATTTTTTAACCAAATGGTCAATTTTTTTTTTTTTTTTTTGAGACGGGGTGTTGCTCTTGTTGCCCAGGCTGGAGTGCAGTGGCGCGATCTTGGCTCACCACAACCTCCGTCTCCCGGGTTCAAGTGATTCTCCTGCCTCAGCCTTCCGAGTAGCTGGGATTACAGGCATGCGCCACCGTGCCCGGCTAATTTTGTATTTTTTTAGTAGAGATGGGGTTTCTCCATGTTGGTCAGGCTGGTCTCGAACTCCCGACCTCAGGTGACCCACCCGCCTTGGCCTCCCAAAGTGCTGGGATTACAGGCGTGAGCCACTGCGCCTGGCCCCAATGTTATCTTTTGATCCGCATCAAATGAAGATAGGATGGGCGGAGAAATATGGTTTTGTGAAGACTCCCTTCTCCATTAATGCCATGCTCATTCAGGTCTTATCTTTATATTCCAGTTCGTTATTTTGCTCTGTTTTAACCAAAAAAACCCCACACACAAAACAAAACACCATAACAGTTTTTGCATATCTTCTTCAGTTGAAGAATTGTAATGTATTTTGTTTATGATTGTAAAGCCAAGGACAATTCTTTTTTTTTTTTTGAGACTGAGTTTTGCTCTTGTCATCAAGGCAGGAGTGCAATGGCACAATCTCAGCTCACTGTAACCTCTGCCTCCAGGATTCAAGCTATTCTCCTGCCTCAGCCTCTCAAGTAGCTAGAATTATAGGCATGCGCCAACACGCCCGGCTAATTTTTGTATTTTTAGTAGAGACGGGTTTTGCCATGTTGGTTAGGCTGGTCTCGAACTCCTGGCCTCAGGTGATCCACCCGCCTTGGCCTCCCAAAGTGCTGGGATTACAGGCGTGAGCCACCGTGCCGGCCTAGCCAAGACAATTTTATAACTCTTTGTACGTGGCTATTACATGTAAGGCAATCTTTCAGTAATGACACATTACTCTTAAAAAAAAATCCTAGTTTTCCTTTCAAGTCAAATGTCTTGTTTGAATAAACTTATTTAAAATGAAAATAAATTGATTTAATAAACTGTGTGACTCAGGCATCTCAATTTGATCTGAGCCTTTTGAACTCAGCCATCTGAGTTCCATGACCCTCTGGGATGGCCTGACTCGTACGTGGAAGCTACCATTGCATCAAGGTAATTTCCCACCCCAATAAGTGTTTTACAAGTAATATATTATTAAATTCACACAACAACCTTATGAGGAAGGGATTATTATTCTTATCCTGTAGATGAGAAAGCTGAGTCTCAGAGAGGTTAATTGACCCAAGGTAGCATAGCTAATAAGTGAGGGAACTAGAATTCATGCCCATGATGATATGACTTTTTCACCAAACTCATTCATGTTTGTATCTTGAATACCTAAACGTGATGCCCGACACACAATTATTGTTTGATGACTTTAATTGAATCTGATTATTTGCCACGTGGCCTATAGTAAATTGAGACTCAGTTGCCTAGCAGAATGTATGTGGCTATTATTTAAAGTTCACAGATGAAAAAAATTTCACTCAGCATTTGACCCCTAGTAGTTGCTTTAAGAAAGACTGTCTACCCCTACGCTATGGCAGGTTTGAGAAAGGGCTTTCAGCATTTTCAACGCTTAAAGTGAGATCTTGATCCTATTTACCATCCTTCAGCCAGCCACAAAACAGGTGCATGCTGTTCAGGTCATGGCAAGATCCCGTCAATCTTTCAGCTTCAAACTACTTAAACAAATCTCTCTTCCATTTTATTTTTGTTAGACCAAACTATTTTTTTCAAAATATATTTTTTTCAAAATATTTGCCTGACTTTAGTAACGTGTCCCTCTCCCCCTCACTCACCCGCATTCACACACACACACACACACTTTCCCCCAGACACTTCCCCTTTTCGGTTGTTTACGCACGAAACCAGCCAGCCCTTTCCCTAGCGAAGTGTTTGGCGGTGTAGCTGTCCCGTCCCCGGCGCTTCCCACAGCAACAGCGCGTTCTCTTCGCCTCCCGCAGTCTCTCAGGACAGGCCAGGCTAGCGCAAAGTACCGTGTTCCTGGAACACCACGAGGGCGAGCTCGGGAATCTCGAGCCGGCCTGCAGGACACCTGCCGCACCAAGTGGCTAGAGCCCGGGGAGGGCGAGGCGAGGTGGGACGAGGCGGGGTGGTGAGCGGGCCGGGAAGGCGAGGCCGCGCGGACTCTGGGATAGCTCCTCAGGAGTGGGCGCCCGGAGTGGGCGAGCGGAGGAGGCGGGGCCGATGAGGTGAGGTGGGGCCAGCTGGAGTAGGCTAAGCAGTCCAGAGCAGGGGGCGTCCCTCAGTGGAAAGCCGGGCGACTGGGCGGTGCAACAGAGTAAGGCGGGGCCAGCGGAAGCAGGGAGATTTCCTTAGGCCGCAGGCGGGGAAATGGGGCTGGCCGGGGTAGGCGGAGCCCCGAGGCAGGGGAGGCGTGGCTGGCAGAGGTAGGCGGTGCCCCAAGGCAGGCGGGGCTTGCCGAGACAGGGATAATCCCTTAGGCCACAGGCTGGGAGGCAGGGCAGGCCGAGGCGGGGAGGATCCCTTAGGCCGCAGTAGGGGAGGCGGGTCGGCCGAGGCGGGGAGAAACCCTTAGGCCGCAGGCGGGGAGGCGGGGCTGGCCGAAGTTAGGCGGAGCCCCGAGGCGGGGGAGGCGGGGCCGGGCCGGCGCAGGGAGAGTCACTCAATGGACAGGCGAGAAAGCAGGACCGGCGCGGCGGGGCGGGGCCGGCCGAGTCCCTAGAGCTGGGGGCGGGGCGGACCCAGCGGACCAGCGGACCACCTGGGTGCTGTCGTAGTTGGAGGTGGCCTGAGGAGCTCAGTTCCCTCAGCGCCCGTAGCTTCGGCGGAGTCTGCGCGATGGGCGACCCGGAAAGGCCGGAAGCGGCCGGGCTGGATCAGGATGAGGTAAATGTTGCTGTTGCGTCTTCCCCCTCACCGCAGTCACGCCAGCCCGTTAGATTGCAAGTTGCAGGACCGCTGTAGGAAATGTTATTCGCCGCGGTCAGGACAGGCCTGTCCGCCCGCCCTCGCCGCAGCCTGGCTTCGTCGTTGCGAGCGCCGGGGAGGCCGTCCCCGGGGAGGGCGGAGGAAGGAGCTGACTTTGGGTTTGCGTCCCGCTCGCTGCTCTGCCCCGGGGCCAGCCAAGGACGACGCTTGGAGGCCTCAGGCCGGGGTGAGACTTACCCCTGCGTTTATCCGCCTCACGCTCTCCCACCCTCCTTCCCTGTTTTGGAGCCCTGGCCAGGGAAACCGAGGCAAGGAAAGAGGACTGTGGCGGCTCTGCTGGAGAGGTGCATACCATTTGGGATGGTGACAAGGAGTTGGAGAACGCGTGTGGAAATTGACACAGGTGGCTGGGGTGAAGATGACAGGTAGAAGGGGACACGAAATCCTCATGACCTCCTCCCAGTGAAAAAATCAGGGTAGGAGGCCAGTTTTGCTCAGGCCCGGCTCCTTAACTAACTGAATCTTCGGGGTGTCACTTTCTTCCTTTATACAATGGAAGTGATACTTCAGAGAGAATTAAGTAAAATGCTTTATGCAAAGTGCCACGAAAATTGTAGGTGCTTAATAAGCCCAAGTTGTTCATCCAAGTTGTTTATGCTGATAAAAGTACCTAAAATAAATAAACCAGAATTTGTTAGACTGTAGGATTGTATGGTAGTTTAAACTGTTGCTGTATAATTTTCAAACACTGTCATTTTGCAAATACTTCTAAGCCCTTTGTGGACAAGAGAAATGCTTTTTGTACTACTGGAACCTGTTGCTGTGGTATCTTTGATTTAATACTGTGAAGATTTGGGGGAAACAAACGTTTCCACCCCAAGAGATTCATGCTTGGCCCTACATTTCTTTAGAAAGTTGTAGATTCCAGGTTTGAGATTTTATTTTATTTAACTTGATTTTTGTAAGCATTTAGTAACTAACTGTAAATATCCCTCAAGCTTTTTCTTCCTGTTTTGAAACAAATGCGTTTAGTACCAACTTCCCTACTCAAAGGGGAAAATTCAGACTGCTGTTTATGCTAATGGCACCAGCAGTGATTCAGGCTTAACACCTGGATATTACATTTTATTTATTACTCCTATCTCAATGATACAGACCCGCAAGGACAGACAGAATTTTAGATTCAGAATGAATTTTAGTGGTCCAAAAGTTTTTAACTTGAGATGCTGGGTTGCCTGAAGCACTTTGTTTTTCTAGATGCCAGAGTGCATAATAGGAGACCTGCATCAGAGTCACTTGGAGTATTTTGTAAAAAATGTAAATTGCTGGACCAACACCCCAAACATAGTGAATCAAAATCTCTTGAGATCTGCATTTTTAACAAGTACTTCAGGTGATCCTGGTACACATATTAAAACAAAAACAAAAAACCCCCCACTGTCTTAAAGGGTCCATAGATAGACTAGAAGGGGCTTTATAAATCTCCTGAAGTGATATGTAGATTTTGTATGTGCAGATGTGAATCTTCTGAGAAAGGGGTCCATAGTTATTGTCAATTTCTCAGAGTTAACTATTGCTAATCTAATTCATAGTCTATTGTCAAGGTAAAGTTTAGGCCAGAAAACATTAAATGGCATGCCCAGGACTCAGTAGAGGAGCTAAATTTAAAACCAAGTTCTTGCACCTGGGCGGGTATCCCATTGGTTCCGTCAGACTTTGTGGGAATAGAAGTGAAAATAATACTTACAAGTAGTGTATGACTATGACAACATACAGCTATTTTACAGAAGTAGAAGAGACATAAAGGCAAAGAAACGGAAGTGGTGGAATTGGGGCTGGATAGGAGGTAAGAGCCTGGTATGATGCCAGCCTAGATTGGGGCATCGTAAGTGCTTGCTGGGAAATCTTGACCTAAATTGTTGTCCTGACATGCCCAGGCATGTCTTCCAACTGGGTGACCAGAAATTGAGTCAGTCGGAAACTGGAAGTACCATTCTGGAAAAAACAGCAGAATGTCACTAAGGAATGCCTACTGCTAAACTTTATTTCAAATTCTCATCACTTTACACCTGTGCGGCTATAATAATTTTGTTGTTTCTCTATCTCCTATCTTACCTGCCATTCAATCCTAATTACCATTGCCAAGTTAATCCTTCATTAGACCAGTGCCTCAGTGTCACTGACCCTGTGTCCCCCAAAAAACTCCCAAAAGAGTCTCAATTCCTACCAAAAAGCCTGGCCAACACCTCAGGCTGGTGAAGTCTTGTTGAAGCTGCTTTTTTCATGCTAACTGCCACATCTTAATTCAAGTCCTCATTTCCATCTTTGAAATTGGTTCCTTAGTTGCTTGCAAAATCTAGTTTTTTATCAATTAATCCTATACGTGGTTTTCTGATTAGTCTTCCTAATGCCACCTCTATTCATGTTAATTCCCATTCAGAAACTCTCCATGACTATTTGTACCCCCAAATCTGTGGGGTACAGATTTTCAAACTGTACCCTGCTATGAACGCCAGCACCTGGGGTTGGGGGCAAATGGGGAGAATTGGAGTATGAGCCTTCTAGACCTCCGATGTTTGAAGATCTTTGGCCACAAAATTGATTCCTAACCTCTTAGTCTGATTTATCTTAAGAGTCTAGATCCTTTGCTTTAGCCAAATCACATCATTCCTACTTTTGCTTTTCCTTGTCCTGCATCCATTTCAGCCTGTTTTAATCTCAGCTGGCTTCTCTTCTTTCATCTGCCCTTTAAATATCAGCATTCTCTAAGACTGTATCCTCAGTTGTCTTGCTGCTCTATATGTTCTCTCTGGATAATCACATCCATTCCCTTGGCAACCACTAATGGGATCTCCATCACTCGTGTTCTGCAGTGTTATATTTTTAACTGCTTACTGGACATCTTGAAACTGAATTCATTATCTTTTCTATTCTTTTTTTTTTGAGACGGAGTCTCACTCTGTCACCAGGCTGGAGTACATACAGTGGCACAATCTCGGCTCACTGCAACCTCTGCCTCTTGGGTTCAAGTGATTCTCCTGCCTCAGCCTCCCGAGTAGTTGGGAGTACAGGCGTACGCCACCACGCCCGGCTAATTTTTGTATTTTTAGTAGAGACGGGGTTTCACCATGTTGGCCAGGATGGTCTCAATCTCTTGACCTTGTGATCCGCCCGCCTCGGCCTCCGAAAGTGCTGGGATTACAGGCGTGAGGCACCACGCCGGGCCTGAATTCATTATCTCTTCTAATGACCTAGTTGACTTTGTGAGGATATTGTGTTTGTAACTTTGTTGTTGTCGCCTGGCTTGGTGGGAGGAGTTAAATTAAACTTCCGTTAAACATCTAATGTGAGAAGCAAAATTTTTGTCTGATTTATTTATTTATTCTCCAGGTACTGAGCACCTTGTGTGTGCCTTTTAGATCTTGTTATCACCCAGTTACTGGAGCTGGAAACATCAAGGGCATCTTTAACTGTTCTTGCCCCTTGTCCCAAATTCAAATTTTTAGGAAGAATAATTCATTCTACTTCTGAATATCACTTAAATCAATTTTTGTGTGTGTTTCTAGTTCAGGCAAGAGATGGGTAGTACAATAATCTTTTCATTGTTCTTTCTGCCTCTAATTTCTCTTCTAATCTAGCAATGTTTCTAGAAAAGCGATCTTAAAAGATATATCTGATTATGTTATTTGCCTTATTAAAAACCTTCAGTGGCTCCCAATAGCATACATCTTAGAGTTATTAGATGCCAAAGTGTTTTATATCAAAGCAGACCACTTTAACCTCCAAAATTTTTTAAAAATCAGATTACTACTAACCAATTTTGCTCTTTTATTAACCCTGTAAAAATATAGATACCCATGAGCTTTGAAATTTCTATGTCTAGTAGGCTGCTCTCTCATGCACCCATATATTTCTTTTTGTTTTGTTTTGTTTTTTGAGATGGAGTCTTGCTCTGTCACCAGGCCTGAGTGCAGTGGCGTGATCTCAGCTCACTGCAATCTCTGCCTTCTGGGTTCAAGTGATTCTCCTGCCTCAGCCTCCCGAGTAGCTGGGACTACAGGTACGCGCCACCACACCCAGCTAATTTTTGTATTTTTAGTAGTGACAGGGTTTCACCATGTTGGCCAGGATGGTCTCGATCTCTTGACCTTATGATCCGCCCGCCTCGGCCTCCCAAAGTGCTGGGATTACAGGCGTGAGCCACCGCGCCCTGCCCATCATATCTTTTTTCACATTTTTTTTTTCTTCTAAAATATGGGTTCTTAGATTAGGTCCACAGAGGGTACTGTGGAGAGCCTAGAGTTTCAAGATGCATGAACTTTCTGAAATTGTATTCAAATGTATGTTTGTGCACGTTTCTAAGCATTATGAAATAATACGTCATCTCTAGCCCAGCTCAAAGGTTGATGTTGGTTAACCTCCTTCTCTTCACATTGCAAAATCCCTCATAATACACTCCTAATCCAGCTACTCCTCTTAATAGTCTACAGGTTATCAGGATAGAACAGGAGAATGTGTATACAAATGTGACTTTCATTCTAACTTAAAGGTACTAGTCTTCAGCAGATCAGTTATTTATCATCATTTAAAAACTTCATTCATCGTCAGGGCATTTGGTGCTGAAGAGTGACTGCTTGTGATGTCCTTCCCAACTTCCAGTAACAAAAGTATAGAAGTTCCCAACTTTCATACTTTGAGTATATCCCAAATTTCAGTAATAAAAATAACAAAGGCCAGGAGTTTGAGACCAGCCGGGGCAACATAGCATGACCCCCATCTCTACAAAAAATTTAAAAATTATCCAGGTGTGGTGACGTGTGCACATAGTCCTAGCTACTTGGGAGGCTGAGACAGGAGGATTGCTTGAGCACAGGAGTTTGAGACTGCAGTGATCTATGATCACACTACTCTGATCTATGCACTCTAGCCTGGGTGACGGAGCAAGACCCAGTCTTAAAAAAAAATTGCTCAAATATTTGTGGAATGAGTACCAACTAAGTGCCAGGTACTGTGCTAAGCACAAGGGATTCTACAAGGGTGAAAATGGATTTTACTTTCAAGAAGCACAGGAAATTAGAGACAATTAACAGGGAATTAAATTGCAGTGAGCTATGTACTTATATCTGGAACCTAACCCAGACCTTTGGGGTGATGTGAAGAGGGGAAAATGTGATTGATTTTAATGGTTATTGGGTTGTCTCACTGATGTATTGTGGTCCTATGTTAAATTAAAATTTTCTAAAGGTACCTAGAAATCTGAGTACAGGAAGAAGAGAAATTAGCAGCCCATTTACTTAGCTAACATGCTTGACACGATACTAAGCTCTGGGAACATCACAACAAATAAAAATTGGTTCCTCTTCTCCAGGGCTCAAGTGCTGTATCTGAGGAGGCCCATACCTTTAAACAAGTAGTTAAAATCAAGACCATCTGTACTGTGATGGCAGTAGGTATAAAGCACGCAAGCCCCCCTGTATTTGCATAGCCGTATGCTTGTATTTTGGGCTTTCTTCTTGCTAAGCCTTAGCCTCCTCTGCTATAACAGTTGCTTTGGCGAGGTGACAATGGGTGGACGCTGGAGTAAGGAACATAACGGGCCTGTCACAGTAGAGAGAGAGACAGTTTTGGATAGGAGTCTAGAAGTTGTATGTGTTCTAATCCTGGTTTATACACGTTTAGCTTATTTGTATGTCCTTTGTTTATACTCATTCTCACACATGTGCGACTCTTCTGATTCTCTTCTGATGTTCCCGCTATTTTAAAAATATATGCATGGCACCATTTGCTCTTAGAGTGCCATCGTGTTTTGAAGCAGTGTGAATACAGGTATGTGTTTCTCACTTTATTCACAAAGCTTTGAGACAGCCCACAGTGAGATCATATGCAGTAATGTTAGAATGTAAATAGCAGTAACAAATTGGAGTATCAGAAGGCTAAGATGAACAAAGGTTAAGTTGTAGGTAATGAGTTTTCAGATAAGTATTATATTATTTCAGTGAAGAGTAGAAAGAAAAAACATTAAAGTAGCTTATACCAGTAGCTTATTCATTCCAGCAATCTTATCAGAGAGGCTCTAAAGGGACATTTTGTTCACAAACTTAGAAATTTGCCCATCATGATGACATTTATGGGTCTAGCTTTGTACTTATCCTCAAACTAGCAATAATTACAATAATTTTTGAGTGCTTACTATATACCAGGCTTTGTTTAAAGCACTTTTAATCATCAGAATAAACCTATGAGGTAGGAATTATTTTACAGCTGAGGAGACTGAGGGTTAGAGAAGTTAAGCAGCTTTCTATGGTCACACACGCACTTCCTAACAGTATTAGTCAGCTACCAGGTAACAGTAAGGATTCAACCCAGGCAGACAGGCTCTCAAACCAATGCCGTCTCCCTGACTTCCTTAGATGTATGTTTAGGTATGAATAAAGAAGAAATGTCTATATAAAAGGCGTGTTTGTACTTTATTTTTCAAAGAGATCATCTTCAGACACCAACGAAAGTGAAATAAAGTCAAATGAAGAGCCACTCCTAAGAAAGAGTTCTCGCCGGTTTGTCATCTTTCCAATCCAGTACCCTGATATTTGGAAAATGTATAAACAGGCACAGGCTTCCTTCTGGACAGCAGAAGAGGTACGTGGCATTGCCTCCAAGAGCATTCACATCCTATAGTGCAGTGTTCCTTCTTGTTTTACAGGATATTGAATAACTTTAACTTATACATTGAAGAAGATCAGTTGTAGAAGATAAGTGTTGGAATTACTGAGACTAAATATGATGTTCTCAATGTTTTAGTTTAGATTACTATCTATAAACAAGTTTTCTGCTGCAACAATGGCATCTAATTCTGCCAGATTTTTATTTCCAATATATTAGAACATTTTTTTTCTTTTTCTTTTTTTTTTTTTTTTTTGAGACAGAGTCTCACTCTGTCACCCAGGCTAGAGTGCAGTGGCGCGATCTCAGCTCACTGCAAACTCCACCTCCCGGGTTCAAGCGATTCTCCTGCCTCAGCTTCCTGAGTAGTTGGGATTACAGGCGCCAGCCACCACGCCCAGCTAATTTTTGTATTTTTAGTAGAGATGGGGTTTCACCACATTGGCCAGGCTGGTCTCAAACTCCTGACCTTGTGATCCACCTGCCTCAGCCTCCCAAAGTGCTGGGATTACAGGCATGAGCCACCACGCCCAGCCAACATTTTCTATTTTTAAACAGACTTTTAGTTTGATATGGCCAAGTAAGACTTGTCTGACTAGTCTTACAAGGTCAGCAGAATAAGTAAAATTGCAGCTGTAGTCAAAAAATGAGTGAAAGCTGTAGCAACTCTGCTTTCAATTGAGAGATTTATCTGATTGTACAAAATGAGCCGCTGCATGAAGAGTTTGATCCTCTAGGCTGTGGACTCACTCCCGAGTCAGCCAGGTGGAACTCACAGTGCTGCTCCCAGTTTGGCCCTGCCCTCAGCTACATCAAACGTGACAGAGTTGCCACTAATAGATCAGCTGTAGAAAGCTTTTTGTTAATTCCACCTGGGAGATCAGTTGAACACAGCAAACTAGAAAATATTTGCTGGTTGGTAAGGACAGTGGTCATGAAAATGATTGCCCTGTAGTCTAACTGAACAAATAGTTATTGTCTTGATCTTTAAATATAATGGGTGATACCTATACAGCACTCTTGTTCTGTATATGTTTGTATATGTATCTCTATAGATAGATGTATCTATTTGGATAGATAGATTTGAATCTATTTTTCAAGACATTAATTCTATAAATGTTAAACACATGCTGTTAAGAATGCAGGCTATGGGGTCAGACTGCCTAGGTACAAATCCTGTGCCACTACTTACTAGCTATGGAACTGGGAAAGTTACATAACCTCTCTGTGTATCCTCATCAGTAAATTAGGCTAATTGTACTTGGCTATTTGTGTTGTTATGAGGATTTATGAGATATTTAAAATGGTAGTTGACACTTAGTAGGCACTAAATAAATGTAAACTATTATTTTATGCACAGAAGGGGGAAAATTTAACCTAGAAATCAGAAGGCACCAGTGTTTGAAGCTTCTATTACACTAATTTTACCCACTTACCCATCTTTGTTATATTGTAGTGTTATATTGTCAACATCTTTGTTATATTATAGTTGACATATAGAGCAAAAAACCAAACCACACAAAAACAAACACCCAATATTTTCATACGTGGTCATAATGCTTGACACACCTGACTGTCCCTAACTGTCTGTGGTTTTTAGAAAGGTTTTTTGTTAGATACGGTTCAGAGAACGAGTGGAATACGCAGGTGGCTTTTTCGTTCATTATGTTAAAAAGGTACTTAGGATTCTTAGGATTCTTGAAATTCATTTGGAAATTAACTTGCATCTTTTAGCAAAGGTAATATGTGACCTGTAACAAAGCAACACTAATTTTTAAAAACTGAAATCTACAGGTTGGTACGTGTTCTGTAGCTAATTATAGGACGATTCAAATACATATTTTGAAGATAAATCAAACACATTTTTAGTTCCACATATTTTTCATTTACAAATTATGTAAGTTACCATTTAGTCAGCTTAAATGGTTGAGCTTAATTCTTAAATATGGCTGATCAACAGAAACCCTGATCAAAAGACAAAAGTCTGGGGTTTGGGACTTTTTTCTTTAAAGCCACTCAGGCAGTTATGATAATTGTCTAGTTTGGAATCAGTATTTAAATGATGAAATTGAGAATTTGCTCAAATAAGAAAAAGCTAGGCAGGAAGGGAATATTTCCAATGTAGTGTAAATAAAATTTAGAAGACCTTTGAAACTGAGTGTTCAAAGAAATAATTTTAATATTTAAGAGGAAGCATCTTACAATATTAACATTTAATATCAAATATATAATATATAAGAGGTCGAGCATGGTGGCTCACACCTGTAATCCAAGCACTTTGGGAGGCTAAAGTGGGCAGATCACTTGAGGTCAGGAGTTTGAGACCAACCTGGACAACATGGTAAAACCCTGTCTCTAGTAAAAATACAAAAATTAGCCAGGCGTGGCAGCAGGTGCCTGTAATCCCAGCTACTCAGGAGGTTGAGGCAGGAGAATCGCTTGAGCCCAGGTAGCAGAGGCTGCAGTGAGCCCAGATCATGCCACTGTATTCCAGCCTGGGCAACAGAGTGAGACTGTCTCCGAAAAAAAACCTGAGGGGTTATAATATATATGAATGAAGAAGATGTCCTTCAGTTAAACCTGAGTTGAGCTTTTAATAGAACAGAACTTGATTTTTAGGTTGCATATTTTAAAAGATGAAGACAAATATTTCCTCCACCCTGCTCCGTTGTATCCCCAGTGCTTAGCACGGTGTCAGGTGTGCAGTAAGTGCTCAGCAAACACTTAAAGAATAAATTAGTGGGAAAAAGGATTTGGAAAATAGCATGTGATTAAAAGATTGGGACATTAGTCCTTTTTGGAAAGGTCAAAGAGATTGAGGCTTGAGGCTTTGTGGGTTTTTTTTTTTTTGTTGTTGTTGTTGTTTTGTTTTTGAGACAGAGTTGCACTCTGTTGCCAGGCTGGAGTGCAATGGCACGATCTTGGCTCACTGCAACCTCCTCCTCCTGGGTTCAAGCGATTCTCCTGCCTCAGCCTCCCAAGTAGCTGGGACTACAGGCATGCGCCACCATGCCTAGCTAATTTTGTATTTTTAGTAGAGACAGGGTTTCACTATGTTGACCAGGTTGGTCTCAATCTCTTGACCTCATGATCCACTCACCTTGGCCTCCCAAAGTGCTGGGATTACAGGCGTGAGCTACCGTGCCCAGCCGAGGGTTTGTTAGAGTAAATAAAAGAAAGGCAAAAGACAAAGACAATTACATATTTCAACTGTTCATGAAGTTAATTATGAAAAATATTTAAAAGATTTTTTCTGACAAAATTGAAGCAGGATAGTTTCTCCGATCCCTTCGTGGGTGGGAACTGGAATGCGCATGCTGGAGCTAGCTGGCTGCTTTGGCGCTGGCAGGGGCAAACTCCACTCACTTGAACCCATTGCGCTCAGCCCCTTGAGGGAGGGAGCATGCAGGTGAGCAGGTGCAGGAGCTTGGGTGAATTCTTTTGGGCACCGGCAGGAGCAAAACTCCATGCAGGCCTCATGGCAGCATCTGTGAGGAGTACCCACAACCCTTGAAGCCCCAGAAGGAATGTGTTATAGTTAACTCTCTTTTAGCTTTTGCTGTCCGCAGATGGCTTAAGTTTTAACGGCTCAGTGGGCCCTCTGCCTTTTCACATGGGGCAGTTGGTCTCCACCAGTGAGGGCAGAGGGTCAGTGTGACAGCTTTTAGCATCCACACCTGTGGCACCCACGCTCTTGTTCAGCATCCAGGAAAAATCAGATCACATGAACAAATCGAAGGGTGGTGAATACAGAGGATTTTGTTGCCAATGAAAGTGGCTCTCAGTGGGAAGAGGAGCTGGAAAGGGGATGGAGTGGAAAAATAATCTTCTCCTGGAGTCTGTCTGGCCGTCCCCAGCTGACTCCTCTCCAAAGGAATGCTGTCAAGCTGTCCCTCTGAAGTTAAGCTGCTTCTCTCCGACATCCAACCGTAGTCTCTGACATCCAGCTGCTTCTCCTCTTCTCCTCTCCTCTTCTCTGCTGGTAGAGCCTGGGGTTTTTATGGGCACAGGGTAGGGGAGTGGGGCCATGGGTGGTTTTGGAAAGGGCAACATTATAGTGGGAAAACAGGAATACATGTCACTTTGGGCTGCAGTTCCAGGATTGAGGGTGGAGTCCTCGCTGGGGACCATCTTCTTCTGCCCAGAATTTCCCTGCCTCCTGTCCCTATCAAAATGATGTCTATATATGCTGTGTGATGGTATTTGGAGGTGGAGCCTTGGGAGGTAATTAGGTCATGTGGGTGGAGCCCTCATGAATAGGATTAGTGCCCTTAAGAGACATGAGAGATATGATCTCTCTCTCTCTGCTATGTCAGGATACAGCAAGAAGGTGGCCATCTGTAAATCAGTAAGAGGGCCTTCACCAATAACCCAACCATGCTGACATCCTGATCTTGGGCTTTCAGCTTCCAGAAATGTTCAAAAAGAAAAATAAAAGTATGCTGTTTAAGCAACCCAGTCAATGGTAATTTGTTATAGCCCCCAGAACTGACTAAGGGAAGGTACATTTAAAGACAATTTTTGGCTGGGTGCAGTGGCTCAGGCCTGTACTCCCAGCACTTTGGGAGGTTGAGGCGGGCAGATCACTTGAGCTCAGGAGTTCAAAACCAGCCTGGGCAATATGGCAAAACCCTGTCACTACCAAAAATACAAAAAATTAGCCAGGCATGGTTTTGTGTGCCTGTGGTCCCACCTGTGCCTCTGGAGGCTGAGGTGGGAGGATTGCTTGAGCCTAGGAGGCAGAGACTGTAGTGAGCTGAGATTGTGCCACCGCACTCCAGACTGGGTGACGGAGTGAAACCCCATCTCAAAAATTAAAAAAATAAACAATTTTTAAATTGTAGGTTTCACCAAATTCTAAAGTACGTCTCCCTTAATTCCAAAGACTAATTCTAATGAACATTTTCAAAAATATTTCCATTCCCAATGGAAGCCATACCTATGTATAAACTGCTTTAAAAAAAAAACTGGGTTGTTGGCCACCTGTGATGGCTCACACCTGTAATCCCAACACTTTGAGAGGCTGAGGTAGGAGGATTGCTTGAGGCCAGGAGATTGAGACCAGCCTGGGCAACATAGTGAGACCCCATCTCTTTAAAAAAACAAAACAAGGCCAGCTGTGGTGGCTCGTGCCTGTAATCCCAGCACTTTGGGAGGCCGAGGCAAACAGATCATGAGGTCAAGAGATTGAGACCATCCTGGCCAACATGGTGAAACTCCGTCTCTACTAAAAAATACAAATAATTAGCTGGGCATGGTGGCGCCTGCCTGTAGTCCCAGCTACTCGGGAGGCTGAGGCAGGAGGATTGCTTGAACCTGGGAGGCGAAGGTTGCAGTGAGCCAAGATCATGCCACTGCACTCTAGCCTGGCGACAGAGCGAGACTTCATCTCAAAACAAAACAAAACTCAGGTTGTTACCTGCCTGGCATTACTTCTGGATGTAAAAGTAGACTGATTACCTGGCAGTAAAGTAGCAGCTACAGTTGGTTAATAGGTGCCTAATTATCTAACACCATAGCACATATTATATAAAATGTTAAAGCAGTGACTGTTGAGATTCATTAGTTTATTTACTTCAGTGCCTTCTTGACTAGTTTTTACTCTCCCCCCTCCCCTTTTAGCCCTTCTTTCATTTGCTTCAGTGCCACTAGATTATGTTAATTTGAATATTTTTAAAGTACATCCTGGCCAGCTTCTTAATTAGCCAGAAAATTCGATTCCATCTTAATTTTTTAAAGATAAATTTTATTGTGTATGTTTAAGGTGTATGACATGATGTTATATATATATATATATAATAAAATGGTTACCCATTATGTAACAAATTAATATTTCCTTTGCCTCACATAGTTTAGCTGTTCACCCCCCCACCAAGAATAGCTGTAATCTACTCATTTAACAAAAATCCTGAATATAATACACTTGTTAACATAACTTTTTTTTTTATTTCTTTGCAGTGCTAACATCTTTCTTTTTCCATAGTTTACTGGTAGTGGGATATTCCTACTTAACAATAGAAGTTAGTTTCCCAAACACTTTGAGAAGAACTTAACTCCAAATTAAAATTTTTGAAAATCTTTTTATTCCAGGTCGACTTATCAAAGGATCTCCCTCACTGGAACAAGCTTAAAGCAGATGAGAAGTACTTCATCTCTCACATCTTAGCCTTTTTTGCAGCCAGTGATGGAATTGTAAATGAAAATTTGGTAAGATTTTTGCTTGATTTAACTTTTGTTCTCCTTTAGCAGTTAAATGATGATAATGTCAGTAAGATTATTAAATTCAGCCAAAGACAAGATGTCTAAAAAATGAACTAGATGAAGCTTAACTCTTTAAATGTTTTTCTGATGAATTGCTTATCCTTTGACCAGCAAACTATTATTAAATCAAGCATAAATGATATGAATCAAAACTATTTACAGTGCATTAACATGAGTTTGATTTTTACTCTCAGATAGTAAGCTTAATAGAGAACCTGCACCTTAACCTTTGGAGCTCTGTAATAGAACACTGGATTCTGGCTCCCCATTTTAAAACTTGATTATGGTTGATCAGGAGGCATAATTTCTTTTTAAAAAGAATTAGAAAGATAGGCCGGGTACGGTGGCTCATACCTGTAATCCCAGCACTTTGGGAGGCTGAGGTGGGCGGATCACGAGGTCAAGAGATTGAGACCATCCTGGCCAACATGGTGAAAACCCATTTCTACTAAAAATACAAAAATTAGCTGGGCGTGTTGGCGCATGCCTGTAGCCCCAGCTATTTGGGAGGCTGAAGCAGGAGAATTTCTTGAACCTGGGAGGCAGAGGTTGCAGTGAGCCAAGATGGCGCCACTGTACTCCAGCCTGGTGACAGATCGAGACTCCATCTCAAAAAAAAAAAAAAAAAAAAAAAAGAATATACTATGCAAATAATTTACCATGGAGAATTGATGGATAAACAGTACTGCCTAGGATACTGCTTAAAATAATCCATAAGGTCTTTCTGACCTGTTTGTTACATGACAGGCAGTTTTTAAGCGATAATGCTGATGTCCAGATTCTGATTTGCAGTGTTTAATGAGAGCCTATAGAACTGGATATATCTATTTTCCTTATCTTCTTAGGTGGAGCGCTTTAGTCAGGAGGTGCAGGTTCCAGAGGCTCGCTGTTTCTATGGCTTTCAAATTCTCATCGAGAATGTTCACTCAGAGATGTACAGTTTGCTGATAGACACTTACATCAGAGATCCCAAGAAAAGGTATTGTTGGGATTTTATTTACAAAATATTGCTTACGGCTTGGTTATGTTCAGATCAGAATTTATTCCAAAACTCAATGTTAAGGAAAGATTATTCAAGTATGGAAGTTTCTGAGCATAATATTTTCTATTGCTTAATAATGTATTGGGTTTTAAAAAAAACTTGTTATAGAACCAGTTAACCTTTAGATATTTTATCTTTAAGAACTGTTCAGTAGCATCTTCTGTTTAGAAATTGAATACTCAAATTTAGCTGGTTTTGTATGAGACCAGATTCAAACCAATAATTTGAGTTTTATTTCTGTTCTATGGACATGTAAAAATGTATAAAAACTACAGATCTGGTAGCATACCGTAGAGTTACAATTATTATCTCTGATTAAGTTTAGTCCAATTAAGAAAAACAAGTGAGGCCAAGGCATGGTGGCTCATGGCTGTAATCCCAGCACCTTGGGAGGCCGAAGCAGGTGGATCACGAGGTCAGGAGATTGAGACCATCCTGGCTAACACAGTGAAACCACGTCTCTACTAAAAATACTAGCCGGGCGTGGTGGCGGGCACCTGTCGTCCTAGCTACTCGGGAGGCTGAGGCAGGAGAATGGCATGAACCCGGGAGGTGGAGCTTGCAGTGAGCCGAGATCGTGCCACTGCACTCCAGCCTGGGCAACAGAGCGAGACTCTGTCTCAAAAAAAAAAAAAGAAAAACAAGTGAATAACTTTGCTGTTCATTCTTTTGTTTTTACAGGGAATTTTTATTTAATGCAATTGAAACCATGCCCTATGTTAAGAAAAAAGCAGATTGGGCCTTGCGATGGATAGCAGATAGAAAATCTACTTTTGGTATGTGGCTCTAATTTATGTATGATCAGATTTGCCTAAGGTGATATGACAGTATTTTATGTGGTGTGACTATCCAGTACGAATCAAAGTTACAGCATGGAAAAGGAGTACAAATGTCTCAAATGCACCTTTACCAAAATCATTATTCCTAATAATTAATTAGAAAGTGGTGATAAAGCTGTTACCTATTCTACTTAATAAGTTGGAAGTTGAAAAGTTAAGATGTTAGTGCATAATTACAGTTAAACAGGAGTCAGTCACATAGCAATAACAAGAGTATTATAGCAATTCACAGTTTGTATCTGGCTTTTAAGTTTATTTTAGGAATTTTTTTTTTTTTTTTTTTTTTTGAGACGGAGTCTCGCTCTGTCACCTAGGCTGGAGTGTGGTGGCGTGATCCTGGCTCACTGCAACTGCTGCCTTCCAAGTTCAAGCAATTCTCCCTGCCTCAGCCTCCTGAGTAGCTGGGATTACAGGCACCTACCACCACGCTCAGCTTATTTTTGTATTTTTTAATAGAGATGGGGGTTTTGCCATGTTGGCCAGACTAGTCTTGAACTCTTGATCTCAGGTGACCCGCCCACCTTGGCCTCCCAAAGTGCTGGGACTGCAGGCATGAGCCACTGTGCCTGGCCTATTTTAGAAATTTAAAGCAAGTGAAATCTTAACATTTTTCAGGAAACAAATATCTAGTTTCTCAAAAACTAAAGATTAGTGTAATCAACTAGGACAAAACCAATTTGTAATAACAGGCTTATTTTTCATAGGTAAGCTAAATGCAAACACCCTTCTGGCTGAGTTGAGATCCCATAGCATTTTTTTAAGGAAGTGTATCATATTATGTCTTATACATAGTAGTTGCTCAATAAATACTTACTAAATTTAATTAAAATATTTATATATTTCATTTGGATAGCTCTAAGTACCCATCTCATTCTTATCTATTTTTAATTGGTGTTCTTTACTTTCTGGTTTTATTCTTTATGTGAGGAAGCAAGTCTCAAAATTTTTGGTCTCAGGCCCCTTTGTACTCTTAAAAATTATTGAGCACTCCAAAGTGCCTTTATTTGGGTAGGTTATGGGTATTGTTATTTTTGCATTAGAAATTAACATTGAGATAATTTAAAAATATTTATTAGTGCATTCTAAGATAGCAATAATCAACCCATTATATTTTAATACAGATAACACTTTTATATAAGTTTCTATATTTTCCAAAAAAAAGAATAGCATGCTTTTAAATTTCTGTAACTCTTTTAAATGTCTGACTTAATAGGAAACAGTTGGAGTACCATATCTGCCTTTGCATTCGATTTGTTGCAGTGTATATGTATATAGTATATGCCTCATTTAAATATGTATTATAGTTAGAAAAGGGAGGAATATTTTATTTAGCTTTTCAGATTATTACGGATATGTCATGTAGCCTCTAGAAAATACCATTGTAAAGTATGAGAGACTGGTAGTTAAAAAAAAATAATGCCTTAATGTTATTATGAAAATAGTTTTGACCTCACAGGTCTCCTGGGTCTGTGGATCTCTCAGGGACTCTTGGACCACACTGAAGAACCAGTGATATAGTGCGTATATGGGCCAGCATGTAGTATACCAGGGATGAAGCAGATATGTTTGCCTCCTTGCCTTCAGTTCATTTCAAGAATGAGAAAAGCAGCCAGGCATGGTGGCTCACGCCTGTAATCCCAGTGCTTTGGAAGACTGAGACAGGTGATCACTTGAGGCCAGCAGTTGAAGACCAGTCTGGGCAACAAAGCAAGGCCCCCATCTCTACAACAAATTTAAAAACTAGCCAGGTGTGGTGGCATGCACCTGTATACCCTGCTACTTGGGAGGCTGAGAGAGGAGGACCACTTAAGCCCAGGTGTTTGAGGCTACAGTGAGCTATGATCCACTGTGCTGCAGCCTGGGTGACAGAGCAAGACCCAGACTCTAAAAAAAAAAAAAAAATTTAAATAGGAATGAGAAAATCACTGGTTCTCAATATATGTAAAAGTCATCTGGAGAATTTGTGGAAAAACTTTTAAGAATCCTGCCAAAACTGATGTAGGAGGCCCAGGTGGGACTGAGGAATCTGCATTTTGTATTCAGCTGATTCCCTCACAAGGAGCTTCAGAAACACTTTGGGAAATGCTGGCTTTAGAGAAAAAAGAAGGGAAGAGGCAGAGTGTTCCATATACGCTGAAAATATTAGTATGGGTAGGTAGTGATGAAAAATGATGAGCAGGCCCACGGAAAGCATGTATTTCATGAACTACCCAAGAAGGACAACCTAGAAATAGAGAACACAGAGAAGGCTGGCAGTCACCATGTAACTACATGAGGACTCCAGCTAGATTCTCCATATTGCTTAATCTCAAGGGAAACTCCATTTCAGGTTCTAATATAGGGTCTCAGAGGAAAGAACATGTTCTAAAATTGTGGAGGGGAGTTGAATGGGTGTAGAGTGGAACAGGGAAAGAGGAAAGAGTGAAGAGTGCATTGGTGGCTCTCCTTTTTGGGAGTGGAGCTAAAAGACAGTAACATGGAAATATTGCCTTGCTTTGCTGCACACTGCTACTTTCCTTTAACCAGCTGAGGAAGTGCTGTTTCATGAACTGATTTGGCTACCTGCACCATTAGTAGCTCTAAGTTGAAAAGGGCAGCTCTTTCACCTGGCTTAGGGTTTTGCCTAACATTTTTGGTGACCTTCTTAGTGCCTTTTGCACTAAGATCCAGCGTAGCAACTATTCTTTCCTTATATCCAGACTCTTATAAGCCTTTATTTTTAGCTAAAGAGAAACTAAGAATATTTCTTTAAAAATTATTAGCTTGGAAGTTTATGTTATAAGGAGATTCAATTCCTATAGAGCAAAAATTTTCCTAATTATATATCTGCATAGATTTTTAAAAATTGAGACATCCTGTTTAATTTTTAAAATATCTTTAAATAACTTCAAAACAAATATACAGATTAAAACTTAATATATGTAATGAAATTTCATTTCAAGCCTCAAAAAATATTAGCTACACAATCTTAGTACATTGCCATCATAGAGGTCAGCTGTATCTTAAAAATGTATCCGACTTTCCCCTCTCTAAAATGAATCATGAGGCCTTTACATTCACTATAGTTTTTAGGAGAAATGTTCCGGAACCCTCTTTTTATTTCACATATGTTCTCAAAAAATTGTAAAATGTACCACTTATAATCCTTTAATCTTCTCCAAAAAAGAATAGCCTTCTATAACTATGTTATGATTTTCATTCTTTAGTATTCACATTAATGTATAGCATGGTTACAATACCAATTTTCCACTAGGCACAGTGGCTTGTGCCTATAATCCCAGCTACTTGTGAGGCTGAGATGAGAGGATGGCTTGAGCCAGAAGTTCAAACCAGCCAGGGCAACGTAGAGAGACCTTAGCTCTAAAGAAATAAAAAAATTAGCCAGGCATGGTGACGCACGCCTGTAGTCCCAGCTACGTCAGAGGCTAAGGTGGGAGCATTGTTTGAGCCCAGGAGTTTGAGACTGTTTGAATTATTAATGCACCATTGCACTACAGCCTGGGTGACAAGAGCAAGACCCCATACTGTCTCTAACAAAAATTAAAATATCAATTTTTCTTTTATTCACGTTTGTATTTAATTATAGTCTACTTTCCTGACAGATAATTATCCTTATGATGTTACCTTAATGTCAATTAAAAACGTATCAATAAGTTATCTTAATAGTAAGATAAAAGATACAGTAAGTTATATGTTAAACTAATGACAAGCCTCATCTTAAGAATAGTGATGATGATGATGATTTTTGAGATGGGCTCACTCTGTCGCCCAGCTGGAGTGCAGTGGTGTGATCATAGCGCACTGCAGCCTTGACCTCCTGGGCTCAAGCATTCCTCCCACATCAACCTCCCAGGTAGCTGTGACTACAGGTGCGCACCACCACACCCAGCTAATTTTTAAATTTTTTGTAGAGATGGGGTTTTGCTATGTTGCCCAGGCTGGTCTCTAACTCCTGCATTCAAGTGATCCTCCTTCCTCGGTCTACCAAAGTGCTGGTATTACAGATGTGAGCCACTGCAGCACTTGGCCTAGAATGGATTTTAATGTCTTCTCTCATCTAGTACTTATATAGGTTCCATTGAGTCAGTTCAGGACTTGTTTATTAAGTGACTTCTTTGGGTGTGGTCCTGTGACATGTACTGAGGTATAAACCGTGATGTCACCTATGAAAACGGTTTGTAGTGCACTCAAGCACTCAGCTGCCTGTATCTCACCGTCTTATAGACCAAACCTTTTTCCTTAGACATATATAAATACTTTTCTCAGGCATATGCAGTGTGGTGACATAAGCACCTTGTGAATGACCTTTTGGGTTACAGCTCTGATCATCCTGCATAATGTTACAGATATGATGCCACTGTAGACAATTTATTAATAGGAGATGGATTTCTACGAAGTCCTTGCCTAACAATGAGTAACCTTTAAAATTGGCCATTTTGTATTTAGCAGAAAACAGTATTTTTGCTTATGTTATGGGGACATTTTATCTAATAGATATATTTATTATCCTCAGTTGGGTTTATCTATTTTTTTTAAATTGCAGATACACGCCAGTGGTTTTTGAAATGTTTGCAGATGGTCTGTAAGATACCATAGGTTTCTAAAAATATAAACTTAAGCAACCTCTCCTCCTTTCAGAGGAAGACACTTGTCATAAAGTCTACCTTCTACTCTCCAGTACACACACACACATATGTATACATACTGCACACATGTGCATGTACCTGCACTCATAGTCATGTGTGGTGCACACGTAAATCACCTCTTGTTTTGAGTATGGAAGGTCCTTCTTTGTCCAACGCCAAGACCTACAGAAGTCCATCGTCTGACAGAGGATTTGAAGGAGGCATACCTTTCTGCTCCAGTAGGTAGAGGTGGCGCATTTTCTCCTATGGAGATCTTTGGCCATGGCACTAACTTGTGTATTTTGTTTCTTTGCAAACAGTTGTGGTATTTATTGTTATATATGTGTATATATATATATGCAAATGTTTGCAGTATATTTCAAAAATTGAAACGATTTTATGTCTCCCAGGGGAAAGAGTGGTGGCCTTTGCTGCTGTAGAAGGAGTTTTCTTCTCAGGATCTTTTGCTGCTATATTCTGGCTAAAGAAGAGAGGTCTTATGCCAGGACTCACTTTTTCCAATGAACTCATCAGCAGAGATGAAGTAAGGAATGGAATGTTTTTCTAGTTATATTTGTATTCATATTTGATGTTCATCTATTTTTCTTTTCCATCTTTTTTTTTTTTTTTTTGAGACAGGATCTCACTCTGTCACCCAGGCTGGCATACAGTGGCACGATCATGGCTTGCTGCAGCCTCGACTTCCCTGGGCTCAAGCATTCCTCCCATCTCAGCCTCCATTGTTGCTGGGACAGCAGGCATATACCACTACACCTGGCCTAATTTTGGTATCTTTAGTTTTTTTAGAGACAGGGCTTCACCACGTTGCCCAGGCTGGTCTTGAACTCCTGGCCTCAAGCGATCTGCCTGCCTCAGCCTTCCAAAGTGCTGGGATTACAGGCATGAATTACTGTACCCAGCCTATTTATTTTTCTTTCTCCTGAAAAATGCTGTGGTGACATGAGTATCCTGGTAATTAAAATAGGAAGTCACGTCATCTTGCTTTTAAGACACTGCATTTTCCTCCTGTGTCTCTTACCATTTCTCCTCGGTCTCCTGGTCATTCTTAATATCAGTGTCCTCCTAGGTTCCCGCACTGGCCTTGCTCCTTCACTATATATGCCCTCCTGGCTGATCTTGTTTACTGTAATGGAATCAGCTACCATCTAAATGCTCATAACTCCGAAAACCTACCCTTTGTCCCAGATATTCTTTCCTAAGTGCCAAACCCATGTATGCTAGTGCATGTTAGACATTTTCTCCTTTAAGTTCCCCCAGGTATCTCAAACCTGTTATTTCAGAAATCAAACTCATCATCTTTCTCCAAAAATTTGTTGTTCCTTCTGTTTTTCCTATTTCATTGAGTGTCTCTATCCTTCTTTTCCAATCATCTAATTTAAATTTAGGAATCATTTTAGATTGCTTCTTCTTTTTCAGCCACATCCGATCAGTAAGTAAGCCTGGTCTCCCTCTGCCTGCTATACCCTTTCTACCCTTTCCATCTTTCTTACCACCCCTTTTTTTTTTTTTAAACCTTTTTGGATTACCTTCTCAGAAGAGACATCTCAAAACTTTCCTGATCAATTAGGTGAAACTGGCCACTCTTTCCTTTATGTATCCATTTGAAACCTGAACCTGTCCATGTCTTGGAGTCCATAGCATGTATTGTACTTCTTCTTTCTCTCTTCTGCTAGACTTTAAGCTCCTTAGTGCAGGGACTTTGTTTTATTTATCTTTCTGTTCTCAATGTTTTGGCTATTATAGCCATTCAGTTAACATTTATTGCCTACACTAATCCTTAACTTCTCTGAACCTTGGTTTCTTCAACTATAAAACTTAACCGTTTTGTTAGAATGCAATGAAATAGTGTATGTGAAAGTATTTTTTTAAATGCCATAAAATGCTTCATATAATTACTTTTTGCTTTTTCATGGCTTTAAATTTTTAATAACTTTTATTAGAAATGTCATATAGGATTGTTATAGAGAATTGAGAGAATAAAAAATTAATCTCAACACAGAGAGAACTACATTTACTGTTTTGTTGAAGTATTTCTTTATAGACTTTTTTTCTACATTTAATTCTATTTAGATATATAAACATATTTTAATCATTCATATATTTAGGAGTTGAGATGTTCTTTTTCCACTTGGCAAAATACTGCAATCATTTTTCTGTGGCATTAAGCACCTTTTGAAAATAGTAGTTTTGTTAAATGTATAATCTAATGAATGAATCATTTATTTGACTTTTATAATTAGAAATTTAGATTATTTCCAGGTTTTTTGTTTTACTATAGTATAAAATGAATACCTTTACATATATATAAGCTTTGTCCTCCCTTTATATTATTTTCCTAAGCTTGATCACAAAAAGTAGAATTACTAAGTTATAAAGCATTCATACATACTTACTTGCAGATTTTTTTTCCAGTAATTTTATAACAATTTTCAGCCCCATCTAGCAATGTATGAACATTTTCTACCATACTCTCACCAGAATTTAGATTAATTTGCTAAATGTTTGGCAAATTTGATAGGGTTAATTGGTATCTCATTATTGGTTTTATTTGCATTGTTTAATTATTACTTAGATTGAACACTTTTTTCATAATGATATTAGTGATTTGTATTTTTTCTGTAGTTGCCTACTTTTATCTTTTGCCTTTATTACTGGTGCAATATTAACATTTTTGTTATTTAACTCTGAGTGCTCTCACTATTTTAAGGTTATTTCTTCAGTAGTCTATTATACTTAAAGGAAGGGGTCATGCTTGCTTGTTCATTGGTTTATTCCCAATGTACAGTGACTGATTGGGTCCTTTCAACAAGTACACCTTTATAGCATTTGTTATATTTATAGCACAAATATAATATAAAATACAAATTTGCTTATATTTATTTCACATATTTTCCCAATTTATCCTTTGCTTTTTAATTTTTGTTCTTTTAACATACAAAACCTTAAATTTTATGTAATCCACTTCCAGAGATAAATTAATTACACATTTTTTTTCTTGGTTTTTTAACCTTTAAGTCTGTAATGCAATTGGAATTTGTAAAGTAGGATTTAGCATAAATATAATAAAGAATAAGTTAGAATTTAATTTTATTTTAAACACTCTTGGGAAGTTTTTCCAATTTGCCTTGTTAAGTAATCCATCATCCTTTCTTCATTGACTTGCGCTGTCTTCTTTATTATCTATTAAGGTTTTATTAGACTAAAATCGGTTTCATGGCTATTTTTACTTCCTTATTGACCTATCAGATTTTATTCTATAACAAACCATTTTAATTATTATAGTTTCATATATTTTAATAATTTGTAGGATAAATATCGAAACTTTTCTTTTGAAAGTGTTCTTACAAGATTCTGTCCGTTTATTCTATTCTTTTTTTTTTTTTTTTTTTTTTGAGACAGGGTCTTTCTCTGTCACCCAGGCTGAGTGCAAGTGGTATGATCCTGGCTCACTGTAGCTTTGACCTCCTGGGCTCAAGCAGTCCTCCCACCTCAGCCTCCTTAAGTAGCTGGAACTACATGCATGTACCACCACATCCAGTTAATTAAAAAAGTTTTGTAGACGCAGGGTCTCACTGTGTTGCCCAGGCTGGTCTGGAACTCCTGGGTTCAAGTGATTTCCCAACTTGGCCTCCCAAAGTGCTGGGATTACAGGCATGAGCCCCCGTGCCCAGCCTTCCAGATTAACTTTTGAATTAAAAACAATCCCATTTAGGTACTTGACCTCTGTGCCCGCTTGGGACTCTTTGAAGTGTACTTTTCTTTCTTTTCTGCTCTAAAGCCTTTTAAAATAAATTACAAACACACACACACCAATTCCATTGGGATTTTGATTGGTATTGCTTTCTGTAATAAGTTACCTGTCAGTTTTCATCAACACTTTAACATCTTTCAGCCTTGATGGTAATTTCTTCTTTCTTCCTTTTTTTTTTTTGAAACAGTCTCACTGTCACCCAGGCTGGAGTGCAGTGGCGTGATCTCAGCTCACTGCAGCCTTGACCTCCCAGGTTCAAGCAATCTTCCTGCTTCAGCCTCCTGAGTAGCTGGGACTACAGGTGTGCACCATGCCTGACTAATTTTTGTATTTTTTGCAGAGATGGGGTTTTGCCAGGTTGCCCAGGCTGGTCTCGAATTCCTGAACTCAAGGAATCTGCCCACCTTAGCCTCCCAAAGTGCTGTATTACAGACATGAGCCACCATGCCCAGCCTGGGAATTCCATCTTTCTATATCCGACCTCTCTCTTTTTTCATGTTGAATTTTTGAAATTTTCTTTTTTTTTTTTTTTTTTTTTTTAATATTTAGCTCTATACTATCTATTCTGTGTTTTGGAGTCCTGATTATTGTAGGTTGACTCTCCTTCACCTATTCTCCAATTACTTAAGATTCTATTGCATTTGTATAACCATACTCGGGTATTTCACAAGTTTATTTTCATTTTTGGTTGAGTTATCTGTAAGATCATATCTGCTTTGTATGGCTTCAGGCGATATTCATCATTGTTCAGTTTCCATTTTCTTATTTATTTATTGGTATTTTTTATTTACTTCTATTTATTTATTTATTTATTTATTTTTTATTTTTTTTTGTAGAGATTGGGTTTTGCCATGTTGCCCAGGCTGGTCTTGAACTCCTGGACTCAAGCAGTCTGCCCACCTTGACCTCCCAAAGTGCTGAGATTACAGGCATGAGCCACCGAGCCCCACCTCAGTTTCCATTTTCATTAGAACTGAATTCATTTTTATCTTGAGCCTTTCTTATTTAATTATAAATGTATTTTTGAAATCTGAGTTTCATCTGTTATTTAAATACTAATTATTTTTCAATCATTCCTTAATTATTTTTGAAATTTAAAAATTAATGAATTTTCATTTCAGGCTTTCTTGCTTTATTTTCCTTTCCAAAATGCTTTTATTTGCAGATTTTGTTTGTTCATAAATTAATTTTTCTATAATGTTGATGAACTAAGATTTGCTGGCATTGAAAATTTTTATTATAGGTTATTGTATTGGCATTTAATGAGATTTGAAAGAAGGAAGTTCCTAGTCCTATTAACCCCTCTTCCATTTTCCAGAAGTTCTGTGTTATATTCCTAGAACCACTTTATACAATGCTTGACCCATCACCATATGCAAATAGCTGATTAAAAGTTATTTGACAATGACATTTTTCTTCCCTTTTAGGGACTTCACTGTGACTTTGCTTGCCTGATGTTCCAATACTTAGTAAATAAGCCTTCAGAAGAAAGGGTCAGGGAGATCATTGTTGATGCTGTCAAAATTGAGCAGGTAAACCGGGAAGTTTGTGTAATTAGCACATCTCTCTTTCTCTGATGTTTGTACCACTATTATATTGACTCATAAGAAATTCTGTAGGTCAATAAAAATACCAGCAATTTTATTCTGGTCAGCCTGACAATACCAATACATGATATATTACAATTATTATGTCAGTTTACAATTTGCTTTAGTAAGTCAGTCTTTATTATATATTAAGGTTTTATGTATACTAAAACCTGTTTCAGGGCTATTTTTCTGTCTTATTGATCTCTGTCAAATTTTATGCCATGATCAGCTAATTATAGTAGCTTTTTTTTTTACATTTTTAGTGACTGGAGAACAGTGATGATTTTTTATTTGTTTTGTATTTTTAATAACGTAGCAAGGTACCTAGCTTGAAGCATACACAAATTTTTATAGAATGAATAAGTAAGTTAATGAAAAGTAACAATTAAGTTAGGGTATGTACGGATTTCTTACTAGAAAGAGCTAGATGCGCTACTTAGGATGTGTTTTTATCATTCTGAAATTGCTTTTGTTTTGGTAACACTGCGTAGTTTAACAGGCGTAGTTTGTATATTGAAAGAGGAAAAAGGCATAACAGGTACTTTGGTATCTTTAATCATTTTGAGAACTAAATCCAAGTGGTTAATATATTTTTATTTTTCCTCTATTAACGCTTTACCACTATATAGTCTTTCAGTATGGTTGGAGCTATTTTATCTCCCAACCCCCAAATCTGTTTGTTTCTTTTTTCTCATTTTCTTTGTTAATTGAGTTTTTCTTTCTTTCCCAGCTCCCTTCCATAGTCATGTTCTTCATGATGATCATCTTTGAATCTTTTTCCAGATATTTTAGAACAAAGTATCTTTTTTTTCTATTGAGAAAGCATACGAATCCGAGTCTTATATCTGCTACTTCAAGAAATCCAGTAATTTGGTAGTTCGTTTCCATTTATTTTGGCTCTTCGAAAACATGAAAAAATGTGAATAGTTAATACCCCAAATGTTTTTAAATATACGGACATCATTTGCCACATTGAAAGAATTTATCCTAATATACTTTCCTTGGACAAAATCAGTCTTAGAAATAAAACGAAAGTCCTCTTTCTATTTGGAAAATACATATTTATAGTTTTGTTTGTACTTTATTCTGTTTTTGTTTTCATCCCAGGAGTTTTTAACAGAAGCCTTGCCAGTTGGCCTCATTGGAATGAATTGCATTTTGATGAAACAGTACATTGAGTTTGTAGCTGACAGATTACTTGTGGAACTTGGATTCTCAAAGGTAATGTGTTTAAAAATGTGTTACTACTAGTTAAAATATTATAGGAAAGCAAGGACCCTAAAGTATAATTTACTGAAAGCATTTGTAACATACTATTCTATTTTTTAAATGTCAATGACAGAGACTTGTTTTGTATGAACAAGGTTTTGCAAAATCCTTTGAAATTTAAAATTAATAACTGAAGTAGGAGGCTGGTAAAATATTAGAACTAATAAGCTCAATAAATTATTTTGCAATAATTGTAGCTGTATATTTAATAGGATTATTTTCAAGGAGTTAGGTTTAATATGCATATATATATTCACCCTCATATAAATCGCCATGTGTCTATATTGTGGTTTGGGAGTTAATACTTTTAAATAGGGAATAGTTATTAGGAAGACATTAACTGTCACAATATAACTCTTTGAACAGAGTTATTCAAGTTATTTTTGTCATTTATCAGAGATAATGTACCTGAATTTCATCAGTGCGGTTTTCCCATTACTTAAGACATGGAGCCTGCAGCCACACTATCTGGGTTTGAATCCTGGTTCCACCACTTTCTAGCTGTGTGACCTTTGGCAGGTTGCTTAACTATCTCAGTTTCCTCATCTATAAATTAGAGATAGTAATAATATTTACTACAAAGGATTGTTGATGAGTTGATACACTTAAAGCACTTAAAATAATATTAGACACATAATAAACTCACACTAGATGGTCACTTTGTACTTAAGTGAAACACAGAAATTCACTATGTACTATACCATGGTAATTAGAAATACAGATTTTGATTTCTTGTCATGAAAATGTAAGTTCAAATTATCTTTAATGAGAATCCTTATGAAATCTATGATGCTGTGGTAATCATTACCTATCTTGCTAATGTTGTATTAGCAGATATAGCAGAATTATATTCTGATAACCACCCAGGTACTTAATGAAAAAGTCAAGTGGGGCGTAGGTTTTTTTGGTAAGATAAACTACATTTTAACATTTTAGTTGCAAGATCCTCTCTGTGTTTACTAATTAATGAGAAATCAAGATTATAACTATATTAATATAATCTCTTAAACTTATAAACTATGTATATTAAAAGAAATTGTGTTTGTTCATAACTTTTACCAATATTTTTGTTATTAGAAAATGAATTTGCTTATTTAAGCCTTACAGTGAATTCGCTATTCTTTAACCCATTACCATATCCTCACATCCACACGTTCATGTTCTGCTGCTTATTAGAAAACTGCTGACCCTTGGGTCTAATTTTCCTTTTGGGAACTTGCTAACTGTAGGTATGTAAAACATGCCACCTCCTGCAGGAGAAGGTCTAAACACAATGTAAAACTTTGTTTTTCCACAGGCTTCAAAATATCTGAGTAAATTCTAAAAAGCAGAAATTATAGAGGCCTTAGATTTTTAATGCAATGAAAGTAGAAACTGATTTAAAAATTGCCAAAAAGCTTAATCTACTTAGAGATTAAAAATATATCCGTTAGGCCAGGTGCGGTGGCTCACACCTCTAATCCCAGAACTCTGGGAGGCTGAGGTGGAAGAATCACTTGAGTCTAGGAGTTTGAGACCAGCCTAGGCAACATGGCGAAATCCTACAAAAAATTAGCCAGGCCTGGTGGCATGCCTGTAGTCCCAGTTACTTGGGAAGCTGAGCTGGGAGGATCACTTGAGCCTGGGAGGCAGAGGTTGCAGTGAGCTGAGATTGTGCCACGGCACTCCAGCCTGAGCAACAGAGTGAGACCCTTTCTCTCTCGCTCTCTCTCTCTCTCTCTCTGCATATACATGTATCTCCTTTAAAATGAGATTTAAAATGAAAATAAAAATTAATTGAAAATATAAAGTAAATGACAATATGATTACTATGTATCAAAACTTGTAGGAGCTGGGCCTTGTGGCTGACTCCTATAATCCCAGCACTTCGGAGGCCAAGGCAGGAGGATTGCTCGACCCCAGGAGTTCCACACTAGTTTCAGCAATATAGCAAGACCCTATCTCTACAAATAAAAATAATAATAAGGCTGGGCACAGTGGCTCATGCCTGTAATCCCAAAATTTTGGGAAGCTGAGGCAGGTGGATCACCTGAGGTCAGGAGTTCAAGACCAGCCTGGCCAACATGGTGAAACCCTGTCTCTACTAAAAATACAACAATTAGCTGGGCATGGTGGTGGGTGCCTGTAATCCTAGCTACTCGGGAGGCTGAGGCGAGAGAATCGCTTGAACCCAGGAGGCAGAGGTTGCAGTGAGCCGAGATTGTGCCATTGCACTCCAGCCTGGGCAAAAAGACCGAAACTCTGTGTCAAAAAAAAAACCCACCAAAAACAAGCCACTTAATTTAGTTTGTTTTTTTGGTCTTGGTTACTTTGTCCATGCCATGAATGACTTAGATCTAATTTTTTGAAAAGTCTTCAGTTCTAACATCTAGTGAGTCTATGGCTATTGGTTCAGTGCCCTTTCACTGTATCTTGCTGTATATTACAGCTCCAATATTCCCTCACTTTTTACACACAATTTCTGATGGAGAATTTCATAGAATTTCACTCAGCCACACCCAGCATATGAGTTTTTGGAAAAAAGATACATAAATATTTAAAGCTTTATTTAAAGATTAAGTCACATAGCATGCAATTCACCCATTTAAAATGTACAATTCAATAGTTTTTAGTGTAGTCACAGAGTTGTACAACCATCATAACAACCTATTTTAGAACATTTTTATCACCCCATAAAGAAACTGTATCCCTATTAGCAGTCAGTCACTCCTCTTTCCTCCCCTTACCCACCTTGCCTTAGGCAACCACTAATCTAATTTTTGTGTCTGTAGATTTGCCTATTCTGCGTCTGTAGATTTGCCTATTCTGCATATTCTATTTCATACAAATGGAATCATATAATATGTGGCCTTTTGTGGTTCTCTTCTTTCCTTAGTGTGTTTTCATGGTGCATTCATGTTGTAGCATGTATCAGTGCTTTATTCCTTTATATGACCAAATAAATAATATTCCACTGTATGGATATACCAAATTTTATTTATCCATTCGATGGACATTTAAGTTGTTTCCTCTTTTGATCTATTGTGAATAATGCTACTATGAACGTTCATTTACACATTTTTGTGTGGACATGTTTTCATATCTCTTAAGTATACACCTAGGAGTGAAATTGCTGGATCATATGGTAACTCCATGTTTAATCATTAGAAGAACTACCAGACTGTTTTCTAAAGCAGCTGCACAATTTTATATTCCCACCCTGTATGAGGGTTCTAATTTCTCCACATCCGCACCAACACTTATTACCTGTTTTTTAAAAAATTATAGCCATCCGAGTAGGTGGGAAGTGGTATCTCATTGTGATCTTGATTTGCATGTCTCTAATGGATAAGGATGCTGAGCATCTTTTCATTTTGTATATCTTCTTTAAAGAAGTATCAGTTTGTCTATTTAGACACTCTGCCCATATTTAAAATTGGGTTACTTGAATATATGTTTATCTGTAGTGTTCATATTTTTTGCTGGGATACTCCTAAATTGAGAAATCCTCTTTTGTTACTCCTTGTGAATCACTGAAATATCCCACAGTTTCCATCAAGCTGTATCTCCAAGTCTGCTTCTTGAATTCTTTTTTTTTTGAAATGGAGTCTTACTCTGTTGCCCAGGCTACAGTGCAATGGCATGATCTTGGCTCACTGCAACCTCTGCCTCTCAGGTTCAAGCAATTCTCCTGCCTCAGCCTCTTGAGTAGCTTGGATTACAGGCATCTGCTACCACGCCCAGCTAATTTTTGTACTTTTAGTAGAGACAGGGTTTCACCATGTCAGTCAGGCTGGTCTCAAACTCCTGACTTCAGGTGATCCCACCTACCTCGGCCTCCCAAAGTGCTGAGATTACAGGCATGAGCCACCATGCTCGGCCTTGTTTCTTGAATTCTGAAGCAGTAAAAAAGCTTCTTGTTAGCATAGTCCCCCTTTTTGTTTGGAGACATCTAGTCACTATGGATAACATTTATTCTGTCTTCCCTGATCATGTTCCCTTAATGACAATTTGTTGATTATCTGTTCTCTTATAAACTAAGAAACATACTTAGAACCACAGTGGATTGTTGCTAATTTAACATTTTATAGTATCATGTATGTCTGACTAATAGTAATATCTATGAAAAATGCTCATGGTGTATTGGATATCTCAAGCTGTGAGAACATTTTCTATTGGTTAGTATTAAATATTTCAATTCCTGAAATAGTTGTGTTTTTTTTTCTATTTATTAGAATACCAGAGATGCTAGTACAGTTTCTTGAGGAGATTAGTGGTTGATCTTGGGTCATCTTAAAATTTGTCAGCCTTGAGTACCTCCAGGGTCTTAGGGGAATGATATGATCTTGTAGCTGACTAGATAGGTTTTGAGAAACCTGACCTCTGTTTTGGTCATCTTTGCTCTTATTGTGGATGTAATTTGATCTCTTCAGAATGTCTAATAATATTTCTTTCCTTTTTAGGTTTTTCAGGCAGAAAATCCTTTTGATTTTATGGAAAACATTTCTTTAGAAGGAAAAACAAATTTCTTTGAGAAACGAGTTTCAGAGTATCAGCGTTTTGCAGTTATGGCAGAAACCACAGATAACGTCTTCACCTTGGATGCAGATTTTTAAAAAACCTCTCGTTTTAAAACTCTATAAACTTGTCATTGGTAAATAGTAGTCTATTTTCCTCTGCTTAAAAAAAATTTTAAGTATATCCTTTAAAGGACTGGGGGTTTGCTCAAAAGGAAATCCAAAACCTATTCTAAACAATTTGCATTTATATAATTTTCCTGTTTAACAACAAGAGTGTGACCTAAATGCTTTTGTCTTGTCACTGAAATAAAAGATGGCATTATGTGGTTAAGAGCATGGGGCGAGGGGTCAGACATGAGTCTAAGGTTCTGCCCTTACTCCAGTGTGTGACCCTTGGCAAGTCAGTTAATCTTGGTAAACCTCGGTGTACTTATCTTTAAAATGGGAGTAATAGTAGGTCCTAAATTCATAGAGTGGATATTAGGATTAGGATGCAAAAATAAATGCTTAACCAACACTACTACTGTTAGCACCACTACTAATTATCATTCATTGATAATATTAATTGCAATGATGTTGTAATAAAATACTCTCATTTCCTTAAAATAATTGTGATTCTAGGTCCTAGGATCTAGAATTAGATCTTTGTATTTTTAATGCTTAGGGGAAGAATATAAGTATCTCCTTAAAAAGAACATAATTCTCATTCACGCAAGAATAAGTTCTTTGAATTCCTTAGTATGTAGTGAAGAAAATTTAGTTGTTAGTTGCTTTGGGAAGCCTACTTATGGAGTGGAAACCAGGAGGTTATCATGGTAGTTGACCTTATAAGAAAAATGATTCTTCTTCAGAAATTAAAAACATAACTATTGCCAGATTTAGCTCTGGAATGTTTAGAATCAGGCTAGAATAGCATTTTCCAAAGAATATTCTAAGAGCTATTAGCTCCTCTAGATATTTTTTTGGGGGAAAAAGGGGATTCTGTGGTCAGATGAGTTTGGGAAATGCTGAACACTTCATTCTTCTTTAGCAAGTACAGTCAGTACATCAAAGACTGAGCAGTTCAGTGGTACATAAATTTATCTCGCCCTGCATATTCCCAACATACTTAACACAGATGTTTTTTACCTGTTAACATCTCACCCAGCTAGTGTTCCTCAGAACAAAGATTGGAAAAAGCTGGCCGAGAACCATTTATACATAGAGGAAGGGCTTATGGACTGAGAAAGGGAGAACATGGTAGGGATTATTGAATCATTTCAAATTTATACCAGCCTGAATAGTGTACCAGCAATTGACTTAGGCTGTGTTTCTTTATGGTTTTAAAACTCTTGAGCTGTTATAAGAGATAGTTCTTTTAATGTGACTATGCAACATGATAGCCAATGGTGAGGGAAAAGGAGGTTTCTCTAGAAGAGTCTGATGAAAGGCCGGGAACCAAGGTTTTTGAGAAGTCTGCCCCTATTTATTTTTAGTAAGTATCAAGAGGTAGCCTGAGCCTAGTTAGAGTTAGACCTGTCTTTGGATGAAGAAGTCTTAATACTGAAATACTGAATTTTTAATACATTATTATTTGGTATTCTGTATACCCCTTCAAGCAGTTGTTTCCCATTCCCAACAAACTGTACTTTATACAATTCTGGATGCTAAAACTTAGAGATTTTCTCTTTGCATAAATTTTGGCTCCATTCTTTCCATAACAATCTAATCAAAACTGGGAGTTCTCAAGTGAATGCAAAAGGAGCAGGCCATAACTTTATTTGTTAGATACACTGTCAGAAACTTGAGATCTTTTGGCCTATGATAATACCATTAATTTTTGCATTGCTTCAGTTTGCCAAGTGTTTTTACATCATCTCATTTGATCTCAAAACAGCTTGACAGAGCAACTGTTATTGAAATATTACAGATGGAAAGAATGAGGCTCAGGGAAGTTAAATGACTTGGCCAAGATCTGCTCATCGTCACTGTCTGTACAGTATTTTTTTTTAGAGGTTGTAATGTCTCAGATTTAGTCCTTTACCATCTATGTTGATTTGCTTTTGTCTATTTCCTCATTAATTGAATATACTTTAAATATATATATTAAAGTATCAAAATATAGAGAGACATTTGAACTGTATTCAGGTAATATGTTTAAAGATATTTATATATTGCCATACAAAAACTTAACATTTAAAACTGATAATATCTGTAATGACATCAGAATGAAAGAAAAAAAATTGTACAGTGTATATTCCTTTGTTTTGAATCCAAATCTTTTTCATAGGTAATGACAGATGCCTTAATGTGAAGCTTATTTATAATAGCAATAAACCTAACTGGATTTGGATGAAGAAGTCTTAATACTGACATACTGGATTTTTAATGCACTGGTTTGTTATTTGGTATTCTATCTCTTTTTCCAGGCCTCCAGGTTGCACATTTATTTATTATGTTCAATACTTTGGTTCTTAGTTCTTAAAGAATCAAGAAGTTGTGTAATCTTTTAAAAATATTATCTTGCAGATAAAGAAAAAAATTAAGAGTGTGTTTACAACTGTTTTCTCTTTTTTACAGTACATGTATTTAAATCATTGCTATAATAAAGTTAAGTTCATTAGGAATATAAAAACTTGCAGTTCTATGATAGATTGCATTTATTAAAAATGTTTCATTGTATCACATAGAAATATGGCCAGGAAGGACTTGAGAAGACAGTTTGATCCATTGCTTTTAGACAGGACTGGGTTTTGCTGTCCAATTATATACAATAATAGTTTTTCTTACAACTAAGCTGGCCCCAGCCTTGTCTTGATATTAATACATGAAATTTTTATAATTGTCTCATTGTCTCATTTAGAAACATCCATATTTTTCTGCTTTTTCTATTGCCATTTTTTATTTGTGCATGAATTGATTATTGAGAAAATGTAGCAGTTTGCATATTTAAAAATTAATCATTTTGCATTTTACATTTAAATATGCTAACATCACTGTCATAGAATTCCCAAATTTCATTTGTAGATACTGAACTAAGGGCTAATGTCAGGAGCTGATTTTTAATGATAAAGCTGCAGATGGGCTAAATAAAAGCCAAATTAATCCTACAATCAGGTATTATGTTTTTAAACCAAGTTGAGTGAATTGGTAGTGGACTTGGGAAATCTTCCCCAGCAGAATCTGGATGAATGGCACAGAATTGAAATCTCTTTGTTTCCCACCATTTCCCTTTAAGTGCTCTGCTCCTTTGTAAAAAGTTAAAGATTTGAAAGAGAATCTCATATTCCCGAGGCATTAGGAAGAAAGGATTTAATCCCTTCAATTTGGGGCTTAATCTTGTTTAAAAAAATGTAAGTGAAGATGGAAGGCTGGAGAGAATGATTGCTTTTTGTACAGTTAAATAAGGTCACAATATTCTTACATACTTTGTTTTACAACTGTGTTTTCATTTTTTCAAATGTCTGGCCATTTAGCAAAGTTATTTACTATTTACTGTGTACATAGAAAGCTTTATTATGTGTGGTGTATCTAAATTTTTTTTGCTGAAATACATTATGGTCAATCAAGCCAAGCCTGCATGTACAGAATTTGTTTTTTTTTCAAATAAATTAGTTGTTTTCTTATTTTTTTGGCTTAGTATGTTGAAATAAACTATGGTATCTTCATCATTTTGTACATTTCCTTTTTGAGGAAGGTTTCTTTATAAGTGCAAGGGCTACCCTAATAAAGGAATGTATATACTTACTATTTGTGTCTGCAGATAAATACATACTTGTTTGTTCAACTATCGCCCCAACCATAGTTTTTACATTAAATGAGACTCCCAGTTCTCTCACCTATCTTTCTCCCAATCCATAAGCCTCTCTTCATGTCTTTGTTTCCAGCTGAGATTCCACAAACATCATATTACTAGCAGTAGCACTCATACCAGTACCCTCAACTCTGTCCCTTATCTGCTTTTTACCATACATAGAAAAATTTAGAAAAATCCCCAAGTCTGTTTTGAATGAAACAACTTAGTTTTTCCAGTATTTGCACCCCAGCAGCCAAATGCTGCTAGAGAAGAAGTCATACAACAAGGCAATTGGATTCTCTACGTATTCATGATTACCCTATCTCAGCACTATCTGGTAATCCTACTACAATTTCCTGGTAAACTTGACCTCCACTGTGCACAATTGCTTTTTCACACCTCCTCTCTCTACCTCTACCCCCGTTTCCCAAAGAGGTGACCATATATTTTACTCTGTGGACTTTGCACACATAGAGATATTCTCAGAGTTAGTAGAAAAATTTGACGATATAAGAGCCCCAAATCTAGAACCTAAGAAGTTAACAGTAGATATGAATTCCTATGTGTGATTTCTGCTGTGGAGTCATTACAATCGGAGTGATTGAAAATATCTGGGACTAACAGCCATTTAATTCTGGGGACTGCTGCTCTCATTCCCAACCATGCGGTTCTCCCAGGGCTGCCAATACGCTAGTATGCACTGAATGTGTCTGGGCGCAGGCTTAAGCATGTGATCCAGACTGGGCCAGGTCCTTACCTAGGGTTTTCCTAATTGAAACTGAAGAAAGAGAAGCACTTTTATTCTAAAGACAAGCTAGAGAGAGTCCTAGTTCTAAACTCCTCTGAGGTCCAACTGTATTCTTTGCATAGTTTCATTTTCAAGGTAACAAATGCCACTTTCGGCTTAAGGTAGGTCAAATTAGGTTTCTTGATTTTCAACCAAAGGGATTCTAGTTAAAACAGAAATTGATCCCTGGAAGAAAAAAAAAGTACATGGAAATAATCGGTATTTATGTGAGTATCGGGCTCAGCAAGAAACAGTTGGCAATTCAAGTTAGGGTAATTCAAAAGAAGTTTGGCAACAGGACAATTTAGAAAGTTATGGACAGGAAACCATAGGAAATAGTGTAGTACATGGGGCTACCAATTAATTACAGGGCTGTTACCACCCCTGCTTAACTCCTCCCTTAAGCTTGAGGGAGCAGTTAAACCAGAGGGAGAGAATTATGAATAAGATGTGATCTTCATTTAGAGCGAGACAGCAAGCCTAAGGCAACTTCGCTGAGAAGGAGCCAGAAAATAAATACTCTCACCTTGTTCCTCTTGCCTCCTATCTCCTTCAGTGGCTCCCCATTAGCCAAAACCAACTAGGAGCAAGAGGGCAAGGGAGCTTGATGCCGTCCTTACAGATCAGCCTCCAGGCGTAGGGTGGAAAATGGATCTGGACGACATATAGAAGATGTGTCACAAAGAGTGTTGGAAATTATTGGTACTTTCCTCAAAGAATTACAAGAAAGAGATGAGCTCAGGAAAGAATTAGTGAGTTTGTAAGAAAAACCAAAAGGAAATCAGACTCAAAAAATTAAGTACCTTGCAGGCTGAAAAAGCAGGCTGATTGTAAACCCCCAAAATAAGAGTTGGGATTGAGAAAAATTCTTTTTTTTTTTTGAGACAGAGTCTCACTCCGTTGCCAGGCTGGAGTGCAGTGGCGCGATCTCGGCTCACTGCAACCTCCACCTCCCGGATTCAAGCAATTCTCCTGCCTCAGCCTCCCGAGTAGCTGGGACTACAGGCGTTCGCCACCATGCCCAGTGAATTTTTGTATTTTTAGTACAGATGGGGTTTCACCATGTTGGTCAGGATGGTCTCTATCTCTTGACCTCATGATCCGCCCAACTCGGCCTCCTAAAGTGCTGGGATAACAGGCGTGAGCCACCGTGCCCAACTGAGAAAAAATCTTGAGATAAGAATTCATCAAGACAATCTTGGCAAAGGTAAGAAGAGGGGTGTGAGAAGGTAATGTAAGCCTCCTGAGAAGGTGGGATGATGGAAAGCACAGGTGGAGGGCTTGACCTCAGACACTTCCTCTATTGTAGCAGGAGGGAAGCTAGGGAAGGTGGATGGATGGTGATGGGGTATGTCTGTAGTTTAGTGAAGAGACATTGTAAGCTTGTTGTTTGTTGACTTAATTTCTCTGTGAAAGAGATGATAAGGTCACCTCCTTGGGAAGTGGGGGTAGGGGCAGCGAGGGGAGGTGTGAAGAAGCAATTGTGGAGGATGGAGAGCCTAGTAGATTCAGTTTGCCTTAGTGTATGGTTTTTCTCTAGCAGCATTTGCTGCTAGGGTACAAATATGTAAAAACTGGATTGTTGCATTCACAATGGGTTTTTTCCTGGATTTTTCTATGTATGGTAAAATGTATGTATGTATGGTAAAATGCAGGTGAGGAACAGAGTTAAGGCTATTGATAGGAATGCTACTACTAGTAATATGATGGACTCCGGAATCTTAGCTGGATAGAGAGACGTGAAGAGAAGAGGTTCATGGATTGGGAGAAAGTAGATGAGTGAGAGAACTTGGGGGTCTTGATTAAGTCTAAGAACTGTGGTGGGGGGAGTAGGTGAACAAGTGCTCTGGAAGGGGAGGAGATTGTGGTCAGAGTGAGGTGCTAGAATTGGTGATTCAGAACATAGTAAGTGTGGGAGAAGGAGGCTGGGGTTTGTTGCTGGGGAAGTGGGTGGGCTCATTGGTGATGAGAACCTCAGGGAGCTGAGAGTCCAGGGTTTTGCATCTTGGGTGGATCCTGAGAGCCAAGTGTTTAACTCTTCAGTGAAAGAGAGGTACTGTCAGGACAAGATGAGGAGTAGGAGAGGGAGGTATAGCTGAGTTGTGAGTCTTAAAAGAGCAGGGTTGTAACAAAATAATGTGGTGTCCATGGTCTGGAGGTGTCAGTGGGGATCAAAGAGGACCCCAGCTCAACTTTCCCCACATACCTGAGAGGTCCATGGGGTGTGAGAAAATAAAAGCTTTCTTTCCAAAGGCGACATGGGAAGAGTTCCCAGGGCAATGCCCTGTTTCAGGTAACATAAGGCCCGCAGAGGAAGGCACCAACTGACTGATTTTGGAGAAGGGGTTACCAAAGGCTCAGGGCCAGCATTTGGGAGGGATAGACAAGTGAGGCTGGGTCAGGAATGGGGCCATGTACAGCACTATCAGGACTACGGTGAGGCGACCGTAGATAGCTGGGGGTGGTACTGACTTGTTAAAACTGGCTGAGTTGAGGTGCAGTGAAGATCCACCATGTGAAGGAAAGAGTTGTCCTGGTTTTATGGGACCTTGCTAGGTGATGTGTCTATGGCAGGATAGCACTCATTGTACATCTGGGCTTTCTGCATCCTGTGCCAACTCTCACAACCACATCTCCTGTTCTCTGATCATTTCTCCAGCTTAGCATGTTTACACATCATAGAAAGAAGGGGTGAGAAACATTCTCCTGTCGCCTACTCAATTGTCTGAGTAATGGTCAAAGGCCATGTTCTTTATAGTCTCTCATCAATAATGATAATGTCCAAGTTCTGACAGTAAAAGTGTAAGCTTCACTGTATCTTGGAAGATTTATTTCTCAGGAAATTAATAAATATTTATGCATACTTTAGAGTTTACAAGGTGATTTTGCAGTCATACCATTGCAATAATTTCATTGGCTCACCAATTTTATGAGAAATTGCTGTCATAATAATATCATTATTATTATGATAACAATGATATTTGGGACTTGAAGCTCAGAGAAGTTAAGTTCCTGTCCAAAGTCACACAACTAGTAAGGGGTAGAGGCATGACCCCAACCCAGGCATCATGGTTTAAATCGCATCATCTTTTCACTGAGTGCACCCAAATTTCTATTGCTAGCTGGTGGAAGTCAAGATGATTTTTTGGTGGGATACGATCCCTTTGAGCTACACACCCTCCATAACACACTCCATTGGCAGGTGTCAATTTAGAGCTTCATTTGTCCGTCTCAAGGTCATGCGGCATGGCTTGCTGAGAATTGTGTTTGAGCATCACTTCATGACTGGAATGGCAATAATGTTTGAAGACATTGGGACTGCAAGGGCAGTTGATACTTGTTTTTTAATTACATCTGGAAAATCTTCTTTGAAAAGTTTAGTTTGTTTGTTTGTTTGTTTTTGAGATGGAGTCTTGCTCTTTCGTCCAGTCTGGAGTGCAGTGGTGTGATCTCGGCTCACTGATCCCGGCTCTCTGCTTCCCAGGTTCAAGTGATTCTCCTGCCTCAGCCTCCCAAGTAGCTGGGATTACAGGCACATGCCACCATGCCCGGCTAATTTTTGTATTTGTAGTAGAGACACGTAGAGACAGGGTTTCACCATGTTGGCCAGGCTGGTCTCGAACTCCTGACCTCAAGTGATCTGCCCACCTCGGCCTCCCAAAGTGCTGCAGTTACAGGTGTGAGCCACCACGCCTGATCCTGAATAGTTTTTTTTTTTTAAGTAAAATAATTTAAAAACGTTAAGAAAAGAAATAGTACAGGTGAAACTCACAATGGCATGTCCGGCCAGTGGCTGCATATGACAAATTTTGGAAACCTGAGAACACATCACGTGGTCTACTGTGTAAAATGTTAGATGCTGCTCAAAAAATTTAGAGGAGTTTTCCAAGAAGTCTTGCCCAGAACTTAGGGTAATAAATTGGTGGCAAATAAAGATATGCTTGCTTCAATTTATTTAAATTCCAGACTGATATGTTTCGGATTTGTGGACCCGCCCGAATCTCATGTTGAATTGTAATCCCCAGTGTTAGAGGAGGGGCCTATTGGGAGGTGATTGGATCAAGGGGGCCAACTTCCGCCTTGCTGTTCTCATGATAGTGAGTGAGTTCTCACGAGATCTGATCGTTTAAAAGTGTGTAGCACTTCCCACTTTGCTCTCTTCCTCCTACTCCGGCCATGTGAGATATGCCTGCTTTCCCTTCACCTTCTGCTGTGATTGAAAGTTTCCTGAGGCCTCCCAAGCCATGCTACCTGTACGGCCTGAGGAACCGTGAGTCAGTTAAGCCTCTTTTCTTTATAAATTAACAAGTCTCAGTTTCTTTATAGCAGTGCGAGAACGGACTAATACACAGACCATAGGTAGCACCTGTTTCTAATTCCTGCTGTCTGGTGGTTTGGATCTGTTGGAGCCAAAAGTCTCAGAGAACTTGGACTGCCCTTCATACAGTTCTCCAAGAGACAGAGTCTAACCAGCTAAAGGCAACATCCAGATACATCTCTGAGGAAAGAGACTGGTAAAAAATTATTCCAAGCATATCTTTTGTGTGTGATAAAATTCATCATCTACTCATTTCCAGGGACTCAGCTTTGTCAATGGGCACCAGAGTTCAACATAGGAAGTTTTTCTCCACCTCCAGATTTTTCCCTGCTCCTACATCCTTTCCTGGCTAGTCTCTGTGTGCTCATGGCTCTCTGTACTTATGACCGCTGTGGCACATGGTATACTGAAATTGTAACTGAGCCGCTTTAAGGTAGGGACCATGCTCTTTACGTTTTTATTGTCCTGCATTACTTGTAGCAGGTGCTCAGTATTTCTGCAATGAATGAATGGATGAGGTGACAATGATAATTAGCTGAAACAAGAAGCCTGGTGTCATGTAATCAAAATAAGCTGGTGGTTAGAATCCATCATTTATAGAGCACATGTAACTCAGATTCTTACATATGTTATCTCATTTAGTGCTCTTAACAATCCTATAGGGAAAGTATTTTTTTCCTCCTTCCCTCCACAAATATTTATTGTCTTCTAAGTGCCAGGCACTGTGTTAGGTAATGGAGATAAAACCGTGGACAAGACAGACACAATGTCTGCCCTCTGAGTGGGGTCAACACATAAATGAGAAAAGGAAATAAAACATTTCTCTCATTTTCAAGATGAGTTTCAGAGAGGTTCTGCTCCTTGTTTAAAGTGATACAGATAGATCCAGATTTCTGTCCCAGTTCTAATTGATACCAAAGCTTATGCTTTCCCCAGAATCCCCCAGTCACCTCTAATTGGCAGAGAGTTCCAACCCATCTCAAAGGGCTGGTGGCCTGGGATGGGGGTGGGGGTGGTGAGAGCTGGTAGCTGCAGGAGTGATCTGGCCCCAGGGGAGAAGCCAGCAGATGTGAGGGTCAGACGCTGCAGCAGCTGGGAGGCAACACTATTGCAGTCAGTGAGGAATTTAGTGAGCAGGGCTGATGGGAGAATTTAGCAAACCTAATTGCATCTAATTCTCCAAGAGGGAAGAGTAGCTTTAGCGTCTTGCCAGCTGCTACCAATGTAGAGCTCAGAGTTAGTAGCCCCCATGTGCCCTGCGTGGAGTGGGGAGAAAGCCATTCTAAAGGGCCAGGGCTGAGCACATATATCTTCTGTGACCCAGGTAACTCACTGGCAACCCATAGACGGTGCCTCGAGATGTGGAACCCTGTGCTGTGAGGTGTGGAAGAGCACAGGCTTTACAGCCAAACTGCTGGGGTTCAAATCCTGGCTTTCCACTTGCTGGCTGGGTGACTTTGGCAAATCAGTTGTCTTTGTGCCCGGAGTTAATTATCTGTGAACTGGGAAGAACAGAAGTGTGGACTTCTTGTGTTGTATAAATATGCGGCAAAAGGCGGGGCAGATGAGGGGACAGGAGACACTGTGCCAAGTCCCTTTCCTCACCAGACAGCCCCAGAGCCATGACCTGGCTGCTCCCCTGGTCCCCATTCCCCATCTCTGGCCTTTGCCTTCCTGTGGGTAGCACCTGCTTTTGAAAATGACAGAAATGTCTTGCTCGAGGGCTTGTTTCCTGCTTTCCTCATGGTGGAGCTCTTGAACCACTGGTTTCTCAGATCAGAGCCCGCTCCTTCACGGAGGGAACTGAAGATGCAGATTTTCAAGACGGAAGATTCTGTTTCCAGTGGAGCTTGGTGTTCGGTAGGAGAGATACCTTTGGACACGGAAGATATATGTGTTCAGCCCTGGCCTTTTAGAATGGCAAACTCACAGCAGGGGCCCTTGGAGGAATTTTCCCCTGACTGACTGTACAAAGATGAAAGTCTAGGGGATGATATCAAAGGGAAACTCTCATTTTGGTACCAACTGAAAGAGGAAGAGCCTCTTCCCATAAACGGATCCCAAGCAGTTATGAAACAACCGACAAAACCACACATCTTTTCGAAGTATCAGGTGGCTTGGACTAGTCACGAATACCTGTGACTTTGATATTTGCTAATCTACGAGTTGGGTGGAGAGGGGAGGGTCAGAAATGTTAGACAGCAGTAATCCTCCAGCCTATTCTGAGAAGAGCTGGAGACAGAGCAGGATGCACTAGCGCCTGTCTGTTGTCCCAGAATGGGTCACATGAGGTCCTTTGGCCCTGGGTATGTGGAGTCGTCCTTCTCAGTGTGAGGAGGGCAGTATCTCTGGTCAGGACAAGATGCAAGTGTCTGCACAATCAGGTCTGGAGAGCAGGTTTCCTGGGAGAGAGGGGGTCATGAGATGATGCTGCATCCTATGAAACCTAAATCTATCTTAACCCAGGTAACTCACTGGCAACCCACAGACAGTGCCTTGAGATGCGGGACTCTGCACTGTGAGATGTGGAAGAGCACAGGCTTTAGAGCCAAACTGCTGGGGTTCAAATCCTGGCTTTCCACTTGCTGGCTGGGTGACTTTGGCAAATCGGTTGTCTTTGTGCCTGGAGTTCATTGTCTGTGAAATGGGAAGAACAGTAGTGTGGACTTCTTGTATTGTATAAATATGTGGAACACTTCAAATAGCACCCAGCACAGAGTAAGCACTCAATAATTGAAGCTATTATCTCAAAGCTTCTATTTAGTACTAAAATTTCAACTCTATGCTGGAACATTTCCATTAGCTTAGAGGGACCTTAAAATTAAGAAATCTTCTAAGGCCACGCTAATGGCTTCCTCCTATATCACCTTTAACAATTTCTTCATTGTATAGGTTTTCAGTTCCATCTTGCAAACTGGCTGTGCACATTTTTAGCATAAATTACTAAGTGTTCTTAGTATTTAGCATTGTAGTTGGCTGGGAAATATATTCCTGTGTTTCCTTAACAAATAAGATAGCTTTAATCTGCTGACAGCATTAGGAGCAATTGACATTCCGTTTATCTTAATTATCTGTGTAGGTTTAACATCATTTGTCGCTGTTATCATGAACATTTTATTTTAAAGCTAATTAACAAATCACAAGCCCTAATAAGGAACAATTCGTATTTCATTCTACAAATGGCAAAGTCAAATAACTTTAGCAGTGCAGTATGTCACTGCTCAGAAAAGTCCCCGGTCCCAGTAGATCTCATCCTGCTGTCCCCTCAACTGGATTGATAGCTTGAGGGTGCAGACTTGCTGCCCCTCTGTCTTTAAAGCATCTCCTTGCAATGAGTAGAATTCAAACTGGTTATTGTTTGCAATACAGAGCTCAGTTTGAGACTAGGCCCTACCCATGGATTTGGGCATGGTTCAGTATGTGGAGAAAACTGCAACGGTGGCTCAACCAAAGTTTCTATGCATAGTTTCTCCTCAGAGAGAATCAACTCTGGGGAAGGAGACAGAACTGAGGTGGGTGTACCCTAAGTGATGGGATGGGGCAAAGATTGTGAATGGAGCATGGATGCCATTATACTAACCTTCCCAGGTAGAACTGAAGGTAGAGCTTCAAAGAGTAGTTGCACAAAATCTTGTCTGCCGGGGTACAAAGCATAAAGAGGGTAACTCAAAGGAAAGAGGGTCATTCTTTTCTCCAGACCAACTCTGTAATTGACCTCAGTGCCTGGCAGAGCAGGATGACATAGTAGTAGTGCATGTGTGTGTGTGTATATATACATATATACACATATATGTACACATACCTATAACTTTGTACATGTCCATGACTTTTCCCTGGGGTAAGTTGGGTCAGAGGAATACAGAATTTTGAAGCTGCCCCCTGTGTGGGTGTATATATACACACACATACATATACACACACACACACACATATACACATATATACACACATATATGTACATATGTGTGTGTATATACATATATGTACATATGTGTGTGTATATACACATATGTACGTGTGTGTGTGTATATATATACACACACATATATATATACGCACACATACACAGGAGTTTTTTTCAATATTGGAAGCTTTCTTTTTACTAAAACTGTAGGTATATTCTAAAACCTTTTCTTTGGCCCAATGGGAAGAATTTTTATTTTTATTTTTTTGGCCATGCATTTATTTATCTCCATATCAGATACTCTTAGCTATCTACTAAAGCCATTCCAAGCCCTTACCCACTTCCAATGATAGAAGTTGGGAAAGCCACATACTTGGCTTCCCAGACTCCCTTGCAGCTCGAAATGACCAAATGGCCCAGTTTAGCTAATGAAACAAAGAAATGCCTGTCGGAGTCTTGTGGATACTTTTTCCTCCTTGCTAAGGGTGAGGCTTGTGAAAAGAATGTCTCTGCCAGGCATACCTCATTGTGCCCTGCCTTCAAACTGTTCTGTATGGATATGGTCCTTGGAATAGTGGCAGCCATCTTGTGACCACGAGGCAACAAACACAAGGAGGAACCAAAAAGCCAAGATTCTGATAATGGAAGAGGTAAAAGGAAAAAGAAGCTTGGGATTTGAATATACTGTTACATGGCTGGACCAGCCTTGAAACCTCCTATCACCCATTTCCTGTTCCCGTGAAACAGTAAATAACAAAATTACCTAAGCTACTCTTACTCATGGCTTCAATTACTTATAAGAAATACATCTTAATTTAAACAGCCTCTCCTATTTTTTTTTTCTTGAGACATGGTCTTGCTCTGTCACCCAGGCTGTAGTGCAGTGGCTCGATCTCAGCTCATTGCAACCTCCGCCTCCCAGGTTCAAGCGATTCTCCCGCCTCAGCCTCCCAAATAGCTGGGATTATAGGCGCTCACCACCAAGCCTGGCTAATTTTTGTTATTTTTTCAGTAAAGACAAGATTTCAGCATGTTGGCCAGGCTGGTCTAGAACTCCTGACCTCAAGTGATCCACCTGCCTCAGCCTCCCAAAGTGCTGGGATTACAGGGGTAAGCCACTGTGCCTGGCCCCTATTTGTTTATTTATTAATTTAGAGACAGGATCTTACTCTATCACCCAGGCTGGAGTGCAGTGGCACAATCATAGCTCATTGCATCCTTGACCTTCTGGGCTCAAGCAATCCTCCCACCTCAGCTTCCCAAGTGGCTGAGACTACAGTTGTGTACCACCACACCCAGCTAATTTTTTAATTTTTATTTTGTAGAGACAGGGTCTCACTATGTTGACCAAGCTGGTTTTGAACTCCTGGCCTCAAGTGATTCTCCTGCCTCAGCCACCCAAAGTTCTGAGATTACAGGTGTGAGCCACCATGCCTGGCCCAGCCTCCCCCTTTTAAAACAATTCAAAGCGAGTTCATTATTTCTTCCTTATCATTTCTGTGTCCCTCATCCATAGGGTGGTTTCAATACTCCTATTCTGATTACATTCCTTACAAAACATTTAAAACTGTAAACGGACACTCATATCCACTTCTCAGCAATGCTGGAATCCTTCATGTACATTCATTTCCCAGCCCTCATTTGGCACGGCTTTTCTGCATTTCAGTTGGGATAAGGTGGTCCTGAGTAGTCAGATGCCTTCCTGGTGGCCTCATCCCCTAACGGTGGTGAGTTCACAGAAGAAGGTGTCCAAGGCACTCCTGGGTTCTGCCATTGGGGTGCCCTGCCTGCTTTTCATTTCAGGACTGTGCCCCAGCACCCTTCTTTCCTAGGGAGGAGTGCTACTGCCTTTTAACTGAGACCAAGTTAGGAATGCTTAATGTTCAAACCAAAACCTTTGTCCTGGAGACAGTACATCAGGTACTCATGCCTGGACTACAAAAAACTCTGTGGCTCCTCCAGATTGGAAGACAGCTGGGATTGTTTTCCCTTCTGCAGGTATGTTTGGACTGAAAAACATCTTTGATTGTATTACTTTTGAATGGCTGGTTTCCTGTTGTGATCTAGCTAATATTTAAGTTCCCCGTGACAGGAATAAATTACAGAGCTTATTCTATCCTGTAGCTCACACCTTTCACAAAACAGCCCATCAGAAGACAGTGAGACCATGTGCTCATCAAGCCAGGTGGCTGGAGTGGGAAGAGGCAGGCAGGATAAGAAATGCCCCTTTCCTGGCTTTAGGGTTTCATAACTGAGGAGGGCATGAAAGGAGGGGCACAGGCTCAAATGGAGGTATTACCAGGTATGCTAGGCTGAGACTAGGATTCAAAGTGTGTGGTGTGTGGAAAAGAGTACCAGGTTAGGAGTTACAAAGAGTAGCAAAGCGGAAAGATGAAATACTTTAGTCAGAAGAAGAATCTCAGTTCTATCATTTATTAGCCATGTGACCTTGAATGAGTTACTTAAGCCCCTCTGAACCTCAATTTTCTAATCTGTAAAATGGGAATATATATTGATCTGTGGTTTGAAGGAGTTGCAATATAGACAAGAGTCTGGATCTGAGTTGAGTGTAGAAAGGGAAGAGTGCTGGGAGAGAGAAGAGATGCATCAAATCCCAGTTTGTGGTTGGACTAGTCTTGGTGAGTTTTAATCCTGTGGTCAGCCCAGGTATCCTGAAAGCTGTTACTCTCAGGGTGCCACTGGATGCTTGTTTTATAAGAGCAGACTAAGGTCCCAAAAAGTCAAGAACCTTGCCCAAGTCCCATATAGAGCAGTAACTAGAACTAGAACTAGGTTATCAGCTTTAACCTTAAATCCTTCTTAATAAATTGGCTTTTAAAACTTGTTCTCAGCTGGTCATGGTGGTTCAAGCCTATAATCCCAACACTTTGGGAGGCCAAGGCAGGAGGATCACTTGAGCCCAGGAGTTCAAAATCAGCCTAGGCAACATAGGGAGAACCTGTCTCTACAAAATTTTACAAAAATTAACAGATATGGTGGTACACACCTGTGGTCCCACCTACTCAGGAGGCTGAGGTAGGAGGATTGCTTGGGCCCAGGAGGTTGAGGGTGCAGTGAGCCATGGTTGCACCGCTGCACTCTAGCCTGAGTAACAGAGTAAGACCCTTTCTCAATCAATCAATCAATCAATCAATCTCTCAGCCTCAGACTAGCCATGGGTAAAATGAGGTTAAAATGAATAAATTATAGGCCATATCCAGTCTCTGTGCCTTTCCTTTCTCCTTACCCTCTGAACCTCCTCAAATATGAGTTTTACTCACAGTTGGTGACATAGTTTGACTATATGTCCCTACCAAATCTCATGTTGAATTGTAATCCCCACTGTTGGAGGTGAGGCCTAGTGGGAGGTGTTTGGGTCATGGGGAAGATCCCTCATGGTTTGGTGCTGTCCTCCTGATAGTGAGTGAGTTCTCATGAGAGCTGGCCCCAACTCTCTCTTGTTCCTGCTCCCACAATGTGATGTGCAAGCTCCTGCTTTGCCTTCTGCTATAAGTAAAAGCTCCCAGAGTCCTCCCCAGAAGCTGAGCAAGTGCCAGCACCATGCTTCCTGTACAGCCTGTAGAACAGTGAACCAAATAAACCTCTTTTTAAAATAAATTACCAAGTCTCAGGTATTTCTTTATAGCAACACAAGAATGGCCTAACACAAAAAGTTGGTACTGGGAGTTGGGCATTGCTATGAAGATACCTGAAAATGTGGAAGCAGCTATAGAACTAGATAAGAGGCAGAAGTTGGAAGGGTTTGGAGGGCTCAGAAGAAGGCAGGAATATGAGGGAAAGATTGGAATTTCTTAGAGACTGGTTAATTCACTGTGACCAAAATGCTGATAGTGATATGGACAGTGAAGTCTAGGCTGCTGAGGTCTCAGATGGAAATGAAGATCTTATTAGGAAATAGAGCAAAGGTCACCCTGTTATGCCTTAGCAAAGATTTGGATGTATTGTGTCCATGCTCTAGGGATCTAGGGAAGTTTGAACTTGAGAGTGATGACCTAGAGTATCTGGTAGAAGAAATTTCTAAGCAGCAAAATATTCAAGATATGATCTGGCTGTTTCTAATAGCCTACATTCAGATGTGGGAGCAAATAAATAACCTAAAGTTGGAATTTATATTTAAAAGGGAAGCAGAGGGTAGAGGTATGGAAAATTTGCAGCCTGGACATGTGGTAGAAAAGAAAAGCCTGTTTTCAGGGGAAGAATCCAAGCAGGCTGTGGAGCAATCACTTGCTAGAGAGATTTGCATAACTAAGAAAGAGCCAGGTGCTGATAGCCAAGACAATGGGAGAAAAGGCCTTGAAGGCATTTTGGAGATCTCAGAGGCAGCCCCTCCCATCACAGGTCCAAAGGCCTAGGAGAGAATGGTTTTGGGGACCAGGCCCAGGGCCCTGCTGCTCTGTGCAGCCTCAGGACACTGTTCCCTACACCTAGGCAGCTCCAGCTACAGCCACAATTCAAAGGGATCCAGGTACAACTCGGGCCTCTGCTCTAGCTCCAGAGGGTGTAAGCAGTAAGGCTTGGCAGCTTCCACATGATGTTAAGCCTGTGGATCCACAGAATGCAAGAGTGAATAAGGCTTGGAAGGTTACCCCTAGATTTCAGAAGATGTATGAAAAAGCTTGGGTGCCCAGGCAGAAGCCTGCTGTAGGGGCAGAGCCCTCACAGATAACCTCTACTAGGGCAGTGCAGAGAGGAAATGTGGAGTTGGAGGCCCTTCACAGAGTCCCTACTGGGGCACTGCCTAGTGGAGCTGTGGGTAGAAGGCCACTGTCCTCCAGATCCCAGAATGGTAGATCCACCAGCAGCTTGCACTCTGCACCTGGAAAAGCCACAGGCTACCAACTCTAATTCATGAAAACAGCCATGGTGAGTAGACACCACAGAGACACAGGTGGGGGTGGAGTTGCCTAAGGCCTTAGGAGCCCACTTGTTGCAGCAATGTGCCCTGGATCTGGGACATGGAGTCAAAGGAGATTATTCAGGAGCTTTAAGATTTAATGATTGCCTGGCTGGGTTTTGAACTTCCACGGCACCTCTCATCTCTTTCTTTTGGCCAATTTTTTCCCTTTTGGAATGGGAATGTTTACCCAATGCCTGTACCCTCATTGTACTTTGGAAGTAAATAACTTGCTTTTGATTTTACAGTATCATAGACGGAAGGGACTTGCCTTGTCTCAGATGAGACTTTGGACTTCTGAGTTCATGCTGGAATGAATTAAGACCTTGGGGTGCTCTTGGGAAGGCATGATTATATTTTGCACTATGAGGAGCATATGAGATTTGTGGGGCCAGGGGCAGAATGATATAGTTTGAATATATGTCCCCACCAAATCTCATATTGAATTGTAATCCCTGATGTTGGAGGTGGGGCCTGGTGGGAGGTGTTTGGCTCATGGGGGCAGATCTCTCATGGCTTGCTGTTATCCTCCTGATAGTGAGTGAGTCCTCATGACATCTGGTTGTTATAAAGTGTGGCACCTTCCCCAACCCCCTTGCTCCTGCTCCTACCATGTAATGTACAAGCTGCCACTTTACCTTTTGCCATGAGTAAAAGCTCCCTGTGGCCTCCCCAGAAGGTGAGCAGATGCCAGCACCATGCTTCCTGTATAGCCTGCAGAACTGTGAGCCAATTAAGCCTCTTTTCTTTATAAATGGCCCAGCCTCAGGTATCTCTTTATAGCAACACAAGAATGGCCTAACACTCAATGGTGGGAGACTGAAAGCTTTCCCACTCAACTCAGGAACAAGCCAAGGAAGCCTACTTTCTTCACTGCTAATCAACATTGTACTGGAAGTTCCAGCCAGAGCAGTCAAGCTACAAAAAGAACTAAAAGGCATCCAAATTGGAAAGGAAGAAGTAAAATGATCTATATTCACAGATGACAATCTGACATATAGATATGAAATTTAAAACTCATTCAGAGTAAGGTGTAAATGACTGATAAATTTTATTTTCTCCCCAGGGGTATTTGCTTTCAAATCAAGGTAGTAAATTCTGCATGTGAAGCTTATTGCATCAATCTGCTGATATAAACATCTTCTTATTCTTAACTTTCCCATGAGCACTGAAATCAGTCTGCATAGAGTAACCTGCCCTACCTACATTGTTGCAGACTGCCTCCTACCAGGCTCCTTTATTCTCTTTGTCTCCAGCTTCCTCCCATCTTCTTTTACCTGTTTAAGGGAAGGATGCTCTTTATTAGTGGTTTTTAAAGTGTGGTGCTCAGACCAGCAGCATCAGCATCACCGTGGAGTTGGTGAGAATGCAATTTCTGAGGCCCTGGCCCAGCTGAGTCAGAAGCCCTGGGTTGGGGCCCACAGATCTGTATTTTGACATGCCTTCCACGTGGTTCTGATGCACACTAGAGTTGGAGAACCAGTGAACTGTGGAATGAAATAAGACCTGAAATTTATTCCTGTCCAAGGAAGTTGGGACATTAACTGAATAACAGCTGGAAATAAGTCAGCAGCAATACAATTAAACACATTACATAGAATACTACCGCTGGCTTAGCTTGGTATTTTGGCAAGGGCTGCCTTCTAGGCTGTTGCCCTGCCCCCTGCCTCTCTAGCCCTCTCTGTGGGCTTCTGTTTCTCTCAGCCTACCCTTCAGACCTTCTTCCTCTTCCCCTGCTTGATGCCCTCTTGCTTTTCCCCAGGCTAAGGCAGATACCAACTCCCCTCAAGTTGGTAACACTATTGTGTAGACAGCTCCTTTATCACCGTGGTCAGGCCGGGCCATCCCTAAGGCTGTGTTACTCTGCCTATTACCTCCCTTACCACCCACACTTTTCATTCCAGGTCTCTGAAGTTTTGGGGGCTCAGCTTCTGAACATTTTGTTCTCCCTTGCAAGCTCATGAAGACAGTTGCGTCAGTTTCCTTCACTGGGGATGGTTCCTTTGTGTCTTCTTTCTCATTGGACAACTTAACACATTTTCTTCATTCTACCCACAGAACAAAGCCATGGCACCTTGTTTGTCTGCCTCATTCATTTGTTCAAGGGTCCTTTCACGACTGACCTTATTCTGATCACAAGGCAAACATGTGGAAGTTGCAGGTGTCCTCAGATGGGAAATTCCTGTTTGCAAAGTCTAGCTTTTCACCTGGCAGCCAGGTGGACACTTTTGTCACCTTTGAGACCTTCAGCAGCAAGACCATCTTTAAAGACTTCTCCTGCTATCAGAAACAACTTATTTGAGGAGGGGGGCCAGGATAATAACCCTTGGTGTACAGATGTTCACCTTCAATCTTACAGGAATTAAAATGTTTCCAATTTTTGGCCATGTGAGTCAGCTGGGTGGTTTATTACTGTTAGACAGTGTTTGTCAAAGCTTGGGCCTTGGCTTACTGCTTGGAAGCTCCCGAGGGTGCTTATAGCAGATAACCAGGCCTCACCTCACATCTGCTCAATCAGACTTTCCAGAAATGAGCCCAGAATTTGCATTTGCACACTCAGAGGGAATTTGGAGATGATTCTATTCACTCCAAGGTTGGGGTAGGTGCTGGATTTGTTTCCAGTCTGCATTTGCCCCAGAATAAGCCCTAACCCATGCAATGTGAGTCATGTTATAACCAGGTTCAACTGTTTTTTTGTAAGAGCTCCCATTGTATACACTCTGCTTCTTGGCTGAATGTCAGGAATCAAGGCTGAGTCTGTCTGTGGACCCACAGGAAGCACTGCTATAGTCAGTCTCCTACATTTCCCATTCATGCCCTCACCTACTCAGGTGACATCACCCCAGCCTTAGGTATTTTGAGAGGCTGGGAGAGGCTGCCTCAGGGACCAGTCCATCTGGCACAGCTGCTGAAGGGATCTGCTGCCATCTCCTCTGGCTTTCCTGGCCACTGTCTTCCATTCACAGAACAGCCTGAGAGACCCAAGTGGCACCTTGTGCTGTGCCCCATGAGAACACCAGCGTCTGTGTTGAGGTGTCATCTCCTGGTCATAGACTCAATGCAGAGGTGGGGAGGGTAGTCCCATCTCTAACTTTGTACCTCATTCATCTCCAAGGTTCCAAAGCAGGACCTCAAGTGCTCAGTGTCGTACACATTCCCTCATGAAAACAGTTACTCCAGTGTCTGCCTCTAATTTTTCTTCAGAGATTCAAAAATAATCGAGGGGGCTGGATATGCATGTACATACACACAAACACACACCCCTTAGGGCTACCACGCTGGGCAAATAGACACCTGGAGGAGTCCCCAGCCCACAAGTTTTTCAAACAGCCAGACTCTAGATTCCAGTCTGGACTGGACTAGGATTTCCTGGGACACCAAGTTTATTGGAGTCCTTCAGGGCAGGAACAGAAAGACTTTGATTTTAGGTTTTCCAGTCCATTGTTCAGTGGTGTAGCCGGGACTCCATTAGCCACAGAGATCACCCTCCTTCCCATACATCCTCCTCACAATAATAAGCAGCTGGCACATTTGCTCTGCAAGCTCAATTTCACCCATAAATGTTGACTATGGAGTTCTGAGCACTGGGGGCTTCTCTGAAACCGTTTCTTTGGGCCATCAAAGAAGAGCCATCGTTTTGGAATTGTTCTGTGGCTAGCAGTGAGAGTTTGAGAGGAACTTCCCAAAAATGTGAAATACAATATTTAAAAATATAAGAATTCACATTCATCTTAAAAGCCAAATACTTTGGGATATGTGTCTCTCTCAGGGTGTTTTGTTCAACTTGATGTATTTAACACTTGGTTCTTTAGCCCTAAGAGAATTACCAAATTGATGGTAATCAAAGAATCATACTATCACAGGCTAGACCAGAAGCCTGCCTGCCTCTCATGGAGCTTGTGCCTGAGAGAAGTCCAAGAAGACCTTCAGCTTGGCTGCCTAGGGCTGGACAGAGATTATTACCCCATGAGCTCTGCTATTGTCTTTCCTGTTGAGTTGAAAAGGAGAATTGCAGTTTTCCCTGAAAGTTTACTCTTAATGCTTTGTTAATACTAGGAGAGGAAGAATGGAGTGGCTCTAAAATGGATATAATTGGGGTTTAATTTCAAGATGCCCCAGTACAATGACCAACAGGTACCAAAACGAGTGTAAGACGGATTCCTTCATTTACATAGGAAACTGTGTGGAACTGTTCCATATTGTTGAGCCCTTCAGCCAGATTAAGGAAATAGAGATTGGTTGGAACGGAACAAGGACACAGCATAAATGAATTTCTTTGGAGAGAAATGCCATCTGGTTGTAAGCCCCACTCCCCTCTGGTGAGAGGTGAGGGCTACCCCCATTTCAAGTCTGGTGAGAGGGCTGCCATGGGACCTCCTGGAGAGCTGACATGTGCTCCCTGCAGTTGAGAACACAGGTGACCTGTGCTCACAACTGAGAGAACTCACAGATGGTGGCAACAGGTCATGCTGGGGTGGACTTGCAGCAATTCCCACATAACAGAGAAAGAGCTGGCCTGGACCTGACTAAGTCCTAACCAAGAGGGTCTTCACCCGATAGAAGGGAATTCCAACAGTGCAAGTAGGTGTGGGTAAATTCCCAGGAAAGGAGAGCTGGGGGGGACCGGAGGCTGCCAGATGGGAAAGCTGGTGTCGCTCCCCAACCCCCATGACTGAATCGCAGCTGGATTGGCCTGCAGGAGAATTCCCCCCAAATCTTCAGAAGAGCCTACAAAAGAGTGCCAGCCTTAAACTTTGGCCAGAGCAGACAGTGTAACTCTAACTGAGAGGGGCACCAATTTGGAGAAGGTATTTCCCGTCCCTTACCTGGCAAGCCAGAGCAGGGGGAGAGAAGGGGAAGAAGCCAAGAAGCGTCTCACCAAATGGCATCTTTGTGCACATAGGAAAAGGCCTGAGTATGAATGGTGGGCCCTTTCCCACTTCCCTGGAGTTGCCTAGTGCCCAACTTGCACCACTCTAAGCAATGGTCAAGAGACAAAACCAGGCCGGGCGCGGTGGCTCACGCCTGTAATCCCAGCACTTTGGGAGGCCGAGACGGGCGGATCACGAGGTCAGGAGATCGAGACCATCCTGGCTGACATGGTGAAACCCCATCTCTACTAAAAATACAAAAATTAGCCGGGCATGGTGGCGCGCGCCTGTAGTCCCAGCTACTTGGGAGGCTGAGGCAGGAGAATGGCGTGAACCCGGGAGGCGGAGCTTGCAGTGAGTCGAGATCGCGCCACTGCGCTCCAGCCTGGGCGACAGAGCGAAACTCCGTCTCAAAAAAAAAAAAAAAAAAAAAAAAAAGAGACAAAACCAACCACATCACTTTTTGCCACTGCAAGAAAATTCGAACTGGAGGAGGAGAGTATATATGGTGTATTTAACAATAAATCAAATTCGAAGTTTTGACTAATGTCTTGGACTGAACATTCAAATTACTCAGTTGATCTGTTTTGTAATTTATGGGCCCCAGGAGAGTCTACAACCCAAGAAAGAACAGAAGAGGCCATGGCACCTACCAAGTTTTCATCCAAGGGCAGGGAGTTGATTTTAAAAAGTCAGTGGGTGATAAAAATCCAGTTGCACTTTGATTGCAACTCAATTTGTGCCTGTTTAACACACAAGGAAGAAAGGAGAAACTCTGAGGTGTCAAGTGGGTTGGACGGAATGGACCCAACCTTACGGGTCTGAACTATTCACCATATTGGAACAAACAGCAAATAGGTTTAATTCATATATTGAGACGTCTTTAAGTCAAACAGTTACAAACATTCAAGAAACATTCCAGGCAAGGAAGGAAGATAAACTTGAACCCCTGGAAAGGGCCCAGCTAATGTTGCTAGGAGAGTGAAGACAAAGTTCTCCAGGGAATGATGTTATGACACTAACATGATGAAGACAGAGCATAGCTCACAGCCATGGTCTTCAGTGTGGGAACCAGTGGATTGATAAAGGTCCTGTTTGGTGCAGGACTTTGGGGAAAGGCTGACAGGAGGACTTAACCACAGAGTTTCTTTGCTGCAAGCAACCAGGCACTGAGATCTCTTGTAAGTACTGGATATGGGACTAATTTAGTTAAGGAATGCCAGCCTTAAACTCTTCCAGGAATGGCTAATCTCAAATCTGATTCTAGCCCACTTTTTCCAAATTCCATCCTTATATAAAAGTCCTTATATAAGGCATTAAGACCAGATGCTTGGCTGAGTATGTCCAGGGTTCACCACCCAGGACTCATTTACAATATCTGAAGACATTCCTTAATGCTCCAATCATTGGAAACAAAAGGGATGAGAACAAAAATATAACACGGATGAATGATATAAAGTCTATTAAAAAAAAGAAGCAGTCACATGCATGTCCATCATCTAATATAATGACAGATGTGTTCTTGCTTAAATTCCAATTCCTTCTCAAGATTTTGGCAAACTCTTCCAGGAATGGCTAATCTCAAATCTGATTCTAGCCTACTTTTTCCAAATTCCATCCTTCTGGCCCTGGCCTGTGTTTACTGCAAAATTTCATATTGGTCTTTACCTCTCTTACTCCTGAATATCTCTTTTTATATTGTATTTAATTTAATTTTAAATTTAAATTTGAATGTCTCTTAAGGCATGAGTGTTTGCCACCATGCTACAGTGCATTCATATATAGCTACTCTGGCCTTGCTTTCTCTTGGCCTCAGAGCATTCCCATGTTGAGCTTGTTTTTACTCAAATTTTCTTCCACGTTTTGCCCTCTGCATGATTTCTAAAGACATTTTCTTAGGCCCCTGCTCCTGAAAGGCAAATCTTCACCTCCAGGCCTCTAAAGCAGTGTTTCTCAACCTTTTACCCATCAGGGCACACTGAGAAGATACTTTTGTTACGCACTGTGACAAACTGGCAAGATTTGAAGCCCCAGGGGAAGCTGCAGAAGCTGAATGTGACCAGCTCAGGGCTCCAGCCACCCAGAGTCAATGTCTTGGGGTGTACTTGTAGGGATGCTTCCTGTACCCTTGCTATCCTGAGTGTGGTCCTCAGACCAGCTCTATAAGCATCACCTGGGAGCTGGTTGGCAATGCAGAGTCCTAGGCCACACAGACCTACAGCCTAGGGCTCTGCATTCTTATTTCAACTCTTCTGGTCCTATTCCTACAGTTTATTTTCATTGCCTTTCCCCATCAGTCTGTTGGTGTGTTCTTCTTCTCTGGAAATAGAGTAATACAAGTTCCCTCTCTGAGAAAGAAAAATAGGAAACAGAAATGTGAGTCTTCCTTTAAGAAGCAAATAAGTTTTTATAGGGAAGTTCTCAAGGAGACACTGAAACCATTAATTCCATGCTGTTTGTAAATTGTCTTCTTTTCTATTTGCTGATGAGAAAAGCTACAGAATTCAGTATATTTTTGCCATTCAAGAGCTAAATATTTACTCATTAATCAGATGGAGACAAGGTCCCAAGTAAACTTGGCCTTGCTATCCTTGGTGGTAAAGGTCTTTGCCATTTTTGCCTAAGTGACAGGTAAACTTACCATGTATTTGTGCCCTTCAAGAACCATGGAATATGTTTTAAACAATTATAGAAAGTCATAAAACATGACTAGTATAGAAGGTAATAATGGTTTATAAACTGCATTTCTTAGTCAATTTAGATATAACTGAACTTAAAATAGACCATAGCTTTAAAGTCTGTTTCTACCAAAAGCTAAACTTGCTGTTCTAATACTCTAAAAATTCCATTCTAATTTCTGGTATGTGAAATACCAGTTCTCTTTCCCCCCTCGTATAGTAGTTAAAATAAAACCAAAGCACAAGACAAAGCTCCGTTTATTCTTTAGTCCTACACTCTCAGTACAATGATTCTACCATCTTTGTCAGGAAAAATATCTCTGGGATAGAGCATTGCTAAAAAGACTGTCCCTCCTGCTACCAAACAGACCCTTCATTTATTATAATGTACTGTTTCAGTTTATAAAGTTTCTTCCCTGGCTTTGCAGAACTAGCATTTTAGAGCCAAGTTCTGCTCTCCCAGACTAATAGAAATTATGTTCATGACTAAAGAAGTACCTTATATTATTTTTTAAAAATTCTATGATTAATCCCATCTTCCTAGGGCTGGGTTACTTGTCCTATTTTGTTAGGGGAGTTCCACAGATATGCAGCAGGCTTCTGTTGAATGAGGAAATATGTATGACCTTAGGGCCAGCATTGCCATTTAGAAGGAAACAAAATGTGGATCCAAGGTCTGGATTGGACACCTTCAGGGTATATGAGTCCCTGTATCTCACGGAAAGTCAATGGCAGATATCCTTCATCAGGAACCTCTGTCAGTCTCTTAGAAAAAGCTGGGATATCTACTTCCCCTCTAGGTTTTAGGCTTCCATTGTGACTGAGGGTTGTGTGGCTATGAATATAGCAGTGCTTCCTTCCTATCACCTTTGGAGGTTATATAGCACAGTGGGAAGGAAAAGGGGTGTGGGTTAAACCTCTGGCTTGGGATCTGTATTAGTCCATTCTCACATTGCTATGAAGAAATACCCGAGACTTGGTGATTTACAAAGAAAAGAGGTTTAATTGACTCATAGTTCCACATGGCTAGGGAGGCCTCAGGAAACTTACAATCATGACAGAAGGCACCTCCTCACGGGTGGCAGGAGAGAGAATGAGTGTTGAGCAAAGGGGGAAAAGCCCCTTATAAGACCATCAGATCTCAGGAGAACTCACTATCATGAGAACAGCATGAGGGTAACTGCCCCCATGATTCTATGACCTCTCACTGGGTTCCTCCTATGACATGTGGGGATTATGGGAACTATAATTCAAGATGAGATTTGGGTGTGGACACAGCCAAACCATATCAGGATCCCAGCTCTACCACTTACTATGTGACCATAAGGGAATTGTCTAACCTCTGTGCCTCAGTTTTCACATTTGTTAAATGGGATAAAGCATCTGACTGGCAGGGCTGCTGTGAGAATTAAATACAATAAATTGATAAGAATAAGAATGCAAAGTGCTGAGAGCAATACCTGGCGTTACTAAGAGCTCATATGGTGTTAGCTCTTCTTTTCCCTTTCATCTGGCCTCTTCCACTTGTTTCTTGGCTCATGGTTAGTTTAAGAAAGCAGATGAACCTGGAGACCAGCACAGTTCTCATTCTCTGTGTCTTTTAGTCTTGGTGTTCTCCAGCTCCATCTTGGAACCGCCTCCTCTCTCTTCTGTCTTGACAGACTCTTCCAGTGTGATTTCAGGGTTTCCTGAAACACTGCTAACCATGTATCGGTGACTCCTAAAAATTGTTCAGAACAGATTTTATTTAAAAAAGTCTTAATTTTACTTTCATTTTTGAAAGATATTTTTGCTAAGTGTAGAAATCTGGATTGAACTTCCCCGCCCCTCCCCATTCCCACCCGCAGCACTTTAAAGATCTCTTTCCATTGTCTTTGGGCTTGTATATTTTTTGACAAGAAGTCTTTGTAATTCTTACCTTTGTTTCTCTGGATGCAATATGTTCTTTTCCTCTAGCTGCCTTCAGGGCTTTCTCTTCTTCTTTGGTTTACATATTGAAGTTTAAATATGATGTGTCTATGTGCTTTTTATGGGGGGTTTCTATCTTACTTGGGGCTCTCTAAGATTTTTGGATCTATAGTTTGATGTATTTCATTATTTTTGAAAAATTCTCAACCATACTCTTCAAATACTTCTTCTGCCTCATTGTCTTTCTCCTCTCTTGGATTTTTAATTGCATGTATGTTAGATCATGAATATTGTCCCACTGCTTTTGGATGCTCTGTTCTGTTTGTTTTATTCTTTTTATTCTTTATATTTCAGTTTAGATAATTGTAATTGACTTACCATTAAAGTTCACTTTTTCTTTCCTCAACTGCATCAATTCTACTAATGATAACATTGAAGACATGCTTCATCTCTGTTATTAAATGTGTTTAAACTTCTAAGCATTTATATTGGATTTTTCTCTCTGCTGAAATTTTCCATTTGTTCATATGTGTTATCCATCCTTTCCACTAGAACCTTTAAGATATTAATCATAGTAATTATATATTTCCTGTCAGATTGTTCAAACACCTAGGTCATCTCTTCGTTTTGTAATGTTGATTGCTTTGTCTTTTGACAGTGGGTTTTTCCCTTGCCTTTGTGTGAGTGTCTTATAATTTTTAATACAATGCTGTCCATTGCACGTAGGATAGCAGAGCATGAGATATATAGTATTTGTGCCTGGAAATGGGCACACAATTTCTTCTGCAAGACCATTAGTGTATATATTTGATGGTAATGGTAGATGACAGGGGCTGAGTCAATTGAGTCAGGAGTTGAGCTAGATTTGGATGCTGTTGTTGTTATGGTTATATTTGTATACCACTAACTTCAAATTCCTCTGGTGTTAACTTTGTTAGAATGGGGACTGTGGTACCGGAGAGTTTTCCTCAATGTTCCTGCTTTCGTTTTAGCTTTCTGCTTTCCTTGTGCATCATTCTGCAGTGGGGTCTCTCTCCATGCTCTTGCACCTCCCCTAGAGGTAGTCTATTGTTGCTTTTTACTTGGTACTTGCTAAGTCTGGTGGTAGAGGTCAGGATATTTTTTCTGTTATCCTGATCTAGTCTGAGTCTTAGGTCTTTTGTGCCAGAGTTTTAGTGTGGCATCTCAGTCATCCTGTTCCTCCTCTCCATGGAAGCCAAACTCTGTTTTGTACTTGCAGCAGATCTTGTATGGAGGGAGTTTTCTGTTGTCCTCCAGTGGTAGGAGACCTTTAATTGTGTTGGTACAGTATTCTGGGCCCAGGACTGTTATGTTTTTTCTTTTACTCTTTCTTTCCTTTTTTCACCCTTTTTTCTTTTATTCTGTCCCCAGCTGCAGTAGATCTTCATTTGTTCCCTGGGGCGACAGAATTTGCTGCCCCATACTAGTGACTTAAGGCTTTTGTTTTATAGAGGAGAAGGGAGAAAGGTATAAATAGAGTTTCAAGTTTTTCCTGTTTGAGTCACAGTGTCACAGCCGGAGTGTCAGAGCTGGTGTACGGAAGTAAGTGCCACCCTGACCTGTTTTTCTTCCCTCCTACTAATATCTTGCTGGTGCTTCCTATTGATTGAATTCAACCAGAAGCCATGTGGCACGGAAACTTGAAGTGTGTGATCCACAGGGGTTAGCCTCCCAGGGCAAGAGCAGGACAGAGAAGAGTGGGCATTGGATGTGGGGTAGAGGAAATAATGAAGAATAACCAGCACACATATACATATTTTATAATTATATTAAAGTAAAAATAAAATAAATTCAAGAGGTAAGAGAGTGTTTGAAGGGATGGGCCATTGGATCTCATTGGGAAAGATATGGATATAGGGCCAAACACAGTGGCTCACACCTATAATCCCAGCACTTTGTGAGGCCGAGGCGGGTAGATCACTTGAGGTCAGGAGTTCAAGAGCAGCCTGGTCAACATAGTGAAACCCCATCTCTACTGAAAATAAAAAATTAGCCAGGCGTGGTGTTGTGCGTCTGTAATCCTAGCTACTTGGGAGGCTGAGGCAGGAGAATTGCTTGAACCCGAGAGGCAGAAGTTGCAGTAAGCTGAGATCATGCCACTGCACTCCAGCCTGGGCAACAGAGTGAGATTCTCTCTCATTCAAAAAAAAAAAAAAAAAAGAGATATGGATATAGAAGGTATCTGATGCAATGGGAGATAAAATAGAGTTCCAGGCTCTGGAAGCTCTTCTGAGGGAGAAGGCTGATGAAATGGAAGTGAAAATTTGAGAGAGTAGAAAGGATCAAACACTGTGCTCGGGGGGAAGATGGAATCTAAGATTTCTGAGATGCTGTCAAAATTGAGAGCTTGGCCATAGGTAAAGGACGGCTGCAGTGGGTTGTGAGAGTCAAAGGATTTGTAAAGCCAGAATATTTGATGGTAGTTTTCTTAGACCTTGATGGAGCAAAAGATAATAATGGTACAGAAATTGGAGGGTGGAACTTTGGTACCTCACATTATCCTCAAGGAATGAAGGAATGGAATAAAGAGATCAGATGCCAGAGGTAAGGAGAGGAGGAGGCAGGTGTGGCCAAATGACTGGAGCTTGAAAAGAGCTGTTTTATACTACTATTATTGCTTCTAAGCTTACCACTTCTGTTATCATTATACTCAGGTCAACTCTCTGATAATCGTATGAGTTTTGTGGTCTGAAAGCATCAGTAGGGAGCCAGAAGAATTCTGATTTGTTTCTATTGGTTTTGGAGTTCAGTTACCCTCTTGCACTTCACAGTATGCTTCACCCACATTGAGTTTGCATTTCCTAAATGATGGCCATTTGTCTCACGTTTTTCAGTGGTCCATGTTCAGACTCCCAACCCACAGATGCTGTGAGATAAGAAATGTTTATTGTTTTAGGCTGCTAAAGTTGTGGTATTTGTGTGCTATGTAGCAATAGAAAATTAACATGCTCTGTGATAAATACTTTGCAGATATTATCTCCATTGATTTTCACAACAGCTCTAAGGAGTTGATGATATTATTATCCCAATGTTTATAAATGAGGATTCTGAGGTTCAGAGAAGTTGAGAAAGCTGTCTAGAGTCACATAGCAGGTAATGGATAGGGATTTAAAGACAGGCCTCCAACTCTAAACCCCATGGTCTTCACCTGCCTTTGATAAGATTTCCATATTCTTAGTTTTGGAAACACAGTACCAACTTTCAAAAAGTTAATATTAAGTTTATAGTTTTACCCACAATGGATAAGAGTATCTGTTTCTCAACGTTCTTGCCCAATATTGATTTATTTGTTTTAAAAATGATAAATTTACAATTCCTAAAGTTTGCCTTTCTTTGGACATGTCTTCATATTTTTGTTCTCTAGCTATAGTTCCTCTTTCATGTATGGTTCATTTATGAACAGTACTCTCTTGGGGTTTCATAGTAAGAGAGGGTAGCTCATGAGGAAAGCATCTCTAATTTTCATCTCTTCAAGCGAGAAAGCAAATTTTAGATTAATAAACTCTGAGTGAAACGACAATTCAGAGACCTGATGTAGAACGGCATTTTGGTGAAATGAAGTGGCAAGCCTAAAGTGCCTGTCTACTTTTGGGCTATATTTCAGTAATATGTCTACCAAAGCTACCATGGCTTCCAGAGTACCTGGGAAAAAGTCATTCCTATCTCAGGGAGAGAAATAGCCATACCTCTATGAGCTCCAGATATCCACACAAAGTCATTTATTAATGTGTATTTTCTGTGCTTTTGGGTGAACTCTAGAGCACTATAATTAATTTTTCCCCATTATGCCTTTCAGAAAAACTTCATCCTACAAATTGTGCTTCACCCAGTAAAAATTGGCTTATGCAAATAAAATAATTTGGTAGCAATTAAGTTCAGAAGGCAACACTTTTTGGATGGATTTAAGTTTCACCCTCAAGAGAACCCTACAAAGTGATGAGGTTTTTTTGCAAATTTATCCAAGGAGGAAATACAAAATGTCTGATTTTTGTGATAATTTTTTCATGGCATTATTATTAGGAGCAGATGCTTTTTCTTTCTGCATGAGGATGAAGACTCATTTCAGTTAATAAAATTACAAATTTCAGACACTTCTCAGTGAGAATGGAAATAGTTCAATTATGAAGACACTCATTTTTGTGGTACTATGGTTGCTGCTGAATTTAATGAGAAAAACAATTAGGACTGTAATACCCATATTTTCTAAACCCTTTTAAATAAGGCATTAAATCAATCACTAGTCAGTTAATTGATGAAAGTAATCATGATGTTTTAAAAATCAGAAATCTAGGATATGTAGTGACATTAAAAATGTATTTGTGAAAACAAACATTACCTCTATCAGCCTGTGGAATGTTTTATGATTGAGCTTCCTTTGTAGCTCCCTAGTTCCTTCTATAGATTGGCTCATGATGATGAAGATGAAGATGAAGTTGCTGATGACTGATTGATTGATGACAGCTATGCTTTATTAAGGACTTACCATGTGCCACGAATATTATCTCATTTAATCTCCACCACAGCCATAATAATAAGGGCTGTTATTCTCATTTTACAGGTGAGAAAATCAATGCTCAGAGAGATTAATTTGTTCAAGGTCACATGGTTGGTGAGTGGCAGAAATAGGATTCAGACTCAGTATGCTCGACTTGGAAGACCACTTACTTTGCTAGACTAAGTCATGCCAGCTCCACAAGCTTGGATTAGTGTTTGAGGGCTGAATCTTATGTCTTCATTCTGGTGGATACAGCCAAGACAGGATCACTGGCAAAGATCTTTTAATTCTTCTCTGCCTTGCCAAGATCACCTTTTAGGCATTTCTCTGATATCTGATGATACAGAAGTATCTTTATTAGGCTGTCAAAGCTCTGTAATTTCACTAAAATGCTTATTTATTAAAGATAAAGATTATTTATTGAAGATACTTGTTTTTATCCCAAGTATATTTGTATTATTAGAAACTGCAAGTGGCATTCCATGACTCAAATATTCCTTTTACTTGAAAAGATGATAAATCTAGCTGTTTATCCTAGAACTTCACACCTTTCAACAATGAGAAATATGGTCACTTTTGCATGGAGTTAATGGGTTGTGCAGAATGTACTTACCCCAAGAACGTGGTGATTCTCTCTGAAGCAAAGGCGTGCCATGGGAACTGTCCATGGTGGTTCCTGGCAGAACTAACAAGTTGTATTAGGAACTTCCAGTGCTGGACAAGGTATTTAATTTCTAGGTAGGTCTCCCCTTCCCCTCAATTCTCAATTTCAATCTCTCTCTCTCTCTGGACAAGGTATTGAATTTCTAGGTAGGTCTGCCCTCCTCCTCAATTCTCAATCTCTCTCTCTCTCTCTCTCTCTCTCTCTCTCTCACACACACACACACACACACACACACACACACACACTCTTCTTCCATCCTTTCAGTCATGTATTTGTGAATAAGAGCTATTAGGAAAAAGTATAGGTATCTAGCTCACTTATACCCTTATAATTTAGATTTTGAGATTCTAATTTTCTGATGACTGTAAATTGCTATATGTTTATCCATGATAAAACAATGAAAGAATACCCTTTTATAAGAAAGATCACAGAATATCTACCACACATAAAAATATTTGATGTCTTTAGATTGAATGCCTTGTATTGTTAATCTTTAAATCCAGCCACATAGGCAAAAAGTACTGTAGTTACAGGCCTACTTTAGTTGAATTTCTGAGTATAAGGACCACTTTTTAAGGAGTAAAATAACAACCCACTGTGGTCAACTATATTATGGTTCACCCATGATTTTGGTGCTTCTCTCTACGGTGTCTCTATCTATGGGAAGATTATGCATTCCTACCCTGTTGAACCCAGAAGTGGCCATGTGACTTGCTTTGACCAATCAAGTATGGGAAACATTCCAGATGTGTTTATTCTAAACAAAACAAAACAAATGTGGGCCACTTCTGAGCAGAAGGTGTTAACAGCCAGCATATATGGTTCACAATGCCATAATGACTGGTAACGTTTCTGATTGAGGTGGCTCCATTAGCCTGAGTCCCAAAGTGAAAATTAATCAAATCAGAGCAGCAGCTAACTCTCAGTGGATGATACGGTTTGAATATATGTCCCTGCCAAACCCCATGTTGAACTTAAATCCCCAATGTTGGTGGTGGGGCTTGGTGGGAGATGTTTGGATCATGGGGGCGCTCATGGCTTGGTGCCTTGTGATAGTGAGTGAGTTCTTAGGAGATCTTGATTTTTAGAAATGTGTGGGACTGCCATCACCCCTTGTTCCTGCTCTGCCATGTGAGACAGTATCTGCTCTTGTTTTGCCTTCCACCATGAGTAAAAGCTCCCTGAGGCCTCCCCAGAAGCCAAGCAGATGGTGGGACCATGCTTGTACAGCCTGTAGAACCATGAGCCAATTAAACTTCTTTTCTTTATAAATTACCCAGTCTTGAGTACTTCTTTACAGCAATGTGAGAACAGCCTAACACAGAAATTAGTACTGAGGAGTAGGGCATTGCTATAAAGATAAGGAAGCACCCTTGGAACTGGGCAATGGGCAGAAGTTGGAAGAGTTGGGAGGGCTCAGAAGAAGAGAGAAATATGAGGGAAAGTTTGGAACTTCTTAGATACTGGTTAAATGGTTGTAACCAAAATGTTGATAGTAATATGAATAGTGAAGGCCAGACTGAAGAGGTCTCAGATGGAAATGAGAAACATATTGGGAACTGTAGCAAAGGTCACCTTTATTATGCCTTAGCAAGGAACTTGGATGTGTTGTGTCCATGCCCTAGGAAGTCTGCGGAGGTCTGAACTAAATAGTAATGATTTAGGGAATCTGGTGGAAGAAATTGCTAAGCAGCAATGTGTTCAAGAGGTGACCTGCTGCTTTTAATAACCCACACTCAGAGGCAGGATCAAATAAATGACTTAAAGTTGGAATTTATATTTAAAAGGAAAGTAGAGATAAAAGTTTGGAGAATTTGCAGCCTGGCCACGTGCCAGACAGAGAAAAAGCTTTTTGGATAGAGGAATTCAAGCAGGCTGTAGAGCAACCACTTACGAGATATATTTGCATGACTGAAAAAGAGCCAGGTGCTGATAGCCAAGACAACAGGAAAAAAATCCTCAAAGGCATTTCAGAGACCTTCCAGGTAGCCCCTCCCATCACAGGTACAGAGGCCTAGGAGGGAAGAATGGTTTCATGGGCCAGCCCCAGGGCCCCGCTGCCCTGGGCAGCTGTGGGACACTGCTTCCTGCATCCTGGCTGCTCTGGCTCCAGCCATGGCTCAAAGGGCCCCAGGTACAACATGGGCTGCTACCCTAGAGGGCACAAGCTGTAAGCCTTGGTGGCTTCCATATGGTGTGAAGCCTGTAGGCACACAGAGTGCAAGAATGAAGGAGGCTTGGCATCCTCTGTCTGTATTTCAGAGGATGTATGAGAAAGCCTAGGTGCCTGGTACAGAGGCAGAGCCCTCACAGAGAACCTCTGCTAGGGCAGTGTGGAGGGGAAATGTGGGGTTGTAGGGTCCACACGAAGTGCCCACTGGGGCACTGCCTAGTGGAGCTATGGGAAGGGGCCCGCTGTCCTCCAGATCCCAGAAAGTAGATCCACCTGCAGCTTGCACTCTGCACCTGGAAAAGCTGCAGGCACTCAACAACCTTTGAGAGAAGCCATGGGGGAATGTACCCTACAAAGCTGAAGGGGCAGAGCTGCCCAAAGATTCCTTGAAGCAGTGTGTCCTGGATCTGGGACATAGAGTCAAAAGAAATTACTTTGGAGCTTTAGGATTTAATGACTGCCCTACTGAATTTTGAACTTGCATGGGGCCTGTAGCCTCTTTGTTTCGGCTGATTTCTCTCTTTTGGAACAGGAATGCTTACCCAATGCCTGTACTCCCATTGTATCTTGGAAGTAACTAACTTATTTTGATTTTACATGCTCATAGGTGAAAGGGGCTCATTTCCAGATGAGACTGTGAACTTGGGTCTTTTGATTGAGTTGATGCTGAAATGAATTAAGACTCTAGGGGACTGTTGGTAAGGCATGATTATATTTTGCAATGTGAGGAGCACAGGAGATTTGGAGGGTCAGGGGAGGAATGATATGGTTTGAATATATGTCCTCACCAAATCTCATGTTGAACTGTAATCCTTAGTGTTGGAGGTGGGGCCTGGTGGGAGGTGTTTGGGTAATGGAGGTGGATCCCTCATGGCTTTATGCTGTCCTTGTAATGATGCTTGAGTTCTCAGGAGATCTAGTTTTGTAGAAATATGTGACACCTCCCTGCCTGACTGTCTCTTGCTCTTGCTCTGCCATAAGATGCCCACTCCCGCTTCTGCTTCTACCATGAGTAAAATCTCCCTGAGGCCTCCCCAGAAGCTTAGCAGATGCCAGTGCCATGTTTGTACAGCCTGCAGAGCCATGAGCCAATTAAGCCTCTTTTCTTTATAAAGTACCCAGTCTCTGGTATTTCTTTAGAGCAATGAAAGAACGGCCGAACACACTGGATAAGTAGAATGAGGGAGAAACAAACCCTGTTATTATAAGCCACCGGGTAGGTAGAGTCATGTTTTGCTGCAACCTGGCTTATCCTGACTGATGCACTCATCCACTCCTGTTAGCCATCACAAATCCCCCAGGGAAAAAGTCAGTCATAAAATAAATTTCTAGTGGGGATACATAGTAGACTTTGAATTTAACATAATAAAAACCCATGTGTATTACAAAACTCTCAACCTTCTTTTCTTTCATGCTGGCTAGAACCAATCCCTCTTTCCCATCCTAGGACATTCCAGATAGCACTGCAGACCAGTTTCTTGGCTGTCTGGAAGACACTTTTGGGTGCCTAATATGCCAAGGAAGAGCAGGTGGAGGTAGCTGTGAGAATTCCCGTTGCTATGTATGATATTTTCCTTTAAAAACAACAAAGTTGCCTAAAATCAAAAGGAAAGTCTAATTGTACCCAGTACTAACCTAAAATTAAAGTAATTCCTTGTTTTCTTTTCCATCATATTTACTTTGTTACATGATTTTTGCCCATCCTATAAATCCATATGTCCCTTTTGTCCCTTTCTCAGATCTTTATTTATTTATTTTTTTTGAGACGGAGTCTCGCTCTGTTGCCCAGGCTGGAGCACAGTGGCACAATCTCGGCTCACTGCAAGCTCCAACTCCCGGATTCATGCCATTCTCCTGCCTCAGCCTCCCGAGTAGCTGGGACTACAGGTGCCCGCCACCACGCCTGGTTAATTTTTTTTGTATTTTCAGTAGAGACGGGGTTTCACTGTGTTAGCCAGGATGGTCTCGATCTCCTGACCTCGTGATCCACCCGCCTCGGCCTCCCAAAGTGCTGGGATTACAGGCCTGAGCCACTGCACCCAGCCTCTCAGATCTTTTTAACCCTGATATTCCATTTCTCTTTCCAAGCTTCTGACCAACTTGTCAAGCCATTGCCACTCTGCATGAACCTGCATATATTCTTAATGCAGGCCACTTCTTTTTCCACGTAAAGTGGGTAGCTAGGTGCACTCCCTAGAACTCTGCCCATTGGGAGGACCTCCCTGTCTTCCAGAGCCATAACGAAGTGGTGGTGAAAGTCAGCAGCAGACTCACCTGATCATGCCAAGCCAACCCATCCATGAAACAGGACTAGCCTACTTTCATCCTCGTTGAAAATCTTCCCCACCTGCATGTAGCCCTAGGTGTGAGCAGGGGCCCAGAAGCAGAGGGGTTCTGGGCCTTCCCCATGTGCTGCTTACTTATGCCCTCTGGCCTTGGTTGTGTCGGATCCTGGACACACCACTTCCATCTTATGAAGGATTGCTCACCTTTGACAGAACCTGCCTCCTGATGGGCAGCTCTGACTGCATGGTCACTTAATGGTCCATGCTCTATTTTTACTAAGATGAGATATGTTTTCTCTACTGAGGCTCAGTAGTGTACTAATAGCTGCTTTTGGGTCATGCATAGTGCGTGGTTCTCTGCTGCAGATGGCATGCCCCTGCTCAAAAATATTAGGGGTCTACAATGCAATGCTCCTATTATAGCTTGTGATGAAACACCTCACAGCATCTTTTCTTACCACAGATACTTCAAGCACCATAGGGACTACTGGGTTGTATGGTTCAAGAAGCAGGGCTACTTGGCCCTCAGCCTGAATCTACTTCAGAGTCTTTTCTTGCCCAGGGCCCCACTTAAAGCTGGCAGCCTCTGGGCTATCCAATAGATGGGATGGAACAATATTCCAAATGTGCTGTACCAGAACCCCAAAACACCTACCAAATGTGCTTCTTTCTTAATGATGGAAGGTGTGAGATGCAAACATTTGTATTTTATTTTGGAGAGGATGTCCCAGCATGCCCTGGATCAATCTAGAATCTTCACTTATATGGTGGTCCCCTGCATCTTTGTAGAATTTACCTCTCACCCCTGGAGACTTTATGTCTTCCATGATCCAACATACTTCCTACTCCTGGATGATCAGTTCTGATTAACCTGACATTACTGATGTTGTGGACCAAACCAATGTTCTTCAGAGTGTCAGGCCATCCAGGTGCCCTCAGACTGTCTTATGCCAGAAGGTAATAGAGTTTTCATAGCCCTGGGCCAGAACATAACCATGTAGAGTTTTCTGTCCTGTGCGATTGTGAACTACTTATCCCTCTTCCTGGTAGGAATGAACAAGAACACAGATATCAGGTCAGTGGCCACATACAACGTGCTGGAGGCCATGGTTAATCTGCTGTGATAGAGATATCATGTCGGACACAGCAGCTGCAATTGGGGCTACTACTTTGTTGAGTCTGCTGTAGTCTATTCTTATCTACCATGTCCCATCTTGTTTTAGTAGAGGCCATGTGGCGAATTAAAGGAGGATATAGAAGGACCACCAACCCTGAATTCGTTAAAAGCTTTTGAAAGTGGCGCTAATCTGTGTCACTTCCCCTAGAAGTAGCCCTATTTTTTATATACTCTCTTAGTCAGAGGTTTGGGGCAGTTTCAGAGACTTCTACTTGACCTTTTTCCCTAGAATATCTTACCTCACAGGTCAAGGAACCAGTGTAAAGCATTTGATTCTACCAACTATCAGGTACCTCCATTCTAGTTATTCACGTGAAGATTGGAAAAACAGGTAGCTGTCTGTACCCAGTGGGCCCACTATGAGCCAGACTTGGGCCAGGACCCCATTTATTGCCTGGTCCCAGGCTATGAGGGCGCCTAGGGTTTCTGAGTATCAATTTCAGTATAGGAATCTTTGAAAAGTCTGGGCATTCCCATTTCTCCAATGTATAGCTATCCTAGTAAATAGAAGTAGATCCCTTTGGGGGAGAGATCCGGGAATTACTACTGAATACACTTGCTACAGTGTTGCAGGGTCACATTCTCATGGGTACAACGAACAGTTCAAGAATAGGCCAATGATAGGCAATGATAGTCATCAGGAATCCTGGGAAAGACTCTTACTCTCTTCTTGTTGGACATGAAGGAGAGAGGATGTAATAGCTCAAACTGCCACAGTCATCTATGACCACATGAGACCAGAGGATGGAACCAACACTGATGAAGTGGAGACAGAGAAATGCAGGGAGTGGGGATCTTATTTAGATGACATAACTTGAGTCCTACATCAAGTTGCACCTGAAGCCACACTGAAGTGAGCCACTACATTCCCTAGTCTATTCTTCATCCAGTTTGGATTGTGCTTACTGTCCTACCTGGCACATTGAGGGAAATGGGCATTTGTAACAAGAAGGAAAAAAGAGTTTTCTGTGACTTTTTCATGTTAAGTTAGGGCAATGGTTGGGTTGTGGATAAGGTCATGTGGCAGAATAAACTAGGGAGCTTTTCTTTTTTTTTTTTTTGAGACAGAGTCTTGCTCTATCACCCAGGCTGGAGTGCAGTGGCACGATCTCAGCTCACTGCAACCTCCATCTCCTGGATTCAAGCGATTCTCCTGTTCAAGCCACCTGAGTAGCTGGGACTATAGGCTAATTTTAGTAGAGACAGGGTTTTGCCATGTCCAGGCTGGCCTTGAATGCCTGACCTCAAGCAATCTGCCTGCCTTAGCTTCCCAAAATGCTGGAATTACAGGCATAAGCCACTGTGCCCAGCCATTTTCAAACTACTCTTGCCCGCTTTCTCTACCAGGGCCCATTCTAGAATCACCTCTCTTTCTCTCTCTCTCCCTCCTTCCCTCTCTCCCTCCCTCCCTCTCTCCCTCCCTGTCTCTGTGTGTGTGTGTGTGTGTGTGTGTGCATGCACATATTTATGAATGTGAAAAGTTTAAATCACCTCCCCCAGGTGATTCTGATGCAGCCCAGACAAACCCCTGGACTCCTTGAACTGAGACTGGAACAGATTCTGCTGCCCATATCCTGGCCTTGAACATAATGCCTTGTTAATTCCATGGGCCCAGTGTGTCACTGAGGACCTCCACAAAAACCTCACTTGCTAACTTTATTCAAAGGACTGAGCACTCCACCCCCTCCTAGGCCTTCTGTGGCATTCTGTCTTCCAGCTCTCCCTCCTCTGAGAGAACTACCTGTGGGCTCTTACTTTCCCTTTATCCCCATCTCTGCTCTTAGGACTTTATTCAGGTCAAACTTTTAGGTTCTATGAACTCATCTAGTCACAGAACTAAGGAATTCAAGGTGTGAATTCACAATACAATTCCCACTGACAAGAACTGATTACAAGGATGTGGAAACATAAAAGAATAGGTATTTAAAGCAATGAGTGGGAAGTGAATACTAGAATACTGTGTAGCCTGGAGGTTTGGCCCCTTCCCGCTCCCTTCCACAATTGTTGCCACACCAATTCTCTCTCCTTTTCTTTCTCTCTACCAAATGGAAAGAGTTGGTTAAGATTTTGTAAGGTATTCTTTCCCAATGTGAAGCTAGTTGGTCCTTCCTGTGCTTAGCTGGCCCATCAGCATCAAGATTCTGTTTCAAGGAACAGGGGAAGGGACAGGCTCTTGTATCATGTTATTGAAACCACAAAAGTGAAAGAGGGGTGTATCAAAAAACAAAATTGTGATCACAACATCCTTGATTGAAATGTACCATTAAGTAATTAGACAGGCTATCTCCAAAGCACTCCTTCCAGCTGCCTCCCACAGACAGGGTAGTGCTAGCTGGCTGAAGAAATAGAAGGGGAGGTCACTGAGCATGAACAGAGAAAGTGATCATTTCTCAGCTTCTCTGGAGACAAAAGGCTCTGAAGCTCCAGAATGTCCCATTTTGATACTGGAGAAAGACCAAGGTGACCTAGCACTGGACATGGCCCGTTCCATGAAAGACGTTGGTAGATTTCTTAGAAAATGACGTACTTGACAGGTCTTGATGAAGTTCCTTCAACCATAGGAGCTGCTAGGTGGGCCTTGATGTGTTGTAAATACCTAGAAGGTGGAGAGTTCTTTCAAGCTCCACACTTTGTTCTTTGGAATTCCCCCAGAGACTGAAGAGCATGTGTAGGAGCAACCAACACATATAAGGGGGATAGCTAAACACTGTACTTTAAGCAAGAAAATTTACAGAAAGCAAAAACTCTTAGCAAAATCATTCTACTTGAGTTAGATTCCTTAATATTGTTTGGCTCAATCTTCACTGCCAGATCACCTACAGTTCAGCAACCACTTCGAGAGCTCACCTAGGCATGGGCCAGTACCAGAGGGTGGGTCTTCTTTTCTTTTTGAGACAGAGCCCCTGTTGAAATCTTCTCCATTAATTATAATGAATGCTTGTGAGGGTGTAAGGCTTGCAGGCAGATAGTCACATCTGTGCATATCTTGGGAAAGATAGTCTAGAAGTATTTCATTCTTGTCATATGCAGGTCATAGTTTTAATAGCACTTTATATGTCATATTGCTCTTAGTCTGTAGATATAAAGTGCCAAAAGATGAGTGCTGTGAAAGTTGAAATCGTATTTTACTTTTCTTTTCACCTTTTTTGAATTTTAAGTGATTTTATTTTCCTCATTGTTGTATGTATGTACTTTCTTGTTTTTCTACATGAATACATATTACATGCATTTTTAAAAAGTAGAAACATTGTAAATTATTTATCACATACCATTAATTCCATACAATAAAATCCACCCTTTTAAAGTATACGATTCAATAGCTTTTAGTATATTCATAAAGGTTTGCAACTATTACCACTATATCATTCCGGGACATTTCCTCACTCCCCAAAGGAAACCTTGTACCATTAGCAGTTATTTCCTCAGTCTCCCTCAGCCTCTGGCAACCACTCATCTGCCACATAGGACACCATGAGCAACTATCCAAAGTCACAGGTCTCTGTGAGTCATACTATTCTGATTACTTTTTTGACTCCATTATCCAGTATGGTAACCATGTCTACCTTGCTTTTAGCAATTAAGTGCCATCATTTGGCTTCCATGTTTTCTACCAACCTGAAGCAGTTGGCTTGATAAGATCATGGAATGGCCCTTTGAAGACTCAATTACAGCCAGCTAGTGGCAATACCTTGCAGGGTGGGGATAGTGTCCTCCAGGTTGTTGTATATGCTCTGAATCAACATCTAATCTGTGGTGGTGTTGCTCTCATAGCCAGAATTCATGAGTTCAGGAGTCAAAGGGTAAAAATGGGCATGGTCGGTGATCCACTAGCAAAGTTTTTGTTTTCTGTCCCCATGCACTTAGGCTTTGATGATCTATATTGGTTTTAGTTTCAAAGGAAAAAATACTTCTTCCAAGAGATACAACAATGATCCATGGACCTGGAAGTTGAGACTGCCGCCCAGTCACTTTGTGCTCCTCATGGCTATGAATCCACAGGCAAACAGTTATTGTACTGGCTGGGGTGATTGGGCACACAGTGGAGGTAAGGAAGAGTTTGTCTAGAATACAGAAGACTCCTTAGAATGCCTCTTAGTACTACTGTGCCTTGTGATTACTAGAAGTCAATGGAAAACTACAACAACACAATTCAGGCAGGACTACTAATGTCTCAGATCCTTTAGGAATGAAGGCTTGGGTCACACTACCAGGTAAAGAACTACAGCCAGCTCAGGTGCTTGCTAAGGGCAAAAGGAATATGGAATGGGCAGTGGAAGAATGCAGTCATAAATACTATGACCAGGTAACCAGTTGCAGAAATGAGGACTGTGGTTGTTACGAGTATTTCTTACTTATTTTTTATGAATATGTATGTGTGTGTGTGTGTGTATATATATATATATGTATATACACACACACACATACATATATATACACACATATATATACATATATATACACATATATATGTATATATATATAAAAACAATATTTTTTTGTTTTCTTCTCATTATTATACCCTTATCATCTCACATAAGATGTATTAGTAATGGTTACCTTTGTATCACAGTATTTAAGTTACAGGCTATCAAAATAGAGGAGTGAACATCGCCTGAGGACTTTGCATCCTTTTTTGGGGAAAAGATTAGCTTGATTTTGGTTGTACAAAAGACAGTTGTATCATGTGGAGCAGAGCATGACTTTGTTATTGTCCCTATCTGGAGATTAAACATGGTTTGAGGAGATGTGTATGGGGGCCAAGTTGACAAGGGATGCACTGAGATGATCTTTCTGACGTGTCAACTGCACTTGGCTAGACTTCCCGGTTAATCAAACACTCATCTAGGTATTGCTGTGAAGGTATTTCTTTAGATATGATTAAAATTCATAGTCAGTTAGCTTTAAGTTAGTGAGATTTTCCTAGGTAACCTGGGTGGGTCTGATTCTACTGAAAGGCCTTTAAGAGCAGAGCTGAGGTTTCCCTGAAAAAGAAGAAATTCTGCCCGTGTTCAGCTGCTTCTGCCTGTGCCCTAGAGTTCTGCTCTGCTCTTCTAGATGGCCTGTCCTGTGGATCTCCGGCTTATCTAGCCAGCTGCTACAGTTATGTAAACCATTTCCCTGCAATAAAATCTATTGCTATATATCTCCTACCAGTTCTGTGTCTCTGGTTGAACCTGACTAAATGAGCCTGGCTAAAATGACATTTATAAAATATTAACAGGGATTATTTCTTGGGACTGGGATTGAGTTTTAGGAGATGTCCTTTACTTTCTTCTTTGTTCTATTCCATGGTGTCCAATAATTTTAAAAGAGCATTGTCAAATAAAAACAGTAGTTAAAAATAAGCATTTTTACAAAAATAAAATAGTTAAATGTCAGTGATTCCTAATCATTACCTAAAGCCTAATTCCATTCACTGAATGTCTCAGAGAACTCTAGTATTTGTAAAATTTAGAGTTTCTGAAAACTCAATTTAAAAACCCTTTAGATTTTGTCTTTTCCATAGAATTGAACCAAAAAAATGTCTATATTGTCATCTCTTGTGCCCTTTTTGTTTCTTGAATGTTTATCATGCCCAAGGGCCCTATATCTCACTCTTCTTTTCTACTTGCTATGAACCATGTAAGTAGGGCTGAATACATTATAGGTCCCTGTCAATGTTTCTTCATAGGTATAGTCCATATACATAAATGTGTATGGTCTAACTTCCTTTAAATAACTTTTGTCTAGTAATTCACCACAATATCCACGTCATCCTTTTAAACTAGAATATGAGCACTTAGTTTTAAAACATACTAAATATTAAATTATTTCATCCCTATTTATTATTAACTATAATTTACAGACTATATTTTTGTATAGTTGAAATAGCTATGCACTTACTATTTTGTACTCTGCCCTTTTATGAATAATATTTCAAGCCCACATAATCTTGAGTCAACATAATCCATAAACTTGTCTTTTTAATGATTATAGAGCAATCCATCATGTAAATATGTCACAGTTTGCTCATCTGTAGCTCTATTTTTGGACATTTGGGTTATTTCCAGTTTCTTTCTCTTATAAATAATGTGACTGTGAAGGCTTGTTTAGACCAATGGCTTCTAAAGTTTTCTCTTTGAGGTCATTTAGTTAGGTCAATATCTCTAAAGATGAATTATTTGGAAAAAAGACATGAGCAACTTGTTACTTATTGCCAAATTGCTTTTTAGAAAGATTAAAACAATTTACAGCATCATCAACAATATGTTTCCCTGAAGCCACATTCAGGGAATGTATTAATCAAGCCACATTGGATTATTAAGATTATTATTTATTTTTGCTAGTGTATAAGGTATAAAATGGCATTAAAGTTGCTTTAAATGTGCATTTCCTTAATTGCAAGCAAAAATGTTCTTTCTTCCATCTGGTGACACATTGTCTGTAAATCCAAGTCTGTGAATTGTTCATCTTTACACTCTGAATGTTGACTTTGTGCATGTATTCTCTCCTTAAATGTGGTAAGTAAGGTGTGTTTTTAAAATGTTTAGTGTATTCTGGTAGGAAAAACAATGGCCACCCAAAGATATCCACACACTAGACCCCAGAAGCTGTGAATAGGTTAGCTTATATAACAAAAGGGACTTTGTTGATGTGATTTAGGGCACAGGGGAAATGATCCTGGGTTATCTGGATGGGCCGAATCTAATCACATACATGTTTAAAAGCAGAGAACCTTTTCAGTCTGTTTGGAGAGAAAAACGATGACAGAAGAATATTCAAAAAGTTGTAATATTACTAGCTTTGAAGATGGAGGAGAGGGCCATGAACCAAGGAATGTGGGTAGCCTTTCGAGTTTGGAAAAGACAAGGAAATAGATTCTCCCCTAGAGCCTCCAGAAAACAAACAAACAAACAAACAAACAAACAAAAACGCAGCCCTGCTAACACCCTGATTTTAACTCAGTGGGACCCATGCTGGACTTCTGACCTACAGAACTAAAAAATGATAAATTTGTATTGTTTTAAGTCATTGTGTTTATGGTAATTTTTTTATAGCAGCAATAGAAAACTAATACACTTAAACAATGCATTCAAGAAGTTTTGCCATAAAGGGAAGGAAAGAAAAGGAGTGCAATTTAGAGTATTTACAACACATTTTTTCTTAAAACTTCCACACTTTCAGATCTATCGTATCTTCTGTTTGGATGTTGTTTACTCTCCTTTCTCAGGCAGAAGAGTGTATTCCCTGGGAACTGGGTTTTTATCTCTGCATCTCCAGGTTTTAATCTTGTGCCAGGCACAAAACTATTTAGTATGTTCAAAAAATAAATAATTGTGGATGTTAAAAGACACTCTCTGTCTTTCGCCAGGATGGAACGGTGACAACATTTACACTTGTGCCTTTAACCAAAGGGACATACTGTCATGGCTATGGGCATGCTGCCCAGACCTTTGTTAAGTTCTTGTTTTACTACCTATTGTCTCTCTTTTAACTGCCCTCTCAGCTTGCTTTCCTGTGTTCTAAAATAAATGTGCTTGGGCTCTCTTTAAGAAGGGGAAGTAAGCCCTCCAGGGGTTAAAAACAGCCTCACCCTCCTTCTCAGAGTGTCAGGTCAGTTGAGGAAACTAAGTCATGAGACAGAAGTTCTAACTCCTTTCGAACGTTCTCTCTACCTTGCAAAAAGTATGTGGCAGAGTAACTCTGGTTCACCTATCACTGGCCCCTCCTACTTCTGGAAGATACTAGGAAGGAGTGGCCTTTCCCACCCACCTACAGTTAGGCATGGTCAGATGACTTGTTTTGGCCAAAGATAGGTAAGCAGAAGTGTCACTTCTGGATGGTAGCTTCTTAATAGTTGGTGCAATTTTCTAGGGCTTCCTTCTCCCATGTCTTGGTTTGGTACCTCCATAGGCTGACCCTGAGGCAAGGATTTGAGTGCAAATAGTTTGGGAAGAAACACCAGTAAGGGAACAGGGAAGTAAGACAAGCAAGGAAAGGAAGCCAGCAAAGGGTGCCTTATGAAGCCAGAAATTGCTATTGGCAACTGGATTTCAACACTACGGGGGAACTCTTGGAGTCAGGGTAGAACTTGCTGCAGAATTATTCCAATTGAGGCTCAGGTACTTATCCACCGATTCCCTATCTGTTGCTGGCTGAGAGCTGCTTCTGGGCATAATAATTCTCTAGCACTTCCAGTTTTCCCTGTAAGCATGCTCTTGGAGCTAGACAACCACTTATTAGAGCAAAGAGTCATAGGTGTTTGAAGAAAGCGGCCACTGGCAGGTTAAAGTGAATGTCACTGAGGGTGTGGCCTCAACAGTGTCTGCTATGCAGTGCTTCAGCTATCATGAAAGTACAAGTTGATATGGAGATATTGAGCCATCATGGAGGGTAGCTGCCCTATGATTACCCAGACCTGGAGCAGATTTTGTGAGAGACATAAGCCACTGAGATGAGAGAGAGTATTTGTCACCACAGCACAATATAGTATAATACTGATTATTACAAAGCATAAATTGAGTGTCATCATGCAGATGGGATTTCAAAAAAATTTCTTCGTATCCCATAGCTTCCCAGAAAAACATTTATTCATCCAGTTCAGTTTAGCAAACATATATAGAACACCTGGGAAAGATCCTTTCAAGTTATAAAGAACCATGATATGCATAGGTTTCCTCATGTGATAAGGTTATATTTTATGACTCCATATGGAAGTAATAAAGACAGAGTAGTTGCATGCCTAGGGCTTTTGGAAGAAGAGGAATTGATCCTTTAGAATATAATTTAGGTTTTAGCAACTGACCTATTTGGTTTTCCTCTAAGAAGCAAAATCTGTTACTTTCTACTCTACTGCTTTGCGGTTATGGTGTCTCAGCTACTCTCTGTAATCTCTACCACTTCTCTAGGTTACCAATTGCCTATACTTTACTCTTCCTCCTATCTCAGAAATGTGTCTTATGCTTTCATTGCTTCATAGATCCCATTGCCTTAGGACCTGTATTGATTCCCGACCTCTATGGCTTCAAGGTTTTGCTCACATGTACAAGAATTGCAGCTTTTCATCCTACTACAAACTGCTGACTTCTTTTGTGTATTTCACATTATGACTCTTCAACAGAGGATCTGATTGCTTTAGTTGTCACAATTGGCTATGTTGGGTTAAGCTCTTCTCCTTGGACATTGCAGAAGTTGCAATAACGGCAGTCGTTCATGACTGGCCTAATGAGCTGTGGCTAGGGTGACAGGGTCATTGGAAGCCTTTACTTAGAAATAAATCAAATATACTTACTACTGTCATTCATTTATTCATTATCAGCTAATTTCTGTGCATCTACTAAGTGCCACGAACTGTTCTAGGCATCGTGGTTTGTTTCAGGTATCTATTGCTGCATCACAAACTACCCCGATACCTAGTAGCTTAAAACAAGAATCCTTTATTATATTCCATAATTCTTTAGGTTGACTGGGCTCAGCTGGAAGTTTCTTCCTGTAATGTTGGCAGTGGCTGAGTTATCTTAGTGCTCAACTAGGCTGGAACATCCAAGATGGCTCACCCACATGGCTGGCAGTTAGTACTGTCTATTGGTTGGGATCCTAGCTGAGACTATCAAATAGAATACCTCAGTTTTTCTCCTTGTGGCCTCTTTATGTGGCTTGAGCCTCCATAATAAAGCTGCTGGGCTATAAGAAGAGTGAAATGGAAGTTTAAGGCTTGGACTCAGGAGTAATAGATTCTACTGGTCAAAAGCCACATTATACTGGTCAAAAGAGCCATAGAACCAGCCAAGTTAGAAGGAGAGGGGAAATGAAATTCCACATTTTGATGGAGGAGTGAAATGTGCACACCAGTCAAGGAGAAATCAATTATGATGATCTTTGGAAAATATGTACCATAGCCAGCCCTGTGGCCAAAACAGTGAATGTCTCTCCCACATGCAAAGTCATACTCATCTCTTTCCCAAAAGTCATGTTCCACTGTGGCATTGTTGCAAGGTCCAGAGGCTTATCATGCAGGTCTGATTCAAAATGAAGAGCTCCTTGGGTGTGGTCTCTTTGGTGCAGCTCCCAGGGGTGGAGAGATCTTTGAACTAAAATGGTTATCCATACATCACACATACAGTGGTGAGAAAGGTGCAGGATAACCACCACAGACATCTCTACTCCAAAAGAAAGTGAGTACAGGTCTGCCAGATAGAGAAGACAGATATGAGCATCTCGGGCAGAAAAAGCACTGTATAAAAAGAGACAAATCTGAGAATACCATGGTGAAAATGTAGGCTGAGCAGAGTGAAGCTGCCAGAATGCACCTGGAAGAGCAGGTTAGGACTCATTTGTGAAAGGCATATAGTAAGATATTATGGAGTTTGATCTTCATCAGGAGATGATTTGGAATTAGTGGAGGTTTTTCAAATAGCAGATTCTCCCTGTTCAGTTGCCTTTTGGAAAGAATGACTGAGACTTTAGTATGGAGACAGAATTGAGGGAGGGGACTTCAGATATGGAGAAAGTTTGAAGAGGAACTTTCCTAATAGTATAAGAAAGAGAAGATGAGGACTTGAACCTCTGTGACATTAATGTTTTGTCTTTATGACACCAACTTTTCAGTAGAGAAAAGATGAGGTTGTGGTCTGGAATTAGAACTTAGTTTATAACTCACTCTTGCCTCAACCCGGTTTTGTAACCTGGGCAAGTATTCCTCAATCTCTTGGCCTCAGTTTCCTCTTTGAAAATAATGGTTTCTCCATTTTGGGTCATTGTGAGGATTACGTTGGATAATGCACGTAAAACACTTAGCATGAATCTGGCACAAAATAAATGTCCCATAGATATTAGAGGGATGATGATGGTACTGACATTGTGTCATATGGTGTGTGACATAGATCCAAGTTCATTCTCCTCAATCTTATTAAATGGTGTAATGGAGATAGCTTGAGATTTGGAAACAGAAGGGGCTAAGTCTCAACACTACCACTCATCAACAGTGCCATTTTAAAAAAGACAACCAACTTTGGTGAGCCTCAGTTTCCTTATCTGCAAAATGGGGTCACTGTCTTCACACAGGGCTGTTGAGAAGTTCTAGGTACAATGAAATATGAGAAAACCTTTTGTAAACAATGAGGCTCCAAACACATAAAAAGTATTATTTATCTGATTGTTCCTAGCTGCTATTCAGCATGATTCCATTCTTTGTTACTTCTGGTACATCATTAAAATTTTAAGACTACCAAATTAGAAAATTAGAAATCAAAAGAGACCAATTTCACAACCAAAGAAAGTAGCACACAGCAAGCTCTGAACTCTCCTTCAAACTCTGGCTCCTGAGACAAAGTGGCACACCTCCCTTCACAAAGGCTACAAAGCTGCAGTCACATTCCCACCCAGACAAGAACAGGGTATGTGGTAGCCTTGAAAAACCAGACAGAGAACACAATGAACAGGGGTTCTTCTCCCTGAGGTGCCCAGAGCTGGTGCCCTGGCTTTGAAAGGGTAGACTTTCATGGTGTCTATTTCCCAGATGCCATTGCAAACAGAGCTCATGCAGAGAAATGCTGTACCAAGCCCGTATTTTAATATTGGAGAATTTACTTCATATGAGCTTCACCAGTAGTTTGCACACCAGCCTGGCTGTCTAAGACCCACTTGCGGGGGGCTTATAAACAATTGTATCCACTCAGATATTTATTATATCTCTAACATGTGCTAGTACTAACCTGAATGCTAGATGCAGGGATACAGCAATTAACGAAATCAAGTTCTGACTCACATGGAATTTACACTTGAATGTGGGGATATAAGTGATAAATACATAAATATATCCCATGTCATATGGTCACAAATGCTATGAGGAAACAAAGCAGGATAAAGCGGAGCTGCTTCCATCTCTGGCTCCACCATCTCCTACAGCTCAGCATCTACACCTGCAAGCTGGAGGCAACGAAAAGAGGACATGGAGGGGGTACCTCCACTTTAAAAAAGCCTTGGTCTGGAAGTTTTACATGTCATTTCGTTTTGTATTTTCTTAGAGTGAACTAGCCACATGGACACAACTAGTTGCAGGGCAGAAACTTAGAAATTTAAGCTTTATCTGAACAGTGGACTCTCAACCACCCCTGCATTCAATAGAAGGGGACAGTTTTTTGGTGGATCTCTAATTGTCTTTACCATAGTCCGTGGTCATCTTTTCATCACTATTGTCCTATTGTCGTGAATACACAGTTTCATGTCTAAATTAGAAATTAATATAAGGATCCCAGACCCTATTTTTTTTTTTAGTGGTATTGCCAGCTTAATAGTTTACTCTTTGGTTGTGCCTAATGGGTGATTCAAACTATCCAAGCGATTTCTAAATTCAATTAGTACATTTTTTATGTTTAGAAGTTTTATTTCTTTTCTCAGATCAGTTTGGTCACTTAAAAACTCTTGTTCTAATACCGTAATTTCAATCCCCTCCTTTCTTTCTTTACACACATTAAGTATCCTAATTTTATCCTCACTGTGTGATTATTTCAGTGTTTGTGGTCTCTGTGGTCTTCACCCTATTTGTTACCTAGGCTGACTCTCATTCAAGATGGCTTATTTCCATTGTGCATGTCTATGTGTAAACTTACTGAACTCGGAACTTTATTCTTTGAGGCCTGAATTCAGGACATTTCTCCCCAGAGGAACTGGGCTTGCTATCTCCAGACACCTGGCAGCACTAACAATCCGGACCTATGCTATGATACATTCTCAGCTTGGATTTTTCTGGCTTTACAGGTAGGTTGGATTCCAGCCCCAAACTTATGACAGGGTAACTTGTGGTTATGAATTTTTAAGCAAGATGTCAAACTTACCTCTTAAGAAAATAAGACTTAAGAGAACAAGCAAGTTTTCTTATCTGCCTATGTGGAACACCTTTTTTTTTTCTTTTCTAGTCAACTCTTCTACAGTGAATGTCATCTTTTGGGGATCTTGACTTGATACAAAGGTCTGATTTGATTTCTTTCCACTTCGTGCAGGCTGTAGACTTTATTTTCATGTGAACTATTAAAACTGAAACTCAGGTGGGCATGGTGGCTCATGCCTGTAATCCCAGCACTTTGGGAGGCCAAGGCAGGTGGATCACGAGGTCAGGAGGTCAAGACCATCCTGGCTAACACGGTGAAACCTCATCTCTACTAAAAATACAAAAAATTAGCCAGGCGTGGTGGTGGGCGCCTGTAGTCCCAGCTACTCAGGAGGCTGAAGCAGGAGAATGGTGTGAACCTCGGAGGTGGAGGTTGCAGTGAGCCGAGATTGCGCCACTGCACTCCAGCCTGGGCGACAGAGCCAGACTCCATCTCAAAAAAAAAAAACAACCAAAAACCAAAAAACAAAAACAAAAAACAAAAAACTGAAACTCTAAGCCACCACTGTTGGGGAATACCCCAGGGCAGCCACTGGTTTCCTTCACTTCGTGGCTTTCTCCTTATTTTTGGCTTCTGAGAAGGTCTTTTATTTTCTTACCTGCTCAGTGGTACAGAAAAGAGATTTTAAAATGTTTTCTCTCTCATTTTAGGAATATGTCAAAGATAGCTGGAAATTATTTGCAGATATTGGGGAGATACCTAAATATAATGAGCATGAAATTATAACTAAAATAAGTTAAAAACCCTAAATATTTTGCTATGTTTTACCAGTCTTCCTATGGAATCCTAAAAAATGTAAAAAAATATATCTTGTGGAACTGCAAAAATATTTCCATTTGAGCTTGTAGTTTAAATTTTCAGTTAATTCTTTTTGAGTTTTCTAGGTGAACAACTATATCACATCCATAAATTCTCATACGTTTACTTCCTCCTTTATTGTACATTTTTGTATTTTTCTCCTTTTTAGTTTAATTTTTCAGAACAATGTAGAGTGATAGTTATAAAGGATATGATTGTCTTTTTTCTGTCTTTGTTTCTTTCTGTCTTTAATATAAATATATCTAGTGTTTCCTCATTAAGCAAGGTACTATAGTTGAAATCATATTTTATCATGTTTAGGAAGCATGTATGTATTTTTATCCAGAGTTTTTTGGAATATCAAGAATGGAGTTTACATTTTGTAAAAGCCTTTCAGCATCTATGGAATCAATTATGTGATTTTTCTTTTTGATCTATTTAATATGGTGAATTATATTAATACATTTTCTAATATAAGTGATCTTTTCTTAAACGCCACATGTTCACTGTGTATTTGTGTTTTTTTTATGGACTGGTGAATTTTGTTTGCACTGCTATTAATTATTTTGTTATATTAAGCAAGATGCCACAGTTTCGATCAGATTGCATTGTGATTAGGAATTCCCTGGGTAACCACTGAGGACTCTCCACCCTGGCTGGTCAGAGCTATTGTCTTTTTACCATGTGAGAGCTCTGGGGAATTCTATGTTTACAACTCCCTGGTTCTTTTTTACTTTGTCTTGTGATGTTTCACTCTTTTGCATAATCCAGCACTCATCAGACTCAAGTAGACCTATATGCAAATCTCCGGGTCTTCTCATCTTCTTAGCTCCCTCCTATCCAGATCCTGGCCCACAGCTTCCAACTGGCTCAGTCTCCCCAAACTCTCATTTCCATCTCTTCATTTTCATGAGGCTACCAGGTTCTGCATGACTCCTCCTACCTGTACCCATAACCTAGAAATTGACTTCAAGCAAAATGCTGCAGTCAGTATGGGGCCCGGTTGTCTGTTTCTGTTTTTTCATGGATCACTGTCTTGTGTTGTCAATTGTCCAATGTCTGAAACAGTTGTTACATACGTTCAGTTTTCCAACCAAAAAAGCTTAAGTCTAGTCCTTGTTACTCTACCATAATTGGAAGCAGAAGGTTTTTGCTTTGGCTTTTTAACTATAGTTACTTTTATTTTTATATTGATTGCTCTACGGATTACATATGCATCATTAACTTATAGTCTTCTTAGACGTTATACTGAATTACTTCAGGAAAAATACAGAAAACTTGCAATAATGTAGTTGCAATTTTTTCTCATCCTTTTTGCTTTTTTTCATATATATTGCATCTACTTACATTTTTGGGAGATATAATTCACATACCATATATATGATTCACCCCTTTAAAGTATATAATTCAGTGGTTTTTATTATATTCACAAAGTTGCAAAACCAGAACATTTAATCCAGAACATTTTTCTCACTCCTAAAAGAAAGGCAATACTCATTAGTACTCACTCTCTATTCCTCTCTATCCCCAGCACCTAGAAACCACTAATCTATTTTCTGTCTCTATGGATTTGCCTATTCTGAACATTTCATACAAATGGAATCATATAATTTTGACATAAATTTTAAACCTAACAACCTGTGTAATGATGTTTGCCTTAGAGGGTCAAATGTCTTTCACATAAATTAAGAGAAGAAAAAACATGTAGTCTGTTTTAGTGTTGCATCTCACAGATACACTTACTCATGCCATGAAATAGACCACACTTATGCAAGTGTACAGCAATGTTCTGTGTTCCTATCTGGCACAGCTTGTGTAAATTTACAGGCAGACTGATGTTTCCTCTAAGTAAAACTGGTTAGTAATGACCATGAGCGGATGCAAGACTCAATGCTTTCTAAGCTTTACTTCTTTTATCAGCACTTCTGATTTTATAAGCAATAATGCTTATCAACCCCATTCCTACCCAAATCTCCTGGCATGCTTGGGTATAGGAGGGCTTCATGGGGATCCAAACATTTTTAATAATGCTTTGGAACATCTCAGTGCAGAACCAACAGCTCAGGCTGCACCTGAGCCCCACAGCCAATGACTATAGTTTTTATATTCATCCACAGGCTACTATTTTTGGTGCTCTTTATTCCTTCCAGTATATCTGAATTACCATATGATGCCATTTCTTTTTATTCTAAAGAGCTTGCTTTATAGCATTTTTTGCAGTTTTCCCTTCCCTGTTTCAGACCTTGTGCCAAACAGGGCCCTGGGGATCTTCTGTGATGTAACATATTCGTTACTTGATAAGTTGAATTTTTCAAGGAATTTGTTCATTTTATCTAAGTTATTGAATTTATTGGCACAAAGTTGTTCATATTGCTCCTATACTATACTTTTGATGCCATGGTTTCTGTAGTGACATCCTCTTTGAATACTGATATTGGCAGTTTGCCTTTTCTCTATTTTTCTCTTGAGGTTTGCTAGGGGTTTATGAATTCTGCCACAAGGAGTCAATTTTTGATCTTATTAATTTTCTGTATTTCTGTTTTTTATTTCATTGATTTCTGTTGTATCTTTATTATGTTCATCTTTCCACTTATTTTAGGTTTAATTTGCTTATCTTTTTCTAACTTCTCTAGGTGTTTAGTTATTTCATTAATTTTAAACCTTTCTTCTTCTCTCATATAAACAGTTAAGGTTATTACTTTTCCTTTATTATAACTTTAGTTACAGCCCATAGATTTTTATATATTATACTTTTATATACTTTATTCTGTTCAAAATATTTTCTAATTATCCTGGTAATTTTTTATTTGATCTATGAGTTATTTATAAGTGTATTGTTTAAGTTTGAAGTATTCAGGGCTTTTCTAGCAATTAGTGACGTCTTTTCATTCTGGCTTCCCTAGCTCTGAACCCTATAACATGTGATCTTTGCAGGGCCCTGGGTAATCTTGTCTTGCAGTCCAACTATGGTAGCCTGACTTCTAAGGTGGCTCTCAATGGTCCTTCCACCTCCTGATCTACATGCCCTTACAGAAAGAATCCTTTCCCTTTGAGTATGGGCTGGACCTAACGACTTGTTTCTAATCAACAGAATACAACAAAGGTAATAGCATATTGCTTCTGTAATTAGGTTATAACATATCATCGCTTCTGTTTTGCTAGCAGACTTGTTGGCTTTGATGAGCAAGCTGCCATGTTGAAGAAGCCTATATGGCAAGGAACTGAGGGTAGCCTCAAGCCAACAGCTAACAAGGAACAAGCACTTAGTCCAACAGCCCTCAAGGAACTGAATCTTTCCAACAATAAGAAAGTGAATTTGGAAGAGAATCCTCCCCAGTTGAGCTTTCAGGTGAGACCCTAGCCCTGGAAGATTTCAGCCTTGTAGAAGTTCCTGAAGAAGAGGACTCAGGTAAGCCATGAATGGATTCCTGACCCACAAAAGCCAGGAGATAATAAATGAGTGTTATTTTAAGCTGCTACATTTTGGGTAATTTGTTGAGCAGCACTAGATAACTAAGGAGATGCAGTGAATCCTATGCGTACTTCTGGGGCCCTTCCCATGTGCAGCTGCCTCTTCTTAGGCATCCTGCCCTGGAAATCTTAATAGCTTTAGTAGCCCAGAGCTCTGATCTCTATGCATGTCTGGTTATTTTAAGGGCAAAAGTTGAGTTACAAACATCTTAATATCCTGCACAGAACCTATGTTAATACTAAGTAAATTTCTAATGAGTGTTCCTTTAGTGTTTGTTGTCTGACATATTTTCCAACTTGAACTGCCCCAATGCAGCCTTGGTCAGGGACACATCTTAAAGGGAGAATACGAAAACCTTTGCAGGTCCCCTAAGTTGGAGCCCCAGGGCTTCATGTACCTTCCCTCCACCAGCTCACATGCGACAAGTCACTCCTTCTCTTTCTAGACCTGAGTGGAATGGTGTCTTGCAGGATGTGGAATCTGGATTTTCCAGTGGCCACCAGGTGGCTGGATGACATGGCCTGGCAATGTAGGGGAGTTAGCTGCCTATGGGGTAAACCTTAACCAATAGGAAATGGGAGCCATGCAGAAACTGGGCAGATAGATTCTATTTCCTTTCTCCCTTCTATAGATTTCTCTGCAGTACAGTTCTTCTTTGAAGCCCTTTCAGAAAAGTCCCATAGTTCCAGGAAATTAACCTGCTCAATGACCTGCTACATCTCTTTGTGACTCATTGTAAAGGATTAGCCAGCACAGTAATCCAGCCTTGCTTTACATCTTTCTTTGTCTCACTCCCACTTTTCTTCTCCTTCACTTCCTCCTAGGCCTGCACCTCTCAATGAAAGCATCTATACCTTCACCCTTGCCTCAGGCTCATCTTTCCAGAGGACCTAGGCTTAGAGAGATGGCACTCATAGTTTATCTTTGCTTTCCAAGTTCATCTCAATAAACAATTTCTGCAGAGTATACTTTAGCAGAATAAATAGAACTGTACTCACCTTTGATAATTCACATAGTCAGTGTCACATATTATCATGTGTCATATTCTGCCACATTTTGGATGTCTTCTCAAAGACATCTAAGTTTCTCAAACTCTATGCTAATGGTAATGGATGTTAAAACTGACTGATTTAGGAAACAGTCAATTTGAAGGAAACAATTGAACACATAGTTTGCAGGTGGCTCCTAGATTTCATAATGGTTGGACAGAGGGAGTTAAAATACTTTTAAAAGTGGGCAATTTTCTAACTTTCCACGTGTAACTCAATTATGAATTTTACTTTTGCTTTTGCCTGCATCCCATGTCACCATCCTGCCAGGCTTCTTGCAATTTCTGCCATTGCTCTTCAGGCCCTTGAAAATATAAGGAGATTTGTTGAAAGGGCAACTCGTAAAGAATGGCAGAGACCAGTGTTAGTTGGTTTAACTCCCTTCTCTAACCAGTTCTGATTTTCAAAAGCACACTGAGTAGAAGTAAAAACTCAGAAATGTAGGGTTGCATGTACATGCCTGATCCTTTCTTTCCACTATACTGCATGCAGTCAGATGAAAGCATTCCTCCCTAAGCCTCTATCTTCATGTAAATTAGGCACAACTTATTTTCCCTTTAGCCTCAAAGCTTGATAAGTATAGTCAGACCAAAAATGCCATTAATAAAAACAGACCCTAAACATTAAGAGAAAGTGAGTTACTTCTAATGCTCTTCGTTATTTTGGAGGAGCAAATTACAGGTTCTTTCATTAGCATACTTAGAGTTTGAGAGAGGCTATCTGGGAGGGTAACGGTAACACAGTTTCTTCTCCACTCTGATTTCCTTGCATTTACTGTGTCTCCATCATGGTTTAATGGGGCTCATCGAGTCTGGAGGTTTGGCAATCATGTGATTCTATGGTGGTTGTTAAAATTGCTCTGATCCTCATAAGCATTAGACATGGGACATCAAATAGAGGCCTCTAATTTAGCTCGTAAGATAGGGTTGAGGAAAATTAAAGGAGCATCTTTCCAGAGTTTGACACCATTGAGCTAATTCTTCAAAGCTAAATGGGAGCTGGCCATGTGAATACATGAGATGAAGGAGTCCTAGAAATTAAAAAAGATGTTTTAAAATGATTTTTGCCTTTAGTGAGTAGACCATGGTGTATAATCATTCTTTGGATATTGAGCTTTTATTTTGCCTCAGAGGCACTTTCCTTGGATGATAATAGGATGTACACATAGTGGGAATAAAATATAAGACAATCTGTACTACCCAGAGCTAAATAAATATATAAGCAAGTAAAATAAAGCTTTTCTTATATTACTGTTTTCTAAATAATTTCCTACTCAACTAGCCTCCTCTCAACCTAAAAGCATGTTCAAGTCATTTCTATCCAGAGAGAGAAACCCTTATCTATCAGGTAGGGCTCTTTCAGGTCAAAGTTGAAGCTGAGACAGAAAACTCGACTCTAACTACTTGACTAAAAAAATAACTTACGAATATTGTTGAAGGTGTAGGGTTAATCTAGCTCCAAGGAAAGCTGGATAGAGTGGCTTGGATAATGTCACTAGAATCTGGTTTCTCTCCATCTCATAGATCTGACTTCCACTGTGTTGGTTTCATTCTTTGTTAGGCTTTCTTCTTATGGGGCAAGACAACCACAGAACTCAGAACTGCTTTTCAGTTCAAATGTTCCTCCTTGCAGAAAAAGAGTACCTGCTTTCCTGATAGTCCAAATGAAAATTCTAGAATTGAATCTAGATCTCTTAGATTTCAAAGAACTTGGGTCATTTCCCCATCCATGCCAATTCTTGGGTTATTTGCCAAAAAACGATTGCAAGGCAAATGCTGGTGATACCCAGCATGTCCACTTTTGGGTCATATGAAGTGCATGGGATATAAATAGAGAAGGTGCAGCATCCCCATAGCAATTCTTTTAGAATTGTTATCAGAAGCAGGGAGGTAGGTGCTGAGCAGCCAAAACAATCTATGTTGTCTGCCATATTGCTTATGTTCCTTTCTCATCATGCTAGTGCCCTGTTTATCTTACTCGTTGTATGACTTAGCAGGTTTCTTAATGCTTCTGTGCCTCAGTTTCTCCATCTATGAAATGGAGACAATAGTACTTCACAGGGTTGCTATGAGGATACAATAAAGTAATGTACATGGAGAACCAATTGTGTCCCAAACTGCTCTCCTTGATGCGTCCTTTTGCCTCCATCCACCATTTAGTTTCAAAGCTTCTATCTCTTGAATTCACTTTCTTATTTCTCTTCCCACTGCCACTGCTGTGTTTTGGTTCTGTGCCATCTTTTCCTTAGCTATTTTATTACATCTTTTGGCCCCAGGTTACTCGCTAATCTTTTCTCCATTTTAAGAACCTAGTTTCAGGAACCCAGTTCCATTAAATTGATTGATACCATTGATTTCTCCATTTTAAGATCCTAGTTTGAAGAACCTAGTTCCAAGGATTAAAAAGAGAAATCCTTGTTACCCGAAGTGTTTCGGTTAGATTTAAGTTAATCAAACTCTCAAAACTTGGGATTGCATTGAATCTGGGAGGATTTAACACATTTATAGTGTAAAGTTTCCTTATACAGAAAAATAATTATTTTTCACTAGGCCACTATTAGTTTATGATCTAATAAAAAAAATAAGAGTAATAATCATGTAACTGATGATTCAAGCTCGTTTTCCCATTCAATATATATTGAGCATTCACTGTATCTAGAGCTTAGTGCAAGATAGGAAGCAGTTACATTAGATAATGTGAGAGACTGGCTATGAGAATTATAGGCAGTTCAGAGGGAGCAAGCTCAATTGGCAGTTGGGCATTGAAAGATGAGAGATCTGGTTAGGTGGAGGGACAACAGGAGGGGATGAGTGAAGGTTAGGGTGAAGAAGCTGGGCTACCAGGAGTGTCTGGGGAGACCCATGCGATGGGAAGAAATGCCATGCCTTGAAGGCAGATTTTGTTTCCCAGAAAATAGTCGTATTTTGAAGGCTCTTGCTAATTAGATACTGGAATTCTTTTTTTTTTTAATTAATTAATTAATTAATTTATTTATTTATTTTTTGAGATGGAGTCTCACTGTGTCGCCCAGGCTGGAGTGCAGTGGCGCGATCTCGGCGCACTGCAAGCTCCACCTCCCGGGTTCACGCCATTCTCCTGCCTCAGCCTCCCGAGTAGCTGGGACTACAGGCGCCCGCCAGCGCGCCCGGCTATGGAAATCTATTTATATATTTAGTTTGTTTTTTTCAAAGATGATTTATTAGTAAACTTTTTAACAGCTTTGAGACATAATTGACGTATAATAAACTGCATCTATTCAAAGTGTGCAGTTTGAGAAGTTTTGACATATTTATATACCTGTGAAACTATTGTCTCAAAACAATGAACCACCATCTTCTAAAATTTTCTTGTGCCTTTTTGTCATTCCTCCTTCCTGTTCCTCCTATCCATCTCCAGGCAAGCACTGATATGCTTTCTGCCATTATAGGTTGTTTGTATTTTCCAGTATTTTATGTAGATAAGCTCTTTTTTTTTTAGATGGTATGCCTTCTTTCACTCAGCATAATGATTCTGAGATTCATCCATGTTGCATGTATCCATAGTTTGTTTTTATTCCTTAGTTATACTTTATCATACTTTATCCACTCACCTGTTGATGGACACTTGGTTTGTTCTGAGTTTTTGGATATTACAAATCAAACTGCTATGAACATTTACATATAAGTCCTTCTGTAGACACGTGTTTTTATTTTTCTTGAGTAAATATTTTGGAGTGGAAAGTCTGGGACATATAATTGGGATGTATTTAACATTTTAAGAAACTGTCAAAAAGCAGTTGTATCATTTTATGTACCTGCCAGCAATGAATGAGAGTTCCAGTTGATCTACATCTTCACATTTAATATGTTCAGTTTTATTAATTTACAACATTTTAGTGAGTTTGTAGTTGTATCTCATGGTATATAATCTTGGTTTACATTTCTGTAATAACTAATGATATTAAGTATCTTATGATATATGTATTTACCATATATATATTCTTTTGGTGAAATGCCAATCCAACTCTTTTGTCCATATACTTTTTATTATTTTATTTTATTTTTTATAATATGTTTGCAGCCCAGCCTGGGAAGCTGCAGAGCATGACTGTTCCAGGAAGAGCTATCTATATTTTAAGTTGAAGTTCCTTTTTATTGAAGTATAATGGTTCTTTTTATGTTCTATCTAGAACTCTTTGTTGGATATCTGAAAATAGTTCCAGCATAATATATCTTTTTCCATCCTTAAAAAAATGTATTCTAGTTTTTAGAATGGTTTTAGATTTATAGAAAAATTGAGAAGATAGTACAGATAGTTCCCATATATCCCTCACCCAGTTTCCCCTTTATTAGTATCTTACATTAGTATGGTACATTTGTTACAATTAATGAGCCAGTATTGACACATTATTACTAATGAGAATCAGATAACCTTAGTTTTTACCTAATGTCCTTTTTTTGGTTCCGGGATCTCATCTAGGATACCCTGTTACATGTAGTTGTTACATTTCCATAGGTTCCTGTCAACTCTGACATTTTCTCAGACTTCCCTTGTTTTTCATAACTTTGGCAGCTTTGAGACATACTGGTCAGGTATTTGGTAGAATGTCCCTTGTTATGGGTTGAATTGTGTCTCCCCAAAATTCATACATGGAAGTTTTAACCCTTATACCTTGGAATGTGACTATATTTGGCAATACGGATAAAAAGATACTTAAGGTTAAATGAAGTCATTAGGGCAAGTCCTGTTCTAATATGGCTGATATCCTTATAAAAAGAGATTGGGACACACACACAGAGGGAAAACTATGTGGAGATACAAAGGGAAGATGACCATCTATAAGCTCAAAGGAGAGGTCTCAGAAGTCAACCCTGCCAGTATCTTGATGTAAGTCTTTGTTCTGTTGCTTGCTTTGACTGTGTTTTTTCTTGCATTTTCACATGGCTTGCACTTTTTTTGTTGTTGTTGAAAGCCAGACATGATGTATTGAATAATGAGATCTTGGGCAAACAAGTTTTAATATGAGGTTTTATGTTAATGTTTGCTGAATCTGTAAGTGCCAGAGACTTCAATTTCTTCTAGTGTTCTTGTTTTTGTCTCTCCTGTTGTCTTTGGAATTTTCCAAGAACTCCTTAAATAGAGTCCTCACCTTGCAGCTCTTTCAACTATAGTCTACTCTTATTCTACTAGAACTCTGTTGATAAGGTGGCAAGGTGTGGAAATAAGAAGCATTCTATAATCTTATAATAAGTCTCGGTTTTTTTGTAGGCCTGTGTCCCTGGGCTGTGGCCTCAAAAGTGTTTCTTAGCTTTTCCCACTCCTCTGCAGGAAGAAAAGGCTAAGGGGTATGTTGTTTAGTAATTTTTTTTTTCCCTGATCAGATCAGGCTCTTGTAGTTTATGTCTCCAGCAACTTCTGCTTTGGGTCAGCTGATCTGGGCTGTGATTGTTGATATTTGCCTCTATCAATTGTGGGGTGATGGTTTGCCCTGCAACCTCAGTTCTTTGATGGGTCAAAAAAAAGTCATTGATTTTCAGTTTGTTCTACTTTTTTCTTGTTGTAAAGACAGGAGTGATGACTTCTAGTTTCTTTATATGTCACAGCTAAAACTGCTCCATTCTTTTAATGTATCCACGTCACTATATTAAAATGAGTTTCTTGTAAAGAACATCTACTTGGATCTTATTTTTTATCCAATCTGATAATCTCTGTTTTTTAATTAGTGTGTTAAACGATTTGCATTTTGTAATTCTTGATTTGGCTGGGTTCTACCATTTTATTGTTTGTTTTCTTTTTCTCCTTCCCTCTTTCCTGTCTTTTTTGGAGTTTTTGAAATTTTTTAGTATTCCATTTAAGTTTATCTATTGGCTTTTTGACTAAATCTCTGTGTATCATTTAAATAAAAACTGGTTGTTCTAAGAATTACAATATACATTTCTAACCTTTTGTTTTATAATAATAATTAACATTTTATCACTTTGGGTAAAATATAGAGACTTTTGAACCTTATAGCTTCCTTTATTCTTCACCATTTATGTTACAATTTTCACATGTATTAATCTATATACATTGAAAACCCTACCAGACAATGTTATAGTTTCTACTTTTGACAGTCATGCATATTTTAAAAACACTTAAAAGGGGAAAATTATCTATTATACATTTTTATCATAAACATAACCTGATTTAAATCGCACAACCTGAAATTCATTGTTTCCTTTCTTTCTGTTTCCCCTTCCTACTTTCTAAGATTTGTGGAAACACTGAGCTCAACCTGTCGTTACTCAAATCTTTACTATTTTTGTTTCCTATTTTATGCAACATCCAAGTTAAATAGCCTCTCTCTTATGACACTGTTGATGGGAATGTAAATTGGTGCAGTCTCTTTTGAGGACAATTTAACTCTGCTTATCCTATTTGTAAAATGCATAGTCCTTTTGATCCAGCAATTCTAATTCTATGAATTTATCTTACAGGTATGCTATGGTCTGAATGTTTGTGTCTCCTCAAAATTCATGTGGTAAAATCTGAATCCCCAAAGTGATGGTAGTAGCAGGTGGGGCCTTTGGGAGGTGATTATGTAATGAGAATGGAGCCCTCAAGAATGGAATTAATGTTCTTATGGAAAGAACTCATAAGAGAACTCTTGCCGCACCATGTGAAGACACAGCAAGTAAGTGTCATCTATGAACCAGGAAATGGGCCCTCACTAGACACTGAATTTAATGGCAGTTTTATCCAAGACCTCTTAATCTCCAGATCTGTAAGAAATAAATTTCTGTTGTTTATAAGCTACTCAGTCCATGGTATTTTGTTGTAGTAGCCCAAAAGGACTAAGAGAAGGTATTGTCATATGTGCCCAAGATTTATGTACAAAAGTATTCATTATAACATTGCTTATAATAGTAGAGGGCTGGAAACTCATTTAAATATCCGTCAATCAGGAACTGGTTAAATAAATCATATTATAGCCATACAGTGAAAGACTCTGCAGCCATAAAAAATAAAGAGAACCATGTGCACACATATGGAACCATCTCCAGACATATTGTTAAGCATAAGAAAGTAGGGGCTACAGAATGTTGTGTATAGTATTCTCTCATACATATGCTAATAGATGCATAGAATATTTATGAAACATTTTATAAGAAATGTGTTACTGCATCTGAAAAGGAAGGGATTAGGGAATTGGGAGCATTAGTGGCATAAGGTATAAGGAAGACCTACTTTTTAACATATTCCCTTTTGTATTGTCTAATTTTTTAAAAACCATATGCAAGTATTTTTTCAGTTTGAAATAATAAACGAGACTCTCACTTCTGGCCATAGTCAAGTAACAGAGATTAAATTTACCTTCTTGCCCCAATCGTCTAAAAAACAAGCACAAGTATATGAAAATGACAGTTATCACATACAGAACAGAAAGCACAGGAGAGTGATCTCCCAGAGAAGATAAACAAACAAAAAGAACCTATGATCTACCCCAGCTTACTGCCTGGAGAGTCTCCAGACCAAAGCTCAAGGAGGAGGAACCCAAGTGGAGCTCAAAGCTCTCTCTGACTTGAAGAGACAGAGTTGAGAATTTGGGAGGAGGGGATAAAACACGACTAGAATTTTTAAGGCAGTATGCCTGAGGGAAGAGAGCTTCCCAGAAGGAGAGCTCAAGAGATTCCCGGAGTTCTGGAGACTTCAGCTAAGTATTGCTTACAGCACGAATGTGAAGAAAACGAGGCTGGGGAAAGAACCACCAGAAGAAAAACAGGTGGAACAATCCCTAGAGTTCACACAGAGATGAAAATAATTCATGTTGCCCCAAGCCAGGGTGGAAAAACCTTGCAATACACAGGGCTTTGGGCAGGGTAGTTAAAAGTGTTAGCCTTGGTAGTAGAGAAAAAATTAGGCCTGGAATAAATACTTCTCTTGTCCTGCCAAACATAGCTTAAGAGGATCAAACTGTTACCAAGTTACTTAAAACTCCAGACTATTTAAAGGAATTTAAAGATACCTATAACCCAGAATAGTAAAATTCACAATGTCTGGCATCCAATAAAAATTTTCAGGCATATGCAAAGGAGAAGGAAAACATAATTTACAATGAGGATAAAAATTAAACTATACAAACAGACCTAGAAATGATGAAGGTAATAGAATTAGTAGACAAGTATATCGAAGTAATCATTATAAATATATTCCAGTATGTTCAAGAATATAGAAGAAAAGTATTCATGTCAAGGAGAGACACAGAAAATATATGAAGACTCAAAGTGAAATTTTAGAGATGAGAGATACATTGGACAGGATTAAAACAGATTAGACACTGTAGAAGAAAAGATTACTGAACCTGAAGACATAGCAATAGAAAATAAAGCAAAACACAGAAAAAACACTGACCAAAATAAATAAATAAATAAATAAATAAATAAATAAATAAATAAACAGAGCCATCAGTGAACTGTGGGACAACTTTAAGTAGCCTAATACATGTGTATTTTGAGTCCTCAAAGTAGAGGTGTGTGTGTGTGGTTGAGTACGATATTGAAAAACTAATGACTAAAAGTTTTTCAAATTTGATGAAAAACTTACAGATTGAAAAAACTAAATAAACCTCACATACAAGAAACCTGAGGAAAACTACACGATGGCACATCTTAAGTTTCTTGAAACTACTGATTAAAAGAAATACCTTAAAATTAGCCAGAAAAAAAAAAGACACACAATGGATAGAACAAGTATGAGAGCAGACTTCCTGTTGGAAATAATGCAAGCAGAAGACAGTGGATCATCTTTAAAGTACTAAAAGAAAAACTGTCAACCATTTTGACAATAGAATTTTATACATAGCAAAAATTAATGTCAAAAATGAAAGCAAAATAAAGACTTTTTCAGACATATAAACTGTGAAAGAATGTATTAATAGCAAACTTGCTGCAGAAAGTGTTAAAGGAAGTACTTCAGGTGAAGGCAAATGATACCAAATGGAAATCTGGATCTATTTAAAGGACTGAAGAATACCAGAAATGGAAAATATGTGGGTACATATCAGATATATTTTTCTTATTTTTTAAATATCTTAAAATATAAGTGACCATTTTAAACAAAAATAATGCCATTAGGTTGTGTGGTTTATAACATATGTAAAAGTAAAATGTATAAAAACAGTACAAAGGCTGAGAAGGGGAAATATAACTGCATTGTTGTAATGTTACGCAATATGTGAAGTGGTATATTACTACTTGAGTGTATATTATTATTAATTGAGGGCATATTATTACTATGATAGAGTCATCACTAAAAAAGGCATTCAGTAACAAAATAACTAAAGCCATCACTAAAATCACAAAAGCAATCATATAAAATAAAAGAAGGTGTAGCTAATGAGTCAACAAAGAAAATAAAATGGAATAATAAAAAATAAAGAGGCAGAAAACAACAAAATAGGAACTGAGGTGACAAATAATAAACAAGGAACAAAATGGTAGATTTAAACCCACACATATCTGTAATCATATTAAATGGAAATGATCTAAGCATTAATTAAAAGGCAGAGATTGTCGGACAGGATAAAAAGGCAAAACTCAATGGTATCCTGCTTAAAATAAACCAAATTTAAATATAATAATACAAATTTGCTAAAAGTAAAAAGATTAAAAATATATGATGCTACTACTAATAAAACAAAGCTGGAGTGACTACATTAATATTGGACAAAGTAGATTCAGAGCAAAGACTATTACTAGGAGTAATGAGGATCATTTCATCATGACACACTGGTCAATTAGAGAACATAAACATTTTAAATGTCTATGCACCTAATAACAGAGCTTCAAAATGCATGAAGCAAAATACATGAGAGAACTTCAAGGACAAATAGACAAATTCACAATTACAGTCAGAGATATCAATACCCCTCCCTCAAAACATTTCTAACTTCCCTTTAAACTTCTTTAACCAATAGGTAATTTATAAATGTGTTGTTTAATTTCTGAATATTGGGAGACTTAAATTCCAAATATTTCCAGGTGTGGTGGCTCACCCCTGTAATCCCAGCACTTTGGGAGGTGGGTGGATCCCGAGGTGGGTGGATCACCTGAGGTCAGGAGTTCAAGACCAGCCTGGCCAACATGGCAAAACCCTGTCTCTACTAAAAAAATACAAAAATTAGCCAGGTGTGCTGGTGTGCACCTGTAATCCCAGCTACTGGGGAGGCTGAGACAGGAGAATCGCTTGAACCCAGGAGGCAGAGGTTGCAGTGAGCCGAGATCATGCCACAGCACTCCAGCCTGGGCGACAGAGCAAGATTCTGTCTCAAAAAAAAAAAAAAAAAAATCCAAATATTTAGGGATTTTTCTGTGATTGACTTCTCGTTTAATTCTGTTTTATGCTCAGAGAACATATTTTGTATGATTTCAATTTTTTTAAAGTTGGACACAAAATTCCTGACTACTCAACAATCAGCTCTCAAGACTCCAGCATACTGCGATGGCCTCAAGGTTGGTGCCCAGGACCTTCAGCTGCCTGTCAGAAGGATCTTTGCAGAGAACTGCACTTTGTTCTGAGTGCCACATACAAGATACCTAGAGAATGTTTTGAAGGCTTGTAAGATGAACTGCAAAGATGATAAAATGATCAGTGGACACACTGGAAGTTGGAAGATAACTGATCAACTGTCACTGCCAACATTACTGGTCTGCTTCTTCACATCCATACTTTGGAGATGAAGAGTAGTACTGAAGTAGTACTGTGCTATGACAGTGGACAATCCATTTTAATGAAAACCTCTCTACTCCCCTCCACATACTGAAGTTGTGACTTTGGTGGGGTATGTCAGCGTATCCTTAGCTAGCAAGCATGAGCTATAATCAGACGAAGAGATATTATTAAATACACATGTAGTAGGAAAAAAACATAATCTAGATGTAGGATGTAGAGATATGATCATCCTTGAATGGAGATAAAGGAAGAGACATTTAAAAGCAATAGGTTCCTTTTATAGAGCCTGTAAACTGAAGGGGAAAGAAGAGATCTAAAGGGAAATTCCAAAGTCTTCATTAAGATGTTAGGCTTAAATTATCTCAAAGGGAGTCTACAAATTCTGAGGTTTCATAAGAGGAAGACTCTTCTGTGGGCAAAATTCAGCAAAGATTGGCTTTTATGTGGCTATGAGGGATGTAGCTTTGATCTAAGGCACCATGGATTCAGCTAGAGCTCAGGGTGCAGATCTCCTCTCCTTGAAGGATTAGGAAATTAAGAATAAGTAGAAGCAAGTTCATACGAATATTAGAGCATTTTCCCTGCAATGTAACATAGGCTTATGTGTGAGTCTCTCTCAGTAGACCTTATGATTGGTGAAGTATGTACTAAGCTTCGATTCCTATAGATAGAGGGCCCTAAATTATGCATGTCATACAGAAAACAGAGTAAATGTTTGAGCTGAATAAAGGATCTTGTCTCATAGAATTTAAGATCCAGAAGGGAGCAAAGAAGCCTTCTACACTGGTGGGCTCCAAATCTATCTGAACAACAGAATTGTCTATGGGGTAGGTGAGGGTACTTTTTATTAATAAGAATACTAATTCTAAAACACCTAGAAGATACATCCCCTTACTCTCTTCAAGAGAGGCAACTCAAAGTACCCTCCTAACCCGTGTATCCAGGGAGAGATCTCTGGTATAGGGAACTGAAATTTTGTGGCCCAGGAAAACTCTCTTGCTTCACCATCACCACAGCTCCATCCTCCCAGGTGATTCTGATGAGATTTTAGTCCAGCTGTTTTCAAACCTCTAATAAATGGCATGTTCAATTTAGAGAGCATATGAAAAGCAGCTGGGAACTTTCTCTACTGATCAGCCCCCCTCCCTAAGCCTTTTCTCCTGTTACAGAGGTTTTGGTATGCCATCCTGAGAGGAAAATGTCTCAAACATCCTTTGCTACTCTAAGTGTGATTCCTGGACAAGAAATACCAGCATTACCTCGGAACTTGTTAGAAATGCAAAATATCAGGCCCAAATCCAGAGGTAAGGAGTTACCACCTGCAGTATAACAAGACACCCAGGTGATTCTATGGATCTAAAGACTGAGAATTGTTGTTTTAAGCTAGAGTGAACAGGAGTGTATAGTTTGAAAATGCTTTTTTATAGTTATTTACATGTTTTTTGAAAACAGCATTACTGAGCTATATTTCACATACCAAACAATTCACCCACTTAAAGTGTGTTATTCAGTGGTTTTTAATATATTCAGAGTTGTGCAATCATCACCACAGTCCATTTTAGAACACTTTCATCTCCCCAACAAGAAATCCAATAGCCACAGCTGTTATTCTCCATTTCCCCTTCATCCCTAGGAAACTGCTAATTTACTTTCTGTCTCTATGGATTTGCCTGTCCAAGACATTCCATCCATATAAATGGAATCATACAATATGTGGTGTTTTGTGACTGGCTTCTTTCACTTAGCATAATGTTCTTAAGGTTCATCCATATCGTAGCATATATCAGTACTTCATTTTTTTATAGCCAGATTATATTCCATTGTATGGATATACCACATTTTGTTTATCCATACGTTAGTTGATAGAAATTTAATTCGTTTCCACTTTTTGGCTATTATGAATAATGTTGTTGTGAACACTTACGTTCAAGTTTTTGTGTGGATATATGCTGTGATGGTTAATATTAGGTGTCAACTTGATTGGACTGAAGGATGTCTAGATAGCTGATAAAGTATTGTTTCTGGGTGTGTTTTTCAGGATGTTGCCAGAGGAGATTGACATTTGAGTCAGTGGACTGGGAGAGGAAGACCCACCTGCAATGTGGGCGGGCACCATCCAATCCGCTACCAGTGCAGCTAAAACAAAACAGGTGGAAGAAGGTGGGATAAGCTGGCTTGCTGAGTCTTCTGGCTTTCATCTTTTTCCCCGTGCTGGGTGCTTCCTTCCCTTCCTCCTGCCCTTAGACATCAGACTCCAGGTTCTTTGGCCTTTGGGCTCTTGGATTGATATTAATGGTTTGCCGGGGGCTCTCAGGCCTTCGGCCAGAGACTGAAGGCTGCACTGTCAGCTTCCCTGCTTTTGAGGCTTTTGGACTCAGACTGAGCCTCTACTGCCTTCTTCCCCAGCTTGCAGACAGCCTATCGCAGGACTTCTCCTTGTGCTCATGTGAGCCAATTTTTATTTTATTTTATTTTATTTTATTATTATTATACTTTAAGTTTTAGGGTACATGTGCACAATGTGCAGGTTAGTTACATATGTATACATGCATGCCATGCTGGTGTGCTGCACCCACTAACTCGTCATTTAGCATTAGTTATATCTCCTAAAGCTATCCCTCCCCCCTCCCCCGACCCCACAACAGTCCCCAGAGTGTGATGTTCCCCTTCCTGTGTCCATGTGTTCTCACTGTTCAATTCCCACCTATGAGTGAGAATATGCGGTGTTTGGTTTTTTGTTCTTGCGATAGTTTACTGAGAATGATGATTTCCAATTTCATCCATGTCCCTACAAAGGATATGAACTCATCATTTTTTTATGGCTGCATAGTATTCCATGGTGTATATGTGCCACATTTTCTTAATCCAGTCTATCATTGTTGGACATTTGCGTTGGTTCCAAGTCTTTGCTATTGTCAATAGTACCGCAATAAACATACGTGTGCATGTGTCTTTATAGCAGCATGATTTATAGTCCTTTGGGTATATACCCAGTAATGGGATGGCTGGGTCAAATGGTATTTCTAGTTCTAGATCCCTGAGGAATCGCCACACTGACTTCCACAAGGGTTGAACTAGTTTACAGTCCCACCAACAGTGTAAAAGTGTTCCTATTTCTCCACATCCTCTCCAGCACCTGTTGTTTCCTGACTTTTTAATGATTGCCATTCTAACTGGTGTGAGATGGTATCTCATTGTGGTTTTGATTTGCATTTCTCTGATGGCCAGTGATGGTGAGCATTTTTTCATGTGTTTTTTGGCTGCATAAATGTCTTCTTTTGAGAAGTGTCTGTTCATGTCCTTTGCCCACTTTTTGATGGGGTTGTTTGTTTTTTTCTTGTAAATTTGTTTGAGTTAATTGTAGATTCTGGATATTAGCCCTTTGTCAGATGAGTAGGTTGCAAAAATTTTCTCCCATTTTGTAGTTTGCCTGTTCACTCTGATGGTAGTTTCTTTTGCTGTGCAGAAGCTCTTTAGTTTGATTAGATCCCATTTGTCAATTTTGGCTTTTGTTGCCATTGCTTTTGGTGTTTTAGACATGAAGTCCTTGCACATGCCTATGTCCTGAATAGTAATGCCTAGGTTTTCTTCTAGGGTTTTTATGGTTTTAGGTCTAACGTTTAAGTCTTTAATCCATCTTGAATTAATTTTTGTATAAGGTGTAAGGAAGGGATCCAGTTTCAGCTTTCTACTTATGGCTAGCCAGTTTTCCCAGCACCATTTATTAAATAGGGAATCCTTTCCCCATTGCTTGTTTTTCTCAGGTTTGTCAAAGATCAGATAGTCGTAGATATGTGGCATTATTTCTGAGGGTCCTGTTCTGTTCCATTGGTCTCTATCTCTGTTTTGGTACCAGTACCATGCTGTTTTGGTTACTGTAACCTTGTAGTATAGTTTGAAGTCAAGTAGCATGATGCCTCCAGCTTTGTTCTTTTGGCTTAGGATTGACTTGGCGATGCGGGCTCTTTTTGGGTTCCATATGACCTTTAAAGTAGTTTTTTCCAATTCTGTGAAGTCATTGGTAGCTTGATGGGGATGGTGTTGAATCTATAAATTACCTTGGGCAGTATGGCCATTTTCATGATATTGATTCTTCCTACCTATGAGCATGGAATGTTCTTCCATTTGTTTGTATCCTCTTTTATTTCATTGAGCAGTGGTTTGTAGTTCTCCTTGAAGAGGTCCTTCACGTCCCTTGTAAGTTGGATTCCTAGGTATTTTATTCTCTTTGAAGCAGTTGTGAATGGGAGTTCAGTCATGATTTGGCTCTCTGTTTGTCTGTTATTGGTGTATAAGAATGCCTGTGATTTTTGTACATTGATTTTGTATCCTGAGACTTTGCTGAAGTTGCTTATCAGCTTAAGGAGATTTTGGGTTGAGACAATGGGGTTTTCTAGGTATACAATCATGTCATCTACAAAGAGGGACAATTTGACTTCCTCTTTTCCTAATTGAATACCCTTTATTTCCTTCTCCTGCCTAATTGCCCTGGCCAGAACTTCCAACACTATGTTGAATAGGAGTGGTGAGAGAGGGCATCCCTGTCTTGTGCCAGTTTTCAAAGGGAATGCTTCCAGTTTTTGCCCATTCAGTATGATATTGGCTGTGGGTTTGTCATAGATAGCTCTTATTATTTTGAGATACATCCCATCAATACCTAATTTATTGAGAGTTTTTAGCATGAAGTGTTGTTGAATTTTGTCAAAGGCCTTTTCTGCATCTATTGAGATAATCATGTGGTTTTTGTCTTTGGTTCTGTTTATATGCTGGATTACATTTATTGATTTGCATATATTGAACCAGCCTTGCATCCCAGGGATGAAGCCCACTTGATCATTGTGGATAAGCTTTTTGATGTGCTGCTGGATTCAGTTTGCCAGTATTTTATTGAGGAATTTCGCATCAATGTTCATCAAGGATATTGGTATAAAATTCTCTTTTTTTGTTGTGTCTCTGTCGGCTTTTGCATCAGGATGATGCTGGCCTCATAAAATGAGTTAGGGAGGATTCCCTCTTTTTCTATTCATTGGAATAGTTTCAGAAGGAATGGTACCAGTTCCTCCTTGTACCTCTGGTAGAATTCGGCTGTGAATCCATCTGGTCCTGGACTCTTTTTGGTTGGTAAGCTATTGATTATTGCCACAATTTCAGAGCCTGTTATTGGTCTATTCAGAGATTCAACTTCTTCCTGGTTTAGTCTTGGGAGGGTGTATGTGTCGAGGAATTTATCGATTTCTTCTAGATTTTCTAGATTATTTGCGTAGAGGAGTTTGTAGTATTCTCTGATGGTAGTTTGTATTTCTGTGGGATCGGCAGTGATATCCCCTTTATCATTTTTTATTGTGTCTGTTTGATTCTTCTCTCTTGTCTTCTTTATTAGTCTTGCTAGCAGTCTATCAATTTTGTTGATGCATTCAAAAAACCACCTCCTGGATTCATTAATTTTTTGAAGGTTTTTTGTGTCTCTATTTCCTTCAATTCTGCTCTGATTTTAGTTATTTCTTGCCTTCTGCTAGCTTTTGAATGTGTTTGCTCTTGCTTTTCTAGTTCTTTTAATTGTGATGTTAGGGTGTCAATTTTGGATCTTTCCTGCTTTCTCTTGTGGGCATTTAGTGCTCTAAATTTCCCTCTACACACTGCTTTGCATGTGTCCCAGAGATTCTGGTATGTTGTGTCTTTGTTCCCGTTGGTTTCAAATAACATCTTTATTTCTGCCTTCATTTCGTTATGTACCCAGTAGTCATTCAGGAGCAGGTTGTTCAGTTTCCATGTAGTTGAGCGGTTTTGAGTGATTTTCTTAACCCTGAGTTCTAGTTTGATTGCACTGTGGTCTGAGAGACAGTTTGTTATAATTTCTGATCTTTTACATTTGCTGAGGAGAGCTTTACTTCCAAGTATGTGGTCAATTTTGGAATAGGTGTGGTGTGGTGCTGAAAAAAATGTATATTCTGTTGATTTGGGGTGGAGAGTTCTGTAGATGTCTATTAGGTCTGCTTGGTGCAGAGCCGAGTTCAATTCCTGGGTATCCTTGTTAACTTTCTGTCTCGTTGATCTGTCTAATGTTGACAGTGGGGTGTTAAAGTCTCCCATTATTATTGTGTGGGAGTCTAAGTCTCTTTGTAGGTCACTCAGGACTTGCTTTATGAATCTGGGTGCTCCTGTATTGGGTGCATATATATTTAGGATAGTTAGCTCTTCTTGTTGAATTGATCCCTTTACCATTATGTAATGGCCTTCTTTGTCTCTTTTGATCTTTGTTGGCTTAAAGTCTGTTTTATCAGAGACTAGGATTGCAACCCCTGCCTTTTTTTGTTTTCCATTTGCTTGGTAGATCTTCCTCCATCCTTTTATTTTGAGCCTATGTGTGTCTCTGCACGTGAGATGAGTTTCCTGAATACAGCACACTGATGGGTCTTCACTCTTTATCCAATTTGCCAGTCTATGCCTTTTAATTGGAGCATTTAGTCCATTTACATTTAAAGTTAATATTGTTATGTGTGAATTTGATCCTGTCATTATGATGTTAGCTGGTTATTTTGCTCGTTAGTTGATGCAGTTTCTTCCTCGCCTTGATGGTCTTTACAATTTGGCATGATTTTGCAGTGGCTGGTACTGGTTGTTCCTTTCCATGTTTAGTGCTTCCTTCAGGAGCTCTTTTAGGGCAGGCCTGGTGGTGACAAAATCTCTCAGCATTTGCTTGTCTGTAAAGTATTTTATTTCTCCTTCACTTATGAAGGTTAGTTTGGCTGGATATGAAATTCTGGGTTGAAAATTTTTTTCTTTAAGAATGTTGAATATTGGCCCCCACTCTCTTCTGGCTTGTAGAGTTTCTGCCGAGAGATCAGCTGTTAGTCTGATGGGCTTCCCTTTGTGGGTAACCCGACCTTTCTCTCTCGCTGCCCTTAACATTTTTTCCTTCATTTCAACTTTGGTGAATCTGACAATTATGTGTCTTGGAGTTGCTCTTCTCGAGGAGTATCTTTGTGGTGGTCTCTGTATTTCCTGGATCTGAATGTTGGCTTGCCTTGCTAGATTGGGGAAGTTCCCCTGGATTATATCCTGCAGAGTGTTTTCCAACTTGGTTCCATTCTCCCCATCACTTTCAGGTACACCAATCAGATGTAGATTTGGTCTTTTCACATAGTCCCATATTTCTTGGAGACTTTATTTGTTTCTTTTTATTCTTTTTTCTCTAAACTTCCCTTCTCACTTCATTTCATTCATTTCATCTTCCATCACTGATACCCTTTATTCCAGTTGATCGCATCGGCTCCTGAGGCTTCTGCATTCTTCACGTAGTTCTCGAGCCTTGGCTTTCAGGTCCATCAGCTCCTTTAAGCACTTCTCTGTATTGGTTATTCTAGTTATACATTCGTCTAAATTTTTTTCAAAGTTTTCAACTTCTTTGCCTTTGGTTTGAATTTCCTCCTGTAGCTCGGAGTAGTTTGATCGTCTGAAGCCTTCTTCTCTCAACTTGTCAAAGTCATTCTCCATCCAGCTTTGTTCCATTGCTGGTGAGGAGCTGCGTTCCTTTGGAGGAGGAGAGGCGCTCTACTTTTTAGAGTTTCCAGTTTTTCTGCTCTGCTTTTTCCCCATCTTTGTGGTTTTATCTACTTTTGGTCTTTGATGATGGTGATGTACAGATGGGTTTTTGGTGTGGATGTCCTTTCTGTTTGTTAGTTTTCCTTCTAACAGACAGGACCCTCAGCTGCAGGTCTGTTGGAGTTTGCTAGAGGTCCACTCCAGACCCTGTTTGCCTGGGTACCAGCAGTAGTGGCTGCAGAACAGTGGATTTTCGTGAACCGCGAATGCTGCTGTCTGAACGTTCCTCTGGAAGTTTTGTCTCAGAGGAGTACCCGGCCCTGTGAGGTGTCAGTCTGCCCCTACTGGGGGGTGCCTCCCAGTTAGGCTGCTTGGGGGTCAGGGGTCAGGGCCCACTTGAGGAGGCAGTCTGCCCGTTCTCAAATCTCCAGCTGCGCTCTGGGAGAACTACTGCTCTCTTCAAAGCTGTCAGACAGGGACATTTAAGTCTGCAGAGGTTACTGCTGTCTTTTTGTTTGTCTGTGCCCTGCCCCCAGAGGTGGAGCCTACAGAGGCAGGCCGGCCTCCTTGAGCTGTGGTGGGCTCCACCCAGTTCGAGCTTCCTGGCTGCTTTGTTTACCTAAGCAAGCCTGGGCAATGGCGGGCGCCCCTCCCCCAGCCTCACTGCTGCCTTGCAGTTTGATCTCAGACTGCTGTGCTAACAATCAGCGAGACTCCGTGGGCGTAGGACCCTCCAAGCCAGGTGCAGGATATAATCTCCTGGTGCGCCGTTTTTTAAGCCCGTGGGAAAAGCGCAGTATTGGGGTGGGAGTGACCCGATTTTCCAGGTGCCGTCTGTCACCCCTTTCCTTGACTAGGAAAGGGAACTCCCTGACCCCTTGTGCTTCCTGAGTGAGGCAATGCCTCTCCCTGCTTCGGCTTGCGTTTGGTGCACTGCACCCACTGTCCTGCGCCTTCTGTCTGGCACTCCCTAGTGAGATGAACCCGGTACCTCAGATGGAAATACAGAAATCACCCGTCTTCTGCGTCGCTCACACTGGGAGCTGTAGACCGGAGCGGTTCCTATTCGGCCATCTTGGCTCCAGCTGCCAATTTTTCTTAATAAACTCCCTTTCATGTAGCTGATTAGTTCTGTCCCTCTGGTGGATCCTGATTAATACACATACTTTCATTTCTTTTTATATACCTAGGAGTGGAATACTGGGTCATATCGTAACTCTATGTTTAACATTTTGAGGAACTAATAAATACTTTTGCAAAGTGGCTACACCATTTTTCAATCTCACTAGTAATGTATGAGGGTTATAAGTTTTTCTGGATGATGGCTAATCATATCACAAGGACACTTGGGTCTCAGAATGAAGAATGCACAACACAAAGGTAAAGAAAATTCATTTACAACCACACACAAATAAAAAACCCTGACTAGGCAAGGCAATCATGAGCAAAAAGAACAAAGCTAGAGGCTTCACACTATCTGCTTTCAATCTATGCCACAAAGTAATAATTCAAACAGCAAGGTACTGGCATAAAAATAGACACACTGATCAATGGAACAGAATGGGGAGCCAAAAATGAACCTATATATGTACCGTCAATTGATTTTTGACAAAGGTGCTAAGAATACACAATAGGCAAAGGATAGTCCCTTCAATAAATGGTATTAGGAAAAATGGATATACACATAAAGAAGAATTAAATTGGACCTTTATCTCATACCATATACAAAAACCAGCTCAAAAGGAATTAAAGACTTAAGCATAAGTCTTGAAACTATAAAACTACTAGAAGAAAACATAGGAGAAAAACTACATGACATTGGTCTGGTCAATGAGTTTTTGGATTTGACCCCCAAAGTACAGGCAACAAAAGCAAAAATAAGGAAATGGGATTGCATCAAACTATAAAGCTTCTACACAGCCCAGGAAACAGCAGTATGAAGAGACAATCTATGGATTAGGAGAAAATATTTGAGAGCCGTACATCTATTAGAAATTAATATCTAAAATATATAAAGAACTCAAACAACTCAATAGCAAGAAGACAAATAATGTGATTTTAAAATGAGCAAGGGGCCTGAATAGACATTTCTCAAAAGAAGACATACAAATAGCCAATAGCAATATGAAAAAATGTTCAACATTGCTAATCATTAGGGAAATGCAAATTAAAACCACAGTGAGGTATCACCTTACACCTATCAGAATGGCTATTATCAAAAAGACAAAAAAAAATATTGGCAAAGAAGTGAAAAAAAGGGGACCCTTGTACATTGTTGGTGGGAATATAAATTAGTACAATCATGGAAAACTATATGGAGTTTCCTTTAAAAACTAAAAATAGAATTACCATATAGCCCAGCAAACTCACTTCTGGGTATTTACCCAAACTATTTGAAATTAACTTGTTTAAGAGATGTTTGTACCCCCATGTTCATTGCAGCACTATTCACAATAGCCAAAACATGAAATCAACCAAAACATCCATCAACAGAGATGGATAAAGAAAATGTGCTATACAAGTATATACATAATAGGATACTATACAGCCTTTAAAAAGAAGGAAATCCTGTCATTTGTGACAACATGGATGGATTTGGAAAACATTATGCTAAGTGAAATATGCCAAGCACAGAAGGACAAAATCTGCATGTTCTCACTTACATTTAGAACCTAAAACAATCAGACTCCTAAAAGCAGAGAACTGAATGGTGGTTATCAAGGTTGGGGGTGGGAATGGGGAAATGACAATCAAAGAATATGAAGTCTTAGGAGGAATAAGTTTTCCTTTTGAGATCTATTGTTGCATGTTGAGGCAAATATAGTTAATAATAGTGTATTATACATTTCAAAATTGCTAAGAGAGTAAATTTCAAATGTTCTCACCACAAAAAATAAGTATTTGAGGTAATGGATATGCTAATTAGTTTGATTTAATATTCTACATTGTATTCATAAATCATAATACATTAATCACTTTGTATCCCATAGATATGTATGATTATAACTTATCAATTTACAATACAATTTTAAAAAGAATAACCACAACTCTCATATATTGCTGTTGAAATGCAATTTCGAAAACAGTTTGTCAGTTTCTTTTTTATTGATACATAATAATTTTAAATATTTATGGGGTACATGTGATATTTTGATACGGGTATACGATGTGTAATGATCAAACCAGAATAATTAGGATATTCATCACCTCAAACATTTATCATTTCTTTGTGTTGGGAACATTTCAAATCTTCTCTTCTAATGATTTTGAAATATATAATAAATTATTGTTAACTATAGTCACCCTACTGTGCTATCGAACACTAGAACTTATTACTTCTATCTAAGTGTGTTTTTGTACCTATTAACCAGCCTCCTTTCATACTCCTCCCCTTCCCAGCTCTGGTAACCACCATCTACTCTCCACTTCTATGAGTTTGATTGCTTTAGATTCCACATATAAGTGAGAACATGTGGTATTTGTCTTTCTGTGTCTGGCTTAGTTCACCTAGCATAATGTTCTCCAATTCCACCTACATTGCTACAAATGACAATATTTCATTCTTTTTTTTGGCTGAATAATATTTTATTGTGTATATATACCACATTTTCTTTATTCATTGATCCATTGACAGACACTTGGGTCGATTCCATACCTTGGCTATTGTGAAATGGTGTTGCAGTAAATATAGGAGTGTAAGTATCTCTTTGATTTACTGATTTCCTTTTTTTTGGATATGTTCCCAGCAGCTGGATCATATAGTAGTTCTATTTTTCATTTTTTGAGGAACCTCCATGCAGTTTTCCATAGTGGTTGTACTAATTTATATTTCCACCAGCAGTGTATTAGCATTCCCCTTTTCTCCCCATCCTTGCCAGCATCTGTTATTTTCTGTCTTTTTGATATATATAGTTTAGCTATATATATCATAGTTATACACTTACCATGGGATCTAGCAATGCCAGTCCTATATATTTGACCAAATGGAATAACAGCTTGTATTCACAGAAAAAACTGTAGGCAATTATTTTAGTAGCTTTATTAATAATTGCCCCAAACTGGAAATAACCTAACTTTCCTTCAACTGGTGAATGAATAACAACCTATGGTACATTCATACCATAAAAAGGAATAAATCATTGATGTACTTAACAACACAAATGAATAACACATGCTTCATGCTAAGTGAAGCCAGACTTGAAAGGCTACATACTATATGATTCATTGATCTGACGTTCTTGAAAAGAAAGAACCACGGAGGCAAAGAACACATCAGTGATTGCCAGGGGCTAGGGTTAGGGCAAAGGCTTCACTACAATGGGCAGTAACATTTTTGGAGGGGTGACAGTGCTCTGAATTCTGATAGAAATGATGGCTACTCAACCGTGCATTTATTAAAACAAGCAGAACTGCTTATTAAGAAAGTGAATTTTATTGTTTGTCAATTAAAAAAAATACATTTCAAAGGAGCCTTCAATGACTTTGCATTGTTCTTAGAATAAATTCCAACTGAGAGTAAATTTTATGTTCTTGATCCCAGGTTGCGAAACAGTCCATGGTCTGGCCCTGGCACTCTGTGACCTTGTTTTTTACTCTCCCTTCTGGCCACTGTATTAAGCTCATTTTATGCATCCTCTAAGATAGATGATAATGCACCAATTTGCTAGAGCAAACCCAGCAGTGGTCTGTACTATCACTGTGTTCAGGGGGCCGGGTTGCTGCTACTTCTGCTACTACTTCGGATTGAGGTGCTCACTGTGGCTGCTGCTCCCAGTCCCTCAGGGCGCTCTCAGGTACAGCCAGCCCAGCAGTGCCTCACCTCCTGTCATATGCCTTGCCTTCCACCTTGGGACTTCCCTGATGTTGTCCAGGCAGCTACTTTGTGGCCACTCAAATGCAACCTAGGAGGGCTAAGTTAACTAATGGGAGACTAAATTGACTAACGGGAGAAGGGAGCCTGCTAGTAAGTTTTCTTTCTTCCAACCACACCAGTAGTCTTCCTCCACTGCCGACAGATGTTTGGAACTTCAGAAGCATTACATTGTTTCTCTGAAGACCATAGATCAGTGCCTTTCTCTTGGATCCCTCCTAAACTCTCAGTAATGCCCCCATACTGCCTCCTGACCAACCCTTGGTGCTCCTGCAGACTCGAGAGGCAATGCCCAGCCACGGAATGCACTTCCTTGTAGTTGCTCTCCCTCTTCTCCTGACTCACTTCCCTTTTCTCTCAGTCCTACTCCCCTGTGATTTCACTTCCTTACGCACTGTTCATGCCTAAACTTTTGCTCAGGCTCTGCTTGCGGGGAGTTCAGCCAAAGGCACCCCCACCAAGCTCTAGCACATCTGATTTCCTGGATTCCAGAATAAGCTGTGTATTTCCCCCCAACCTACCCCCAAGTTAGAGCCTTTGCACTGTGTTTCCCCTGCCTGGCTCCTTCCTCAGCTGTTCCATCAATCATTCTATGTGAATTACTGACATAGGCACTCATCTAATATATGTCTTATGTGCTCTATTTATTTTTCTCTCATTAAACTTTAAGGCCCACAAGAGCATGAACCTGTCTGTCTTGTTTAGTGCTATATCCTGAGAGCCTGGAGCAGCTCTAAGCACACAGGAGGCCCTTAGAATGAATACTTGCCATTGTTGGACTGGCTAGTCTAAAATCTATACATTCAGTTGCTTGCTTGACACAAACTTGCCAGTCAGTGCCCAAAGTTGACCAAATGAGGTGGTGAGAGAACTGTCCCAGCAAATGAGACCTCTTGAGGTGGGAGGCTCTGAATGTAGACTTACTGCCGGTTGTCTCAGTGTTCCCAGTTTTCAATACCACACTGTTGAAAGAGCGTTTAAAAAAGCAGGGCCCGGCCAGGAGGGGTGGCTCACTCCTGTAATCCCAGCACTTTGGGAGGCCAAGGCGGGTGGATCACCTGAGGTCAGGAATTCAAGACCAGCCTGGCCAACATGGTGAAACCCTGTCTCTACTAAAAATACAAAAATTAGCTGGGCATGGTGGCGGGCACCTGTAATCCCAGCTACTCAGGAAGCTGAGGCAGGAGAATCACTTGAACCTGGGAGGCGGAGGTTGCAGTGATCCGAGATCATGCCATTGCACTCCAGCCTGGGCAACAAGAGTGAAACTCCATCTTAAAAAAAAAAAAGCAGGGCCCAACATTCAGACATAAATCTTTATGTTCTTGAATTAGGCAAAGCCTTTTAGGTATGACACTAAAAGTACAAGCATCAAAAGAAAAGACAGATAATTTGTGTTTCATCAAAATGGAAAACTTTTATGCGTCAAAGGACAGCACCAAGAAAATAAAAAGGCAAGCCACAGAAATGGAGGAAATACTGACAAATCATAGATCTGATAAGGGACTTATATCCAGAGTATATAAAAAAATTCTCACACCTGGATAATAAAATGATAAATAACCAAATTTAAAATGGGCAAAGGATCTGAATAGACATTTCTCTGAAGAAGTTATGGCCAATACACACATGAAGATGACCAACACCATGAGCCATTAGGAAAATGGAAATCAAATGTTATAAGATACCACTCTATGAGAACACATGGAACACACGGACACAGGGAGGGAACAACACACACCAGGGCCTGTCGGTTGTGGGGGTTGGGGAGCAAGGGGATGGAGAGCATTAGGACAAATACCTAATGCATGTGGGGCTTAAAACCTAGATGATGGGTTGATGGGTGCAGCAAACCACCATGGCACATGTATACCTATGTAACAAACCTGCACATTCTGCACATGTATCCCAGAACTTAAAGAAAAATTTAAAAAAAGAGATACCATTGTACCTCCACTAGGATGGTATGATTTTTTCAGTGGCAAATAACAAGTGTTGGCGAGGATATGGAAGAAATCTGGAACCTTCATATAGTGCTGGTGGGAATGTAGAATGGTGCAGCTGGTTTGGGAAAAGGTATGGCAATTTCTCAAAATGTTCAACGTGGAGTTACCATGTGATCTGGCAATTTATATATATACCCAAGAAAAATGAAAATGTACATCCACACAAAAACTCGAACAGAAATGTTCATAGTAGCATTATCCACAATAGTAAAAAAGTGAAACAACCTAAATGTCTGTCAACTGATAAATGGATAATCAAAATGTGATAGAGCTATACAATGACATCGTTTGTTCATAAAGAGGAACAAAGTACTGATGCATGCTACAACATGAGACAGCCTTGATAACATTAAGCTGAGTGAAAGAAGCCAGTCACAAAGTCCTCAAATTGTATGATTCCATTTATATAAAATGTCCAGAATTGGCAAATCTACATAGAGAGAAAATAGATAAGTGGTCACTGGAAGTTGGGGGTTGGGGAAAGAAGGGAATGAGTGCTAATAGGTGTGGGATTTCTTTATGGGGTGATGAAAATCAGTTCTAAAATTGGCTATGGTAATAGTTTGTACAACTAACTGCATATGCAAAAAATATTAAATTGCATATTTTGAGTGAATAGTATGATGTGTGAATTATACCTCAGCAAAACTGTTTTTTTTTTAACAGTAGAGATCATTAAAGAAAAATCACATCAATAAAGAAAAGTAGATAAAGTGGACTTTAAAATCACCTCTCTCTCTGAGGAATCCCACCCCAAGCACCTTCCTAACTGCTTCCTATGCACAGAATCTGTCCAGACTACAGGTGACGAACCGATGACCAGGGGACCACTTGTGGCCTACAAATTCTTATTTTCTTGGCTTATAGAGAAATATTTAAAAAATATTTAAAATTTTTTAAAATATTTAAAAAATAAGTTACTAATATTTTTAAATTAGAAGAGTTCACATTAAACGTGAACTTCTGGCTTCTCTTGGGGGCAGGGGGAACCAAACCAAAATAAAATAAAATACCCCGACTTGATGGCCACACTGGACCCTCTTTTCCCACGTAGAAAAATGAGGCTGCCTTTTTCAGGGCCATTGTGCCCTTCTCAGTTTGTCCCTGTATAACCACTTAAGTTACTTCTTTGTCACCTGCTTTTATCCTTCAGGGACATTTGAGTTTGCAACACCTGTGCAGACCTTTTGCTGTATCAACGGGACGTTCCCTTAGGCCCTGCTTGATGATTGGCTAATCCTATGGTGGTTTCCAACCCTGGCCACACATCAGAGTCTCCTGGGGCCCATGTGAAAAAAATACCCATACAAAGCTGGACACCCCTGAACCCCGGATTTTTTTTTTTTTTAACAATTAGATTAGATTCTCTCGGGGTCGGGCCTAGTATTAAGAAAAAAGAAAAAACCAAAAACCAAAAAATCCAACTTTCCAATGCAAATTTTTGCTTGCATTGGATTAGCAGATTAGTCCAGCATTTCTCCTCCTGTGTGTCCAGGAAGGGAAATGCTGGGCTAACCTGCTAACCCAATGCAAGCAAAGGTTTTAGTATTTGATGATGGTTTAACAGCCTCCTAGATAATTTTTGTTTTACAATTGAAGGCAACCGGTAGAGCTAGGAAAGGGTGCTTTTGATTAGATGAAACTTTTACTTGGTGTTTAAATCAGAGTTGGCAGCTGTCTGGACCTCAATGTAACTGTCCTTTCTATAACCAGTCATGTTAAAAGATTTTGCAAACATTACAACGAGGAAGGCCAGGTCACGGTGCCTTTGCAGCCTTGTTATTTTTAAGCAGCAACTTTTTAAATTGATGAATTTGAGTTGCTCTTGAGACCTTCTGCGGGTTCTGGAAATGTCACCAGGGTTGACAAGCACAAGGAGTTAGTTACAGTGGCTTTTTGAGAGGCCATGAGTGGACGACACAGCAAGACAGGAAACAGGTGCTGGCAGCCAGCAGGTACTCGATAAATATTGGGTGAATGAATTGACAAGACATTTTGCTTCTCATTATCTCCACACGAGATGAAAAATTTGAGGGGAGGAAGGAGGGGCAGGAGAGGGGCCCCTTAGATGTCTTCCTCCGGATTTTTTGTTAAGCTTTTCCTAGACAGTTTACAGAAGGCTTTGGGTAGAGAAAGCACTAGTTAGACAAAAGCAGCCCCCCTCCCACCTTGTGGGCATGAAGAGTCCAGAGGACACCACCTGAGAAGCTTTTCAACTGCCTTCCAAGGCTCCCTTGAACTTCACTGCGGTAGAGCAGGGACCCCAGACCCCCCCTCAAATCGAAGCTTGGAAGGAGGTGCTCTAGGCTGAATCTGACCTCCCAGGACCCGAGGAGGCAAGCAGATGGCACCCCTTGGAAAGTAGCAGTGCAGGCTGGCTAGAGGCCTGGGCGGTGAGCTAGGACTATGGGGCACCGTGGGGACACGCCCGGAGGCTGCACCAGGGCAAGCGGGGGAGGGGGGGGGCGTCCACTGCACCTGCAAATCCCGCGCCTCATCTTGGCCCCCCTGCAACCCCGCGGTGAAGCCCACGCCGGAGAGGCTGCCTGCGGGGCTGCAGTGGAGAGGGGGTCTGCGGCCGCGAGGAGGGAGGCGGCGAGCCAGGCTGGGGAGGGGGGCGCGGCTGGCGACGGTGCTGTCCAGGGGGAGGCGGGCGGAGGGAAGGCGCTGCCGCTGCTGCCGCCGCCTCGCCCGAAGCGACACAGACGCTGGGAGCGGCCGAGGCGGTGAGTCGCAGCGCCTTCCCTCCGCTTCTCGGGAGCCAGAGCGGAGTCGGAGTTGCAGCCGGGGCGGGTGTGCCGGGGGCGGCTGCTGGGGGGGACCCGTGCGCTCGGTGCGCCGCGGGCGCAGGGGTGGGTTCGAGGAGCGCGCGGTTCTGGGAACCTGGTTCCAGCAGCTCCCTCCTGGGTGCAGTTCACCCTGTCAATTCCTCTGTCATTCCCCCAGTGCCTCTGAGGGAAAACAAAACAAAATTACAGACCTTGAGGGTGGGCGGCAGAAAAGGAGAGAGCAACTTTGCAGAGGGCCGCGCAGAGGCGCGTGGGGCCGGCGGGATGGGGCGCGCTGGGCAGAAGGGGGCGTTGGTGAGCCTGGCGGCCCGGGGACCTCTGGAGCATCCCGCCCCGGGGGCCGGGGCCGGGGCCGGGGGCCGGGGCACCCGCTGGATCCCGGGCCTGCGGAGTCTGCCCGGAAAGGCCACAGGAGGCGAGTGCGGGGCGTGGGCGTCTGGGGAGGGGGCCAAGGGAGAGGCCGAAAGGCGCTGGTTGAACACGGACGAGGAAGTGGTCTGCATTTTGGACTCAGGACCTGAAAGATTCGTGTCCCTTGCGCTCGAGGACTTGGGAAGGGTGTGCTGGGGAGATGTGTTTGAGTGTTTTTCAGTGCATACCGATTTATTTTTAGCTCCCAGAGAAGCAGGATGTGCAAAGTGGGTTGTATCAGCCCGGGAGGGGCAGGAGGTCTCCCTGTCCGCAGGAAATACACAAGTTTTTTTTTTTTTTTTCTAATGCTGCAGATGCTTGCTTTAACTTTTGTGCATGGAGAAAGAATGCCATTTGGCTCTGCAGAGCTCCTGCCAGGGTCAGTTTCTTCCTGCGGGTCTGTCGGAGGCCGCAGGCGAGGCGGCTGGTGTGCTGCTGTGCTTACACGCTAGCCCCGCAAGAAGGTCTATGTTCTGTTCCGTAGGGCAGCTACGGTGAAACACAGAAGTAGGCAGCCAAGGTCTCACTCTCTCAGAAGGAAACCACACAAGCTCGCTCAAAGTTTTCCTACTTCTGGCTGATTTGAAAATAACAGACCTAAGCCACTGTATTACCAAGAGCAGAGTTTGCTGTCAGGGGTTTCTCAGACCTAAGTGGAAATGCTTGTGAGGTTTTTCACTCCAATTGGGAGATCCCCGTGTTTTATGGCCAAAGGCCTTGATGCAGACTACAAAGGAGAGGGGGTGTGGTGTGATGGTGGGAGTGTGGGTACTTGCGGTAGCGGGGCAAGGACAGATCTGGGGAGGAGGCTCAAGAAACTGAAATTCACATGTTTACCTACCCAAGCCAGATCTCTGGAAATTGTCCTGGAGTCTCCCCTGTCTCAACCATTCAGTGTCCAGTCCTGTAGACCCTCTGTCTGTAACTGTATTAGGAGAGTTGCCAATATGGACATTAGGAGTGTGGGCTCTGCAGCCAGACAGCCGGGTTTGAGCTGTGGCTCATTCGTCAATAGCTCCTGGATCTTGGGGTCCTTACTTAACCTCTACTGTGTTTTCTGATGTGAGGCATGAGGTTGATAATAGATAACAAAGCTATCTCAGGGTTACTGTGAAGATAAAATGAGTTAATACCCAGAAAGCACTAAGCATCATGCCTTGTTGTAAGTGCTGCATAAATGTGAGCTCTTATTATTTTTGTTGTTGTTGCTATACGCCCTCTTCTCTCAGTTCCTGCTGTCACTGACTTAGTTCATATTCTCAGCACTTCTTGCCTGAATTGTTCCAATTGCTTTTGAGCTTGTTGTTCCCAATCAGGACCGTCTTACTCCAGTCCATTCTCCAAACTGTGGACACTCATTCCAAAAACAAAAATCTAAGCCAGTCATTCTGCTTAATTTCCTTTAGAGGTTTTCTGTGGTTTTCAGGATAGAATTCACACTCCAGGGACTTTCACGGTCCCACCCTTCTCTCTTCATTAACCTCATCTCCCAAGCCTCCCCCCACGTAGCCTCTGCTCAAGCCACTGAGTCGCAGCATCTATCATCTCCCCAACCTTCCTTGTCTGGTCAACTCCTATGCATTCTTGGCAGCTCAGCTGCTGCGACACTGCCTTCCAGCAGGCTGCATGGCACTCCCCCTCCCAGAGGTGCCATGCTACCCTGGATGTAGCCCTCGCATCATTCTGCACCATTATCTATGTATCTTTCTATGTACATTATCTATGTATCTATGTATCAAGGCACCTGCATGTGCCTTGAGAGATGGATTCTGATTGTAGGTACATGTTTGTTGAATGAATAAACAAACATCAGTCAAACAAAATCCAGTCCTTTTCACTAAAGCCAGAATCAAACACAGAGAATAATAGACAGAGAGGAGGACCAAACCAAGCTTTATATCTAACACTCTACGATAAAAAACCTTGGGAAATACTAAGGAATCAAGAGTTGGTCAAAAGAAATGTGGCATACTGTCTTGAAACTGATGGGATCCTTGCCCTCGAGGTGTGTCCTTTTAATGGTGAGGGGCAGACTAACAATGAAGAAATGTAACGATCTGAACCCTTCTCTTTCCTTACTTCTCTCATGAAAAGGTCAGGCATCTCAGATGTGGCTGTAGGGGATGGAGGTCCAATTTTTTGAAAGGGTTGTGCAGTGAATTTGGTTCTGGAGGCAGAGGTGAAGTTTATAACACACATGGGTTTTATAGCTTTTCCTTGAATTATGTATAGCATCCCTCAGAATGTGAATTTCAGATTGCCTGGTATTGGTATGATAACAGGAAATCTGCAGTCACCAAAGCTCTTTTGTTACTTTTTGGACTATTCAGTATGTTCAGAGGGTACTTTTCTGACTCAGGCACCCACTCCAAGCTCTCCAACTCCTGGGGTCCCAGGAAGTTGCACGGGAAGATAAGAGCTGCTGCTTCCCTGAGGCAGCCCCAGAGTCTGGCTTCAAAGCTCTAGAGAAGGGATTTTTGTACAACCGAGAGCAAAGAATGAGCTTTATATTTTTAAAGCGTTGTAAACAAAAACACAACACAACACAACAAAACACGGAGAAGAATATGTGATAGGGACCATGTCTAAAATACTTACTACTTAGCTCCTTATAGGAAAATTTTGCCAACTGTTGCAATGAAGCTGAGACATATTGGTTTCATATTGCACATCATCTGACTGGCTGCCTGGAAATCTGGGTCCAGTAGGAATCCAAGGCTGGGTCTGGGCTCAGCAAGAAAGTGTGCTGTGGTCAACTAGTGATGTCTGTCTGCTAGGGAATGGGATTAGGGAATAGTCTTTACCATTCCTATCCTAGAGAATATCATTTGCGGATAATGAAGACAGAAATCAGGGATAGAGCACATGAGTTAAAAGTCCCTAGAAGGCAGGAACTTTCTACCACAACAATGAACAATCACTGCAGTTAACATTGATATTGGCATTTATTGAGTGTGTACTATGTGGCCCTGGTTTACATGGAATACCTCATTTAACATTTATGATAATTTTTCAGGAGATATTTTACTTAGGACTCAATTCTGTTGTGTCAGGAACCCCAACATTCAAACTGTTTTAGCAAAAAAGGAATGTTATTTTGGCTCTGATAACTCCTCAGTCCAGAGGAAGACATTTCGGATATGGCCTGATTCAGGCCTCAAACATTGTTAGCGGGACCTCATTTCTCTATTTTTCTCAGCTTGCTTTCATGGAGTCGGCACCATTTTTAGTACCATCTCATTGAGGCCCCATCTCGTTGTAGGATGGCTGGAAGAGCTCCAGACCTTACATAGTCTGGGCTTTAAATCCAGCCAGAAAGTGGAAGTCTCCATCCCGGCATTGCTCACAATGACTTACTCTGGCTCGTCAGCATTGATTGGGTCCTGTGTCTATTCCTGTGACCAGGGTGCCACATGTTACTAGGCTTGGGCTTCATCACATGTCACATGTTTCATCCTTAGAGACGGGCTGAGAAATAGGAGCAGGGGTGTTTCTTCAGCAGAAAATTGTTATACTCTCACCAAGAGATGAGCCCCTGGATTTTGGATTGCAAAGCAACAGATGTTCACTATAGGACTGTTAGCATTCCCTCTTCATAGATAAGAGAAACAGCGTTAGAAGCACGCAATAATTTGCTCAAGGTCACATGGTCAGTAAATAGTGGAGTTCTCATCTGAAATCCACAATTTATGCACTTAGTAGAATTACTTGTGAACAGAGTATTTAAAGTGAGTTTAGTGAGCTTAGTGTGAAGCTCTAGCCTCTCTATTCCTGCAAGTATAGCTATATAACTTCAAGAAATTTTAAGTTCTGACTGGCTAGAAGACATGAGAAAAATGACATAGACGTCTCTGCCTGGATTTTTACTCAACTATTTGACCAATATTCTTGAGCAGTTTCTACATGCTCAGCATTCTGTTAGGTTGTAGGGATACAGGCTGAATAAGATCTAGTCCCCTGTCTTTAGGAATTTATATTCTAATGTGAAAGTGCAAGACATAATTAGGGAAGGGATTGACTAGAATCTGGAGCAGGTAGGGGAATGTGCAGGAGGTAAGTTCCCTTCCTGGGGATGGTGGTCTTGCATTTTGTTTCCTGAGGCAGCCCCAGTACAGTGCTTTGTGCCATAGGCAAGCAATAAATATTTCTTGAATACAACCTTTTAAAAAACTGTGGTTAAATATACATAACATAAAATTGACCATTTTAACCATTCTTAAACGTACAGTTCAGTGGCTTTAAATACATTCACATTATTGTGCAACCATCACCACCATCCATCTCCAGAACTTCTTCATCCTGCCCAGCTGAAACTCTGTTTCCACTAAACACTAACTTCCTATCTCCTCCTCCCTTCCAACCTCTGGCAACCACTATTCTACTTTCTGTCTCTATGAATTGACTACTCTAGGTACCTCATATAAAAGGTATTTGTCTTTTTTGTGACTGGCCTATTTCACTTATAATAATGTCCCCAGAGATCATCCGTGTTGTAACATGGGCAGAATTTCTTTCCTTTTTAAGGTGGAATACTGTTCCATTGTATGTATGTACCACACTTTGTTTATCCATGCATCTGCTGATGGACGTTTGGGTTGCTTCCATCTTTTGGCTACTGTGAAAACACTGCTGTGAATATGGGTGTACAGTGATATGTTCAACTCCCTGTTTTCAGTTCTTCTGGGTATATACCCAGAAGTGGAAATGCTGAGTTATATGGCAATTCTGTGTTTAAGTTTTGGAGGAACATCCACTGTTTTCCACGGTGGTACCATTTAACATACCCACCAGCAATGCACAAGGATTCCATCAACACTTGTTATTTTCTGTTTTTTCTTTTAATATAATAGCCATGCTAGTAGGTGTGAAATGTTGAACACATTCTTGAAGGTAGGTTGGAATTGAATTGTGAGAAATAGTGGTAGAGTTTAAACTTCATTCTAGGGTCATGGGGAACCATTGGATATTTGTTGCCTGTGATAATGGCATGATCGGAAGGTTTGGACGTTAGAGAGGGGGTGGGGAGAAGAGGAAAGCAGCAGAGAAGTTATTTTAATTATTTAGATGAGAGAACATAATAGTTTTCCCCACATCTGTACAACTGAAAATATGTCTATCTCTAGTAAATGGTACTGAACTTGGGGAGGAAATGTAAATACGGCATCGAGAGATCTCATGGCCCAGGATTCCTCACAGAAGTAGACTACTGTTGCTAATAATAGCACTCATGCTAGCAAATGCCTAAAGGCGATTCAAGTATTGATTAATTCTGCTAAATCCTATGAAAGATTCCTCCTCCAGCATCCCATAAGGAGGCGGATGAACTGCTCAGAAGGCAGTAACTGAGGAAAGTTAATGAAGGGACTATTTACAAAGGTGCGGGTAAGATCAGGGAACCCACCAGAAGTGGCCAGCAGTGCATGCAAGCCTTCACTACCCAGCCCTGACAGCATGAGGTGAGAGAGCAGTTTCTGGAGTTGTTCAGGGGACAGGGCTGCTGGCTGGAGCTGTGGTTTTCAGTAGAGGAATATGACTACTGCCCATTGTGGCCTGGTGGGGAGGCATCCAGGTGGATAAAGGCCCCAGCCACTCTCTTCCACTCTCTGATCTGGTGCTGGTGCCTCCCAATTGGCCAAACTAGCCACAGCCAGACAGCAAGAAGGCCTGTTGATGTGGGACTATCTTGTAGTCCATAGTAGCCAACACAAAGTAGTGTTCTAATTATCCCCAATTTACAGGTAAGTGAACCGAGGCATTGAGAGGTTGAATGATTTACCAACATTGGGAGCTAGTGCAGGTTATGGAGCTGAAATCTGAAGACTGACAAATAATCAGAGATCATCAGCACATTTCTTCTGTATATGCAGCTGGATCTGGAAGGTTACGTTTTCCCCAACCTGTGTGTTTTGGTTCTTTGGAAATAATCTGATGTGTACAAACTTGGCTTGGCTGTCAATAGGTGGTGTGGGTGCCTGCTCAGATCCCCCACTTTTTACAAAAATAATGTACTTTGCAGGCATATTTCATACTTGATTCATTGTGTTTAGATAAAAAGAATATTTTCCATATACTTGATGGGAGTGACAACATGTCCTTGAATCACATTTGCTACACATGAAAAAGATGTAAGTTGCGTTTTTTTTTTTTTTGAGTTGAAAGTGCCAACGGAGTTGACAGTGTCACCTGGCTGTTTAAACATTAGTGAGACCTTGGGCTGCAATAAGAGAATACTGTTCAAAGGAAGGGAGAGGATCGTTCCCTCTGTGCTGCCCTGACTGGTACAAGTTAAGGGGATTTCTCATGAGCTGGCGGATGCCGAGGACAGTAGCTGGGACTCTCTGGCCTGGAATCGCTCTGTGGGACTTTTATATTCTTTTCTTCACATACATGAAAGCACTGTACTGAGGGAAAGGGATTAGACTCATCTGGGGCCAGAACTAGGCCTACTGTGAACACGGAATGGGCTGCTTTGGAAGGCTTCATATAGTCCCTGGCCGGAGATTGTGAAGCTGAGGCCACAGGTGAGAGATGGGGCTGTAAGCTTATATTTGTTTCCTGTGGCCGCTGAAACAAATGACCACAAAATGGTGGTTGAATGCAACAGATATTTATCCTCTCACGGCTCCGGAGGCTAGAAGTCTGAGGCCGAAATGCCGTGCTTCCTCCAGGGATTCTAGGGGCGACTTCATCCTTTGCCTCTTTTAGCTTCTGGTAGCTGCAGCATTCTTGGGCATGAGGTTGCATCACTAGAGCTGCGCTGCACGTCACATTGCTTCCTGCTCTTCTCTGTGTGTCTCTCCTCTGCGCATCTTTTATAAAGACATTTGTCACTGGATTTAGAACCCAGCTGCGTGATCCAGAATGATTTTATTTCAAGATCCTTTATGACATCTGCAAAGACCCTTTTTCCAAATAAGGTCATATTCACTGGTTCCGGGGGTTAAAGCTTGGTTATGGCCAGGCCCAGTGGCTCATGTCTGTAATCCCAGCACTTTGGGAGGTCGAGGCAGGAGGATTGCTTGAGCCCAGGAGTTCAAAAACAGCCTGGCCAACAAGGTGAGACCCCATCTCTACCAAAAAATAAATAAATAGATAAAAATAAGTAAAAGAAAAAAAATTAGGCCTCTTGGCATGCACCCGTGGTTCCAGCTACTCGGGAGGCTGAGGTAGGAGAATCTCTTGGGCCCGGGAGGTGGAGGCGGCAGTGAGCCATGTTGACCCCACTGCACTCCAGCCTGGGTGACAGAGCGATACCTTGTCTCAAAACAACAACACCACCACCCTACAAAAGAAACCCAAAAAAGTCTTGGACACTTGGACATACTTTTTTTGGGGGTCACCACCATTCAATCCATGACAGAGCTCAGTAGTTAGGATACACGGCAACTATGGATTCTCTGACTCTGTTACGGTGCCCCTAGATTTGATTTACTGTCTGGATTCTAGGTTCCTTGACACACAGTAGAGGTTTTTGTTTTTGTTTGTTTTTGTTTTTGTTTTTGTTTATTATACTTTAAGTTCTAGGGTACATGTGCACAACGTGCAGGTTTGTTACATATGTATACATGTGCCATGTTGCTGTGCTGCACCCATTAACTCATCATTTACATTAGGTATATCTCCTAATGCTATCCCTCCCGCCTCCCCCCACCCTACGACAGGCCCCGGTGTGTGATGTTCCCCTTCTGACACAGTAGAGGTTTTCTAAATGCTTTTGATTTGATCATTTGCAACTTTATTCTAACTTTAAACAACAAAATAAACAAACACTTAAAATCTACCGTCCTTTACTTCTGAAATAAAGGGGTGTGAAAGAGGCTGTCAGAAGCCAGTTTGATCCCTGTCTCAGCTAAACGTTTTCTGGGCTTTGCTTTGCTGGATGGCATTGAAGGAAATGAATGGGAAAAAGAGCTGCCACTGGTCCTGTTCAGGCTTCTCACCTGGGGCTTTCCCAGATGCTTTTAGAAATATAATTTCTCAGAGGAAGGCTAAGGATGCTGGAGTCTTTCAGGAAAGGGAAGCAGAAGCAGCAGAGACTCAAGTTTCTAAGCCCATGCTTCAGGAAGCATCCACTACAAATATTGTTTGTGAATGCCATTGACCCATCCGCACGTCTTTTATTTATGTATTTTCAACAGTGAGCCCCAAAGTAGGGCCTGTGTACATCGGGCACATAAGGCAAGGTAAAGAGTAGCTTTGGCAATGGCCTGGAGAATTCGATGACTGTAGTCCATCAAATGAGGTGTATCAGAAAAGTCCACTCCAGGGCATCAATTATTCTGTTTTATTGTCTGCATTGATCGCATTAACTGGGGAAGAGCCAAAATCCATTCAGTCTGTGCTATGGAGTAGCAGGTGTAATTAAGGTCAGTTTCTCTCTAGGGGGCAGCTAATTTTGGTTTCTCAGCTGCTTTACAGTTTGACTTTAAAAGAGAGGAAGGAAAGAAAAAAAGGTAAAGTGCCCCTTCATGTTACCATCTTACCTATCCTACTGTATCATTGTTACTCTGGTTAATATTAACTTTGGATCCTTTTGCTTTAACAGTGTATCGGAATACTGTGATACTTACAGAATTTAGTCTCACTACCTGAAGAAAAGGTTTGCCTTGCAGGGGACCAACTACACAGTTTGTGGGGCTCACAACAAAATGAAAGTGTGGGAACTTTGTTTAAAAAAATTAAGAATTTGAAGATGGTGCTAGTGGAGGATTAATGCCAGCATGGGGCCCTGCTGAGTATGGGGCCTGTGTGATGGCACAGGTCACATGCTCATGAAACTGGCCCTGGCTTTGTGCATATGCTGAGGATGGTGTCCTTTTACCTACCTGGCACCTTAACTCCCAAAGAGTGACCAGGCCAGTTTCCTCTGCCTTGGTTGGAGCACAGCTCTTCTGTAGGGCAAGGGCAGTAAGAGGCCTGGATATCTCCTGTTGGCCCTTCCACATCCCTGGCTCCCTTCTCCACCTGGCTCTGTGCCCCAAGAGGTGATCTTTACCACTGGCGTCAATGGCCATCTTTTCTTCTGACTTCTGGTATAATTTGGCCAGAAATCAGCAGGAGACGGGAGGGTGGGAGGAGAGTGAGGTAGGGTATTTATTCCCCTGTCCCTCCACTGGGTTGCAAGCTGCAGCTTGGTGTGTGTGTGCTAAAGACCACAGCGCCTGCAGCTATCCTCTCCATATCGCCACCCTCTTTGGGTTCCTTCAGCCACTTCCTCCCCTCATGCCTTCAGGCCTAGGGTGGTCATGGCTTCCTGCTATTACTAGCCTTAGAGTCCTGCATCATCCTTCATTGCTTTCCTGAACCCCTGTATGACTTTCTTCTCAATAGCCTCTTCAGTAGGACTCCTCTGTAGGATTCAAGAGCAGCCTCTTTAGTTTTCTGGTTGGGCTTTAACTGATTTGGTAACCCTTGGACAGAGTTTGGCCACAGCTTGCTCTGCTGCAGGGCAGAAAGAGAGAAGCTGATGGCTGTGATAACACGTGACTCTGCTGGGCCAGCTCCTGGTAGGGATGGGTGATCAGAAGGCAGTACCTCCACATCTACAGTGGTGGAGAACGTATGTTTGAGAGCTAGACATTTGAATTCTCTGGCCTGACTTTGGGGAAGTCATCTCATCCATAAAATGAGCGAATGACAGCCCTTCACTTACAGGGCTGTTTTGAGCATGAAGCGAGATCACGTGGGCATCATGCTTGTCATAGTGCCTGGCACACAGGAAGTGCTCGAGAAGCATTGCTGCTTTTAGCATTAGTTCTACGGAGTGACCCCCTTGAGGGGATACACTCGCTACTCTTCTCTGATCTGAACTAAGGCACTGACAGCCTAGACTACACCAATGATTATCAAGTTTTCACTGATTCACGGTTGTTTGGGGTGCTATTTCTGTCTTTTCAAGTAGATTGTTCTGAAATTGTTCTTATCTTACATACCTTTTAAAAAACTAATATAAGTGCCCAACCCAGTAGGTAGCACATCATAACTGGCCAAGAAATGTTTCTTGGCTAAATATAAGACGACTACATAATTTATTGTTCACATTGGGACATTTTTGAGAGTGAAAGGGGAGGACTTTCCAGTAATTACAGCAAAACAGCAGGCACAAATGGGGACTGTCCTAGGCAATCCAGGTAAAGAAACATAGTTATTCTACTTAAGTGGGACTTAAGGCAGTTTTCAAAATACATTTTTAAAATTTGCCGGCCTACCATATTTTGTATTCGTCTGCCTTTGGTTTATGAAATAAAAACATGAGATTTGAAAAACATAGGCAAAAATATGTTTAACACTTCTAATAGATTCTTGGCCTGAATTTGAGGCAATGGGCCAGGGCCTCTTATCAGATAGAGACCTACTTTTACACTTTGTTACCCTGCTTTACACTAGGTACCTATTTATAAACTTTCTTCTGTGCCTGCTTTTAAAAAAGATAATCTCCTAATTATTGTCTTTCTTGCTATAGTGATCATTTATGCTTAAAGATGGCAAAAATAGATTTATATACATGTGTTTTTTGGAACATCTTTGTCTTTGTATTTCTGGTTGCCTGGGTGACATTTCCAAGAGAATATGTGCTAATCTGCTATTACTGAAACAGAGATAAGGTGGAAACTATTTTTAGGTCTGTCTATACCTTTCCTTTTCTCTCCTAGACCACTTAATTGGTTTATTTTTTTCTGTTTCCATTGTTTGAAGGGCATTCATAGCTTCTGTCTTGGTCCATTTTGCGTTGCTATAATGGAATAAGTGAGACTGGGTAATTTATAAAGAAAAAAGGTTTATTTGGCTTATAATTCTGATGTCTGTAAAAATTCAAGATTGGGCATCTGGTGAGAGCCTCAGGCTGCTTCCATTCATGATGGAAAGTGAAGAGGAGCTGGCACGTGCAGAGATCACATGGCCAGAGAGGAAGCAAGGGGAGGGGGAGGTGCCAGGCTCTTAATAATCAGCTCTCCACTGAACTAATAGAGTGAGAACTCACTTACCTCCCTCCTCCACCCAGGGAGGGCATTAATCTATTCATGAGGCACCCACCCCCACGACCCAAGCACCTTCCATTAAGTCCCACCTCCAACAATGGGGATCAGATTTCAACATAAGATTTGGTGGAGACAAACAACCTTATTTAAACTATAGCAGCTTCCTTCCTGTAGTTCTAATTTGGGGACTGGATAACTTTTTTGAAAACTGATGTAGTCATTCAGTATCTTCTTCATTCACAATAGCTAAATGTGTATTGATAGCCAATTTGTTTGGTTAGTTGATAACAATTTTTTTTTTTATCACAGTTTGTCTAAAACAAGCTTAGGCAAGGGATATTTTTGGTATAAAAAAAGAATGTGGAGGCAATCTGTTGTTCTCTGCTGGAAAAAGCACATCCCTTCTGGAGCTGGATTAATCCGGTTTTGGTCTTAGTATTGCCACTTATTAGCTGTGAGGCCCCTGGAGCTTGTATCTTCAGGTGACAACGGAAGCAATAATAGTACCTGCCTTATGGGGTTACTGTGAGGGTTGAGAGGGTTAAGTAGAATAACACATGCAAGGAGAAGATGCAGCATCTCACCAATAGAAGTGCTGATGCTGCTGTTCTTAATACCAGAGGTACAGGTGCACCCTACCTTTCAGAAAATAATCTCATACAAGGTATCACAAATATTTGAATTTCCTAAAGAGATAAATTAGGGAGATCATTATTTTCTTTACTAAAATGTTTTTGTTTTTATAAACATTTCAAAGAATTTCTTTCAGTGGTGAACATCCTTGGGTGTGTTTATAGTAATATTGAAATTAAAAAGTTCTAATTTACCCTAGCAGTTTTAGGCACATAACTGTAGTGTTATCACCCATAATTCAAATGTTCAAAGGCAGCCAGAGTTAATATTTGGGGTCTTTTCTTCCCCTATTTTTACGTAAAGATTTTTGTGAAGATGTATGTATCATTTATGTGTGATACATAACTGTAGTGTTATGTAAGAGATTTTGAACATTTATTTGACTGTTGCATGTGCTTGGAGGGGAGATATTTAGCCTAATTCCAATATTTGAGATAGGGCCTTAAATACTGCAGTTAGAGATCCGAGATGAGTAATTTGGATTATATGGCAAGTTTGAGAGGAGAGATGGACTTTAACGTGTTGTTATTTAAAACTTTTTAATATTGGGGTGTTGCTCTGGCTGGGGTTCCTTTGGCTCTCACTCTTTTGCGTTGTTATTGTATTTTTAAAGGCAGATTGCTGCACCATTGCTCTGGAGTTTGTCTTGCTGCCCTTGAGGATAGGGGAAGGAGAGAGGAAGCAACACTCAGACACACATGTGCACACCACACACACACACACACACACACACACACATCTCTTTAGACATATGATCTAAATTTTCTCAGTTGTTGGAAGTGGAGGCTGGGGATGTGGGAAGTCAGTGATGTTGAGTTCCCACCGCCTCACCCTTTGGAAGCCATGATGACCATTTCCATGCCAGGCCAAAGGACAAGCAGTGAGAACCAGAAGTCCATTCTAGCCTCTGAAGTTTCTTGGGAAAGCAACAGGAAGACATTTAAAGAATATGTTCCCTGGACCTTTGGTGCTGTTCCCTCTGTATCATTGTCCTCACAATTATCAAAGTAAGATATTATAAAATAAAATAAAATATGCACAATATAGAAAATTAGAAAGAAGAAAGAATCACTCTTGTTCCAAATATTCAAAGGCATCCTGGAGTATTTATTATCATTACTTAATATAGAGTTTTTTTCTTAGTTATGTAGTCATATTTATCTATTTTTTAAATTATTTTTTTCATTTAACCATACGTCCCAAACATTTTATCTTTTATTCTGCAATCTTTGTAGACAATGTTTTATTGCATATGTAATATTTCATTGAATGGATTATACCTCAGTTTACTTAGTCATTCTATTTTTGGTCATTTGGTCAACATTTTATTATACATTTTTTGCTATTATTATTTCTGTACGATAACCTTTTTCTCCTTTTAACATTATATCCTAGGATATAGTTTTAGTGAATTTAATAGATTGAAGGTTTGAACATTTAAAAAGTCTTAACACATTTTTAGCAAAAGCCAATTTACTTTTCCGAATGGGTTAGAGCAATTCATGTTGTGAGACTGTGTCGATTTCATCTTCTTTTACCATGCATTGACCATCATCACTTCAAAATACTTTCACTAACTAATCTAAGTGCCCAGCCTAGTAGGTAGCACATCATAACTGGCCAAGAAATATTTCTTGGCTAAATCTAGGGTGACTATATAATTTATTGTTCACATCAGGACAGTTTTGAGAGTGAAAGTGGAGTGCTTTCTAATAATTACAGCAAAACGACAGGCAGAAATAGGGACTGTCCTAAGCAATCCAAAATACTTTCTTTTCATTTGTATTTCTTTGATGACTAGTGAGGCTGAACATTTCTTTTTTATATTATTATATACTAGTTGCATTTCTTCTCTTCCTAATTTTCAGTTACATGTTCTTTACCATTTGATGTTTTTCATATCAGTTAAAATGAAAAAAATTTTCCTTCAAATTTTAAAAGTAATATATGGTTGTGATAACAAGAGAAACAATTCAGGACAAAGATCCACAAAGAAAAAGCTCTGATGGCTCGTTTCCTCTTCCAGGGAGCCAGTGTTAAAGGTCTGGGTGTTTCCCTACCTTTCTCCACAAGGAGACCTTTACAAGATCTGGGTGTAATTCAGATGAAATATTATATATGCAATAAAACATTGTCTACAAAGATTGCAGAATAAAAGATAAAATGTTTGGGACGTAGGGTTAAGTGAAAAAATAATTTAGAAAATTGATAAATATGACTACATAACTAAGAAAAAAACTCTATATTAAGTAATGATAATAAATACTCCAGGATGCCTTTGAATGTTTGAAATAAGAGTGATTCTTTCTTCTTTCTAATTTTCTATATTGTGCATATTTTATTTTACTTTATAGTATCTTGTATTTATGTGTGCACACAAATACACTTCATTTCAAAGATACAAAGGGGGCTTGATATTATGAGTCATAGTATACATATTATTCTGTAACTTGCTTTATTTTTTGCTTAAAATATATATTGTGGACATAAGATCTTTATCATAATAAAATGTCTTTGGCACATTTGTTACAAATATTTCCCCAAATATTAGTATATCACTTGCCCATTTGACATAGTTTGACACTGGCGAGTGGGCAAATGTTTCCCTGAAATTTATTCCACTGATGGGACAGCCTGCTCTGCACTTTGACAGGGTTTGCTACTCAGCTTTGCTGTCTGCTGGTTTTAAAAAATTCTTAACTTTCAAAAAAATCATTATTTAATCCAACTATAATTTATTTTTGTGTAGGATGAGGAGGAAATAAGGGGCCAAACTGATTGCTTTTCTCCTTTAACTTACTGATGAATTGTCCCATCACCCTTTATAGAATTAGGCTTAAAAAAAAAAAACCTTTCATTTCCATAAAGCAAGTTATACCTTTTATGTGTACATTTTTTTCAGCTATAAACTAGTGGTTTATAGCTAATAAACCAAATAATCAGGAGAGTATTTTTCTAAGGGAGGGAAGAATTTGCATTTACCTGGAATTAGGTAGTTACACTGAGAATAACCTGATTTCTCAGGCCCCAGATCTTTGCCTTGAACTTGAATATCAGGATGCCATGGGAGTGTGCGGTCTGAGAAGCTCAGAGTGCTTCTGCTAACGATTTCACATTTTCATCACTCCTGCATTGCTGTGAGGTAGGAGGGCCACAGATACGATCTCATTTTACAGGGGACGAGGCTGAGCCAATCTCAATGATTCACGCATGGTTATTCCTGCTTTCCAATCCGATAGTTCATTATATTATGTAATTCTGTCTGTTTTTCTGGTCGTCCTTCTGATTCCCTTTCTTAGTGATAAATCTGTGTTTGAAACTGTAATCTTGGTTAGCTACTTTGATCACTATAAGTAGAATCTTAAAAAGGGAGCTCTTCCAGGAGCATTATTATTATTATTCCTATTTAACAAACATTTATTGTGAACCTGCTCTGTCCAAGGCACTATGTCAGATGTGGGAAATACAAGGTGAAAAAAACACTTTTCCTCTCCTTGAAGAATTTACTAATTACTTTAGTATTGTTGTAGCTCCTGCTATCGTCCTTAGACTTTTACAAAAGGATATCAATATTTTGTGTTGCATCTACTCGGCTGCCTTGGTTGCAATGACGGAGGATGTTTTCTGTCCAGCAAGTCTCACGAGTGCATTGCGTGCTGTTTCCTATTCAGAGAACTACTGTGAGGCATTTAAAACACCTGAGGACTTGACCGATGCATATTTGATAAGCTCAAATGGTCTTAGAGATCTTCAGTGTCAGTGTCCTCTGTTTCTAAATAACTACACTTTTCAGCCCCAACTTCTCTTCCTTTGGGCATTTAGGTTACTCGACTGGTCAACCAGGATCTAAAAATAAACCTAGAAACTTTGAGAGTATTTTTCCCCCCTTGGCTGATTGATGTGTGTTTTTGTGTATGCCAAACTGTGCTGTGTAACTATTTACTTTTGCATTATGTATAGCACTTAGCAACCCACAGTGGAAATGAAAGCTAAGAGCACAGGCAGTCCCCAGCTGAGGCGGGGGAGCTGGCCTGCCCAAGTCTCAGCCAAGTCTCCTTCCCTCCCCCATCCTGTACCTTGCTGGCCTCTAGTTCCTGCTTTTTGCCTTCTCTGCTGGCGGCCAAGTGGGGACCAGGAGCAGGGGCAGGAAGGGCCCCTCCTGCCCCTACTCTTGCCCTTTGAGATTTCCCTCTGCAGGTCAGTGTGGGTGGGGTGAGGGGAAGGACACAGGCCTTGGCCACCACTGGCGTCTTGGCATTGGTGACAGTCCTGTAGGGTCAGAGGCACTGAGACGCTATGTCTTATTTGGAACTCTAAATGCATTTCCATAAAAGAAGGACACAAGTTGTGGCAGGACCCTCAAGACAAAACTATGTGACTTCTCAGGAATGCTTTCTTTAGGGTGACATAAGTCAGTGCTTACAATGTTGCTGTTAGAGGAGAATACATTCTAAATTCTGAACATTTCAGGTTAGAAAGAAACTTAGGACACGATCAGCTTGTAACTCAAGGGACTGTCTCTAAAGTCAAAAATTGGCTTATTCCCACATGAGAATGTCCCTTTACTTGGGACTTGGTAGTGTGCTGAATGAGCTCAGCCCTTCTTTCCTTAGCCCTCTTCTGTAGCTGTAAGAATACTTTAGTTCTCTGATTTTTAGAGTAGCAATTATACTAAAAAGTTCATACCTTGATTTTACCAGAAGGGTGGGGGAAAGGCCTTGAGGAATATAGATTTAATTCCTTGATTATTGCCTTTTAGAAAAGAATGCCAAACAAAATGTATCAGGGCCATTGTTAAAGACTCTTACTTTTTTCCTTAAGAAATCCAAATTTGTTCCTTTTTAGGACTCTCGTGTGCCTCTTATTCATAATGCATTTTGGGGAACAGATTTGAAGAATATTTCTATGTGTATATATATATATATATATATATATATATATATATATATATATATGTACACACATATATAGGCTGTAGATAAATAATTTTTTAAATTAAAAAGTTTCTTTGCAAGTTGATTTATATCATCTTTAGTAAAATCAGTTTTTTTTTTAAGGGCTGGAAAGCATACATCAGCAGTTCAGAATGATTAAATAGTACTTACTTGGAAAGGGACAAAGTCTGTGAACTTACTTATGTGGTTTTCACAGAAGGGGACAAAGCAGTAGAAGAATCAAAACCCTCCAGCCTCAGGTGAATTTTCTTTCCAACCTCAGAAGGGGTGGGCCCACTTGACACAGGAAGTGTCATAGGAGAGTGGTTTGAGTAATGAAAGAAAGCTTATGGATTGGGCTTAGCTGTTGTCTACATACCGAAAGACAGAATGGTCTATAGAAACTCTCCTAATTCCACAACCTCTGCATTTTTTTGCAGAGTGCATGCATTACACACAGGACACCTCCCCTACAAGAACAAGAAGCTGCAGAAATAGCTAGAGCTATAGACTGCAATTTAAGAGGAGGCCAAGCTTCCAGCAGTTGCAGACAAAGAGAGAACTCTTAGAGGCTGTCATGTCAGCCCTTGTATATGAAATTAACCAGCCCTGAAGGTTCAGTGCAGGACCCTAGAGGATCAGGGCACGCTGCAGGATAAGGATGAGAACAGGGATGTGTCCACACATCTGAGACACTTTCCTGTGCTACGCACAGCTGTAGTATATGTGTGTGTGTGTGTGTGTGTGTGTATATATATATATATATATATACTATATGCTAATAGTTTTACACGTACTGTGTAAAAATATATTTATACTTAACTATTTAGAAAATTGTTGTTCCGCCAGGTATGGTGGCTCACGCCTATAATCCCAGCACTTTGGGAGGCTGAGGCTGGAGGATCACATGAGGTCAGGAGTTTGAGACCAGCCTGGCCAACATGGTGAAACCACCCCCCCTACTAAAAATACCAAAAAAATTAGCCAGGCATGCTGGTGCACACCTGTAATTCCAGCTACTTGGGAGGCGGAGGCAGGAGAATTGCTTGAACCTGGGAGGCAGAAGTTGCACTGAGCCGAGATTGCGCCACTGCACTCCAGCCTGGTTGACAGCGTGAAACTCCATCTCAAAAAAAAAAAAAATTGTTGTTCTAGATGTGCCCTCTTGGTGGTAAAGGACTAGGATGTCACTCAAACTAATTTGAGTAACGGAGGTTCTTGTAGCAATGACTACTACTCTCATTGATTCAGACCTCACTATGTGCCAGACACTGTTCCGAGTATATTATCTCACGGAATCTTCTCGCCCATCCTGGGAGGTAGTGTGTTATTATTCCCATTTTACTATGGAGGAGCAGGCATAGAGGATGTTCTCTAAGGCAGGTGTGTGCGAAGTGGGAGTCAGGAGTCGCACCCAGCAGGTCACTCTGGAGCCATGATTTCTAACCACTATTCTAGACCTGTTCCTGGAATAGATTCCATGACAGTGAATCAAAGTACAGCTGGGCCTCATGGGGTTCAAAACAAGGGACTGGAAAATCGGGAATGGAGCCATTTTCTTTCTCAGAGGTCATGTGGTCTCTGCTCAATTAGCCCCTCTTCTTCTGTCCTATCTTGTTTCTTTATCTTACGTATGGCCCCTGAAGGGTCAACCAAACCCATAAGTCTGTACCATGAGACTTCAATTTCCCTCAGCATGTCCTGGCATAAATCTATAAGCAAGAGATTCCTATTAGTCCAGCTCACTGAGAAAGGCAACACAAGCTGTTGGAGCCCGGGCAGCAAAATAATTACCTGCCTTTGTGTTGCTGTTTATCTTAGTTTCATTGGTGGCCATTTCCCTGAGCAGGGGATTGTGGGAAAGGCAGTGCACACTGGAATGGGAAGTGGTTCATAGCAGGAAATTAACATCTCTGGTACAAACTCATTTTATACTGTGATAAACATTTTTTGTTATCTTTACAAAGTTTCAACTTAAAAGAATCTGTATGTATCTATAGCTATACAGTCTGTATCTCTTTAGGTTACAAATGATAGAAACCTGATTCAAAGCGGCTTAGAAAAAAAATCAAATTAATTGGTTCATGTGATTGTAAAGGCAAAGGCTGGCCCGTATCAAGGTCTCAAGCAATATTATCAGAAATCTATCTCTTGGCTCTGTGTTCCTCTGGATTGATTTTATCCTCAGGCACGTCCTCTCTACATTATATCGAGATACCATCAGAAGCTCCAGGCTTATCTGTTCGCTGAACAATCCCAGCAGAGAGCTTCTCTTTCCCCATAGTTACTGCAAAGTTCCCAGGTTTGATTCTCATTGCCCTGAATTGGTTTCATGCCTATTGTTCAACCAAACATGGCAGGCAAGCTGATTGGTCAGGCCTGGGTCATTGTCCATCCCTGGGAAGGGGTTAAATCTCCTTCCACTCCCCACACATGCATTGAAGCACATGGACTGGGAATGGGGGAGTGTGGTCTCCCGTGACAATTGACATGTTAGTATTACAAGAAATGGGAAGGGATACTGTCCATGCAAAAACAACCCACATCGCTACTGAACATTTGCAGGTCTATTACAAATAACTGGACAGCTGTAATAAAGGTTTTGGGGCCCAGGAAAAGCAGACTGGACCACAGGCTGATTCTTATGTGACAAATTTAAAGACCTAGGAAATCCCAAGTGCAGGGGTAGGCCTACATCCTCTGTGGTTTTTTTAGGTTATAATTCTGAAAGATGATGATATTAAGTCAAAGAAAATGGTTATTGGATTTGCAACTTTTTGAGAAAAACAATCACAGGATGGTTTTGTCTTTACTTTTTGATCAAGCAGAAGGATAAGACTTGAAGGGCTCTTGCTAGGTGCCCCCTATTTGAAATCTAAGCTGTTCTGGCATTAAAATGACTTTGGTAAATTACATACAGGCTTTGTGTAAACCTTCACAGTGCCTAGGATTTAAAACCCAGTTTATTTAGCTAATGATTAAAATCCCCAGTTTATATATCGATGATCTTAATACTCACTGGGAAATAATTGCTTGGTTTTTAACTATATAATCAGGAACCAAGTATATAATCAGGGACTTGAAGTCGTGTGGAGGTTAAACCAGCAAGTCTTCACGCGTGCGGATATAGTTTGAGGCTACGCGACCTCAGATGTTCAGTAGCAGTTTGTGTGTATGTGTTTGTATGCGTATGCGTGTGTGTATTTGTAGATATAACTTTGTACTAACAGAATTGCCGTGTCTCTTTGCTTACTCCACCTGCTACAATGATCCCAGATGTCCATTGGAACAAATTATCAGCTTATTTTGCCTATCAAATTTTTCAGGCAGTTGCCTTCTCACTTATTTAAAAACTTGTATTTAAGGGATTAAAAAAGTCCCCTCATATGCCAAAATGTTTCTCTTCTGTTGATTTTCATGTAATGTTGACTTTCATATTTAACAATTGTTATTTCTTCGCATGCTGTTTTGAGGTTTTTCAATTGCAAACAACAGTGAGATAGGCATTGAGGGGGTCAGAGTGCCTCCCAGCTACTCTAGAGGCTGAGGCAGTAGGATTGCTTGAGCCCATGAGGTCAAGGCTGCAGTGAGCTGTGACTGCACCACCACCCTCCAGGCTGAGTGGCATAGTAAGACCATGTCTCAAAAAAAAGAAAGAAAAGAGAAGAAAAGAAAACAAAAACAACCAACATGGGCTCTAGGGTCTGACTGCCTGGGTTTGAATCCTGGTGGTGTCTTGCTAGCTGCGTCACTATGGGCAAGTTACTTAACCCTCCTGAGCCTTTATCTCTAATAGTTTTATATAATTTTCCTAACACTGTGCGGTATGGACTGTCATTATTCTCTCTTTTAAGAGAGAATTGGGTGTTAGGGAAATTATATAAAACTATTAGAACTGTGCCCATCCTGTAGTAAGCAAACACTCACTAGGTGTTAACTTATTAATAGGATTTGAACAGGCAGAGAAAGGGTAGAGTGTGTTTAGGGAGAAGAGAGGTGGCAATCGTTGGCAAGTACAGTAGAGGGGAGGGAAGGCACGGGGACAGCTGGGAGGTTGGCGTGGAGCTGAGTCCACCAAGGTTCCTTTCCTCTGAGTCTGTATTTTCCACAGAGTCTCCCCTTACTCATCTGGTTTCCCCAAAAGGACTTCAAAACCCAAGAGAAGCATATCTGGATCCACCCGACAATATGTTTCCCAGGATACTCAAGTAAAGTGGCCTTCTGGTTTATCAATCAGCGTCTTGAGCATTTAGTTGGCATGAGTTGGTCCCCTAGGGTCTCATCACTCCCGAGTGAACTGATAAAATCAAATTCCTGCATGTGCAGAGCTGAGGACCAGGCCTTGGACCTGTAGTGACCCCTGAGGGGCACAAGAATTGGGAGGCCCAGCTGGAAACCGAGAGCTCACCCACCCCTCTCTCTCTCCTCTCCCTTGATCTTGCCATTAAACTTTCATAAATGCAACGAACTGCATCCGAGACATCCGCTGGGGTTGGGCAGAGCCTGGTGTGCAGAAGGAGGAGCTCAGGAAGTGCTTCGGCAGTGGAGGAAGAACGCTCGCTGCTGCTGAGGCAATGGGCAGTGGAGCGGGGCTGGGGGGTCATGCCTCGGAAGCTGGGCTCCGGGTTCTGCTCCCTTTTTCCACTTGCTAGGTGCCTTTGGAAAAATCCCTTAACTGAGCCTCAGATACCTCATCTGTGCAATAAATACCAAATCTGAAGGCGGAAGACTGCTCCATGTCCTCTGGTGTCCCTGCCAGCTCTGACGCATGTGCCATAACAAGGGGACCCCCAGCAAGGGTTAGGGGTATTAGGGCACAAAATGTTTCCTCCCTGTGGAACTCAAGGGGAGCTGCAGGGTAGTTTCTGCCTCCGTCTCTGCGCTAATTGCTTCACGTTTGCTTTCCTCGTTGCCGTATTTGAAATGTGAGCTGTGTTGTTGGGTGGAGCGTTAATTGTGACAGGAGGATGGACACAATTTTTTTTTGTATTACCTGCTGTGCCCATCACAATTCTGAGCATTGAAAAGGTGCTCAATATACATTTGTTAAAATGAATTGAATATTATTGCCTAGCAATCAATGAATTACATCACATTCTTACTCAAAAGACATTATGTGCTTCATTTACAGTATAGCAATAATAAGAAAAACACTACAAATAAAATTGATTATTTTGAAGAATAGAGGATGAGTTTTAAGAGCTATGAGTTCTGTTTCAGAGTTGCATTTACTTAGTTACAACTCATGTTAGTTTGTTATAAGATGCTTTATTATTTAGAAGTCATTCTCCCACCCCCAGCTTCAACTCCATAAGATAGAAAATTAAAACATTGATTTTGTTTTAAAATTCAGGCTCCCACACAGCCCCATTTGTAAGAGTGAGAGGTGTTAATACTGCTAAGTTGCCCTTCATGTAATTTGGATAAATGCTGTTCACATCTTTATTATTCTACCCTTTCTTCAAAGGGGCATTCATTTCTAGTCTGAGACTAATGTGGGAATCTATTACACTGGTCAATAAATGAACAGCCTGTTCTTATACATACAAGAATTCCAAAGGCTCTCATTTTAGCCACACAAAAGGAAAACAAAACACACACATAAAACACCCCATTTCCACTTGTTCAAAGCTTCCGAGAATAAGGTTATGGTTGCGATATATTCCTAGGCCTTCCTTTGTGAATGCATACAGCAACACAATCTGGAAATAATTGCCTGCACAAGCTAATACTGTTAGGACTCGGCTTTCTGCCCTGGATCCAATGCAGCCTTCGTTTATAGAGGGCTGCTAATTCACCACTAAACCAGGTAGTCCACTAGAGGCCTGCAGACACCCTTTATTTGACTTGCAGTGTTTTAAAAACTTTTTAAAATTTGTTGCTAACTTAAAAAAAAGAGGATATTTTATAAAAATGCGGATTTCAGGCTTCTCCTGAAAAATCATAATATCCACATATAATACTGGGTCCAGTTCCTGCCTGACAGCAATTGGAGAGCTGAGTGATGCGTGTTCTCTTTAGAGAGGACGCGTGCACACTGGTCCTCACCCTTCTGTCTGTCACACATCCTGACTGGCTTCACGTGCCCATATGTCTGCCTGCTCCTTTAAGCATTTTTGAGGGTTTTTGTTGCTGGTCGTGGTATAAAATATGCAAAACATAAACTTTACCATTTTAACCATTTTTAAATGTACAGTTCAGTGGCATTAAGTACATTCACATTATTGTGCAACCATCACCACCATCCATCTCCAGAACTTCTTCATCTTCCCCAACTCAAACTCTGTAACTTACCATCAAACAACAACTCCCCACTTCCTCCTCCCCACAGCCCCTGACGACCACCGTTCTGCTCTATGAATTTGACTACTCTAGGCACCTCATATAAATGAAATCATACAATATTTGTCCTTCTATGACTGGCTTATTTCACTTACCATAATGTCCTCAAGGTTCACCCATGTTGTAGCATGTGTCAGAATTTCCTTTCTCTTTAAGGTTGAATAATGTCTCACTGTATGTATATACCTCGTTTTGTTTATCCACTCATCTGTTGGTGAACGTTTGGGTTCCTTCCACCTATTGGCTAATGTGAATAATGCTGCCGTGAACATGTGTGTAAACTCTCTGAGTCCCTCAAGCATTTATGTTTCTTGACGATTTTCTCAAAAATTTCCCAGCTCTGCTCTTGTAACTCCAGCTTTTGTTTCTCTCAGTGGTGCCCCAAAGCCTAAACATTCCAGGACTTCAGCTTAAATAATTAACTTTTGAGGAAGCATTGAAAAACATTGAAAAAGACATCTCATGAAAATGACTTGGATTCTTTAAAATTGTTAAAAGTAGTTGCTGTGGGATTTTCAAGATTTAATGTCACATTAATAAAAGAATCTGGATATAACATTTTGTGATTTATTCCTCCTTGAGTTTAGTTATGAAAAGCTCCTATTTGAGGAAGAAATTTGCAATATATTTGATTGTTTTGATCTGAACAAAACTTGTTCATCTTGGTTTGTGTGCTATGTATGCTGAAGAGGCCTTTTGTTGTAAGTGTTGATAAATGAGGAATATGAAAATAATTTAGGTTTTATTTCTGAATTTTCATGTTGCATTAAGCTAGGAAAAGTGTGATTTTTTTTTCAGTGAGTATTAAATGGAAAGGACAAAACAAAGTTTTTGCTCTTAGTTTTCAGAGACTGCTATTTCTTTTTCTTCTTCTTCTTCTTTTTTTTTTTTTTGAGACAGAGTCTTGCTCTGTCTTACTCTGTTGTCCAGGCTGGAGTGCAGTGATGCAATCTCAGCTCACTGCAACCTCTGTCTCCCGGGTTCAAGTGATTCTCCTGTCTCAGCCTCCTGAGTAGCTGGGATTACAAGTGTGCACTGCTTTGGTAATTTTTTTGGTAATTTTAGTAGAGATAGGGTTTTTTTGGGTAATTTTAGTAGAGATGGGGTTTCACCATGTTGGCCAGGCTGGTCTCAAACTCCTGACCTCAGGCAATCCACCCACCTTGGCCTCTGAAAATCCTGGGATTATAGGCGTGAGCCACGGTGCCCAGCTGAGAGATTGCTATTTCTGATTTTTTTTTTTTTTTATTAATGACAACATCAACCTAAATGTCATTATCTGACAGAAGCACATGGCAATTCAACTTCATTATTGTGGGAACAAAATCTTGATGTCAAGATTTAAGGATCAATTGTATATCTTGATATGGGCATATTGTCTCTTGATAAGGACTTGGCTCTCCCTGTTTACTTATGTTAAAATGAATACATTTAAATTTCAAGACATGTAGGGGAAATCCCTAAAGTTAAGATCTAACATTCTTGTCTCATCTAAGTGTGTTGCACTTTGGAATGTTCTTTTCCACCTGCTCCCCATTCTCTAAAGATACTGTTAGTGACTGTGTGAAAGAATTCTTTCCCTTGACAAGTCTTTGGTGCCTTGGACTATTGGTGTAGCATGGATTAGTAAAGGAGGCCATTTTTACTACTCAGGACTGTTTTGTTTGCAGGAGACAGATATCTAACTCAAATTGCTTAGACAAAATAGCTTGGATAACTGAACATTCCAGAGATGGAATTCAGATCCATTTGGATCAAGGTATACAAAGAATGTTAGGAACCTGTCTTTCTCACACTTTCTACCTCCCATCTCTGCTTTCATCTGTGTTGACCGAATTCTCAGTTGGTTCTCTCCAATAGGGAAGCCAACATGGCCATCAACAGCTCCAGGTTCACAACACCCTCACAATTAACAAGCTTAGAAAAAGGAAAAAAACTTCTATAGTAGCTCTGACAAAATTACCAGTGAGAGATGAAGTCAGTGTTGGGTTACATGCTCATCCCTGAGCCAATCACTGTGGCAGGGGATGAGTATCATAAGTGGCCAAACCTAGTTCATGTGGCCATCATGGTACAAGAAACTGAGGAGTGGCTGGTTAAATTCCAAGTGTTTGGGAGGGCAGGGTCTGGTGCCCTCCCTCCTCATAGGGAAGGCAGGGTCTGATGTCTGAAGAAGAAAAAAGATGCTTCAAAACTCTCTTAGGGGAAAGACCAGTTTTATTCATCCTTGTTTCTTTTAGGGTGAATGACACGAGGCCTACCAAAGTTGCTCAATTATGGTTGCTGATTAAATGAATGTATAAGGAGTGATTTAAGAGAGTTTAATTGAAGAATTATTTCTATGGGGTCAGCAAGGTTAAGGGAAACCAGTGAGGGATGATGCAGCCCCCCAGGGCCAGCAACTTGGGAAGCTGTTAGAATCCTCAGGCCAGAAGAGGCCGGGGAGGAAGAGTTCCTTGAGAAAGGATTAGCTGGAGAGGGAAGACTGGCAGGAGCTGAGCCTGGGGTTAGAGGAATGCACCATTGTCAAACTGGGGCCTGGTGAGGAGGAAATGGGGAGGATAAATACCCCAATTGCTCTCTCATCCCACCCTCCACCCTCTGCAGTCCTTCCCATTACCCCAGCCCATCTAGAAGCCAGAGGTAAGGGGACATAGTTAATTTAGCACATGAAGATCAGTCTCCAGGGATCTGGATGGGCAACTGGAGGTCATCCCAATCTTCTTTCTCACTCTCAGTTCTCTTTTGACTTAGTCCTAAAGCATATCTTGGATGTATTCACGCCCCACCCACCACCTTTCATACCCAAACACAGACTATACTTATTTTACTGCCTCATGCCACATGCCCTTTGCAGGGGCACAGAGATGGCTGTGCAGGAAGTGCCTTGCACATTGTGTGAATGACGTCTTCTGAAACTGTCGATTCACAGCGTGTTCTGTGGCCTGGCCTTTGCATTGCGTTGTGATTTGTGTTGGCTGCTGGTGAGGGTGGGAGAGTTCAAGGAAATAAGAAACAGATAGGGTGAAGGCTTGTCATGTCATCATTTAAAATTAGGAAATAATGGCCTGTTTAGTTTCAGGGGTGAAACTCTGATTTCTCAGGTTATCAGAGAGATGCTGTCAGAGCAGAGAGCAGGAAGACCAAGGTTTCAGTGCTAAAAATGATGAAATCAGTTGATAAGAGTCTTGTATAAGGAGGTACTTTTGAAAAGAGGTTATTGATGATTGCCAGAGAGGGATGCTAACAAGTAAGCAATATCCAGCTTCATGGAGGCATCCAGAACTGCTGGCCTTGGGCTTCATGACCCACGCAACTTCTGATGAAACAGCATCTACATGTCTCACCGGGAAGGGATCTGGAATAAATATCTTATGATGAGCCACAGAGCAAGCCACACAGCACAAAGCCAAAAGCAAGTAATAATATGGTCACCATGCACTTAAGCACCCGCGTGGTTGGAACTGGGTGTGGGGGACTTTGGTTGTGAGTAAGGACCCTGGCTCACAGGCTTGTTGTGCAGATGCATGAAATAATAGGTGGAAAATGCTCACAGACTATCAAGTGCAGTGTGAATGTTAGATGCCATGAATGAACTGATTCTTTGTCTTTCACTATTTTTTTTTCTCCTGTGCTAGTTCCTCTGTGGTTCCTAACTGTTAGTCTCACTTTTTAAAAATGTTTAGGCTGTGGGACTTAGGTAAACGAATACTATGAAATGTAGGTAAGCTATCTGGGAACTGGTGGTCTTCTTAAACCTCTAACATACATGACTTCTGGTGATGCTCATGTTTTCAGGGCTGTAATTGTATTTCCCAGAAGTCATCCACTATGTTTAGTATCTTTCCCCTTAAAATTCTTGTGTTGAAGTCTTAGGCCCCCAGTACCTCAGAATGTGACTATATTTGAAGATAGGGTCTTTAAAGAGGTAATTACGGTAAAATGAGGTCATCTTGTTACCAGTGGAGGGTGTCCAGGTTCTTGGCATTTTGAACAAATAATTGGACAAAATGCACAAAGCAGGGAAAGAATGAAGCGACAAAAGCAGAGATTTATTGAAAACAAAAGCACACTCTACAGGGTGGGAGTGGGCCCCAGCACAGGGGCTCAAGAGCCCAGATACAGAATCTTCCTGAGTCCAAATACCCTCTAGGGGTTTCCCATTGACCACTTGGTGCTCACCTCATGTAAATGAAGTGGTGGCCCGCCGTCAGTCTAATTGGTTGCAGAAAGCAATCAACCAGAGGCTGAAGTGAAGTTCCAAAGGTCACACTCCTATGCAAATGTCTGATTGGTTGCAAAAATCAACCAATCAGAGGTACTTTCAATTTCCCATCTGCTGTGCAGAAAAGGTGGGGGTTTGCAAAGGGAGTAGTCTCTGGTCCTTTTGTTACTTAGGCTGGAAAGTTAGGATTTTCCTTTCAATTCAGTTCTAGGAAGTCAGCATGAAATGGTCTTAGGTTCCCTGCCTCCAGACCCTATTTTCCTGCCTCAATCCTGGTGGGCCCTGATCCAATACTGGTGTCCTTATCGGAAGAGGAGATTAGGACACAGATACACACAGGGGAGACAACGTGAAGACACAGGGAGAGGAAGGCCACCTACAGTCAAGAGAGAGGCCTTAGAAGAAACCAACCCTGTGGTTGTGAGAAGCCAGTGTGAGTGCTCTTGAAAACTGATCTTTGCTCTTCAGCCTGCTGGCCTTGTTTTAGCCTCATCCCTTGGACCAGTATTTACCCTATAAGATTCTTCTTTGAACTTACCTTTTGGATCTTTGGATCAGTTTTCTGCCCTTTAGTGCCTGCTCATGTGACCATGCTCTTCATTATTAGAGGCAGGGGGACAAATGTTCAGGTTTACCCAGGCCTGGGGAGATTCCTGGGATGCAGGACCTTTAGGGCTAAACCTGGGATGTTCCTAGGTAAACTGGAATGAGTTGTTCACCTTGATAAGAGAGAAGCTTTGGCAAGATTTATTTATTTTGGCTTACTGGCTTTGTTGAAAGGTGACTAGTCTAACAGGATGTTATAACTATTGTTACAATTATTGTCTTTGAAATGTTTATACACATACATTTAGAAACTATTTTGAAATGGGTGCTTCCACCATGAGGTAAGCCAAATAATGAAAAAACCATCTTCAGATACCTTTCACTTCCATTATCTCCTACTTAGTTTCATTTTAACAAGAATACTGTCTTGGCTTGGGTTTCTATTATTAATAATTTCATACATTTCAGGGTGTACACGTTGAGTAATTATCTCCCCAATGCTTCTAAGCATTCGTGTCAGTTAACTGAACCTTTTAATGAACCCACTAACAATGTCCTTGGCATTGTATAAAATATAAAATTGGAGCCAGTCCCTAGTCAATGGGTTTTAGCTGGTCCGAGCCTAACAGATGCTCAAAATCAAAACACAGGTCCAAGTTGGTTTACCTTTTATGGCCTCATTTTGGGCAATTGGAAAAAAATGAGGTGTTCAGTTCTTTAGATCAAGTAATGAGGGCTCCTGCCTCACCATCAGAACACGTGTTCTTTATTCACATCTCACTGGCCCAGCTCAGTTCTTTAGCACAAGCCACCCACCACATGTGGTCCTGCCTCCCTCACTCCATCTGCCACCCTCTATCTCTCGCACCCTTCTCAGTGTCTTCCTGGATGGGGCAGGAGGAAGTATTGGACACATTCCCAGCTCCATTTGACCATAGTACCACCCCCATATCATGTGACATGGGCCTCACTTTATACTCAACAAAACATACGTTATTGCTAAAGCCAAGGCAGGCTGAAGTCCAAGCTAACTTTTCTGTTAGTTTTCCAGGGCTACTGCAACAAATTAGAACAAATTGAGTGGCATAAAACAACAGAATTGTATTCCTTTACAGTTCTCTGGAGGTTAGAAGCCTGCAATCAAGATGCCAGCTGGGCCCTGTTCCCTCCAATGGCTCTAGGGGAGACTCTTCTCTTGCATCTCCCTAGCTTCTTGTGGTTTCCAGCAATCGTTTGTGTTCCCTGTCGTGTGGACACATCACTCCAATCTCTGTCTCCATCTTCCTATGACATTCTTATCTCTGTATGTCTGGGTCCAGATTTCCCTTTTATAAGGACACCAATCATTGAATGAGAGACTTCCCTAATCCAGTATGAACCCATCTTAATTGATTACATCTATCAGGACTTTCTTTCCAAATAAGGTCACATTTACAGGTACTAGAGGTTAGGACTTTCGAAGATAAAATTCAGCCCATAAGAATGTCTTACTGTAAATCCCATGAAGAAGAGCATTTGCTCATTAAAAGGACTTAGTGAGATCTCAACCACACACTCAAGATACTAGCAATCGCTGGCTTCGAAGCAGAATGGAGTAGTGGAAATAGTACAGGATGTGGAGGCAGATGTGTTTAAATCCCAGCCTTAGTACTTGTTTGAGATACCTTAGGCAGATCACTTCCCTTTTCTGGTCCTCAGTTTCCTTATTTATAAAATGAGTACAGTATCTACCTTACAGAGCTATTGGGAGGTTCACGTAAGACGATTTATACAAAGCATCTGGTACAGTGCCTGGTACAGACTAAGTGCTCATTTAATGCTATTTCCTACTTCCCTTTTAAATTGAGCTGATTTCATGTAAATAAAGTTGCAAATTTCATAGTATTCTTAATAGAATTTAGAAGTAAAAACTCTCTGGCTAATATTAAGGTTATTAGCCAGTCTGAACATCATCTAAGTTTTGTATTTGAAGAGTGATCCTTTTAGAGTGTGATTGATAATTTTGGATATACAATAGGAAATGCCTTTCATCATGAAGGGGGTGGTGAAATGTCCATCACTGGATACTTTATAGATAATCAAATACCCTGGCTCATTTATAAATAATTGCCTTAGGGATGTGACTGGAATTGATTAACCCTGATGAATTCTTGCCACTCTGGGCTCATCTATCTTATCTTCAGGAATTTGTAGGGTATTAAGGTATTTAAGGGCAGAGTTTGTTTCTTTTCATTAACTGTCACATCAGTTAGGAATTGTGTTTGATTGCAGGGTGGAGAGCTGACTTCAGTGGCTCAAAAGCACAAGGGTGTGTTTTATTTGCTCTTAGAAAAAATACTGGCAGGTAGTAAGACCAAGGAATGTATGGCTATGTTTTGGTCACTGGGGACCCAGGAAACTTGTGGTTTTCTGTTCCATTTTTACTGCATATTTTTGTTCTTAAGACAGCTTTATAGTCCAAGATGGCTTTTGGAGCTCAAGCCAATGTCCCAGGTAGAAAGATGGAGAAAAGAAGAAAGAGGCAAAGGGCCATCCCTCCTAGCTGAGTCAATCCTCTTGAGGATCTTTACCCAAAACCTACCTTCTGTTTTTGCTTTATTTGTTTTTTAATCTTACCAACCTTACTTACCTTTAAGGAAAGCTGAGGGAATGTAAATATTTTTAGCTAGGCACTTTGCTACTCAATAATGTAGATAGGAGAGAAGGGATATGTTGGCAGCTAGCAATCTCTGAGTCAGTTCTCTCAATGCATTTGATAACCCCCTTCATGATGAAAAGCATTTCCTACTGTCTAATCAAACTATTATTCAGACCCCAAAACAGTCACTCTTAAAGAACAAAAAGAGTAGTTCTTTGTAGAGCACCTAGGATAGTTCTTTAATTCCTCAGCGTTTAGTGAAGTCATTCAGTTATACAACAAATGGTGACTTTTTTTTTTTTGTTTGGAGACAGGGTCTCACTCTGTTGCTCTGGCTGGAGTGCAGTGGTGTGATCATGGCTCATTGCAGCCTCAACCTCACTGGGCTCAGGTGATACTCCCTCCTCAGCCTCCTGAGAAGCTGGATCTACAGGTGTAAATAGTGACTTTTGTGTGCCTACTAAATATCTGGCAATGTGCAAAGCTCTACGGTTAGAGCAATGAGGGAGACAGACATAGTCCCTGCTCTCATATAGTTATAGTCCAATGGAGGCGTAGAGGTGCATAAGTCAAAGAAGTGCTTGAAGACATAAAGAATTCCTATTGTGATAACAAGGAATGATGTGAGAGGTGCGAAAAATGGAACTGTCTTAATTGTAGAGCTAAGGAAGGCTGTTGACTCCATGGATGAGTTGGGATTTGATGGATAGGTAGGAAATAAGTAGTTGAAGGGGATGTGTGGGTAAATAGCATTCTAGTAATTCCAGGCATTCCAGGAAGAAGGAATAGTACAAAGGGAAGGTCAATGTGGGAGGAGCATGAAAAAAGGCTTGTTGCTGTGACAGGATCACAGGGAGCAAGAGGAAGCATATTATGAAATGAGGCAGGGACCAGACATGTGGGGATATGTTAGGCATATTAAGGACTTCAGTCTTCTTTCCAATAGCAGTGGGAAGCCACTGAGTTTTAAGGTGGGGGTGTTACCAGAAAGGGGTCCTGATCCAGACCCCAAGAGAGGGTTCTTAGATCTCACACAAGAAAGAGTTCAGGGCTAATCCACGGAGTAAAGTGAAAACAAGTTTATTAGGAAAGTAAAGGAATAAAGAATGGCTACTCCATAGGCAGAGCAGCCTCGAGGGCTGCTGGCTGCCCACTTTTTATGGTTATTTCTTGATTATATGCTAAATAAGGGGTGGATCATTCATGCCTCCCTTTGTAGACCATACAGAGTAAGTTCCTGATGTTGCCATGGCATTTGCAAACTGTCATGGCCCTGGTCGGAATGTAGCAGTGAGGACGACCAGGTCACTGTCATCACCATCTTGGTTTTGGCCGGCTTTTTTACTGCAATCCATTTTATCAGCAATGTCTTTATGACCTATATCTTGTGTTGACCTCCTATCTCATCCTGTGACTTAAAATGCTTTAACAGTCTGGGATTGCAGCCCAGTACGTCTCAGCCTCATTTTACCCAGACCCTATTCAAGATGAATTTGCTCTGGTACCAACACCTCTGACATTTTCCCCCTCCCTTTTATAAAAGAACCCTTAATCCTAAGAGTTGTAAATGGACAAAGAGTCATCTTCTGTAACTTCTTCAGGCTAAATAGGGGCAATGATATTCCTGCCTAACTATTAGGGTCTCTTGTGTTTGGGGTAGAGAGAAGCTCAGTCAGAAAGCATTAGTATGGTGAGGGCCATTCATAACTCCAAGTTTCAACAAAAGGTGATATCTGGAAGATTAATAATTGTTCGATTTAAGAAAACATTCAGTAAGCTTATCCTGCATTCCTACACAGAGTACAACAGCACTATATTGTACAACAGCACTATATTCTACAACAGTAAGGCAAAATAAGTAAAATTATCCCAAGTAAATTAAATAAGAAGGCTTTCCATGAACTGGCCAACTGTTGAAACCATGCTGATATGGGGTTGCTAGATGATTACAATGTGCCTAGAATTAGAATATTGATTCAGATTTTTACATTACCCATCCCTCTTGTTTATTCTGAGCAGCAGTCAGAGATCATTGGTTGGTTCACAGCAATAAGCAAGGTTAGCCTAAGTTGCAGAAACAAACTCAAAAACAACTAAGACTAAAATCTAGTAACAGGTGTACCATAGTTCTTGAAACATAATTTTTCTTTTTTTCTCTCTCCAGTTTCCCATTTTTACTAGCAACAAATCCTGGTAAGACTGATTTGCTTTATTATACTTGGCATGATTACTTGTATAAAGTGCAGCAAGAATAATTATTTTTCACATAAGCTCTTTAAATTGGCTTCAGTGGAACTCTGTTCCATAGACAGAATCTCAGATAAGACTTTTTTTATTTTAAAGCCAAGCCCAGCTGTGGGTTTGTACCTTCAAATACCTATGAGTTGGGTAAACTCCTCTTCTCTTGAGGTACCAAGATAAATTGGGGCTCCTGGGCCTGTTAGAAAGTGACATTCTTTACTTACCACAGGTCAGGAACCCTGTACACGGTTTGTAGACAAGGAATGAGACCAGTTTTCCCAAGGGGCTTCTAATGGCTCTATGTTGGCTCAAGTCAAGTTTGATTCCTTAAAGGAAAGCACGCCATTCCAGACAACGCCTTGGTAAAATAACCAGTTTCTCCAATTGTGTCCTCTTACAAAAGAAAAAAGATTCTTATTGTACTTATGCAAATAACTGTATTGCCATAATTAAGAATACTCACAACTAGTTTCCAAATTCTGGAGAAATTGGGTAGAGAGAAACAAATATGATCCAAATTTTGTTCACAGAAGTATACTTTACTCAGTTGTTAAAAGCTATAAATAGCTCAAAAGAAAAGTTTTCTTGGCTCTGGAAAACAAAAAGATTCAGCAACGTTTTAAGCAAAAAAGTAAAAAAAAGATTACTTCAGTTTTTTATTAGTTCAGTCCCTGCCGTTAACTCCTGTTCTGCTTGAACAGAACTCCTGTTCTATCATGAACGTTTGAGCTCTCCATGAGAGTCTTGAAAGTTTTTCCTCTATTCTAATCTCACAGTCTCCGAAGTTATCAGAAACTTGCATTTAAGAATGTCTGTCAAAGTCCTGTAGCTGATTATAAACCACCTTTTGAAGAGGATCAACACAAGACAATAATCATCTGTGGATGGCAAAAAGTTTTAGGACAGCCACTATTAAAGCCACAATTAATAAGGAAATTTGGTTACTTCTGTGGTATATAACAATTTCACATAACAATTATAACTTTGATAACATACACTAAGTCATATCAGAATTATAGGAGTTTCTCATAATTTTGGAACACATACCAATAACACATTTATGCAAATACAACCCAAAGAAAGCCAAACACTATTTCATATTTCACAATGCTTTCCATATGCTTTTTGTACCAAATAAGCCAATTTTCACCTTTATATTAGTGTACTGTTAATGTCAACCCCAATTTTTAATAAAACCTTATAGACAAATCTATCCAATTTTAATCAGTTTGACCATAAGATAAGATTCTTATAAACCTTTTATAACCCTTTACAAGTTTTTGTTAAAGAGCAGATTAGATTAGTGCTTCAAGGAAAACCTGTTGTGCTTTTAGTCCAATGTTTAATTTACAGAAAAACTGAATACCCTTTTAACTGTAGCTACACACAGAATTTAGTTCACACACAGAATTTCCTTTATGAGATAAATTTTTCACAAACCTTCTACAACTTGTTTAAACCTTCAGCTTTATCCTATCTAACTTAAAACAACCCTTTAATCCTTTAGTTTAGGCCAAAAATCCACATTCCCATTACTTTTTATAATTTTTTTTTTTACCAAAAACACCTTTCACTTTCTTTACACACCTTCCATGTAAAACTGTTTTTATTTTCCAAAGATTACTAAAGTCATGTGAACTAAAAGGCATTACGCTTTTTACTTTTAAAATATTTAAGCTCTTATTATTCTTAAGCCAATTAAAGCTCTTTCATATGTAAACACCACACACACAACATATAGAAATATACAGACAGAAGAAGATCTAGTAGTTGTAATATTTTTCATTTGCCAGTTTCTTTTCTTTTTTTCTTTCTTTTTTTTTTTTCCTTTGAGACTAAGTCTTGCTCTGTTGCCCAGGCTGGAGTGCAGTGGCGTGATCTCAGCTCACTGCAAGCTCCGCCTCCCGGGTTCATGCCATTCTTCTGCCTCAGACTCCCAAGTAGCTAGGATTACAGGTGCCTGCCGCCATGCCTGGCTAATTTTTTGTGTTTTTAGTAGAGATGGGGTTTCACCATGTTAACCAGGATGGTCTCCATCTCCTGACCTTGTGATCCACCCACCTTGGCCTCCCAAAGTGCTGGGATTACAAGCGTGAGCCACTGCACCCGGCCTATTTGCCTGTTTCTTAATTGAATTACTGGCTTCAGGGTGGACCCCAGGGCCAGGAAAGCATGTAGTTTTTATGGCCTAATAAGCAAACACAGTTGGAAGGCAAAATAGCTCCCCCAAAATTAAGGGTCCCAGTTTTATATCAGATTCTGGATCCTAAAAAGAGGGAATCAGCCCATCCCCAAAAGGACATTTCCTACCTAGTTATTACACACCAGAACTGTCTCATAATTTGAAGTAATTTCTGATGCTCCCCAAAGTCAAAAATGTCAGATAATGCAATGCAAAACAGAACAAAGCCTTAGATTTTGAGAGAGATCTATCTATTTTTAATTCCTGGAGATCTATCTACTTTTAATTCCTGGGGTTCCATGAGGAAAACAGAGGTTTTTTGTTTTTGTTTTTGTTTTAGTCAAAAACATCAGATAATGCAATGGAAAACAGAACAAAGCCTTAGATTTTGAAAGAGATCTATCTACTTTTAATTCCTGGAGATCTATCTACTTTTAATTTCTAGGGTTCCATGAGGAAAACAGAGGTTGTTCTTTTTTTTTTTTTTCCCCGAAAACAGGATCTATGGCACCTCCTGTGTTTTTCCCAAGGAACTCCAGGCTGTTAGAACTTGAATACCCACTTTTAATTAAGCTGACTTTTAACCATAGCAGTCTTTAAAAACGTCCTTTTGAATTTTTTATTATTCATCTTTAGCCTGGCCAAATGGCAAATATTTCTGGCTTTTAAACTTTACTAAAAGTAACCTCACAGGTACTCTAAGAAAGGAAATTCAAGACAGTTTGTGGAGGGGAAGAGAATAAAAAATGGTAAAGGTCATGCAGATATTAAATCAGGAATAACTCACTCCCTAAGCCAGGAATTGAACCCTGAAACTGGGCCACCATTGTGAAAAGAGAAAGCATGGCCACATGGTTACAAGGTCAAGCTCCCAAGGACATGACTGACCAGTTTCCTGGGCCATCTTGAAAGCAGGGCTTATGGGGTTCTAAGCCCATGTTCTATCCTAAGGTAACCCTCTCTATGACAGAAAGATACAGAAAGACAAATTCATATCACAAAGCGCAAAAGATTTGCTGCAGCTTAAGATTAGCCTCACAAATCCTTTTTTTTCCCATTAATCAAAACTTTACAGAGGAGATAAACAGTATTTTTTACCATTCATTTAACCAGTTTGCAGAGAGAGAGAGAGAGAGAGAGGAAAGCATTGCTTAAGGCAGGGTGGGGAAGGTGAAGAGCTCAGGGAGGCCAGAGAAAGACCCAGCCATTTCTCAAAAGTTCAGGCAGCTGCTTGTCAGTTGTGAAGGGATCTTTTCCAGCAGTCTCATCAGCTCTCAAGTTTCCTCTTTTGGGAAGGAAAAAACTCATGTCCCATGGTCTTGTACATCCCTAATTTTGTCACCCATAGCCGTCAGCAAAGACTGCAAGGCAGATTAATCCAAAGAGAATAGCAGTTAACATCCCATAGTGCCAAACCCGGTCTTGGTCGAAAGCAACTTTACTGACCCTCTAAATCTTAAGAAGGATTCTAACCTTCTTAAGTTGGGCCTCAAACCCAAGTTTGGTCAAGCGTCCTTGCCTTTTATTAAGAGGGGCCTTTAACCCATTCTGTCTTAGGAGAGACTCTAACTCCCCTAAGTTGGGTCTCTAACCCAATCCCATCCTTTACCTGGGTGCCCTACCACTTACCCAAAGCCGGCCAATCAGTGCTGCAGTCTATTTCCTTTGGGTTGGGGGGTGTGGGGTTCTTCAGTATCATCTCTTTCATGGTTTGCCAGAAAGATGTTACCAGACCCCACCACTTACCCAAAATTAGCCTTTGGGTTGGGGGGTTTCTTCACTACAGTCCCTTCCATGGTTTGCCAGAAGGATGTTACTGGAAAGGGTCCCAATCCAGATCCTGAGAGAGGGTTCTTGGATCTCACACAAGAAAGAATTCAGGGTGAGTTCATAGAGTAAAATGAAAGCAAGTTTATTAGGAAAGTAAAGAAATGAAGAATGGCTACTCCATAGGCAGAGCAGCGCTGAGGGCTGCTGGTTGCCCATTTTTATGGTTATTTCTTGATTATATGCTAAGGAAGGGGTGGGTTATTCATATCTCCCCCTTTGTAGACCATATAGGGTAAGTTCCTGATGTTGCCATGGCATCTGTAAACTGTCATGGCACTGGTTGGAATGTAGCAGTGAGGACGACCAAGTCACTCTCATTGCCATCTTGGTTTGGTGGGTTTTGGCTGGCTTTTCTTTACTGCAACCTGTTTTATCAGCAATATATTTATGACCTGTATCTTGTGCTGATCTCCTATCTCATCCTGTGACTTTGAATGCTTTAACAGTCTGGGAATGCAGCCTAGTAGGTCTCAGCCTCCTTTTACCAAGCCCCTATTCAAGAAGGATTTGCTCTGGTTCAAACACCTCTGACAGGGTTGAGGTGTGGGAGCATGAGAAATGATTGTATTTGCTCTTTGAAAAAATTACACTTATAGAGGATGGATTGGACTGGACTGAATAGTGGCAGACTAGACAGGAGTCCAGGCAAGAGATGATAGTGACTTGATTCAAGAGGAGGGTAATTATGGGTATGGAGAGAAGTGGCTGGATTTAGGTGGACAGATTCTTGGAGCCACTTGACTTTGGGAGATAATGATGGTATAGATGTGTCTTTCTGAGATATAAAACTTCATCTTTAATATGGAAAAAGAGTGGTTACATTAGATTCATTGGGAATAAGAGGCCTCTGTTCTACAGGTTTGTTTAATCTCAAAATAACCCCAACATCACCAGACCTGGATTGTGATATTTTTGTCCTGGTTTAGTCTTAGTGCAATATTTGTAATTCCATATATTTTTCCAATCATACACTGTGGTATTTTGATAAAATGTGCACAAAAGAGCTGTACAGTCTTGTGCACTCAGATGAGCAATGCTCAAGTGATGTTTTCCTTGACTGTATGAGAATTGTTAGCTTTTTTAATTTCTCAAATTTAGAATTTGAGAAATAATTGAGAAATTTTAGGTGCCCAAATTTAAACATGTTTTAAACATGGTACCCAAATGCAATGTTTACTGCTGACTCTTTCCCATCCTTAACACTGCAAAAATGTCAGGAAAAAAGATTAAGCAGCATAAATTCATAAGGACAAAGAAAATAGGAAATCAGATGACCATATATGAGAGTCAACAAAATTTTGAAATATGGAAGGCAGTTGGATGAATGGTAATTGACTTGAGTTTTAGCTTTTTCTGCTTGGTTAAAAGCCTAAAGCCAATTATAAGCAAGCTAATTTTTGCCACAAAATTCCAGACAGGCTCAAATATTGGTGCCACTAGATACTTTTTTTTTTTTTTTTAAAGACAGAGTCTTGCTGTCACCCAGGCTGGAGTGCACAGTGGCGCAATCTCAGCTCATTGCAACCTCCTGGGTTCAAGCAATTCTCCCTGCCTCAGCCTCCTGAATAGCTGGGATTACAGGCACCTGCCACCATGCCCAGCTAATTTTTTTTTATTTTTAGTAGAGACTGGGTTTCACCATGGTGGCCAGGCTGGTCTTGAACTCCTGACCTCAGGTGATCTGCCTGCCTCGGCCTCCCAAATTGCTGGGATTACAGGCATGAGCCACCATGCCTAGCCAGCACTAGATACTTCTAAAGGTAGGGTTGATAGGAAGATTTGTTTAAAAAAGATCCCCTCTCTTCCATCATCATGCTAGGGAAGTACTGTTTATGCTGCATAGATAGGAGTTTACTGTCTAGAGAGGGTGACTGGGAACTCCCAGATGTGGGACAAATAAGACGTTTGGCAATGTTTGGGGACATTTTTTGTTGTTTCACAATTGGGTGGCAGTTTCCTAGTGGCATCTAGTGGGTAGATGGCAGAGTTCTGCTAAATATTTTACAATGCACAGGACATCCCCACAACAAACAATTACCTGGCCCCAAATATTAATAGTGTTGAGGTTGAGACACCCCAAGTTAAGTGAAGATCTAGGGTGAGACTTTCTGCCTTCCATCCAACCAGGCGTGTGCATGTACAGACCCTGCAGGAATGGGGGAATAGCTCTGTGGGGAAATTGACTAGCAAATCAAAAGATACGGACACCTGCAGATTTCTTAACAAGACAAGTTCCTGCCAATCACCCATTGTGAATTTTACTCATTTTCCCAGAACTTCTATTCTTCCCACCCCACCAACCCAACCGGGAAAGTCAGGAGACCATCAGGTGATGGTCAGGGAGTTGTTAAACTGTCTCACTAAAATAGTAATTGGTTGCAGGCAGCACCAGGGAAAGGCAGTCTTCCAATAGATAGAAAACACCTGAAAGTGGTGATCAGCTGCTTCCTGATAAGATCTCCGGAGTTGGGCGGGTTCAAGCTTGTGGACTAAGAGGCCAAATGGTGGAGTTTATCTGGTATATGACCTTCTTCTGGGAACACTCTGCTGGTAAGGGAAAAACGCCTCAAGTGAGCTTGTGTATAATTTCACATTGCGTGTGGCGCCCCTCCCAAGTGCTGGCAGGCCACTGAGCAGGCAGACAACACCCCATCAAGGGAAGAATCAGGGGAGAAGGGGCATAAACCCTGGAAGCATGCCAGCATATAAAACTCCAGGTCAAAGTTCAAGCCATGCATTTGACTCTCTCAAGTCGCCCCCTTGGTCCTCTTCCAAGTGTACTTGACTTCCTTTCGTTTCTGCTCTAAACTTCTTAATAAGCTTTCATTCCTGCTCTAAAACTTGCCCCAGTCTCTCACTTTGCCTTATGCCCCTCAGTCAAATTACTTCTTCTGAAGAGGCAAGAAGTGAAGTTGCTGCAGACTCATACAGATTCGCGGCCATTAACCTACTTTGGTGCTGTGTGATTCGAATACATTCCCTAGTGGTAACAACATCTGTAATAAAAGAAATTTTAGGGTTTTGTTTTCAGGATACATAAGTGAAAGTAATGTAGAAAATTAAGCAAATGAAAAATGAGGCCAGGGCAAAAGAAAAGGCATGAACAAGAAAGGAAATCTATTCTGACTGTGCATTTAGAGAGTGTTCAGTCTGCACCTGCACTGTGTAAATGTTGGCACATAATTATTCATTTAATCCTCACAGCAGGCCCATGAGGTAGGTGTGGATACTTTTGTCATTTTACATTTGTTGAAAATGATGCACAAGGTTACATACCCAGTGCCTGGTGGAGGCAGAATTTGGTCAAAGCTGTCTGGAATCATAGTCGTAACAATGTAAATACTGTATTGCTTTAATCAAAATAGCGATGTGACTATATAGAGGTGATGATGGGATCAGAAAATGGGAGAAAGTTATGCAACAGCTAGGTGATAACTCTTTGACAGCAGGAAGTAGATATTGTCTAAATGGAAAAAGGAAACAAACAATAGCAATGAAAGAGTTAATGTAAAAATGTGGGGATTATGATCATAGAGAATAGCTAAAAAGAGTTGAGAGTGCCTACTTGGAGGGAATGAGACTGGGAGGGGATAGGGATGGAGCAAAATTGGCTGCTCTTTTTGTTTCCAGGCTGAGTGCTTTTTGACTTTGATAATACATACATGTTAGTCTAATTTTTTAAAAAGTTAAAGATAAAAAGAATAAAGGAACCCTTTAGCCTTGTGTTGGATCACCCAGTTGTAATCTAAGCTTCTACACAGGAAAGATTCATTATCCCCATTCACAGAGGCATTTCACCTTTCTTTTATATTTATAATTGCAGCCATCAAGCTTTAATTGGTTATGGGAAGGCTTATAGGGTGTTCTAGAATGGTCTGCTTATTGCCAAAGATAAGCCAAAATCATGCCGAGCTGGTTTGAAATACTGGTCTGCTATTTATAAATTATTTCAATTCAAGAAAAAGGTCTTCTTGGCTTGAGTTTGTAGATTTAATTAGACAATTTCAGAGTCAAAGTTATGGAGCCAGTTACCATTTTAGGGTTGAGTCAGGTTTTATGAACTCATCCATGGGGAAGACACTGAGGTTATATTTTGCTTTTATGAGTGTTGCCTCCTGTAGTTATTTTCTCATTCCTTATCTACTGAAGGAAAAATCACTGTTAATAAATACAAGGAGTGAAACAAATTGACTTTTCTTTTGCCCTTTTGGAACTAGGTAGAGGAGACGTTTGCATCTCAGTAGTAATTCTTCTTTTTGTTCTGAGCTCTCTGTTGCATTATTCACCCGTGGACTGGCAAATTATTTGAGTCAGAACCCTGGTAGGAATGGCCTTAGCCAGGGACTGAGAGGCAGACCTAATGCTAACCTGAATTTGCAGCCCCATTACAGTTGCGCCCTGCGGTGGGGGAGAGCTCAGCCTCTTACGGCCAGGAAATCTTCTGAAGTGAATAGGCTTCTATTTAACCACCATGTGGTCTTGAAAATTCGCTCCTGTTTCTTTTTTTCAATTTTAAAAATCTGGTGATTTCTTTCCTGATGCTCTAACATAAAGAAAAATAATGATTCTAGCCATGACTGAGGAAATAGTAATTGCAAATGTTAAACAATGCCTAGGGGTAAGTTTTCTATGTGGGGCATTTGTGGATGCTGCATATTTGACCATCTGGAATGGGAGTTGGAGGTGGCCGGTTGTGGATGCTCCACATGTATTTTAGTTAGAGAAGGATCCTGGGAAATTTTGCAATAAGAAGCTCCTTTCATTTGTATCAATTTCTGGCAGGGACAGAGAGCTCAGGTGTCAATCATACCTTTAAAGAGAGCTTTTGGCTGGCACCTGTAGTCCCAGCTACTCAGGAGGCTGAGGCAGGAGAATGGCGTGAATCCGGGAGGTGGAGCTTTGCAGTGAGCCCAGACTGCGCCACTGCACTCCAGCCTGGGCGACAGAGCGAGACTCCCTCTCAAAAAAAAAAAAAAAAAAAAAAAAGAGAGAGCTTCTCAAATAACTGCCCATTGAAAGGGCTATTATTTGAGAATAATAAGCACCAAAAGAAAGTCTCTCAGGACAAATACTGACACCTTTTTATTGCTTTTTGCACTCTTAGAGGTAGAAAACAAGCCACTAACTTGGTTGTGGCAGCATTAATGAGTATCCTTGTGGAAGGGGCGAGGGGGATGTTGGGCTATGAAACCAAATTTAGTCAGGCAGTGTAAATACAACACTCAACTCTGCTCTTTTCATTGTGAGTTTGTTACGAGGCAAAGCAGTAGGTTGGGGCCACTCTAATGCACCACCAGACACTAATAGCTCATATTTACACCGGTAAACCAAATGGTTGCCTTTAGGGCTAATCCAGCAGCCAGAGGGGTCCCTTAGGCTTGTGTTGGTAAAAGCACCAGTCGTGCCCAACCCAGGGTTTCTCCAGTGCCTTGTAAAGGGACTGCCAGCAGAGCTCTTTAATTTTTATGTTTATCAAACGATGTTCTGTGTTTCTTTTTATGACGAAAGAGGAATCATCTTTAAATGTCAGCACGATGTCTGGCTTAAGTCCGCAGGCTGATGGACTGAACTAATGGGAGAATTGCAGAGTTCGGAAGAGGTAAAGTGCGCATGCGCAAAGCCAGTTTTTTTTGGGGTTTTTTTTTTTTTTTTTTTTTTTTTTTTTTTACCATTATTTGAATTCTCCTTGACTTAAATCAGAAATAGGCGTAAATGAGCTAAACTGTTTTGAAGCCCAGGGCCCGTTTGTGCCACAGCATACTTTTATTTCCATCAGTGTGTTACCAACGACATTAAGGATCAATTTTCTATATGAAAAGGGCTTTGTTGAGACAGTGAAAACAAAATGACTCATTAAAGAGGTTTAACCTCAAAAATAATGTGTAAATATATTTGAATTCTAAGCAGACCCAGTTGTAGGCTGGTTATATTGTGGTCATGTGATTTTTTGACATTATGATAAACAGTACGTTTTCTAACATTATTAAAAGCTTGAATATTTTGTTCTTTTCGTTTTTGTTTTTCACAATAAGAGAAGAGCCACCAACAGAAAGGGTCATAAAAGAACCCTTTTATTGCTTCTGTTCTTAAGGGAGTAGTTCTCGAACTTGGGGAACTTATACAAAGCCACCTCCCAGAGATTTAGATTCAGAAGGTAAAAAGAGGGGTCCATGAATCGGAACATTTACAAAGTGCTGCAGGTGATTATGATGCAGATGGGCTGGACACCACACTTTGGGGGAAAAAACCCCAACCAACCAAACAAAAAGTTTCCTTCAAACCTTATTTGGCATCAAAACTTCTCCCATGTCTCAAACCCTCAGGCCTTTGCACACTCTAAGAGGCTTTGCCTCACTATTAAATGAGTGGGCTGGAGACCCAGACCAGCTGGAGCCTCAGAGCCCACTGGTCTTGTATAATTCAAGAACCATTGATTAGGTATGACACACGCCAGCCCTTCTGTCTCCTTGCAATCACAGTTTTTATGGGAGCCCCAAGCCCTCATGCCCACCATGCAGAGTTTTCATAGAACATTTAGCGTTCCCAGAGGTTCCCCAGAGCCCACACTTTTGTTTGAGAGCCTTCCTTCTGAGTAAAATGAATCTCCTAAGGCTTTCTCTTTGATGAGTGGGAACACCTGTTAAATTCCTTCTCCCTAACCAGCTCCTGACAAGAATATGTTAATCCCATAGGGTTGAGGTCCCCTGAAGTTCTATGACCAGCTCTGACAGGAACAGAACAATAGTTTGCCCAGGAGCCAGCACTTAAAATCTGCAGTAAAATACTTGGCCTGCCTCCCGCTCCCTTTGTGCTATCTGAAAAAATGTGGTGTGCCGTGGTATATTGTTTTTGGGTAATTCTGCAGGCCAGTCTTGAAATGAATGCTTGTAGGAAGCTGTCAAGATGAACCTAGCATTAAGCTATAAAGGTTGGTTGGAGGTGGTTTAAATAAAGGCATTTGCTTGGGGTTGTACGGAATAATGGAACTCTTAAGTGAGAAGTCGAAATAGCAAACACCGCTGGCTGCCAACAGCACACTGTGCCATTAACCTTTCATATGAAGTCATTGGAAGATAACTGAATTATATTTCCTTGGGCGGATTTTTTTTTAAGAAGGTAAGTGGCAGCAGGGATCTATTTTTATTAAAAAGGCTTGAGAAGTGCAGTGAAATGGCTGTGTGTTTGCAATCACGTCTTCCCTGTTATTTGACAAGGCCTGAATAATTGGAGGCAGAAGAATCAGTAGTTCTGCCTCGTTGCTGTGGCACTTTGCTGGATGTGCTTTATAATATTTGGGCAAATTTGCCATTATCCTTGTGTCTTAATTTCTCACTTCCTGAAATATGACTTTACGCTTTGTAGCATGATGGGACTTCCTTAAATGTTGGCAGATTGCTTTATGTGTTCAGATGTGCAAAGAGAAAATAATTGAATTTATTAATTATGCATTGCAGTTCATATTCATTTAAAGCTGTCAAGTGATTAGCTGTGGGAGGTGCGTGAGAAAAGGACTGTTAAAATGACAGCAGTTGTTGCTATACATAGGGCTCCTTGTTGCTATGCCCATAACCTCTTAAAGAAATGCACATTGACACTTTAAAGCCGTAGTTAATAAAAACTGGGTTATGGGCAACAGAGTCGTTTATATTTCCTCCTTTATAGACAGCAAAGGCTGCCATGTGCCTTCCAAAAGAGTGGATTCCATGTATAGAGATCATGTTCCATGACAGGAGGTGCTCATCCTTCCTATTTGCAAATTCTGACTTTGCCAGGTGCTAGCAGATGTCATGAGAAAGACACACACAACTGTGGGTCTCAGTTTCTCTCCCTAGAAAACGGGGAAAATACGGTGGTTGTGCAGAGTGTCCTTTTTGGTCCAGCTCACATAGCCAGGATGCGTTTGCTAGTTTGGGGTTAGAAAAGAAACAAATAACAAGGCCGGCTGGTAGCTCTGCAGTGTCTGGTCTAAGTTGGTACTCAGTGCTGTTTGTGTGCACAAAGCTAAAGCTCACTGAAGCTAGCTGAGATAAAGGGGGTTTCATGGAAAGGACACAGCGAACTCCCAAACACAGATATTGCAATGCAGCCAGCCTTCATGGGTACTGCAGCAGGAAATGACTAGAAATGAAGCGGTGGTCTCCAGTGGCAGGAGTTTTCTGGCTTCTCTGTATCTTCTCAGCCAGCTTCTTCCACTAGGTTCAAGCATGTTTCTGATCTCTGCAGTCTACAACTCACCACTGACTGCCTGTAGATGCTAAGACTCATATTCCTTCATTTACCAAGTATTAATAAGCGCCTACAGTGCTCCAGGCACTGTTTTAAGCCCTGGTCTCCTGTGGAAGATTCAGGCAATAATCAGATAAAAAGCAAACCAATCAATAAACAGTGCACTTTCAGATACTGATGAGTGAATGCAAAATAAAATAAGGTAATAAGGTAATTGGATGGGGGAATGTCATGCTGCTTTAAAGAAAGTGGTCGAAGGAGCATTTGAATAGACTTGAATCATGGGCAGAGCCTGCAATGCGAAGATCTGGGGAAGACAATTCCAGGCAAAGAGGCCAGCATGAGTCAAGGTTGTGTGTGAGGAGTGAAGGTGGTGCTTTGAAAGATTAGCAAGAAGTCACAGTGGCTGGAGCATAATGAATTAGGGGTGAGTAGTGGGATTTGAGGTCTGAGAGGCAAGAGGTAGGGACATCTCACAAAGGGACTTGTAATATGGTTAGACATTTGGACTTTTTTTCTAAGCGAAATAAAAAGCCATTGATTGGAAGGGTCTTAAGTTGAGGAGTTACATTTGATCATGATTCACATTTTTAAAAGATCACTGTGGTGGCTGTGTGAAAAATAGAATGTAGAGGGGCAAGAGTAGGAACAAAGAGACCAGGTAGCTGACTATTACAGTAATCCCCTTGAGAGGTGATGGCAGCTGGGATTAGGGTGGTGGCAGTGGAGCTGGCGAGAAGGGGCTGTGTAGGGATATTGCAGGATTTGTAGGTGAGTTGGGCATGGTGTGATAAAAAGAAGAGATAAATTGAGGTTGATGACTAAGTTTTGCCAGAGCAACTGGTTGCATGGGGTGGCCATTTGTAGACATGAGGGAAGACAGGGAAAGGGTCAGGATGGGGGTGAGGGAGGAGAGAAAATAAATTCATGTTTTGGACACGTTAAGTTTTGAGGTGCCTACCTGGTCTCCAAATGAATCTGTCAAGCAGCTACTTGGATATTTGAATCTGGAGCAGGGGAGAGGTCAGGACTGGAGATTAGCTAAATTTTGCCAGAGGTGTAGCTAGAATCACCCAGAGAGAGAATGTGTATAGAGCAGAGGAGGCCTGGAGCTAATCTCTGGGGTACCCCGATATCTAGAGGTGGAGATGAGGAGGAGAGCCACCAAAGAGAACCGAGGAGCAGCAGCCAGTCAGGTAAGAGGTCAAATTCCAGAGACAGTGAATTCAACTGATATCTGGCCCACCAAGGTGTAGGGCCCCTTCCAGTCTGCTGTCTGTCCTTGGCCCAATCAGTAGTCGCTAAAGGGAATGGGGGTATGAGGCCTGCTGTCTACTAAGTTTGTGGGCAGTCCAGATTTCATGAGAAGGGGAAGGGATAGGACGGGCAGGCATTCTAACACTTGCCTAAAGTATAATTTAAATTTTGCTGACAGACTGTTAAGGGATATTATTTCTCTCTCTCTATCATATCTTTCTTTTAATTTATCTCATTTTTACAGACTTTTTATTAGTTCCCTCTTAACTTTTACTTTCGAAACAATTTCAGAGGCATTTGGTACCACCAGTATCAGGATTTCTTCCTACTTTTCTGTCTTCTTTCCTTTCTTGGTCCAGCTTTTAAAGGTTTCTTTCCATGCTCCCATCCATGGACACAATGCGGCCTCCGTATTTTGAACCCTGTGGAGGAACCATAGGATGGGGTGATCATCACAGTCAGTTCTTCTCCAGGCAGTGGGGAAATGATCCTTTCAATCTGGTATGAGTTTTGTTGGAATGAACCTTTCACCCAAGTAGTGCTAAGGCATCCCAGGAGGCTCATACTAGCAATTCCACCCCACCCCCTCCACCAGCCTCTGCAAAGGAGAGACAGGGAAAGAATAGAGAACATTACTTAATTTGGGGAGTTATGTGACTAGCTGTTGATGAAGAGAGACTACATGATTTCAGGAAGGGCCTGTAAGGGAAGGGGCGTGAATGGGGAAGATGATATAGCATTGCTTCATTCTGGCCTCAAGCAGAATTCTCAATCCTAGGCCACAGGTCACTGTGCAGGTGTGAGTCACGGGTGGGCCACAGGGCCAGCAGGGTCACAAGTGTAGGCAATTGTATAAGTCTACCATCACCATTAGAAAAACAACTTCAAGTGTGTGTCATTTCAGAAGGAAGGCGTGCTATTTGCTTTAGGTAATTATACTTACCTGTAATTATTTATGTAATTATAGCTACCTGTAATTATTTAGGTAATTATAGTTACCTGTTCACCAGCATTTGGGTACATGGTTAAAGATGCAGCCAGAGAGGATTTATTCAATCCAGAAGCCTCTTAGGTGAATACAAGTATTATTTTGTGTTGGTTCCCTAGATCCTCTTTGCTGTGAGAGGATGCATTCTCTCTGGAGAGTCATTTTGAGCTTCTATTTCTCACATATAAACTGTGGAAAATAGAGTTGACTTTTTCACTCCCATGATTGAGTTTAATGGCCTTGAGATGTGGCAAATCTTATGTAGCTGCTAAAATCTTATTCCATTTCTATGTTCCCAACCTCTTGGCTTTATTTTTAGGGAGGCTTTCTGTTATAACCGGTACAGGCAGGTGGTTCAGCATCTGCCCAGGGAGAATGAGACTGATTTTTCTTCTCCGCAAGCCTGTGTGTGTCACTCATTAGCTTGACTTGGTTACTAACAATAAGTCACCTGTGTTCTCTTAGCAGACTATTTTACAAACATTTTAAAAACATTTCAAAAGTTGAGAAAAGAAAGAGGGAAAATCTTCATAACACATTTTCTTAATAAACACGTTTCATGTTTTATAATAAACATGTTATTTTTTTATTCCTTTTTGGTCTTTATACTATTTATATGTATTTTTAGAATTTTAATGATAGCATACACAAGTTTTATATTCCTTTATAATATTTCATAATAGTTTTATTTTTTACATACTATTTCATAGATTAGAATGACCATAATTTATTTGATATTCTCTTTGGGGACATTTATTTTGTTTCCAGTTTTTTGTTTGTTTTTTTTTTTGAGACAGAATCTCGCTCTGTCACCCAGGCTGGAGTGCCACGGTGGAATCTCGGCTTACTGCAACCTCTGCCTCCCTGGTTCAAGCAATTCTCTGCCTCAGCCTCCTGGGTAGCTGGGATTACAGGTGCTCACCCCCGTGCTTGGCTAATTTTTTTGTATATTTTAGAGACAAAGTTTCACCATCTTGGCCAGGCTGGTCTTGAACTCCTGACCTTGTAATCCATCTGCCTTGGCCTCCCAAAATGCTGGGATTACAGGCATGAGCTACCGCACCTAGCCAACGTGGAAACATTTTCATGAGTCTTGATTCATCTTGCCAATGTCTCTTAAGTTTATTATTAAGATTCTCCTATTGATTTAAATAAGAAGGAACCTCAGAAGGGAGAACTATAAAGGAGAAAAAGAAAACCCTAAGAGATGCAATAAATAATTATCCAGATTATTCTAATTTATCAGACCTACATAATTCTATAGTATTATACAAGCACACATTGTATAATATTATAGTATTAGACAATCCTCTGCCTTGGTACCACTATTGTCCCATCAAGTCCTGAGAAAATGAGAGAAGATTTCAATGAGAGCTGAACCTCCTGTTACATTACTATGATCCTATAGTATTATGTAAATGTAATCCTATAGTTTTATAGTTATGTTTCCATAAATATTCATGGACACATAGGGAAAAATTTCCTTTTGGTAACATCTATGAGGTTTAGACTTTTCTTGGTGTGGCACTTGCTGTGAGTTGTCTACTTGTTATATGTTCTCTTTCTTTCTTACTAAGAGAAATCTGAGTTTTTTCAGAGCAATAGGCCCCGTTAAATATTCAGTTTCTCAGTGTGTCTTACAGCTAACTGGCCAGGGGACACAGTTCTGACCAATATAAAGTAAGCAGAAGTCTGTGATGTTGTCTTTTCCCCTTCCTCCTTCCTTTTGCCTGGGATGCAGCTGTGATGCATGGAGGTGTAGCAGCCACGTTATCACCTTATGGAAAAGAAGCCATACATGAGAAGAAATGATGGAGCAGTACAACAAAGTTCCCAGCTGAATGGAATCATAATGGCCCCACCCAAAATTGATTAAAAAGTCACAGCTGAATGGAATCATAATTGATATACCCTAAATTGATTAAAAAACCACTGTTCTAGTTTATTGCATATATTTTACAAGCATCTTCAAGTTCTTTATAGAAGAAAGTAGATGTAAACCTGTATACACATCAGTAATAATATTGTGTGGAAGTAAATATGCCCACAGGAAGAGGTGGAGGATTTCCTGTGGAACCGACGTGAGAGCTGCTGATCAAGTGCAGTCAGGGTTGATGGCCATAAATCTAATTTCTGAGACTCAAAAACCAGTCAAAAAGTATACAGGTCATCAGTCTGGGTTTGGGGCACAAAAATTAAGATCTTGAAGAGAATATGGCCAACAGGAAGCTAGGTCAGTCTCCTAGGGGTTCAGAATCAGCTGTCACACCAATGTCAGGAACTTCTGAGATAAAGACTGGGAGAACTTTATAGAATAGAATGCGAGTTTGCCCAGAGGGTGGATTGCTATTAGAGAAGCAACCCACAGATACCAGACTGTACTTCTGGTGCCATTTTCCCCTTCTTAGTCCACTTGATAGCTTAACCAACCCTCTGCCTTTGTACCACTTGTCCCATCAAATCCTGAAAAAATGAGAGCAGATGTTGATGAAAGCTGGACCTTCTGTACCACATCTGATGATTGGGTGATTTTTTCCCATAGACTAGCTTCTGGCTCTGTACATTTCAAACCTTGTTTCTCCTTTGCCACTTCAGTGCTAGACACCTGAGGACTTGTTCATGTCTTCTCGCCTTGTACCGTCAGTAAATGTCACTGGGTGAATCAGCACAGTGGGTGGTAGGAACGTTCCTGAAAGTCCTATATACCATGGGACAGACAGCAATCACTTAACTACACATAGAAATGATCACAAAACTCATTAATGGTGTCCTGCAAAACCTCTAACTCGAGGTGTTCCAATTCAACTGCCAGATTCCAAAAACATCTAGTGCAACTCTGGCTACCTTATGTGAGAACAAAGGAGAACCTGTGGTGAAAAGAGACAGCAATTTCAACCAGTCGCTGTTGAAATACCTTATTAATGCAAACATTTTAAAAAATCACCATGAAGGTACAGCATTAGGACCCTGCCTAGGGCTTTCAAAGGGGCTTGTGTGCCCTCAGAAAGGGTCCTGAAGCTTAAGCTCCTGAAGCTTTATGGCAAACCCATCTTTGTACACTCCTTTTAGGAGATGTGCCAGCAGCCCATGTGATACCCTGTGGACTGCTTTGTATGCTGCTTGACAATTTGAGACAAGTAGCTTTAAAAATAATATATATTTTGTTTTGTTTTAAATTTTAGGTAATCCATGCTATAGTAAAAAAAAAAAGCATAAAATATTTTTACTGTAATTCTGCCATTTCATATAATTTCTTTCCGATCATGTTACATCTATATATAGGTATATAGGTATATCTCTCTATCTCTATATTCTCATCATCAAAAACAGGACAACTTCCAAATGTCATTTTAAAGACGAGATTTATTGTGAGCTTTCTTTTATATAATTATATGTCATGAAATATTCTTATAAAAGGGTGATATTTTATTTTATTTTTTTGAATCGGGGTCTCACTGTGTTGCCCAGGCTGCAATGCAGTGACGCGATCTTGGCTCACTGCAACCTCTGCCTCCCGGCTTCAAGCAATTCTCCTTCCTCAGCCTCCTGAGTAGCCGGGATTATGGGCGTGTGCCACCATGCCCAGCTATAAAAGGGTGATTTAAAAAATAACTTTGCAATATTCTAAATTTCCCTATTATTGGACATTTAGGTTATTTTAATATCTTTTATATTATAAATAAAGTTGTGGAAAATATCTTTCTACATACATATTTATGTGCACTTTTTATTATGTACATGATACATTCCTAGGATAAATTCCTAGAAGTGATATTACTGAGTCACAAGATATAGAAAATGTTAAGAATTTTACACATACAGATAAGTTGTTCTCCAGAAAGTCTGTATGAATTTACACTTATGAAAAAAATGTGTGAGAGTGTTTTTCTAACCCTTGCCAGAAAAATATACAATTATTTAGAAAAATCTTTCGAATGGTGTCCCATGGTTAATGCTTGTTTCTCTGATGATTGTGATACTGAAAACTTTTTGTATGTATTTTGGCTTTGTATAGCTTATGTAAATTGTCAGCTCCTTGGGCAAGAGTGTTTAATTAGATGATTTTTAATTAAGGCACTACATTTCCCAAAGTGCATAAAGCCTATTAAATGTATTATTATTATTATTATTATTTTGCTTTCTTCCATCTGTCTGCTCTCTCTCTGGCTTTTCTTCTTTTCTCTAAGTAGCGGAGGGCCCAAAGAGCTGCCCTTCACAAACTCTGTTGTTGTCTTTGTGTTAAACTTAGCCAGATGATACTGTCATTTTTGGAAGGTTGAAAAATGGTTGACTATCAGAAATTTCATGTGGTTAAACCTGATATATTTCTCTTGACAAATCTGATTTAATTTCCCTTTCTCCCTACAGCCGAATCTTTCCCCTCTTTTAAGGGTCGTTTTAAATGTGATTCTCTTGCTGAGTGCTGCCCCTCCCATCCACCCCAGCTGGAAATTCCTCACCATCATTTGATGTATGCATCTTTTTCATTCTATGATATGTGTAGTGGTATTTCATTGTGATTTTAATGAGGCATGTTGTTTTAATTCCATGATGAATAACAATATTGAGCGCCTTTTCATATGTTTAATTTCTATTTGGATATCTGCTCTTATAAAGTGCCTATTCAAGTTTTTTGCCCATTGTCTTAACAACTATAGTTTTATAGTAGGTCTTGAAGTCTGGCCGTTTAAGTCCTCCAACTTTATTTTTCTTTTTTCAGAGTTGTCTTGGCTATTTCAGATCCTTTAAATTTCCACATAATTTTCAGAATAAGCTTGTCAATTTCTACAAAACAATACCTGCTGGGGTTTTGACTGGGACTGTGTTGAATCCATAGGTCAGTTTGTGAGAATTGCTATCTTCATCCATGTTCATTGTATATCTTGCCATTTATGTAGGTCTTCTTTCATTATCTCAGCAATGTTTTCAATGTAGGGGTCTTGCATATCTTCTGTTAAATGTATTCCTATGTATTTGATTTTTTATGCCATTGTAAATGGTATTTATTGTTTTAAAATTTCGTTTTCTGATTGCTGATTGCTAGTATATAGAAATACAATTTGTTTTGGTATACTAACTCTATTTTGTTTCTCTCCTTACTTCACATATTCTTGTAGTTGTTTATAGATAGATTTCTTCAGATTTGCTAGATATATAATTATGTAACCTGCTAATAAAGGTTTACTTCTTCCTTTCTAATATGTATGCCTTTTATTTCATTTTTTAAACCTTATTGCATAACTTCTATACATTTTTCTCCCCTTCGGACTGTAAGCTGCCTGAGACAAGATGCTTTGAGGCAAAACCCTAGCATAGTGCTTTAAACATCGAAAAGGCTAAGAGAATTTTCGTTGGTTATGTAAATGATGAAGGGGAAAACAATGACATTAAAGCCTTAATTTGCTATTGTATATGATCAGTGAACCAATACCAAGAAAAAGGATACTGGTTAAAAACCATTTTTATGAGTTGATACATTTTTATTTGCAAGGATTGCCACAGGTGTGTTCAAGACTCTCCCAGGCCATTCTGCTTGGTTTGTGGTTCCTGGTTCCTGGATCCTACACTGATGTTATGTTAGTGTTCATTGCGTTCTTTTATAAGACTCTTACTAAGCATTCTGAGAATTCCAAAATAGCAGTAACTGCTTCTCCCCAGGATAGCACAGAGCAGATGGATCCCTGAACCTCATTGCCTTTGGTCCCAATTCCCCAAGCTTCTGTTGGTGTAGAAAAAAAATCTGCATTTTCAATATTGCTGGAGTGAAGCCTGGGAAGTTTTCAACTTTGAGTCTTTAAATTCCAAAAAGCAATGTTATTTTTAGATTTCTATTATACACTAGGAGTTTGTGAGTGAAGTCGTATTAAGGGGTGAGGATGAGGGCTTATGTGAATGGGTGATGGTCTTTTCCCGGTAAGCAGCCATTCTTGCCAGTTTTGAAGACACATGGGACTGTGAACTGGCTGCCCATGAGCTAAGATAACTCCCAAGGTAGGAGGAAAATAAGTGATTGGACATTGATACCTATTTTTGCATTTGGTTGCAGTAGTTATTTCTTTTTTATAGATTTCACTGTCCACATGGCTGAAAGATGCATGATGAGTTATTTTCTAAGGAGGTAATTCCATTGTTTCTTTGCAAGCTGCAGATATGCTGTTAGACATTTAAACAGTAGATTTGTAAAGTATTTAAGGCAGTTTTGACTTCATGGCCACAGGGATTGCTGTCTGGTTTTTCCAGGGAGCAGTCCCCATGAAAGAGCTAATTATGTTTTTGCTGTTGAATAGATATGGATCATCTTGAAAAAAATGAAAGTGACAGAAAATAATAGAAAAGAGAAAAATCAAAAATGAATACTCTTGTAAATTTGGATTAAATAATATAAATGCAGAGTGATAACTTTTTTCAAATATTTGAATTTTTCAAATACTTTATATATGTCGTTCTTTTAAATATTTACATATTGACATTAAAACAGTGTTCTAGAAGTAATTTTGTGACTATTATTAGTGGAATGCTTCTATTTGCCCCAATCACCTGAACTCCTACCATCTAGAAATAGTAAAATTGTTTGTTATAAAATAATTATAATTGTTATGAAATAATTACAATTACTTTTTTTTTTTTTGAGACAGAGTCTGGCTCTCTCACCCACGCTGGAGTGCAGTGGTGCCATATTGGCTCACTGCAGCCTCCATCTCCTGGGTTCAAGCAATTCTGGTGCCTCAGCCTCCTGAGTAGCTGGGATTACAGGCAAGTGCCACCACATCTGGCTAAATTTTGTAATTTAGTAGAGATGGGGTTTCACCGTGTTGCCCAGGCTGATCTTGAACTCCTGGCCTCAAGCGACCTGCCTGCCTCGGCCTCCTAAAGTGCTGGGATTACAGGCACGAGCCACCGCACCAGGCCTAATTACAATTACTTTCCAAACTTAAAAAAATATTATATATCCTGTTTGGAAATCTGCTTCTGTCATTTAACAATCTATGTTATGGGTATGTGTCCATGTCAAGAAATACAGAATTACATTATTTTAATTTAATAGCTACTTAGGATTTCTGTGTGTGTGTGCACACACATGCCCATAAAATAACCAGTTCTTTGTTGACAGATATTTTTGTTTAGGGTTTTTTCCTACTATTATAAACAATATTGCAATGGATATCCTTGTACATAAATATTGAGCATTTATCTGATTAGTTCCTTAGGATAACTCCTAGGAGTGGAATTCTAGGACTCAAATTGTACATTTTATTTTTTGATTCATATTGCAAAACATTCCTGCAGAAAATCTAAATTAATTGATACTCTCATCAGCATCAAATCAAGAGTATTGTTTACCTGCTCCATTGTCAACACTATTTGTTGTGCATCTTTAAAAATTTTATTTTATTTTTAATTGACAAATAATAATTATTTATATTTATGGGATATAATGTGATGTTATATAATGGGATACAATATGATATATGTTTACATTGTGCAAAATTAAATATAACTAATGAACATATCCATCACCTCACATATTTATCATTTTTTTTTTTGTGGTGAGAACATTTAAAGTCTCTTTTAGCAATTTTTAAATATATGATACATTATCATTAACTATTAGCCATACTGTGCAATCGATCCCTAAAACTTATTCCTTCTCTCTAACTGAAACTTTGCACCCTTTGGACAACATCTCCCCATTCTCCCATCCTCCACTCCCCTCACCCAGCCTCTGGTAACCACCATTCTACTCTCTACTTCTATGAATTTAACTTTTTTAGATTCCACATGTAAGTGAGATGATGCAGTGTATGTCTTTCTGTGCCTGGCTTATTTCACTTAGCATAATGTCTTCCAGGTTCATTTATGGTGCTGCCAATGACAGAATTTTCTTCTTTTTTAAGGCTGAACAGTATTCCACTGTGTATATAGATCACATATTAAGTATCCTGTTGTGCAAATATTTATTGAGCAAATACTATGAGCTAGACATTTAAATATAACTGTGTTCTTCCTCAAGTGTTACCCAAGAGAGGAAAAAAAAGAAGAAATATTGCAGTGCTCAAGACAGAAATGCTTTTTAAAAAGCTAGATTATTTCAGAAGTAAGAGCTAGAATGGAGGAAATCAACAGACTGGTGGAATCTAGAGGGTGTGGGCAGGGGTAGGCAGGCAACTTTAAACTGGGTAGCCAGGGGTGGCCTTTCTGGGGATTAGAAGGTGATTTCTAGGCTGACACCTGAGACAATAGCAACTCAAGCCTTGTGAAGAACAGAGGAAAGAACATTCTAGGCAGAGAAAACAGCAGGTGCAGAGGCCGTGAGGTGGGATAGAGCGTGGCCTACGCAAGAAACAGGAGAGAGGCCAGAGTGGCGTGAGCATGGGGAGAGAAATAGCGGATGCTGTGAATGAGGCTGGAGATGGAGGTAAAGGCCAGGACACCCAGAGTAGGCCGTGGAGGGAGGGGGAATTTTTTCCAGGTGCACTGGGCAGCCAAGGAGGGTTAAGTGGGGGAGCGCGAGATCTCCCTGATCACTCCTGGTCTGGTGCCTGTCAGTCGGTGTCCAGCCTCTTGATTCCTGATATGCTTCTACTGTGGTGTACTCCTGCATGTAAATACACGAAGTATTCTCTCTCTCTCACTCTCCTTTAAATATTTTGGGTTTTGGGTGGTGGTAGGTTGCAAAACTAGTTCTCATGTGTCTGTGGGTGAAACACTGGAAGACACAGCCAATTGTGTAGACCCAGACTGTTAGAACTGGAGGACTGGAAATGGAAATGCAATTCAACAGAACAGAGCGAAGGGGGAGCCTGTGAGAAAAGAGTTCTGGCATTGTGAAGCCAGTTGGAAAATAATTGTATTAGACCAGGAAAGAGAGAAGGGCAGGAAAAACAGGGCTTGGGAGAATACGACAGGGGAAGTCTGTTTGCTAGATGTGATTCAGTTTAGTTCTTTATTCTCTACCTGCTCCCACTTTTGTGGGGTGCCTGCTTCCTGCTGCAGGATAGTGAGGTGTGTTACTGCAATAATATCTGGAATGGACTCTGGGGCTACAAATTCCAGAGGGTATAAATGATACTGCTGAGGCTGCCCCACAGGTGTATGTTTAACTTTCTGAATCTGGCTTACATTCTCCCATTCTTCAAAAATTACGTTTTCTGTGGTAGCAAGAGGCAGTTATGATGATTCAGAAAGATAATGCCTACTGGTGCTTTACTAGATTCTCTTCCTGGAAAGTCCTTGCTAAAATTATGTCAAGGTCATATAAGGACAGTTTTGTGTGTGTGTGTGTGTGTGTGTGTTTGGGACAAGACTGATTCTGTATCACTTTAAAAGTATACAGTTGAAGGATGAGTAAACAACAACAGCAAGGTTAAGTGTTTGAGTAACATTGTTTCAGTGATAACTGATCTGAGTTTGATATCTTGACACAGGCTGCCACTTTGGATTCAGTTGTTGTTTTAAAATGGCTTCACATGTTTCCCTGTCACCTCAGGTGCTTCAGAGGCCAGCGTGCTAGAAGTGAGCACACATAGAAATAAGACACAGACTCAGGGTTTGCACATATAACAGGTGGACCCATTTCTCTCCATGGGTTAGGAATGGGCAATGGTTTGGGGGACTCTATTGGAGGTGGTTTGATGGGTCAAGGAGATAATTTTATCATTTCCATTTTTAGAATCTGAAAGATTTCTTTCAGTCTTCTGGAATCTTCCTTTAAAATGCAAACAATTCTGAACCAGGCCATTTTCACCCAATATCTCTGTTAGAATTAGTAGAAATGAGCTTGGAGGTAGGTGTCCAGAGGCAAATGGAGATGGGTAGAGCTTAGAGGAAGCTGGAAGGTGACCAGAGGTATGGAAGGATGACATCAAGGACAACGTCAGGCCAACTGCCTCCTTCATGAGTGGGGCTGTGCACACTCTCTTTCTGAAATGTTGTGCTTTAGTTGAAGAGTTTTCCCCAATATTTTGATTTAACATAAATTAGTGCATTTTGGTGCAAAGCCCATGCTGCTTTCCCAGAGTACAAAAAAGAATTAGGTGGAAGCTTCCTATTCAGACGTGCCCCAAGTCACGTTAACCTGTGGGCACACACCTGCCTTGCTGCGGGTTTTCCCTCTCTTCTCTAAGGGCAGGTCTTGAAAGGAAATGGATTTCACAAGTTGTATTCTTTTAAAGCTACATCACAATGGTCACTAAATAGCTATTTGTGTCATGAATGGCTGCCTCCCAGGCTATGCCTCAATCATCTTGTTCTTCGTGTATTGTCTGGGCCCAGCACCGTGCCACTCACACAGTGAGTGCCGACTGTGAGCAATGCAATAAGATTCTAGAATTACTGAACAAATGCTTGAATAACTGCTAGATGGTATTAGAGATACAAACCTTCTCTTACCTTGGGTAAAAAGCGTATGCTGATCCTGGTAGCAAATGAATAAGATCCTAGGAAATGAGAACCAGAACATAAAATATATTTCAGGAAGACTGAGTGAGGAGGGAGTGGCTCTCTTGGGGACAAAAATTATTTCTAGTTCAAAGTTATTGTGACAATTGTGGAGCACATGACCTGTGACATTTCCCTCCAGGCTTTGCCTGCCTGCCTGCCTTTTCATCAGTTCGGTATTGACTGGCCTCACCTTCCGGGGAAGTGGGGAATGAAGAAATGGCTCATTTTACTACTTGTTAGCGCTGTGAGTTGGGTCCAGGAGGGTGAAACTAATAGCTGAAAAAATCCTAAGGGTTTTCTAAAGACTTACTTATTGTCTTCTCATGAATAATTGAGAGCCATATATAGTTATAAAATCATATACAGTTATAAAATCATATATAGTTATAAAAATTGTCAAGAAACCCACAACCCACTCTTGTCTCCTTGGAAATGTGGTATGGAAATGTGCAAGAATTTTATTTATTTATTACTTTATTTTAATGTTTATTCTGGAGACAGGGTCTCGCTATGTTGCCCAGGCTGGTCTTGAACTCCTGGCCTCAAGCGATCCTCCCAGCCTCCCAAAGTGCTGGGATTACAGGTACACACCACCTTGCCCAGAGTAAAATTTTACTTTTGAGGCAGCATAGCTGTGATATTTGTAATATTAATGCCTCCAATAGCAAATTCCTGTAGCCCTGGGGAGTTTAAAATTGGGATGACGTTGGATGGAGGATGCAGGTGGTAGAGAACAAAGAAAGCTGAATTCTAAAAATGTGCAGCCTCAATGCCCTGACCTTTGTGTCTCTCGCTGCAATGTATTAAAGGCCTCTGTTTCATTTGTAAGCATTCATTCATGGAGGAATAACCTCCCAAAGGTTTGTAGCAAGCATTCCTGGGGATCTATTGGTAGCTTGGACAGAAGGCTGAGTGCCTGGAGTTGTTCACATCCCCGCTTTGCCCGCTGTCACTCTGCCCTGAGGTAACAGGCAAGCGGCTTCCTTGGGTGGTGGCGCCTGCGTATGGAGCAGTGGAAATATATGGGCAGATATGAAAAAAAAAAGAGCCTTCACTGATTCACATCAGGACCAAGTAATGTGACTTTTCAGATTAGCAGATCGAAATCTGTTGCAGCCGCTCAGCATTTCTATTTCAAGCCTGGAGAACATCTCTCCAACTGTTTCTTTCTTCTTTCTCCACTCCTGCTTCAGCCCTCAAAGCCCCTACTGCTTTTTAGCTTTTTGGTTCCTCCTGTGCTGTAGAGTCCATTGCCTGAGGTTTCTTGATTTTTTTTTTTTTTTTTTTTTTTGCCAAAGTGAGAAGAATTGTCAAATCTCGTACTCTATTGTAGGCTGGACTCCACTGAAGACATGTCAGAGAAGCAGGACTGGGGTTCCCATAAATCCTGGTTGAATGAGCAAGGGCATGAGTGGATGGGGAGACACCTAGGGAAGAGCAAAGTGCCAAAGAATAAAGCACAGCATCTAGGGTGCTTCCCGCTGATAACACTCAACTTTGCACACTGGCTCAAACATGGTGTGAAGAAAGTTTTCATTCCTGTGTGGTATGTGATTTTTGTACATTTCATATCATTAGAACACCAGGTTCATGGAGCAGCTGCTACCTGTAGACACTGCACTTGACCCTGAGCTTTCAGAGGTTAATAAGCTTTAGCTGCCATCCCCAAGGGGCTCTCTGTCGTGGAATGCTGTTTGTTTTGGACCTGCATCACTTGTAGAAGTAGAAGGGGCTCAACAAGTGTCTGAGAAAGGGAGTGAATGATGTTCATACAAAGAACGAAAGAACTGAAAGTGATTCAGCAGGTTTTATTTGTATTTGGTGTACTTGGGCCCAGTGGTGTTGTGGAGGTGTGGGGAGCCATCCATTCATTCTCCCTCAGCCTGCCTTGCCCTGGTGGCACCTGTTTCAGGGACATGGGGCTGGGTTAAAGGAGCATGTACCTGACTCGTACAAGCATCCAGTGGCCCTTCCCCTGAGCCCTGGCAGTGTTGGGGAGTGGGTGTTAGTACTCTCTCCTCTTGATGTAGATATTCCCAGAGCTCTGGGGCTGGAGGATAGATGAGGAAGGGTTAACTCCAGGGTGGTGACAGCTGAATATACAGCATAAACAGCATTTGGGGATGAGATCACTTCTGTTTTGGGAACCTGAAGGCAAACACAGTTGCATTTGTTCGTGTAATCATTGCCTTGTTTGAGGTTGTTTATGTTTAGAAATTCATGTTGGAACATTTATCAGTTGGGGCACAGAAACCAACTCTGGCTACTTAAGCCAAAAATGAATCCACTGGTAGGCCATGGAGCAGTTCCCAGGATTGAGGGAAAAGCATGAATTGTATATGGACCTGGTCTCAAAAGGAAGTGGGGCAATTCTGGGGTTCTAAATACTGGGAAATTAGGGATAGTCTTTTCGGGACTCACCTCAGGATGAAGCAGGAGCTGTTTTCCATCCTGAAGTTTTCCTGGAAGAGCAAGTTGGCTGGGTCATTCTGCCCATCCCTTTAGGTCACTAAAGGAAGTCAGGTGTGAATGCTGGGAAGGCAGAAACTGGCAGCTGTCCACCCTATGAAATGATGCTTGCTTTCTCAGGCCTCCCTCTTCCTAATCTTTCTGGTCTATTTCCTTTGAGACAGGCTTTCAAGAGTAGTTTTGAGCTTTTAGAGCATTCCTTGGGGCTGTAGTGGACATGTTGGCAACTGTGACTGGAAGAAATCATAACAGCATGGAGGCAACAGATGGAAAAATTTGAAGTTTCATTTAAATAATGATCTTAAAAAAATGTCCCTTTATCTACTTATTCCAGATCATCTGGATGATGCTTAATACCACAAGCACCTATTCCTCTATTCATTCATTTTTAGTGCATTTGGATTTTCTGGAGCATTGGTCGGTCCTGAGTTGAAATTCATTAATTGTCATGGTCTAATGAGAAAAAATAGGCTTAATTAAAAAAATGCATCTGCGTCAAGTATAGGCCAAATGATATCACAGAGTGCTGTTTTTAGAAGGGAGAAAAATGTTCGGGAAATGGGGTCTTTATGTAGCACGTGGCAGCTCAGGCATGATGAATGCAAGGGAATCTGGGCCATTGCAGTCGGCACCGTATTCAAATTGAAAGCAGCAACTTAGTTTCAGCAAAACAATATAATCCTTTACATGCCACTAATGTTATTTTGAGTTTTATTGGCTTTGCAGTTTTGGGTTTAATTAGTGCATTCATTTTATAGTGGTATGAGACTACAAGCATATAAATCATTTTGTATTTCTATATATTTAAGTGAGTTATAATAAAAATAACTGGTCAACCCTGGAGGTCCTTGAGGATTTTTTTTTCTTTAAAAGGAAAGTACCTTATTCAAGTTTTAGAAATGCTAGCCTATGGGAGATATTTGCACCCTCTCTGACCCCACCTCTATGGGAGGGGACACATGCTGGGCTTGGCCATGTGACTTGCTTTGGCCAGTGGGATATTACCTGACATGAAAGCAGAGGCTTTATAAGAGCTTGTGGATTGGCTTGGCCCCTTGTACTCCTCTCTTTCTCTAGGAGAAGATCATGTTTCAAATGCTGTTGGTTCAAAGAGGATGACAGACATGTAGAGCCTATCTGAATCCAGCTCAGTCAACCTGGATCAGCTAAACTCTAGCCAACCGACAGATCTGTGAGCAAGAAATAAGTGTTTATTGTTGTGTGAGACTGAGATTCTGTGGTTGTGTGACACACAGCATTGTTGTGGCAATAACTGGCTGATTGATGAGGTAGCCGCACCCTGGAGCATGTGAGCACAGGATTTACTGAGCACTTACTATGTGCTAGTCATTGTGGTGGGTGCTGAGGCTACAATAGTGAACAACAAAGACCAAGTCTCAGCCCTTAGGGGGCTTCCATTCTGGTGGGTGTTCAATAATTTTTGCTTGACTATTTATCTGATGAAAGCTTTATTTTTCCTTTTTTCAAAAAGGCGGACTACCTCTACTCTGACTTTTGTTGTTTGTTTTTGAGACAGCAGCTTGCTCTGTCACACAGGCTGGAGCGCAGTGGTGCGATCATAGCTCACTGTAACCTTGAACTCCTGGACTCAAGGGATCTTCTCCTCTCAGCCTCTCCTGGCCTCAAGTGATCCTCCCACCTCAGCCTTTCAAAGTGTTGGGATTACAGGCGTGAGCCACTGTGCCCAGCCAACTTCGACATTTTTGAAAAGTGAAACATATAGGTAGATGTGATCTTATCTACATATGGATTTTATATTTAACCAAAAAGTCAAGGAATAACTTGGCTAGTGATGTTGTCACCATTATCATCAAAATTGCCTTCGTTAAGGCATTTGCTTCTCTTGACTCATGTCTAGAAATGTCTAGAAAGAATATAAAAATAGATGAAAAAATAAGAACATCATCATTTTGTCTACCAATTTTGCTCTTGGTTGATTTTGCTTTATACAAAGTTTTGACTGGGTTCCATAACTAAAAATAATCTCCGTGTGTACGTGAAATTTCACCAGGGTAGATGCGCTTATATTTATGCACGGCTGAAAATTCTGCCGAGTATGGAGGTCTGTGGCGGCTGGGCTGGAATGAAAACACAGTCCTGGGAAGGGAATTTGAAAGCAGTGTTGAATACATTTAAAAATATTATTCAAATGACTGCAAAAGTTCATTTTTATGAATTTAGGACTATTGGGAATCAGCAGCAAAATTTCACATTTCTTATTTCATGGAGAGCAGGGCTGAAATGCAGCTGCATATATTATATTCAGTTCTCGGAGGCCTTAAAGCGGCAAAGCCCATTTCAGATTTAACTTGAAGGAGTTGTCTAGGCCAGTGCTGGGTAGGCAGTAACAAACAGCAGGCGGTTTGAAAAATAATCTGTTGCACTCTGGAATGCAGTGAAATTTGGAATATTTTTGCTTTGGTGACCAACTCCCTTTTGTTTAGGTCCCAAATGTCAGTGGTCCAGGGCTGCTGGGGTAACCCTATGGACACAGTCATGAAGTACTTGGATGTCCATCAGAGCCATAAAAGAGATTATCCATTCACCCTGGGGGGCTCCTACCCGTAAGTGGGTGTCTGCAGTTCTCAGAGAGAAGCTGATGCTTTCTCCCTGCTCATTCTGCAGATGGTCATTCTGTAGAGACTCAGCTTGACCCACTGTAATCTTCTGGATGGGATTCCTTGTTCTTTCTCCAGAACCTCTGCTTTATCTCACTGAGTTTTCACTTTTAGGGAGGGGAGAAAGGAATAGATTGTTTGGGTGTGGGATGTGTTGTGGGGGCGGGAGTCTGGGACATCTCTAAGTCTGAAAGAGCACGATCAAGCTAAATGGTGGAAAATGAGGAAAAGCGGCTTTTGTCGCTTTGTTTCCAGATGTAAATAATGCTGCCAAGCCATGCAGAGATGGAAGAGAATTTTAGGTATGTTTTGGAAGTGTTAACCATATTGTTTGACCTGTGTCCTCATTCTTTTAGCTGCCTTCCCACTTGCCTAGAAACAATGTTTTACTTCTGGTGAAGAAGTGAATTTTTTTTTTTGGTCTGATTGAGTTAAAGCCTGAAGTACTCGGGACACAGATGACCGATTGTAATGCGATCTTGTCAGATCTGCCCTCAAATCTGTTGAATTTTCCGTACTTGCCTGGCAGCCCTGTGCTTCCCAGGCCCACATGCTGTGGCTGATCTGTTTTAATCATCAAGCTCTGGGGCTCAGTCAAAGGAGAGGTGTTGCCATTGTCAATGGAAAAGGAATAAGCATGGGGAAACCTGAGGCTAAATGAGGGTCTGGTTCCATCAGAAATAGTTCTGTGTGGTCAGGGAAGGGAGGAAGGAAATTAGTATTTACCTAATCCTACCTCGCCCAGCCAGTGCCTGGACTCAGAAGTGAGGTCTCAGACTGGCTGTCCAGAGAAGCCAGAAGTGGTCACAACCAGAGATCCAGGGTGATCTATGCCCTAGAACATTGATTCTCAAAGTATGTTCTCTAACCAGCATCTTCTGTATCACTGGAACTTGTCAGAAATACAACTTCAGGCCGGGCGCAGTGGCTCATGCCTGTAATCCCAGCATTTTGGGAGGCCAAGGCGGGCAGATCACAAGGTCAGGAGATCAAGACCATCCTGGCTAACACAGTGAAACCCTGTCTGTACCGAAAATACAAAAAAATTAGCCAGGCATGGTGGCACATGCCTGTAGTTCCAGCTACTCGGGAGGCTGAGGCAGGAGAATCGCTTGAACCTGGGAGGCGAAGCTTGCAGTGAGCTGAGATTGCACCACTGCACTCCAGCCTGGGCGACAGAGTGAGACTCCATCTCAAACAAAAACAAAAACAAAAAAACAAAAACAAGCAAACAAAAAACTTCACGGCCGTACTCCAGACCTGCTGCATCAGACACTCTGAGGGTAGGCCCCCTGGCAGCTGTGTTTTACCAGGCCCTCTGGTGGATCCTGATGCCTGCAAAGTTGGAGAACCACAGCCCTATCTTTAGATAGTTAAAAGGCACCAAGAACCCCAAAATCTGTCACTTAAGACTGGGACAGGGAGTGGGGTGTTCAGGGCTCACCAAAGAAAAGAAGACTTTTCCCCTCCTACCTAATAGTTAACAAATTTAGCAGATAATTCTTATGAGATCATTAAATACTCAATCTTTTCCTTTCCTAAATGTTACTGTAGCATAGCAGTGATTCATGCAGTATTGTAAACCTAGAAAAATGAGTGTTTAGATCCTATTTTGATATTTTACTAATGGTTTTACATGTTTATAGCCTGATTTTGTTCATGTTTGCCTTGACGTCTTTCAGAATTCCAGTCTGTAGCTAGGAGTGTTATAAACATCCTTTCATCCATTTGTTCGTTCAAATATCAGGGACTGCCTGCTATGTGCTAGACCCTGAACTTAGATGAGAACACATGGTCTTTGCTATTAAAGATATGTAGTACAGGGAGATGATGGAGTTCTGTTTATAACAATAATCACAATATACCCACTTGAGGTGAATATATGAAGATTTGGGAGCAAAGAGGATGGATAGCCCATCAGAGAACCTTACAAGAGGATGTCCTTGGAAAGTCTTCATGGAGAAGATGATATCTGAGGAGCAGAAAGGAATGAAACATTTACCATGTAGTAGAGGTAGGAGAGAATGTTCTAGGTAAAGGGGAATACATACGGAACTATATTTGCTATAATAAACTACCACAAACTTGTAGATTAAACAATACAAATTTATAACTGTAGATCAGAAGTCTGACATGGGTCTCACTGGGCTAAAATCAAGATGTTGGCAGAGTGCATTTCTTTCTGGAGACTTTAGGGGAAAATCCCTTTTTGTGCCTTTTTCAGCCAAGAAAGGCCGTCTGCATTCCTTTCCTTGTAGCCCCCTCCTCCATCTTCAAAGACAGTGACGGTGGACAGAGTGCTTCTCACACTGACTTTTGTTTGGTTTTCTGGACTCATGTGATTAGGTTGGACCACCCTGAAAAACCTATGATAATCTACCCATCTCAAAGTCATTTATCTTAATTATAACTGCAAAGTCCTTTTTTGCCATGTGGAGAAATATACTCACAATGTTCTGAGAATTAGGCCATGGGGCATCTTCAGGGGCCATTATTCTGCAGCCACCATGGATGCCTGAGAGTGTAGACTGTCTTAGAAAGAAAAAGAAAGCCCAGTGTAACTGTGCCAAGGCCAAGAGCGAGGGAGAGAGTACAGCTGAGAAATGGAAACGGTGTGTGGCAAAATGGAACAGCGATGCTCTCAGCAGAGGTCTGAGTTTTAAAAATATCAGCAGCTGACTTAATTCTGTTGATTGACTATTTTAGAGAAGGAATTTCTTTCTTTGTGGGGGAAAAATGAATGGTGCCCACAGGGACAGGTATAGGTAAGTGGGAACATTCCATTTCTTCTTTTCCTAGTTTTTATTATTTTATTTATCTGTCTAACTCACTGACCCAGAAATTTATTGGGTAAGCCACTGTGAATGACAGGAGTTTGGGTGCAATAGATACGCTTTTCAATAAACAACTAGTCATTGAATTGTTATAGTAAAAAACTTTATATTCTCATTGCCTGAGGGGTGCATTCAGGATGGACACAGTGTCCCTGTGCGGTAAAATAATGGTAAATCTTGCTCACCTTCCTTTCTAACCATATTGTTTGACCTGTGTCCTCATTCTTTTAGCTGCTTTCCCAGTTAAAGATGACATATCATAAAAGGAGACCTTGCTGGCTGTTTTAAGTCTCCTAACATTGAAGTCTCTCAGCTGGAAAATTATCTTCCTTAGTGCTCTGGAATGCATCTTCAAATGCTCATCAGCTGATATTTATTGAATACTTTCTCTGAGCAATAGTGGACTTTAAATTGACTGTAACCTACACACCCTTTTCTGATCCAATCTCCAGCGAATATTTTATTGTATTAAAAGCTCAGATTCTAAGAGCTTAGTATTCAAGTGCTTCATGCCTCAAAAGTACCTTGAATGTGAGTAGTTTATTATTATTCAAAAATTTTTCCCTTAAAGTTTCACCCCTGGGAAAGGATAAGAGGAAAGGAAAGTTAGGCAGTGAATGTAAGATGGATCTGAGAGATAAATGTGGAGAGTGTGGAATTAAAAGAAGTAATTTTAACCCAAACTGGGAAGAATAGTAAATCATATGGTCACATAGTGAAAGCATGGGCTTTGGAAGCAGACTGACTTGAATTTAAATCCTAGCTCATCAAGGCAGGTGGAAATGTAAAATGAAACAGTTATTTTTCAGTAGACACTGGAGCATGAAAATTTTAGCAATATATATTTCTAACAGGAAAACTATAAAATACAGCCAAACATACCCAGAGACAACTTCTATTAAATACCTAGTTGTGTATTACAAACCTTCTTTGGTATACTCACAGATGTTGAGGTCGTAAGTTGAAGAAGTCTATAAATAGCACTCTTCTTTCCTGCTTGAGTTTATAACTAATTAAGAAAGAGATACAGGAGTCAGACTGATGAGAAATATCTATCTATCTATATGTACATATGTGTGTGTGTGTGTGTGTGTGTGTGTGTATGAACTAGCCAAGTAGAAGGGAGAATGTTCCAGGCAGAAGGAAAACCATGTGCGAAGGCCCAGAGGCAAGGGGAGCACGAAGAGTAGAGAAATTACAGACTTTTTGGTGTGTCTTACCATGAGGTGCCCACAAATGAGGCCAGAGGAGTAAGCAGGGGCAGATTACAAAAGGCTTTGCAGGTCACTTTAAGAGTTTTCACTTGATCATAAGGGTTGTTAGGAATGTTTGAAGGACAGCTGTCAGGGCTCTTGGTGAAAACTTTGTAGCAGTTACTGTCAGACTCCACTTTCTTCTCAATAAATGCAGAGGTTGTATCTCTAACATAAGATAAGCACTTGAAATAATGGCTGCATAGCCTGTGGTCTTGTTTCTCAGCATGAGTACTCAGTGATGTAAATCCTATTTTCATCCAGTGTTTAAGAAACAGAGTGAAGTCCTGAGCCATGAGAATTGCTCACTAACTGAGGTGCTCCAGCTCTACTGCCTGGACACAGTAGGTGTACGGCCTTAGCCTTCTTTCTCTAAAGAGACTTTAAGTCTCATCAACTGGATGGGACAGTGGAACAAGTCTTTGGTCAGACAGTGAGGGAGGGTGAAGGGGTGATAGCTCCTTGTGATTTCTCTCAGCTCAGGAAACCTGTGGCCAAGATGGAGGACTCTAGTCCATGGGACAGCCTGGCCTCCTCACCATGACCAGCCAGCTCCATGGAGAGACTCTGGATGGTTTATTCAGTTGTTCAATCGTGTATCCACCCATTCCTTCAAAAATACACTGACTGCATGTATTAGTTATTACTATTGAAATGTAGGTGTGCAAGGGTCTGTAATGAGCATTGAGGGAGGCATATATTATCGCCATTTTGCAGATCCCAAAGCTGGCACTCAGAGAAGCCAGGTGACTTCCTCATATCTTGTGGCTATTTAAAAGGGTAGGCTCAGAGTTCTGACTCGAGTTTGCTTCTCCCTAAAGCTCAGGCTCTTAAAACACACACATAAACAAGCAAAAACAAACATAAGCCCCATTGTTCTTACTAGAGAAGTTACACAAATTCTTTCTCAAAAATTGAGAAATAATGCAGTTAAATCATTCCATATGTCTTATGATATTATTTTGCCTTTTGGATAATTTCTAAGAAGTGGAATTGTTTAGTTCAAAGGTATAGAAAATGTTAAAGCTTTAGAAATGAATCTGGCGGGCTGACCTCTGGAAGAGTGCCAAGTTACCTTCCAGAAATCCATGTTATTCATTATATGACACTCTAAAAGATCACTAAGGATGTAATGAAACATACCTCTCAGTGTTTGTTTTGTGCCGACCATGAGCTCCCTGTGATGAATTTGAAGGGCTCTGTTTTGATCTATAGTAGGAGGCAGGAAAAATGAGGCTTTAAAAGTAGTTTAGTTCATCAAGACCCACTAGGAAATAAAAAGAACACAATAAGAAAGCTGAGGAAGAAATTCGATTTCAGTTTACTTCTGTTGTAATCAACTGTTCATTGTGAAATTTCACACAATTGTGTGTTTTGTGTTTAAGAGTGAGAGTGGTCCTCTTACCAACTGCCTAATGACTGACAAATATCCACCATTTGTTAATTTGGTGGAAAAAGAGTAAATCAAGCTATGTCTGAGTCAATGGACTATTCAACAGAACTGGCTAGTTCCATCAAAAGGGTTCATTTGGCACCACCATATGCAGGGTAGAAGTGCTAGAAAGAAGGCAGGCATTTTATGTAGCAAGTTGCTTAAAATAAAAACAGTGAAATGTATAGTTTTATGTCCTTAATCATAGCTAATATTTGTCAAGCACTTATATGAAGACACTGTTCTAGGGGCTTTCTTCTCTTTATGTCGTGAACGTAGGCTTTTTGCTCTGGCTGTGAGGACAACAGGTCATTTTGGGGTGGCTGGTAAGCAGGAGCAGTGGCTGCACCTCCCTAGGAGGCAATGGAGTCCCAAAGTACTAGGCATGGCCCCACCGGCTTCTTCTTCTTTTTTTTTTTTTTTCATATCATGAATGTGACTTAGGTCTCTCATTCTTGAATGATTTGAGATAGTTTTGAAATTGTCTCACCGAGTGGCGCCTTTGTGTAAATGCACTTGGCAATCATTTTGGTCCACTCAGCAGATTCCCAGTGGGTTTGGCTCTGTAGTCCTTCCGGGTTGCTCTTCTGAGGCCAGGTCACAGGATGAGTGACCTGGATATTGACAGATTGCTCCTCACAGTGGCTGCACCATCTCTACTCACACCAGCAGCCTGAGAGAGTGCCCTCTGTCCACATCTCATCGACACTGGGTGAATTTTAAGAATACCACCCCCACACCCTATCTGATGGTTCTGAGGGGACTTGTATTAGTCAGTGTTCTTCAGAGAAACAGAATCAATAAGACGTGTGTGTGGATATAGAGACAGAGATATAGAGACAGAGGAAGAAATATAGAGATAGAAATATAGAGAAAAAGATAGAGCTTATCTATCATCTATCATCTATCAATATATATCTATCATCCTATAGATCTATCTATCTATCTATAGGATATCTATCTATCTATCTATCTATCTATCTATCTATCTATCTATCTATCTATCTATCTATCGGAAGAGAAAGAGAGAGACATATCAGATGGAGCCTAGCAAGTCTGCGATCTGTAGGGCAGACCAGCAGTCTGGAGACCCAGAGAAAAGCTGATGTAGCTAAAGTCTAAAGGCGGTCTGAATTCTTTCTCGGGGGACCTCAATCTTTTCTGCCTAAGGAGTTCAACTAATTGGACAAGGCTCATTCACATTATCTTGTTTAGTCATTTATTTTTATATATTTAGGGGGTACAGGTGCAAGTTTCTTACCTGAATATACTGTGTAGTGGTGCAGTTGGCCACCCACATTATCAAGGGTAATCTGCTTTACTCTAATTTACGGATTTAAAAAGCTAATCCCATCCAAAAAAATAACCTTTACAGTGACATCTAGACTGGCGTTCGACCAAATATCTGGGTATGGTGGCTTCGTCAAGTTGACATGTAAAATTAACCATCAAGGGACACTATTCATTTTGTAAACCTCCCTGCCCCTGAGACAATGGCTTGCACATGGTAAGCATATTCAGTGCATGTGTTTCTGACTGAACGTGTGAGTGAATGACTGAAAGAAAGATTTGACTCTGCTTTTATCTTAGTTCTTTACCTGTATGGGATGCCATGAAGGTCAGTGAGGAAAATCACCATTGACATGTTCTACTATGTTAGAAAGAAAGATTTCAAACTGTGTAAGAATCACATATGTATAGATTGACATATTCTACTACGTTAGAAAGAAAGATGTAAAGCATTTCAAACTGTGTAAGAATCACATATGTATAGAACTGGGAGAGCATTCGATTTATATGTGAATAAAGAGTTAAGATTTTTTGTGCATAGTTGGGTAGCTTCCTTATATATATTTTATCTAAATTGGCAAATCAATTTTAAGACTCAGAGTCCTTAAAAATATGCATTTGTGTGTCAGTAAAAGTAAAGTAAAAATACATAAAAAATGAGAGGCCATTGAAATCCTAAAAGATTACTGATTCAAAGTCAAAGAGAAATGACATCTAATTCCTCTGGTATATGTTAGTATTACTAGGTGGTTAACGTTGCCAGCTTTGGAGCTGAATTGTCTGGGATCCTGGCTCCACTGTGTATTAGCTTCATGTCTCGGTTTGCTCCACTGTAAAATGAGAATAACAATGAGTGGCCTCACAAAGCTGCTGTGAGGATTAAATGAATCACACACGGAAAATGCTGAATCCAGTGCCTGATGTATGGTACGTGGTCAAGCGGTGTTACTCATAGCACCTCTCTTCCTACTTAACTGCTTTTTATAGCCAGTTAAGAATAGAAATGACATTTTTAAATATTCCAATTAAAAATATTTACTATTTAAATCTATATTTAAAATACCAAATACATATTTAATATCAGTATTTACATACTATTTAAACATCTCTTAATGTTGAGAGGACATATTAAATTAGATTTTAAAAAAATCAAGATTTCTTCATTAGGTCTGAATTTCATAAGACATGAAATGAGATTATGACATATGGTGAATTTTTAAACATACAGACAAAGAGTTTCTGGGCATATTGCTCTTTATATTTGCAAATTGGGAGCTTGTCTCCTTGTGGGATTCTACAGTTCACTCCAGTAGAAGGATCTGGCTCCTGTTTATATGTGACTATGAAATGTTTTGAGATTTCTTTTAGGGCAAACTCTGGCCTGTGGGCTCAGTCTGGCCCAATACTTGTTTTTGTATGACCCTCAGGCTAAGAATGGTTTTAACATTTTTAAATGGCTGGGGAAAAAATCAAAAGATGGATAATATTTCATGATACATAAAAATTACAGGAAATTTAAATTTCAATGTCCATAAATGAAATTTTGTGGGAACACAGCCACACTGATTCATTTGTGTCTTCTCTGTGGCTGTTTTTGTGCTACAACTGCAGAGCTGAGTAATTTCAACAGACTCGGAATGGCCTGCAAAGCCTAAAATATTTACTCTCTGGCCTTTACGGGAAAAGTTGGCCAGTTTCATGCCTGTTTCATTTCAAATGTGGGAAAACAAAGCCGAAGAGGTGAGATTCAGCTTTGTCCATTTTGGAAACTGTTACCAGGTTGGGGAAGAGATGGAAGTCTTTAAGGAAAATAAAGTTCCTGAATTATGTGTGGATTTAACCACTTCAAGCTCTCCTTACCTTCTAAGATAACATAAGTGAAAATACTTTTGAGAGGGAGAAGTCCTCTATGAGAGAAAGGCAGATGCCTTCAGAGTTGACACCAAAACATTGTCATGGCAGGTGGGTCTGCTGTCCAGGCAGTCAAGAGGGAGCCTGTGAATGGAGTTGTGTGATGTGTGATTTTCATTAGGTCCTAATGCATTAGATAAAATGTGCCTAACCCAGTGGGAGGGTTTTTCCTTTGGATTTCCATGCTCTTAGGATGTAATATTTTCAACTGTGTCATCAAAATTGATCTGCTGCAATTACTGAGATCTGCAGCACATGTTATCAACACATCAGAAGAACTAAGAAGCCTTTCCTTAAAAATTAAAAAAAATATTATCTTAAGCTGCCAACCATGAAATGCTTTAAAAGTAGTTCTTTGTATAACTTCATAAAGTGCTTCTGAGAGATTCTTCCCATTTACCTGGCTGTTGATAAAAACCCAAAGAACATTACATTCAGCTTCTTTGTAGATGGAAAAAGTCTGGTGGGTTTCATTCTCTGGGCAAGTCGCTGTTTGGAAATGTGCATTCTTCTGTCCATTTGAAGTTCTACTTTAGTTTTTATTGAAATTTCTTTTTCAGCATAGTTCCTTGTTATTGTTCAGAATAAATACCTTAGACGAATATCTTCCAGAAGTCTTGTGTTTTAAACATACTGAAGTAATGAAACGTGATAAACTTGGTACATTGTAGTTTGGATTTTGCATGGCACACTGTGATTTTGGACTTCTGTGTTCTGATAGCTTGGTCATGAGCTGAAAGGGTTCAAGGCTATTGCCCTTCGGAGTACCGTGCTGCTGAATAACGCAAATGTCAGCTCAGGAACATTGGAAAAGCAGCAGCAGTTGAATTAGCAGAATGTATTTGAGATTCATCCATGTAAATGAGTTTGAGATTCATTCATTCACCTTTTGTAAACCAGTTGACGAAAGAAAAGAATTATTGTGCAGAAAAGGCAGTTTTATATTTTTATAACAATGAAAAAAATGAGTAAAAAATTTTAAGAACAGTTGAGGTGAATAGGTAAATTGACAGGATTAGAAACTGTGAGAATTGCTTTGGGGAGCGCAAAGGCTACTGCGGTCCAGCCATACTGAGCTCTCAATAGGTACCACGTACTGAGACCTGTCCATGTCCTTTCCACACATTAGCTCATTGATCCTCCCTATGGCACTCTAGGCAGGAGTTACTAGCTGCATTTTGTAAATAGAACCTCAGGCACTAAGAGGTTAGATGACTTGCTTAGGGTCACACCGATCCTAGGGGTGGAGCCAGGATCCAAACCTAGCACCTGGCTCCAGAAAATCAGTGAGGCCAACTAAAATTTACAAGCAGGTCAAAACAAGACTGGGAAAAAAGGACACTATTGGGGGTTGAGAGACAGGGCAGAGAGAGTTGGCCTGGACCTCACATTCAGGCTTTGGACATTTCTTCCAAATGAGAGTATATAAACATGTATGACATTTTTTGGATGATTTTATATAAAAAAATTACTTTATATATGTTGTATATATAGCATATGCTAGATATTTTTGTATATATAAATTATATACAAAAATTTATTTATATATAAATTATATACTTATATATAAAATTAAATTAAATTAATAATCAATTAAATTAAAAATTAATTAAATTAATTAATTAAATTAAAAATGATTAAATTAATTAAATTAAAAATGATTAAATTAATTAAATTAAAAATTAGTTAATTAAATTAAAAATAAAATTATATATTTATATATAAATTATATAAAATTCATATATAAATATATACAAAAATATATAGTATATGCTATATATACAAACATAAATGGTAGAATATACTATATATACAAACATATAATGTATGCTATATAAAGTATATACTATATTAAAAATATAAATATAGTATAATTTTTGTCATCTTTTTTAGTGTGTTTAATAGAATGAGACCCTAAAAAAATTGGAAGTGCTGCATTTCTGTCTTCTCCTGAGAGGCCCTATAGCATATTATTGAAGTAATATCATTATTTAATACATATAGTAAATAACAACCTTGCATAATGGGTAGTTATTTCACTTTTTAGTGTTTCACCTTGCAGTATCAATTACATAACATTAATTCTGTTCGTTTAAAATATTCCAAAATAAATACATGACTATGTCCTGACTGTTTTACTCAAAAATGAGATTATTAAGAGAATGAAAAGACAAGTTACAGACTTGAAGAAATCTTCGAAAAACACTTATTTGATCAAGGACTCATATCCAAAATCTACAAAGAATTTTTAGAACTCAATGATTAGAAAACAGCTCAATTTTTTTTTTTTTTTTTTTTTTTTTTTGAGACGGAGTCTCGCTCTGTCGCCCAGGCCGGACTGCGGACTGCAGTGGCGCAATCTCGGCTCACTGCAAGCTCCGCTTCCCGGGTTCACGCCATTCTCCTGCCTCAGCCTCCCGAGCAGCTGGGACTACAGGCGCCCGCCACCGCGCCCGGCTAATTTTTTGTATTTTTAGTAGAGACGGGGTTTCACCTTGTTAGCCAGGATGGTCTCGATCTCCTGACCTCATGATCCACCCGCCTCGGCCTCCCAAAGTGCTGGGATTACAGGCGTGAGCCACCGCGCCCGGCCGAAAACAGCTCAATTTTTAAAAAATGGGCAAGAGGTCTGAAAAGATACCTCACCAAAGAAGAGATACAGAGGGCAAACATGAAAAGATGGTTAACATAATCTATCATTAGGGACTGTAGATTAAAACAGCAATGAGATACCACTGCACATCTACAATTCAGTACACGGGACACCAACCAAATGCTGGTGAGGATGTGGAACAACATGAACTCTCATTCATTTCTGGTGGGAATGCAAAATAGTACAGCCACTTTGGAAGACAGGATGCTTGTTTCTTACAAAACTAAATATACTCAAACCATATAATCTAGCGATTATATTTCTTGGTATTTGCCCAAATGAATCAAAAACTGAAGCATATTAAAAAGCCTGCTCATGAATGTTTACAGCAACGTTGCTTATACTTGCCAAAACTTGGAAGCAACCAAGATGTCCTTCAGTAGATGAATGAATAAACAACGGCACATCCATACAATGGAATATTTTTTCAGCGATAAAAGGAAGTGAGCTATCAAGCCATGAAAAGACATAGAGGAAACTTAAATGCGTACCACTGTCCCTCGATATCCATGGGGGATTGGATCCATGCGGTTGGCCCTTTGGAATCTGTGCATGTGGAAAGTTGCCTCCTTCACTCTGCATCCTCGGATTTCGTGTCCCTTAAAGACTATTTTTTCCTCAGATGTTAGTTGAAACTGCAGATGCGGACCTATGGATACAGATGGCTACTGGCTGTGGGATCCTGAGTGATTTACTTCAGTGTTTTTCATCTCTAAAATGGAGGAAAAGGCCATACCTACCATTAATAGATCTGTGAGGATTAAATTAAGATACATAAAGTGCCTCACATATGATAAGCAGACAAATTATAAACTTTTCCTTTTCTCTTCCTATGGAATTGGAGGAGCATTAAGGCTGTTACAGGCTTTGCACTCCTTATCCTAACTCTCCCACTACCACAAGTTTAAGGAAAGTAGTAAGGAAAAGTTGAGTTAGAGGCAGCTATGTACTGAAGGGTAAGAGGCAACTAAGTCTTTAGTTCTGTTTGAGCTGGTGAAAACAAGGCACCTCTCCTTACAGAGTCCCACTGAAGTCATTGTTTTGAAGTAGAAGTGTGTGCATGTATTTTTTGGTGCTTATTTCTCTTCTTCAAATAGAAGAAAGTACATAAGGAGGCAAAACCCACAAACAAATTCGAAACATTTAATGAAACCTCTGACACACACACATATACATGTCATGTATACACAGCAATTCAGCTCAATTGCAAGTAAATGAAAACATGCAGTTCTCCCCTATAGATATTTCTCATGTTGGCTGAAATAGCCTGCTCGTAGCCAAATGGCCTCTTGTGTTATTTACTCTTCTCCTGTTCTGCTGGTGAAGAAGGCTGTGAACCCCCATTCCAGTACAGAGAAAGAGTCTCTGAGTGGTCAGCAGCAGCAGTAGACACAAGAGGCCATTCCCCATGGACCAGTCAGGGAAGCCACATCTGAGTTAGTGCTGGATGGACAAAGGGACACTAATATGCTATCAAAAGGTGAGTCTTGGGGTGATAGAACTTTTCAGAGAATTGCCTTTACTGAGTTATATTTTCCGGCAATAGTCTGCTTTTATGGAGGAAGAGAGAGACAGGAATTACTTGAGCAATCCCGTATCTTTGGTGAAGCCTCCACACCAGTTTGATTGATTTCTTGGTCAAGAAATAAATAACAACAGATTCTGTGTATAACTTAAAGCTCCAATATTTTTAGTAATTAGTTAATTAATTATATTTTTATGTTTTGCCTTAGATGGAAAGCTTTAATCAATCTTCTGACTCAGAAATTGGGTGCTTAAAGACCTTTCTTCCATCATTTTTTCCCCAAGTGATCTTTATTCTTTATGATTCTTAAATGTCTTAAGCACCATCTAGTCTATAAGCCCCTTCAAACCCTCTCAAAAGCTGGTAAGAATAAATCTTAAGTAAATGTAAAAATAGCATCATATCCTCAAGTGGACAGAGATTCTCCAAACCTCTTGATCTCAACCCTTTTATTTAAATCACAGAGACATTTGGTTTTAGAACTGGAGGGGTCCTGTATTACAGATTTTCCTGAAAAAATGGGAAGAATAATAATAGTACCTGCTAGGTAAGATTGTCCGTAGAAGTAAATTACATAAAGTGTATAAAAAAGGCTTAGGCTAATGCTTGGTCCCGGATAAATGCTCAATAAACGGTACCTTTTATTGTAATTTTCTTTCACCAGGATCGTTAGCATGTTCTATGATAAATGCTGCAGATCTGCAGTAATAAAATAGCTGCAGGGCCCATGTGACTATTGAAATTTAAATTAATTAAGCTAAAACAAAGCTAACATTTCAGTTTCTCAGTTGCATTAGCCACATTTCAAGGGCTCAATACCACACATGGCTAGCGGCTACCATACCAGGCGGTGAAAATATAGAACCTTTTCATCATCACAGGAAGCTTTCATGGACAGTGCTGCTCTAGAGTATATCAATGGCATTGGAAATTCATAAGCCAAGAGTGTCTTTCAAATATCAGCTAATTAATGAACTAATATCACGTCAGATATCACCTCTATAACATTTAAAAAATACTCATTGTGCTATTATGGCTAGTGCTGCAATGAAGATGAAATCAACCTAAATGCCCATCAATGACAGATTGGATAAAGAAAACGCAGTACCTATACACCGTGGAATACTATGCAGCCATGTAAAAAGAACGAGATCATGTCTTTTGCAGGAACACCAATGCTGCTATTATTCTCAGCAAACTAATGCAGGAACAGAAAACCAAATACTACATGTTCTCACTTATAAGTGGGAGCTAAATGATAAGAACCTGTGAACGCAAAGAAGGAAACAACAGACGCTGGGGTCTATTTGAGCGTGGAGAATGGGAGGAGGGAGAGGAGCGGAAAAGGTTAACTCTTGGGTACTGGGCTTAACACCTGGGTGATGAAATAATGTGTACAACAGACCCTCAGGACATGAGTTTACCTATGTAACAACTATGTAACAAACCTTCATATGTAGCCCCCAAACCTAAAATAAAAGTTCAAAAAAAAAAAAAAGGAAAAAAAACTCATTGTGAGCCAGGCATGCTGGCTCAAGCCTGTTATCCCAGTACTTCCGGAGGCTGAGATGGGCAGATTGCTTGAGATGGATGGCAAACCGCATCTCTACAAAAAATACAAAAATTAGCTGGGCATGGTGGAGCACACCTATAGTCCCAGCTACTTGAGAGACTGAGGCGGGAGGATCACTTGAGCCTGGGAGGCAGAGGTTGCAGCAAGCCTAGCTCTCACCACTACACTTCAGCCTGAGTGACAGAGTGAGACCATGTCTAAAAAAATAAAATAAAAATAAAAATACTGATTGTGAGATGAATTAAGATAAACCTATAATAATAAAAAATGACTAGAAGATTAGATGTTTATCTAGCTGGTAAAATTAATTGGGCAGTGAAATGCATTGCTATTGCTTTTCTAATTTGTAGAAGTTGTCTCAGAATATGCATGGAGAGTACATACATGAGCATGAATGTCTGATTCTGCCAGAGAAGCTTAAACATATATGGAATTGTGAGATATGGTAAAGGAAAGGAAAGCCTGGCATCATCTTGGCAACAGGCTGAGTTTTTTTCTAGTGGGACCATTTAAGGACCTGGGAGAGTTTATCATATATTGTTCTCAACTGGTGAAGCGGAGTTTATAGATACTTGATGCAATTTCAGGCCACATCCAGCCAACAATGAATTACTTTAATGTAATTGGTGAACATTAACTGTGATCTGAAAAAGCAAAATTAATAACTGTTGCTTATTTACAATGTACATGGAATAATTTTTATCACATGCTAAATTATTTTGGGGAATGTATTATCTAATTAGAAAGTTATCTTAGCATTCAGTTTCGAGCTCAGTGATTGCCACATTATAGGCTCAATAAACATTGGTGAACTTTGTCTTTGAGATTTTAGAAATGGTTGGCAGAAGCGATGCAACATAGCATTGTTTAAATGGTGGGTGGCAACCAATTGGTGATTATGGAATCAGTTTAGTGGGTCATGACCAACATTTAAAAAGTGAAATGAAGTGAAATAGAATGGAAAATACATTGCATGTATTAAGGGAAAATATTGTGTTATAAAATGTCTGCTTTAAATATACGTGTATGGGCATACAGCGTCACAATGAATTTTTTTGTTCTCCGTGGATTGTGTTAAAAAAAATGTTTAAAAGCAACTGATGTAGAGGAAATTCAAGTACCAATTGGCTAGTTGAACTCTGTGTTGGTGATGATAATGGTGATGATGACAAAAACAGCTACAGCTTGACTGTTTACCATAAACCAGTACTTTTTCTTTTTTTAAATACAAATTATTTTTTATTTGGAAAATGCTTTATATAATTCAGTTATGTAATAAAGAATAAAATGTAAGCGTTTTCTAATTTCATTTTCATAAGCACCCGGTATGGTAGGTGCATAACATTCCTAGTCTATTTGTGAGCTATGTGCATTTCAGTGAGGTTAAAGTGCAGTTCCCAAGGTCACACAGCTGGTAGAAGTTGAGATGTGATTTGAACTGACTGCCTCTAGGGTTAATGGACTAGAATCACCATGTTATACTTTAAGACCCTGTAGAACAAGGCAGTTCTCAACCACTTGATTACTGCTTAATGACCCTGTCATAGAGCATGGCAAGAGGAAATGAAACTAAACTTGATTCCTTCTAGTTATGGGCCCCTGGTCTCATGGCAGCAGTGCATTACTGTAGAAAGCCCTGGGTTTAGAAATAGGTTTGAGGGTGATGTTGAGCAGTTGCTAACCTTTTTAGTCTTGGCTTTCTTCTTGATTTCCTTTATTCTTTTTTTGTAGAGCTGTTGTCCAGCCAGGGGCCATTGCACTTAAATGCACCTACTGTGCACTTCCCACCTACTAATGCATTGAATCCTCACAGGATTCCACCTAGTGGTCCTGCTAGCATCCCTGTTCTACTGGTGTCCAAACTGAAGCCTGGAGAGGACCAGTAACTTGCCCAAGCTCACACAGCTACCATGGAATTCATCCCATGTAGACCTGCTCCTGAGCTATGCTCTTAACCATATGCTCTTAACTGTGGCACAAACAAGATCATCCAGAAATGTTAAAGGAGTTCTTAAAGTCTCCCCCTCAAGCCTTTGGACACCTCTCTGAGTCCCTTCTGACTCTCCATGGAATAATTTTTATCACATGCTAAATTATTTTGGGGAATGTATTATCTAACTGGAAAGTTATCTTAGCATTCAGGTTCTAGCTCAGTGATTACCGCGTTATAGGCTCAATAAACACTGGTGAACTTTGTCTTTGAGATTTTAGAAATGGTTGGTAGAAACGACGCAGAAATGTCTGCTCAATAGTGTCATACCATCTCTCTTCTTGCTTGCTAACTCCATTTGTGGAATGAAATATGGCCTCACCCTTCTCATGCCTGTAGAAGTTATGCTAAGGTTTCCCTCAGCCCAGAGAAGCAATTTCCCAAATGTGCCTCTCTTCCTAAACCCATTTCCGTGTGTCCTCACATTCCCTAGCAAGGATTAACTATTTTTATTTGCTTATTCATAAATAATAACTTTACAGCATCTCCAATTATCTTTCCAAATTCTTCTTCTGTTTCTTCCAGTCTTTGTTAGGCTTAAATTTATCAGACTTAAATTCTCAAAAAAGAACTTTTTAAAAATAATACATGTAGTAATGTTTCAAGTGTTGTTTTAACATATTCTGCTTAAAATGAAGGTCATCACTGGCTGCAAGTAAGTGAACATATGTTAAAATTTCATGTGTTGGTGCTCAGAGATTCTAATACCATTTGAATTTCAAGAATTTGAGGCAAACTAGAGTCTTTGAAAAAATGCTTAAATTGTTTTTCTTCCCCGTAAGAATGTAACCAGAGTCCTTGTCTCAGGGCTTAAGATATCTTCTTTCTGGCTTGGCCTTTACTTCAGGTAGGGAGAGGGAAGCAAAGACAACGAGCAGTAATGTAATTTTCTCCTTCCAAGCCCCCTAACGCCAGCCTGACTTAATACAACACATACAGCTGCTGCTGCTGCTTCTGCTGCTGCTTCCCCTTCCCCTTCCCCTTCCCTTTCCCCATCCTCCTCCTCCCCCTCCCTGTCCCCTGCCCCTTCTCTTCCTCCTCCTCCTCGTCTTCCTCCTCCTTCTCTTCTTCTTCCTCTTCTTTTCATTTCCTGTCTGTAATGGAGATGAACAGCTCCTAACTAACCGCCTAACATTTTACCTTTTATACTTCAAGTCCCATTCTAGTTCACTCCTTAATAGTCTCAATTCTTTTGACCTTTCCTTCTCCATGCCCCCAAATCCACAGCCTTTATGTTACAGCATTTTGCTTGCATCCAGATTTTCAACCTATTAATGTCAGTCTATTAATGTTTAGTCAAGAATACAGAAGCTTGCTGTGTTAAGGGCAAGAGAGCCGTCAACTCTATGGAAACAATTACAGAAGGCAGCAGGAAGAACACCAAAAACAAAACAAAACAAAACAAAAAACTAAACAAATTTTAAAAACTCGAATCTCTTTCATGCTAAAGAAGAGTTTCCAAAGCTTAAACTTTAGCAAATTATCATCCTCAAATGGAAATGGGTGAAGAACACACATGAGCCCTGCATGAATTGGGAAATACAGTTAACTGCTCATAACTGTTAGGTGAAGTTCAAATATGAATAAGCCCATGTGACCGAATGACTTCCTTGTGTGAGAGGTGAGGTTATACTTTGGTCTTAATGCATCGACAGAGCAGATTGAAGATAAATCTCAGCTGTTCTGGTTGGAGTGGTATGTTGGCTACTTTCTTCATGTTCTCCTCTTCCTTTTACATACAAGACTGGACTGCATCTGGCTCTTCCACATTGGAATGGAAAGATAAGGGGAGCCAGAAGTTTTGATTTGGTGTCACTGTTGTTAGATAGCCTTGAACTCTCTGGGCCTGGCAGGTGCCTGTAACATTTTTCCTTCTGGATGTTTCTGTGGATTTTTCAGAAACTACCCACCCCCTAACATCCCCCAACCCCCTCTGCTTTCTGCCCTTACCCTTTGCCACCCTGATCATGGGGTGTTTTCATCTCTAGCTTCTGCGATGCAGATAATGTGCCCTCTGTCTTCACTGATTCCTTCTTCACCCCAAGGAGTCTGGTTGGTAGTCACCTCTAGCTTTCATTAGTTGGGGGTCTCATGAAATGTCCAGGAGACCCGACAAGACATAACCTGATGTGACCTCACACCAGCTCTCTTGTGAGTGGCTCACTTCTGGTCTGTGGGACACATCCAGGCATCCTCTGCACTCAGAAACTTGGATTCCAACACAGCTACCTCTCCTTGAGCTCATGTCAGAAGCCGCAGTGTATCACCTGCTTTAGGATCTGCATCCACAAAGTCTTCCAAACTGTAGGAGCCCCATGTGAAGCTCTCTGAGTGGTCCCGCTGAATTCCCCTTCACCTGGCTTGAAGTGAGAATAGACGCTCCCTAAACCTTTCCCAAGGGTTAAAGTACAGCTCTCTCCAAAGAAATCCTTCTCACATATTCTTTTGTTAGTAGATTTTCTCTTGTCTCTGACTTTGATATTCTTGTTGTGGCTGAGAGGTCTCTGTCTTCTAACTGGTTCTTGTTCATTAACTTTGAAATTCTGCCTTGGAGTCTATTAATCTCTAAACTGAGATATAAAAATTTCCCATTTTGGCATCCTGTTATACAAATAACAAGTACACCAAACTCTTTGAGGACTGTGTGTACTGTTAGGCCTAGACCAAGCTTTGCTAGGGCAACATTTGCTCTCAAGGGATTTTAGCAGGGAATTCTTCCTTGGGGAAAAGCCTGTTTTAAAAACCTTCTACCCAATAGGTAATGCTCTGATGGGTGGAGCTTGCTGCCAAATGGTTTAAAACCCACTCTATAATAGTAGGTGATTTCGCTTTTTTGGTTAAAGAGAGAAAACATTTTTCTTCGATCAAAATATCCAAGATCATTAATTGAGTGCTAGCAGCTGAGGCATTTCCTCTTGATTGTTGCCTTTGCATTCAGACTGCTGTGTGGTTCCAGCTTCCCTTTTGGACTGGGACAGGCCAAGTGGAGAATTCTGAGCTCAAAAATCAACTAGGATGGCAATTTTCAGAAAGCAGTTCTGATTGCTTTGACTTTCTCTTGAGCTCCTCCTGACTTTGTTCAGTGTCTGCATTCCCTGTATCAAACTGGCTTTGAAAGAGCCTCCTACTCTCTAGGCCTTTGGTCATTACAAGTGAGTGGCCCCAGCCATACGTGGTTCACTGTGGGGGTTGTGTTGGGCCATTCTGTTAGGTCTGCACAGAGTTTTAAAAGGCAGGTCATCTCAGCTCCTCTGGTTCACCTTAGATCCTGCAGTTCCTGCATGCTAACTGCACACATCCTGCAGGCATTTGGGCTTCACTTCTTGGATCTTCTAGGACATCTTCCAGTGTGAATTAAGGTAAACTGTCTCAAATAAACCAACATGCCTTTGAGTTATTGGGAGATAAGGTCAAGTGTTTTTAGTTGTAACTTTCCTTTCCTTTTATCCATGATTTGTTGTTGTTGAGGAGGAGTGACTTTTGGAAATACTTGATAAGATAGAAAGGGGACATTGGGCATGTGTCACTATGTGGCACAAAGGCTGCAAAGGTGAGGAATAGAGACAAAAGAGTGCAGATAATAAAAGAAAGGAGATAAGTAGATATTTGCTCAGATATGCTATTTTCTCCTACCAGTAAGAGTTGTTCTTTAAAACCTGAATTGAGAAATTAGCAGAATAGGTGAGAGATGACTGAGAAGGTCTTCTGGCCCATGGTACTTTAATAGGACAGAAAATTGCACTGGGAAAATACACCTGTAACCTAACCACCCCTTAAACTTTTACAGGGTATAACCACATCAGCGCCCAGAAACCAAAACTCGCCCATCAGACCACAGCAACCCTGGCATAGGGAGCTTCCCATTGGCTTGGTGGTGTAATCTTTGACTAGAAAGTGTCATTTTATGAGTCTGGCTCTGTTATGAAGATGGATGCCTGTTTGTGCTCAAGACTGTGATGGAGGCTATGTAATGCTGATCATAGTGGTAGGAACCCACTTGGGTCTGTGTCCTCATCTCAAACCCAGAATCCTGTTGGGAAGCAACCATAGTTCTGCTCATCCCAGGATCCTTTCTGGAGTATGCAGCAAGCTCATTCATTCTTGCCTGTTTTCCCCCATTCTAATCAGGATAACAGCTAGAGGCTGAGTGGGTGTTCTTTCCCAGCTACAGGTTACCTTTCTCTAGGTTGATACACAAGCTCTTTATTGCAGTATCTGTTGAAACCTTAGATTTCTTTCTTTTCTTTTCTTTTTTTTTTTTGATGGATTCTCACTCTATCACCCAGGCTGGAGTGCCATGGAGCAATCTTGGCTCACAGCAACCTCTACTTCCCGGTTTCAAGTGATTCTTCTGCCTCAGCCTCCCAAGTAGCTGGGATTACAGGCACGCACCATCATGCCTGGCTATTTTTTGTGTTTTTAGTAGAGATGGGGTTTCACCATGTTGGCCAGGCTGGTCTCAAACCTTAGATTTCAACTGTAGTAGCATGTTACAATAAGAAGTGAGCAAAGCCAGTTTTTCTTTGCTGGTCTGTTTAGATAATGTCATTGATAAAAATAGCAATAAACATGTATCCAATCCTCACTATAAGCTAGACTTTATGTATGTAAACTCATTTAATGCTCACAAACCCCTAGGAAGTACATGTTATTGCATCCCTGTTGTCTTAGTTCCTTTTGTGTGCTGTAAAGGGATACCTGAGGCTACATAATATGTAAAGAAAAATGGTTTATTTGGCTTACAATTCTGATGGCTGGAAAGTTCAAGATTGGGCATCTGGTGAGAGTCTCAGGCTGTTTAGACTCATGGTAGAAAGTGAAGGGGATCAGGCATGTACAGATATCACATGTTGGGAGAGGAAGTGTTTGGGGGTGGGTAGTGTGCCAGGTCACGTGGGAACTGAGTAAGAACTCAACCTGAGGGGGAGCATTAATCTATTAATGAGGGATCTACCCCCTTTCCAAACACTCCCACTAGGCCCCACCTCCCAACATCACCACACTAGGGATTTCATTTTGACATGAGGTTTAGAGAGGATGAACATTCAAATGATAGCACCTGTTTTACAGATGAGTAAACTGAGGCACAGAGAGGTCAAGGAACTGGACTGAGCTCATCTAGTAAGTGGCAGAATAGGGAGCCAGTCCCAGGCAGTCTGGCTCCAGAATCTTAGTTCCTATTCACTACTTCCCAAGCTCTATCATATTAATGATATAAAATTCAAATGAGATTGTATATGAAAGTTAAATAAACTCCAAACTATTAGACAAATGTCAGTGATTGCTCTCTCTTAGGCTCCTTGGGGTGAATGTTATAGATACAAATGTCTTCCCTCTAAACTGTGTTATTTCTTTCTGAAGACAATGCAAGTGTGATAAAGAACATCAGCAACCCATATTCTAACAATCATCATTATATTCCTTTTCTATTGCTGTGTAAGAAAATTACCACAATTTTGGGGCTTTGGCTTAAACAATATGCATTTATTATCTCAGAGGTCCCAGGGGTCAGGAGTCCAAGTACAGAGGACCTAGCACAGGCTAGCTAGGTCCTCTGCTGAGAGTCTCACCAGGCAGAAATCAAGGAGGTAGCAGGGCCTGTGAATCCTCATCAAGGCTCAAGTTCCTCTTTGCAACTTACTGGTTGTTGGTAGAATTCATTTCCTTGAAGTTGTAGGCCTGAAGTCCCTGTTTTCTTGCACGCTGTTGGCTGGGGTCCTCACTTAGCTTTTAGAGGGCTCCTGTGATTCCTTGCCAAGTAGTCCCCATAGGCAGGTTGCAACACAGATGTTTGCTTTCTTCCAGGCCAGCAGGTGTGTGTCTCTCTGACTTCTGATCCCTCTCTAGTTGGCTAGTATGGAGTGACTAGCACATCACCATTTGCCATATAATTTAACCTAATTGAGGAAGTGACCATCCTATCATTCTTACAGATTCCACCCACACTCAAGGGGAAGTGATGATATATGATGTGTACCTCAGAGGGCCATTCTAGAATTCTGCCCACTGTGCTTGTGTTTTTGAAGCTCCTGGGGGTTTCAGCCACATGGCTAAAGTGAATTGTGGGAAAATTGTGGAATGGGTTACTAATGAATATGGATATGCCACTGAAATGTATTCATGTGCTATTCTGGTGAATGCTGCAGAAGCTGGAGCCCTGCCACTTAGGGCTTCTAGGGACTTTGCTGCTATGGGAATAATCAAGGCCACCAAATGCCAGGTGGTGTAAATTGCCAAAGCACTTCCTGGACTTGATCCTGATGAAAGTTGATGCAGCATCCTTGCTGGCTTACAGGTTCGCTGTGTTTCTCATAGACTCTGCAAGCCCCATGCAGAGCATTGTGTGATAAGCCTGTCTTATCCAGAGCAGGGATTGTTCTTTGAGAGAATATAATTATTGCCTCTGTCTTGCTGACCCATCAGCAATTGTTTTCTTTCCCCGTGGCGTGGGCAGAGTCTGTGTGGGAAGGTACTGGTTTAATTTCTGTCACATCTCACTTGTCCTTTTCCTAGGGGCAATGTAAATCTCAAAATTGATGCAGCTGGGAATCACCATTAGGAGCTCCAGGGTCAATTTGGTATAGTAAGGCAAAGGCCGTCAGGAAATCCCAATGAGTCATGTGGCATAAAACCCTGTAATAAGCAGCATTCTTCTTCCCAGACTGGAATTTTGTGTGTGAAGCTTACATTCCTGCAAACTGATAAACTGAGATGACTTATGAGTGAAAGGGGGGAAATAAAGACACCTTATTTGGATACATGGTGGGCTTTTTGAAACCTCTGGTATTGAAATAATAAAAATCTTTTATTGATGTAAAATGCTTTTATTTATAAAGTGCTATCAGTTCAGATCCAGGATTGTTTACTCTTTTGTTTTCTTCATGAAAGCAAACCCTACATCTCATGGTAATAAAGGAGGTATGCCAAAATGTGTGCTTCAGTGTGTTCCTAGATGGGCATGCTAAGAACTGGGTCCTCTCAAGTTCTAGGCTGAAGGCAGTGGCCTATCAGGAATACTTAAGAATTGGTACCAAGAGCATTTGTGTATTTGTTATTGTAAGTGTAATATATGTTAATCAAAAAAAAAATTGGAAAATTAGAAGAAAGGAGAAAATAAAAAATGCCCTTAATCTCAACACCTAGAGATAGCTCCTGCTATTTATATCTCTAGGAGATAGCTCCTGATATTTTGACATATATAATACATGTATGATATGTGTATTATGTCTATCTACACACACACTAAATGTATACAACATCTACGAACTATAATTTGGTAGCTTCATTTAAAAACATTTTACAGGTATATTTTGAGATTTTTAACATGTTCTTAAATATTCTATAGTATAATTGTATGTTGGTTAAGAGCATGGAATCTGGGCCCTGATTGCCTGAGTTTGAATGAATACTGGCTTAACACTATTTGATTTCATGGCCTTGGGCAAGTTACTTAACTTTTCTATGCCTTTCTTTTATCTCTGTAAAATAGGGACAATAATAGTACTTATCTAATAGAATTATAGTAAAGTTTAAGTAAGTTAATATATTTATAAGTTGCTTAAAATAGAGCCTGCCATTTAATAGTGCCATATAACTGCTTGCTTTTGTTAGTGGTTACGTACAATTCTATCTTCTGAGGGAGATGTAATTTATTTAACTTATCCATTGTTTGATATTTAGGTGTTCCCAATTTTTATTATTACAGATTATACAACGCTTACACATGCTTTTTTGTGTGCCGACTAAAAATTTTTTTCTTTAAGTTACATTCCAGGAAATAAAGCCTCTGGATCAAAATATATTAATCTTTTTCAAATTTCTGTTACTTTTTTGGCAAATTAATCTTATAAAATGTTGACCAATTTGTACTTCCACCTGTGGTATTGAGTGTCTGTTTCCCCTTATCCTCATGTGTCAAGGCAATGGTAGTATCTTATATTTTATATTTTTTTGTTGTTGTTGTTGTTTTTTGAGATATCACCCAGGCTGGAGTGCAGTGGCATGATCTCAGCTCACTGCTGCCTCTGCCTCCAGGGTTTAAGGGATTCTCTTGCCTCAGCCTCCTGAATAGCTGGGATTACAGGTATGCACCACCACGCCCAGCTAATTTTTGTATTTTTAGTAGAAATGGGGTTTCACCATGTTAGCCAAGCTGGTCTCAAACTCCTGACCTCAGGTGATCCTCCCGCCTCAGCCTCCCAAAGTGCTGGGATTACAGGCGTGAGCCACCATACCCGGCCTCTTATGTTGTTTTGATTGGCATTTCTTTGATTGCAAACTAGATGTGTATTTTTCCATATGTTTAGCAGTTTACATTTATTCTTTATAAATTATTGCTTCCTGAACTTTACTTATTTTTACTTTTCTCTTTTAAGTGAAAAAAGATATATATAGTGATATATATATTAAGTATTATTTATTTATTTTTTTTCTGTCACCCAGTCTGGAGTGCAGTGGTTAGATCTCAGGACACTGCACACTGCAGCCTCAAACTCCTGGGCTCAATGATCCTCCTGCCTCAGCCCCCTGAGTAGCTGGGACTACAGGTGGGCATGATTACACCTGGCTAATTTAATTAATTAATTAATTTATTTATTTATTTATTTTTGTAGAGATGGGCCTTGTTATGTTGACCAGACTGGTTTTGAACTCCTGGCCTCAAGCAGTCCTCCTACCTTAGCCTCCCAAAGTGCTGGGATTACAGGTGTGAGCCACCATTCCTGACCAGCTTCTGATCTTCTACTAGAGATATTTTGTCACAGTCTCTGTGTTCTTCAAACTGTTTAGTATTATTATTAGGCTATGTTTCTATAGCGACAATATAATTTTGTGATATAAGTAACATATGCAGTTAGTTGGGGAAAGGGTTGCCATGAATGTCACTAGAAATGCTGCAAGAACATGACTATGTCCTGCCTCTGCAACTTCAGAAATCATTTTGAATGAGGAGGCTTTTGCGAATGAAATTTTGGTGAAAATTTTTATCTTTGCAATTGTGGTAAATATTGTGACTACCTGGGAGAGAATCTTTTGGTTCATTAAAGAGACAAGTAGTTACCTAATGAGAAACTGTCAGTAATCTCATGGACATGTGGAAGAATATTCATTTTTAATACCCTAGTCAAGCAGAGGGCTTCAGGAACAAACGCTGATTCACTGTTTTAATTAGTTCCTGGATTCTACTGCCTTTCTCTGGACTATGGAGACCTCTGGCTACATAGTACACTGTTGCTGAGTGTTGGATCTCAACAGAAGTTGATATTCTTTGTGTTTTCTGATTTTCTCCATGTGAATCATTGTCTCATGGCAGGCTAAAACAAGTGTGATAAAAATATGTTTTTAAAATAACATAAAAACATTTAAACTTTGGAAGAGGGAGGGAATGTGTTCTGTTCTGGAAAATAGACCAATATCAATGGGTAAAAGGTCACCATTTTGGGTTAATATAAGGAAGAGCTTTGTTATTACAGGAAGAGTCCACCCATAGCATGGCTCACCTTTTTGAAGCAGTCACCGAGATTCTTCCAGCAGAGACCAGGTGATCAAAAAGTACATTACTGAATTTAAGAGGAAAAAGGTGGGGCCCATGCACTGGGCGAGACCTTGCACTAGATTACTTCTAATATCGTTTTCAACTCTTGGAGATTCTACACTTACGTGAGTTTTTAAAAACCATGTGCGTACTTATCTGAAGTAGTCAAATTCATAGAAATAGGAAATAGGATGGTGGTTACCAGGGGCTAAGGGCAGGGGGAAAAGGGATGTTGTTGTTTATTGGGTATAGACTTTCAGATTTGCAAGATGAAGAAGTTCTAGAGGGTTGTTACACAACAATGTGAATACAATGAACACTACTGTGCACTTATAAATGTGCCTACTATGAGGTTAGCCCTAGGCCAAGCACTGTAGGGGACGCGTACGTTTAAGACAGTCCCTGCTTTCAGTTGTGTCACGGTCCACTTCTGCTATTAAATCAAGGATCCTGAGCAGCAGCCCAGAAGCCCACGCTAGCCAACCATGATGTCATCACTGCCACTGCCATTGAAGGCACTGCCAGAAGCCCAAAGAAACAAAAACACTCCTCCCTTCTTCCGGTCTTACAATTTCCTGCTAGTGCCCCCATGACACAGCCCAATAAGAAGCCAATTGGTGAGTTATTCTGAGAAATGTGTCATGCTGCTTTCTTTCCCCATCACTATAGAGGAAGGTATAAGGATGAATATGAATTTGTGTTGGCGATACACTGTTAGGCACAGTCCACCCCTTTGTCTCTTTTTCATCCATACACAGCCCTCCACCCATATATAAACTTGATAAAGCAACAACAGCAACATTATAATGCTTCTGTTGATGCAATTATCCCTTGCACAAATGAAGGCATGCTCACTAGTTCCCTGATAAGGGGGATAAGAAGTGCCATTAGTTGGTGCATTTACATTTATATGTTGATGATGTTAATTCCCCTTACAGGTTAATCAAAATCTCATTTATCATGTAACTTAAAAGACTAAATTGTAAAGTTAACCACCTAGTTTGTAGTTAACTTATGTGACACACTCCTTGTATAACAGACACACTTGGGGAAAGGAAAAAGGGGAGAGTGAGTTCTATATACAAATCTGTACAAGGAAGAAAATACACATAGTTGCTATAGCCCTTACTTCTGTAACTGATCACAAAGCTGCGTGTGTGTGTGTGTGTGTGTGTGTGTGTGTGTATTTAGAGGGAGGAGAGAGAGAGCAAGAAAGAAAGAGAAAGAGCTAGGATTTACATTTATATATATCTATATCTATATGTCTTCTTTCTTCCCGTATCAACTCCCATATGCTTTTCTCTTTAATCCCTTGGTTGGTGAGGATTCTTTTTCTGAAGGGCTGATGCAAATCTTTACTCCTGAAAAGTCTGTGTCCTTAGACATCCCTCCTTTGTTGGTGTAGTGAAATCTTTTATTAACTTTACTACTGGATATGGAAGTAATAAGGCACCCCAGAGAATCCTCTGGATTACAGACATCTTTCTTAATGCCTCCATTATCCAGCAACAATCTTATTTTAGCTTAGTAATTGGGACCCCAGTTAGTGCAGTAGAACAATTTTTGTTTGTACAATGGCTTAAGGAGTCTGAATGACCAAGTAGTAATCTCAAATTTTAGTTCAGTGGAACCATTCTTGTTTCTGCTGCTGACTTTTATTTTCTTGGAAATGAATAACTTTAAACCAGCAGAGCCCAAAATCTTAGGCACAGGTAGCAAAATTTTGTGACTAGCTTATTAGGCATAATAGTTAGAATAGACTATCCCATTTTAATTTTTGATTCTCTGACCCATGTATTATAGATATGGGAGGAATACCACTCTCTAGGGGTTGTTGATTCAAAGCATGTACTACATCCTGTAAGATATAGTTCCATAAGCTTTCAAGAGGTTATCTCTCAGTTAGTGACAATTGAGCCTTCAGTAGGTGATTCCATCATTCTACCAGGTTAGCTGCTTCTGGATGATGGAGTATATGGCAGGACTAGAGAATTCCGTGGCTGCAAGTCAATTGCTGCACTTATTTTGTTGTGAAATTAGCGCCTTGATCAGAAGTGATGTCTTGAGGGGTGCCACAATGGTAAATAAGGCATTTTCTAAGTATGTTATCGGTGGTACTTACAAAAGGCAAACCCATATCCACAGGAAATGTTTATTTCCCTAAGAACAAATCTTTGCCCACTTCATACTGGAAAGAATCCAGTGTAATTCACGCACCATAGCATGACTAACTAGTCCACCTGGACTCATTGCTGGCCCCTGCTGTTCGCAGGGTGAACACACAGTAATGGTGCTAGCCAGATTCACTTGGTGAGCCTACACATAGACTCATTGATTACTGTCATGACCACTCAGAAGATAAGTCCATGGAGAAGTTACTAGGGTGGCTGGGAAGAACTGGCTGGCTGACATCCTCAGAATATGTTATCTTGTCCCCCTGATTATTGACAGCCTTCTCTGCAGTGGACGTCCTTTTGTGAGCATGCACATGAGATACAAATATTTCCCACTCATTGCCCCTTCTAAGAGGTCATCCATCTGCCTATTCCTCAGTCCTCTTTTTTTTTTTTTTTTTTTTAGCAGTTTTTCTATTCTGTTCTTTCCAAGTCGATGACCATCTGGCCAAATCATTATCCATTATGTATGAGTTAGTATAGATTTGTACTTCTGGCCATCTTTCAGTCTAGCCAAAACAGATATCCAGATGTGTTATGAAGTTCTGCCAACTGGGAGGATTTTCTCTCTACGCTATCTTTCAGGGCCATCCCTGAGTGGATATACAACAGCTTAGTTCTAGCTGTTGCTGCTATACAATGGAGTATCATATGCAAAACATATCCAAGTCTTTTTTTTCGCTATCATCATCTGGTTACAGGGAACTCCTTTTGAAGCCGTAAGTGTGGTTTGAGAGAGAGGAAGCAATGTATCAGGAGTAGGTGGCCGTAGGAATCTGAGCCATCAAATCATATGGCTTACTTGTATCCATAGGACTTGCTACAGACCCATCTTATACACCACTTCCACTTGGTGACGGAGTGTGACTTCACTTAGCTGATTTTATGGTTTGGTGGATTAAATGATGACCAGTTAGTTTATGGTGGGCAGCTCAGCTCATATGGTCATCAAGTGTCCTAGGGCAGGAGTTCTGTCTCCACAAGAGCCTGAGAATATACTTTCAAGGGGAAAAATCAGCAGCTGTTACTCAGAGAGAGAAAATTAGCAGAAGAGGCTGGTTTTGCTCCAAAACTCTAGTACTCTAAGCCATGATTCTTACATAGGGCTTACTCTAGGCTTGTACACAATCCCCTTTTGTACATGGGGAAATGAACTACACCTCCAGGGATCACAGGGAGATCAGAGGCCACGGAGTTCTATGATTAATGAACATCTTTCCTTTCATGTTTTCATACTCAAATCCTATTTATTCCTAGCTAACTTTTTTCTAATATTGATCATAGCAATTTATTGAATATATTTTTGCTCACCTTCCTTCAATAGGAATTATTATTGCCTTATTTACCTGTTATACTTCTGAAAACGATCAGATTTTTCACGTTTTCAAGGAGCCTGATGGAGATATTTTTCTTTACTCTTTTTAAATCAAACTACATCATTATAAAATAAAACACAGATATAACCTCCACTGCACATCAAATATGTAGCATCATGAATTAGCATAAGGCAAACTCATTTGTAACTACCGTTCAGGCCAGGAAAGAGAACTTCACCAGCCTCCCTAGAAGTCTCTTCTGTGTGACCTATCTCCATCATAACCCCCTTCACTTCATAAATAACCATTACCTGGACTTTTATATCAGTTGCCCAGCTATGCATCTCTAGGTACTATAGCTTAGTTCTGCTCATTTAATGAACGTTGGTATACCTTTCTTTTAATTTGTACCTTCCTGCTCCATCCCTTTATTTTTCCTTATCGTTTATCTGTGGATGAACCCAGCCTTGTGACTTGTAGAGTTTCTCATAGACTAGATTTTGCTGATTGCAATCTTACGGTACATTTCATTGTGTTCCTCTGTATTTCCTGCAGCATGGTGGCTGGAATTTGAGGTTTGATCAAACTCAGGTGCAATTCCTTTGGCAAGATTATAGGTGTGTTTTTACATCAGGAAGCACATAACATTTGTGTTGTTTGTCTTTTTGTAATATTAACAATGGTTAATGCTTAGATTCATTTAGTTATTGGGGTTTCTAAGGTCATGATATTCCATTTTGACTTTTTTTTTTTATCATTTATCACTTGGGATACAAAGAATTGCTCCCCTTTATCTACTTTATATTTTATTTATTTATTTATTTATTTATTTTTTGTGATGGAGTCTCACTCTGTTGCCCAGGCTGGAGTGCAGTGGTGTGATCGTGGCTCACTACAACCTCCACCTCGTGGGTTCAAGTGATTCTCATGCCTCAGCCTCCCAAGTAGCTGGGATTACAGGCGTGCACCACCACATCCAGCTAATTTTTGTATTTTTAGTAGAGATGGGGTTTTGCCATGTTGGCCAGGCTTGTCTTGAATTCCTGACCTCAAGTGATCCGCCCAACTCCGAAAGTGCTGGGATTACAGGCATGAGCCACTGTGCCCAGCCCCTTATTTACTTTTTGGTTACCCAGTGATGTAGTTCATACAGAGAGACAAGATAAATATTTGATTCTTTTTATCGACCACGTTTCAAAATAATAAGTTGGTTCTGTTTCATCCTCCAAAGGTTTATATACATACATGAACTTGTGGACTTAAGCATTTTTAATGGGTTCCATTTAATTGCAGTTATCTTTCTGAAAGCTCAAATTATTACATCTTTGACCAGTGGAAGCCTTTGAAAGTTGGCTTCTGTTTGTTTTTTCCTGGATGTTATTCTTGGATGTTCTTTGTGGATATAAAACTCTTGTGAACTGAAAAATCAAGAACTACTTCTCCAGCTCAGGCCTTTCTCTGATTCATTCATGGCCTTAAATGACCAGGGAATATGTTTTGAAGAGTGGGGCACACCCTCTATAGAAAGGGAATACATGGTTTCTGTTTACAAATATTGCTGGCTTTGTCTTTAGAGACCAGAACGCTGGCTTCCTGTTGAACCATTCTCCTCTGGAAATGAGATTGCCTCACCAGTGTTGTTCACCTTTTCCGGAAAGATCTGATATTAATAGTTTTCTCTAGAATAACTTATTCTTTTAGGAGGCATGTGCTCTTGTCTAGACAAGTATCTGGAATAAAACTGAAAATAGTTGAAAACCCGCCTTTTAACATTTTCCCCTGAAATTTTCTATGCAACCCAGTAAAGATCTATAAATAAACTTTAGGAATAATATAATTAATCTTATTAAATGTGAGAGTGCTTCAGGCTTCTTTGAGAGCAGTAGAAGGACTTGCATTAAAGCGAGCTGTGCCTTCAAAATGTAATTTCTCGTCCTGACCGCAAGCTTATCACATCCCTCCCCTTTTAGTGACCTGCTTTTCCTTCAGCTCGAATGCTGTGTTTTTGGTTTTCACCTCTAGCTTGGATAGTTCTGAACATTTTAACTCTCTCATTTTTGTTACTGTGACAGCGACTTTATGGAAATAGGGCTGTGAAGGTTTTTATGATGAAACGTTGACAGGAGAAATAATACTTGGCCCAGCACATGAAACAGAATCACCCACAAGAAAGAATAAAGGCGATTTTGAAAAGCTTATGACATCAATGTCTGTGACAATTTCTTTTGGCTTATAGCATTCATGTTTGCAGGCTAGGTAATATCGATTTTCACTTATGAGTTCTATTGTAGAAGACCCTTCCCTCTGTAAAAGATCTGATTCTCTGGCTTTCAGTCTTTTGCCTGACATTCAAGGCCCGCCACAGACTTATTCCTGTCCTCCCCAAAAACACTTAGTGACTTCCTGTTGCCTGTTGGATTAAGTATACACTTTTCACTGTGATTCCATTTTTACCTCTCCAGGCCCATTTCCCTGTCTTTCCTATGGACATCTCTTCAGATCAGCTATTTTAGTTGCCTCCACTTCCTGGTACACCCTACATTTTACTACTTTGGTCTTTGCTCACACAGTTTCTTCTATCCAGAATGACTTTCTCTTCTATCTCTATCTGCAGAGATCCTATCATTATTTTAAAATTCCTCCTCCTCCACGAAGTCCTTCCTGATTCCTTCAAAGAAATATCACTCCTCCGAATTCCCAGGTAATGTCTTCTTGACAGTTTCTTTATATTATTTTGTTATGTGGTTAGCTGTTGTTGCTATTATTTATGTGTTTGTCACCACTCTGGGGTGACAACCATACATCCAAATTTTCCTGGGACACTCCCAGTTTATACCTGTTGTCTCAGCACCTTGTCTGGCTAGTACCCCCCTTTACTCTCAAAATTATCTTGGTTTGGGCAATGAATTAAATGGTCACCTTTGGAATAAATGACCAGAAGGTTGGGGCTGCATCATACTCATCTTTTACTTTCTGGTCACTTAGCACAAGGAGCAGTGTAATTCACATATGGCGGGCAAAGGAATTAGTAGAAAAGAGACTGGCTTGTGTTGGGGCAGGGACCACTTTGCCTGGGTCATCAGGAAATGCTAACCAGATTAGTTTTGATTCCTCCCAGAGATAGTCTTCCTAATGGCACTGCCCAGGGGCTATTATTTTCCCATCAGAAGGTTGGGTTCCCCAAGGGTTTGATAAACAATCCTTTCCAACATGAAGGCTGCAGGCATTGTTTCCCCCTCAGTGGCTAGTGCATTTAGAGCTTCAAAGGAGTATACTTGGGCATTGTGTAGAATATTTAGTTCACATGTGAAAGAGGCTTGCTTTATTTATTTGCATTCCTTTTTATTTAAAAAATTAACCTACAGAAAAGTTGATAGAAAATAGTACGTAGTCATACTCTCTTCATTTTGCTACATTTGCTTTCTTTCTCTTGCTTTCTTCCTGTATATACACATAGACTCAAGTTTGTGTTTAAGTAAGATGTATGCATAACTGTTCATATTCGTTTCCTGACCCACTTGAATATAGACTGAGGATATCATGATACTTCACCCTTGAATACTTCTACATGCTCCTCAAAATAAGGACATTTTTCTGTGTAAACAGTATCATTATTACACCTAAGATAATAATTTCACAGAATCATCTCAAATATAGTCCATATTCAAATTTCCTCAAACTTGTTTGGGATCCAGAATCCAAATCTTATCTTGAATTACAGTTCCCATAATCCCTTTGTGTCAGGTAATTGAATCATGGGGGCAATTACCCCCATGCTGCTGGTCTTTGGATAGTGAGTGAGTTCTCACAAGATCTGATGAATTTATCAGGGGCTTTTCCCACCTTTTGCTCATACTTCCCCTTCCTGCCACTGTGCGAAGAAGGGTGTGTTTGCTTCCACTTCTACCATGATTGTAAATTTCCTGAGTCCTCCCCAGCCCTGCATAACTGTGAGTCAATTAAACCTCTTTCCTTTCTAAATTACCTGGTTCAGATATGTCCTTACAGCACCATGAGAATCAACTAATACAGTAAATTTGTTCTGGGTGTAGGGCGCTGCTGTAAAGATACCCAAAAATGAGGGAACCACTTTGGAAATGGGTAACAGGTAGAGGTTGGAACAGTTTGGAGGGCTCAGAAGATAGGAAGATATGGAAGTTTGAAACTTCCTAGAGACTTGTTGAATGGCTTTAACCAAAATGCTGATAGTGATATAAACAATGAAGTCCAGGCTGAAGTGGTCTCAAATGGAGATGGGGAACTGGTTGGGAACTGAAGTAAAGGTCATTCTTGCTATGTAAAGAAACTGGCGGCATTTTGCCCCGTCCCAGAGATCTGTGGAACTTTGAACTTGAGAGAGATGATATAGGGTATCTGGCAGAAGAAATTTCTAAGTGGCAAAGTGTTCCAGAGGAAACAGATCATAAAAATTTGGAAAATTTGCAGCCTGATGCTGCAATAGAAAAGAACTATTTTCTGGGAAGAAATTCAAGGCTGCTGCAGAAATTCGCATAAGTAACGAGGAGCTGAATGTTAATCACCAAGACAATGGGGAAATGTCTCCATGGCATGTCAGAGACCTTCACAGCAGCCCCTGCCATCAAAGGCCTGGATGCCTAGGAGGGAAAAATGGTTTTGTGGGCCAAGCCCAGGGCCTCCCTGCCCTGTGCAGCCTTGGGACATAGTGCCCTGTATCTCAGCTGCTTCAGCTCCAGCCATGGCTAAAAGGAGCCAACGTACAGCTCAGACTGTTGTTTCAGAGGGTGGAAGCCCCAGGCCTTGGCAGCTTTCATGTGGTATTGGGCCTTTGGGTGCACAGAAGTCAAGAATTGTGGTTTGGGAACCTCTGCCTAGATTTCAGAGGATGTATGGAAATGCCTGGATCTCCAGGCAGAAGTTTACTGCTGGGGCAGAGCCCTCATGGAGAACCTTTGTTAGGGCAGTGCAGAAGGGAAATGTGGGGTCAGAGCCTCCACTGGGGCACTGCCTAGTGGAGCTGTGAGAAGAGAGCCACCATTCTTCAGACCTTAGAATAGTATGTCCACTGACAGCTTGCACTGTGTGCCTGAAAAAGCCACAGGCACTCAACACCAGCCTGTGAAGGAAGCTGACAGGGTGGCTGTACCCTGCAAAGCTACAGATGTGGAGCTGTCCAAGGCCATGGGAGCCCACCTCTTGCATCAGCATGACCTGGATGTGAGACATGGAGTCAAGGGAGATTATTTTGGAGCTTTAAAATTTAATTACTGCCTTGTTAGATTTCAGACTTGCATGGGGCCTGTAACCACTTTGTTTTGGCCAATTTCTCCCATTTGGAATGGGTGCATTTACCCAATTCCTGTACCTCTATTGTATCTAGGAAGTAATAACTTGCTTTTGATTTTACAGGCTCATAGGTGGAAGGAACTTGCCTTGTCTCAGATGAGACTTTGGACTTGGACTTTTGGGTTAATGCTAGAATGAATTGAGACTTTTGGGTACTGTTGGAAAGGAATAATTGTGTTTTGAATTGTGAGGACATGAGATTTGGGAAGGGCCAGGGGCAGAATGATATATGGTTTGGCTGTGTCCCCACCTAAATCTCATCTTGAACTGTAGTTCCCATGTGTTGTAGGTGGGATCTGGTGGGAGGCAACTGAATCATTGATGCAGTTACCCTCAGTGAGTGAGTTCTTACAATATCTGATGGTTTTATAAGGGACTTTCCCTGCTTTTGCTCATACTTCTCCTTCCTGCTGCTGTGTGAAGAAGGATGTGTTTGCTTCCCCTACCATGATTGTAAGTTTCCTGAAGCCTCCCCAGCCCTGTGGAAATGTGAGTCAATTAAACCTCTTTTCTTTATAAATTACCTAGTCTCAAGTATGTCCTTATAGCAGTGTCAGAATGGACTAATACACTGCTGTCCTTGTGGCACCCTCCAAAATGTATACCTGTAGACATACGTTCCTCCTCTGCACACCTTTTGTTATACTTAAGGATCCACATGCCTCAAAGATATAACATGATTTTTGCCCACGAGGAGTTTGTAGTCTAGTAGAAAAAAGAATAAGATGGAAATGCGTTATATATCATGGGTGCTCCAATTTAATTCTGTTCAGGGCACAGCTGAGTTGCAAGGGAGGCAGTGGACTTTTCTACCTGCATGGCTGGGGAGAACAGAATATTATGTACAGAAGGAGTAAGGCTGGAGCTACCACTCATTGATTTTTAAACTTTTATTGAGTACTAGGCACTGTGCTAGAGTCTGGGGATGAACTTTGAACCTGAACCATCTGTACTTCACAGAAGTGAGTATTCATTGTGGGTGATGAGCTTTGAAGTCATAACCTCAATATTAAATATATAACCATCAGTTGTGATAAATGCAATGAAGGAAAAGAATAGTGAACTGCAGAGCATGTAGCAAAGACCAAATTTCCTTCTGGGGTGGGCATCATGGGAGGTCTCACTGAGAGAGTCACATTGACCTTAAGCCAAATAATGAACCTGAAGAATGAGTTCAAGTTAGGTGAATGAAGAGTAGCTAGCGAGGGGCCTCCATGTTGAAATGTCTCCACTGAGGAAGGAAGCAGAACCTATAGAGGGCTGGCACAGCTAGAGCCGAGCCTAGGAGGAGGGTAGTGTCAGGTTGAGAGAGAGGCAGGGGACAGGTCATACAGGGCCCAAGGAAGAAGTTTTCCTCTTGAAAAAGACATAATGGTTACATGGGCTCTTTTGGAGTTGGGATGGGGAGCAATTGGTTTGTTAGGACATGGAGAACAAAGTATCCTGATAATTGGAAAACAAAGCAACTTGACAAGGCTGGAATATGGGGTGTGAGGGAGGACATTGTGTTGAATTTTGAGTTCTTCTTAGAAGCAGCAGGGAGCCACTGAAGGGTGAGTATGATCAGAGGGGTGATGTATCAAAAGTGTATTTGAGAAAGAGAAATCTTAAAGATGAACGAATTACTTGAAGATGCTGAAGGCTGGAGGATCTTGCAGTTGTCCAATAGGTAGAGGACGAAGGCTTAATTAAGGCAATGGAAATGGGGTGGAGACCAGAAGACAAAGTTCCTCAGTAGGCACTATCTACAGGATTTGGTTATTGATGAGAGGAGGAGAAAGTGGAGTATTAAATGGTGTTCAGGCTCCTGGCTATGTGATGAGTGGAAACGGATAGCAAGAGAAGGAATTGTTTTGGACAATCGATGGTGTTTTGATTTGCCCCTGATAAGTGCCCTTGATAAGTTTGATTTATACCCAGTAAATGGTAAGGGAGATCCAGCCTGATGTTACATAAGCAACTGATTAGTTCATGTTTCCTGGGCTTGAAGAAGTTCTCTCTGAATATTTTTGATCTATTAACATGGTATTTATTAAGCAAGTTGGAAGCATGCAAACTATTTATAAAGGAGTACTTGCATTTTACAACTGACAGATTGCTTTATTCGGAATTACTCATGACAGGCTTTTTTGTGTGTGTTTGAGAGACATTTGACTTTGCCACAGTTTTGAAAATATGGTATTTCTGGTATGTTTATATTGTGGGTTGTCAAAAACAGTTAAATATTACAATTAGGTTTGCTGTGTTCTGTTTTTTTCCCATTCAGTTACGCATGAAATATACAAGTACAACATCTGGCATTCTTCTTTATAAGAACTCTGGCAAAAGAGCAACAAGGATTAGATTCAGCACTTGTCAAATCATCCAATTGTAATATTTTCATCTAGAGTTGAATCTGAAGCTGGGTGAAACTGCCATGTAAAGAGGAGTTCTGTGTAATGTCACAGAGGGGCCACTTAGGAGAATTCCTTTTATGGTTGGGGCATTCTTGAGATGCCTGGAATAGCCCATTTGTATCCTATCATTGAGACGGAAACACAGCTAGGACGGGTCAAGGCACCACGATGACAAGATCCACACAACACTTCTTTTCTGTTATTTGTCAGACTAGAGCCCTGGTTGGCTGATAATGGCAGACCTTCCTTCTTTACTTCATTTTTCTATGGCAAATCCTTGGTCTCGGAACTGGAAAGCCCCTTTCCTAGCTTGAAGGCCATATATTCTTAGAACTGGAAGGGACCTCAATAACTGTTTTAATCCAAATCCCTGGCACTTTTGCAGATGAGAAAAATGAGACAGAGAGTTTACACAATTTGGTCAAGGTCAATATACCAAATTCCCTGCCCCTGCTAGATTCCCCCTTGGGAATGGGCAGCCTCTCTCCTCCTTTTATTTTTGTTTATTTATTTGTCTTTGCCAGAAATCAAAGAGTCTTCATTCACTTTGTAAAAATCATCTGACTCATTTGAAAGAAAAAAAGAGATGTTTTTCTCTGAAAACTTATTTTTGTTTTATTCTAAATGAGTTTTCGTTCTAAACCCAGTGTGATTCCTCTCTATTCTAAGAGTGCTTTCACGGCACAGTATGACATCTCTCTAATGGCCAGTGTTGCCTAGTTGGGCTTCAGTATAATGGTTACAGCAAAACCCTCTGTGCTTTGGAGCATAGCATCATCTCTAAATTCAGGAAAGAACAGATGCTAGAAACTGTGGTCAGCGTCACTGCCTGGGCCTTCAGGGCGGGTGATGCTTGGAACTTCTTTAGAAGCAGCTATTTATTCAAATGAAATTTTTGAAAGGATCTTTGATTTTTGAAATGACAAATCTCATACCTTGGCTCTAGGACCAAGCACCCCATGACTTGAGAGTGCTGATGGGACTTGGTTGCCACTGAAGGGAGGGTGTGAGATGGGGTGGGTGATACCTGGAGCACTGGCCCAGTCAAGGGAAAGAATGAGAGTTCTAAAAATGAGTTGTGAGGGGGAAAGAGGACAAGAACACATGTGGTGCTTACCATTTACTGGCTTGGATGGGGGCAAATGGATTCACTGGAAGCCTCTTTCTCGGGAACCACAATGACTACACAGTTCTACCTTTCTCTCCATACCTTCTTCCAGCAGAAAAGAATGGTTTTTGGTCTGGATGTGTGGGAAGGGTGGTAAGTATTGCTCTAGTTCATCATGTTGATTATGTTCTGAGACTCTAAGGGCTTGGCTTAGAAAGTCAAAGCCTTTGCTTTGCTCCTGCTGGAACCTGTTTTCTGTAAGGTAGTGGACACTGCAGGAACCTGTTTCTGAAAAGAAAAGGATCTGGAGGATGAGACCAGAGGGGACACCTCAATACTAGCTCAAAACAGAATCCCCCTACATTTTAAGAGCTCAATTAGAGAAAAACAGGGTCTGTATAGTGCAGTGTTCTCAATCTGAACCATTTCCAAGAACTGCAAGAGAGTGCAGTCATCTGAGCTAAGCACATGGAATGATGAAAAATTGCATCCTGGTGGGTTTTCCTCAAGTATTTGGAATAAACATAAATCTCTTCTTGCTATTGCAAAGCTTAATGCTTTACTGAAATGATCATAGAATACTGGATTATTCAGTTCTGTGGGGACTCAGAGATGATCTGTGCTGGGGAGTCTCCATTTGTTCTTTCAGACCCACCCTCCCCCTTTTCCATACTGTTCTGGATCCAGGGAGGCTGGTCTCCATGGATCCCATCAATGGGCTCCCCGACCTCTGGTTTCTATTTGGATTTGGCCAATGGGAGGCACCTGCATCACCACCTCTTGGTGGTTCCCTTAACCCTGTTCACGCCCTGTAAATAGTCCCCTGCACTGAAGCTCCAATTTGAGTGTATCATCTCTTTTCTGCTGGGACCCTGTACAAATACATCATCTAATTCTGTATGTCCATTTTACAGATGAGGAAACTGAGTCACAGAGAGGGCTATGGCTTTTCCGGTTGTGTCTCTTTCCTCCTCATGTTCCCAGACATGGTTGAGTATTTCCAACCTGAGATCCTGAGTCCTAGAGTGCTGGATGGGGATTAGGAGACCTCTGGCACTCCCATCCTCTCTACTTCAATGTGACGGCTCATGCCTAAGAAACTTCTATGTATCAAAAAACTGTGTCCTTAAAAATGGTATTTTAATAGGACAAAAAAGTAGTTAGGGAGAAGAGTCTCTGCTGGGAGTACACTGTCATTCACCGGGCTAGTGGAAGGTCAGAAAGTGTCTCTTCCACCATGGTGGAGGCACCTGGTGCCAGGGCGTGGCTAGAGGCCTATGGGCTGATTGACCCCCACCCACCTCAGCCTGGTACCCTGTTAATACTGTGGTTCTGGATGTGAATACGTAAGCCAATTTATTTCACTTATACCTTTATATTTTCCTTTTTTATGGGCATCATACAAATCCAAAAATGTCCAATAGAGCTCTTTTAATATGTATAAAATAAAAATTTTAAGTCTTAGCATTGTATCACACTATAATGTGCCATTTCTTTCTTTATAATTGGTATATAAAATAGTATTGTTTCTACAATGAGTGAGTCCTGATTAATGAAATATGGTAGGAAGCTTATTAAATTATCAATATGAATCAAAAGATGAATTGGAAAGCTAAGGACTGAGGATAGCTCTATTAATTCTTTTGCTCAATAAATATTTATTAAACTTCTTCTGTGAGACCAGTCCTGGTCTAGGCATTGAGGATCCAGCTGTGAAAGACACAGACATGATCTGTGAACTTACAGGGAAGACAAGAAATACTGAATGTATATTTGTATATATGATGTTACAAAAGAAAAAATGCAGTGTTCTTTGGGAGTGTTAATAAATGAGCTTAAGATGGTCAAGTGTAGCAGATGACTTGACTGGAGGAGCAACACTTAAGTGGAGAATGGAAGGACAAGTAGGAGTTAGTCAGGTGGAGGTGAGTGGGGAAGGAAGAAAGGTGGTCCTGGCCAAGGGAGCAGTGTGTATGAACGCTGGGAGCTGGCAAGGGGTGAGGAGGAACTGAAGGAAGTGTGAAGTAGCTGGAGCTCAGGCAATGGTACAGAGATGAGAGATGAGGCTAGAAAAGTAGGCAGATGTTAAATGATGAAGTGCCTTAGATGTCATGGCAAGGAGTTTGGCTTTTATCCACAGGGAAGAGAAAGTTGTGGAAGGGGTTCCAGGAGAAGAATGTTATGCTTAGATTTTAGAATGATCACTCTGACTACTGTGCAAAACTGAAGTGCTGTATATCACAGTCAGATGAAGCAAGCATGGTAGTAGTCATACTCACTTGATTAGTGGGATTGAAGTGGGATAAGCGGACAATAGCAAATGATACAAGGGAATCCTGGAGCAAGCAATAATCCCCATCACTGATTGCATTCTGCAGATATTATATTCCGATTTTAGAAACAATCAGAACCAATGTAGAACCAATAATAAAGAAATAGTGGCATATTAAAGTGTGATACAATGCTAAGACTTAAAATTTGTATTTTATGTATATTAACAGATCTATAAATACATCTATTAGATGTATTTAGACTTTTTAATTATTCTTCCTAGTTCCTGATAAGCTAAGACAATACTTTTATTTTTGACAGAGTGATTTCTTCTGACTTGAGCCTGCAGTGTGCTGTGAGAGATCTACCACTAGGTAAGTATAGAACAAGTTTTTCTTAGGTTTGTAAACAACACTTTTCTTCCAAGATTCCCTAAGACATACATAAGCCTAACATTCTATGTAATCCTCATTTTAGCCTTATGAGTCTTATTTCCATCTTATACATGAGGAAATTGAGGCACTGGCAACTTGACATGCACAAAAATGTTCATCACAGCATACATTATGATAGTAAAATAATACAAAATGAAAAGGAGAGAATATAAATATCCAACACTAGGCAAATTGTATTAAATTAATTATGGTACATTCATTTGATGGAAGTAGTTTTAAAATATTCATTATCACCTTAAGATGTTCTCTTCTATTCCTAGTTTGCTAAAAGTCTCTATTATAAATACATGTTGAATTTTATTAAATGCTTTTCTATATCCACTGAGATGATCAAATGATTTTTATGCTTTCATTTGTTAATTTTAGTTTACATTAATGGATTTTCTAATGTTAAGCTACCTTGCATTGCTGAGATAAAACCAACTTCGTAATGATGTGTTATCTTTTCTATACTTAGCTAGATTTAATTTGCTAAGTTTTAGTCATAAATGAGATTGACTAAAATCTTTCTGCGATATTCCTTGTCAGGAATGGTTTTCAAAATACTGGAATTACTTGCTACTTAAATGTATGGTGGAACTTGACAGTAAAACAGTTTGGGCCAGATGTTTTCTTTGAGGAAAGAAATTTTACTAACTGATTTAGTTTCTGATTTATTTAGGTTTTCTATTTCTTCTTGAGTCAGTTTTGTTATGTTTTTAGTTACATATACGTATTTCTGTTGAATACATATGCAGGAGGGGAATTTCTGGATCATAAGGCAGGCATATGTTCAGCTTTAGTAGATACTATCAAACAGTTTTCAAAAATGGTGTATCAATTTAAAAATTTATGCCACAATCAGGAGTGTATGAGGGTTCTAATTAGTCCACATATTTTCCAAAACAAGGTGTTTTCTGTTTTTGTTTTTTTAGTTAAGCTCTTCTGGTGGGTATGTAGTAACATCATATTGTTTAAATTTGCATTTCCTTATAGACTAATGAGGTGGGGCACCATTTCATATATTAATTGGCCATTTGGGTATCTTATTTTGTGAGAAGCCCCTTCAGGTCTTAAAAATGTGAAAAAATTGGGTTGTTTTAAAAATTAAATTGTCTTTCTTATTGAGTTGTAGGCATTTTTAATAATATATATTTTAGATATATCCTTGGTAGGATGTATGTGTTACAAATATCTTCTCTTTTTCTGTGGTTTACCTTTTTACTCTTTTTTATGAACAGAAGTTCATTATTTTATGAATTTCATATATTATTTTACCTTTACATTTCAATCTATAATATGTCTGGAATTGATTTCATTGTACATGGTGTGAAGTACAAGGTCAAAGTTAATTTTTTTCCACGTGAAGATCCAGTTGACCAAGCACCATTCTTTTGCCATAGCACTATGTGTCTATTTTGGTTAGGGTTACTGAGGTATGATTAACACATGGTAAAATTCATTCTCTTAAAATACATGGTTTGATGCATTTTGAAAAATGTATGTAATCATTGTTTTACCTCACAATCAAGAGGTAGAATGTATCTAACACTTGAAAGTGTGCACCTTTATAGTAAATCTACTCCCTCTACCTCTAGCCCTTGACAACCACAATCTGGATGTGGCTCTCTGGTTTCTCTTTTTTCCAGAATATATAAATGGCCTCACATACTACGTGGCCTTTGTTTCAGATTTTTTCACTTGGCGCATTTTTTTTGAGATTCATCCATGCTGTTATAAGTATCAGTGGTTAGTTCCTTTGTATTGTTGAGTAGAAGAATTCCATTGTGTGGTATACCACAAGTTTATCCATTCCCCAAATGATGAAGATTTGGGTTGTTTATAGTATTTAGCTACTAGGAATAAAGCTGCTACAAACATTCATGAACAGGCCTTTGTGTGGACATATGTTTTCCTTTCTCTTGGGTAAATTACTAGGAGTGGGATTATTGTATCATATGGAAAGCATAGCAAGTATATGTTAAACACTATTTTTAAAAATCCCCCAAACTGTTTCCAAAATGACTGTGCCATTTTACATTCCAATCAGCAATATATGAAAGTTTCAGTTGTTCCACAGCTCCTCTAGCACTTGGTATTATCATTGTTTGTAATTTTAGCAATTTGAGCGTATAACATTATCTCATCGTAGCTTTAATTTTCATTTCCCTAATGACATTGAACACCTTTTCATGTCCTACTTTGCCATCTGCGTATCTTCTTTGATAAAGTGTCTGTTCAAATCATTCACCCATTTAAAAATTATTTGTCTTAATGATATGTAGCTAATTAGAATATATTCTGGATACAAACTCTTTATTAAATATGTGCTTTGCAAATACTTTTTCTCAGTCTCTAGTTTGTTTCTTTAAAAGTCCTAAAAGTCTCATTCAAAGAGTAGAAAGTTTTACATTTTGGTGAATTTCAGTTTATCAATTTTTAAAAATGGAAGAGTACTTTGTTTTGTTTTGTTTTGTTTTTTGAGACGGAGTCTTGCTCTGTCACCCAGGCTGGAGTGCAGTGGTGCTATCTTGGCTCACTGCAACCTCCGCCTCCCAGATTCAAGCAATTCTCCTGCGTCAGCCTCCCGAGTAGCTGGGACTGCAGGTGCCCACCACCACACCCGGCTAATTTTTGCATTTTTAGTGGAGACAGGGCTGGTCTCAAACACCTGACCTCAGGTGATCCACCCACCTTGGCCTCCCAAAGTGCTGGTATTATAGGCGTGAGCCACCGCGCTCAGCCTGGAAGAGTAGTTTTAAGTACTATTTAGGAAATCTTTGCTAAAATGAAGGATGCAAAGATTTTCTTATTTTTTTTTTTAGAAATTTTAAAGCTTTAAGCTTTATATTTAGTTTTATGATCCATTTTGAGGTAATTTTTATGTCTTTTGTGAGATAAGGGTCAAGAATAACTTTTTATATGGATGTCTAAATTTTTGAGCATCACATATTGAAAAAGCTACTCTTTTCCCATTTTAATTACTTTGACACCTCTATCTTTCTCTCCCCTGTTTGGTACTCCAATTATACGCATATTAGACCATTTTATACTGTTTGACAGCTCTTGCATGATCTTTTTGTTAAAAAAATTCTTTCTCTTTCGATTTCAATTTGGATAAAATTTCTATTAATCTATCTTTAAGTTTGTTTATTTTCTATAGTTTCTCTCTCTCATCTAAGATCCTTTATCTTTTCTTGCATTTTATCTTCCTTTTCCATGAGAGCCTTTAACATATTAATCATGGCTATTTTAAAGTCTCTGATTGTTCTCACATCCAGGCCATCTCTCTTTCCAGCTCTGTTGATTGCTTTATTTTGACAATGAGGTGAGGGTTTTTTTGTTTTTGTTTTTGCTTTTTTGAGTGTCTTGTAATTTTGATTGCATGTTGGACAGTGTTTGTAGAAGAGCAGTAGATAATAAAGTAAATAATATTGTTACTCAGAATTGGGTATATTTTTTCTTCTGTAAGATTGTTGATATGAAGGGTTGAGTCAATCTTATTAGTAGTTAACAAGATTGGTAATTAGTATTGAGTTTGGATGGAGTTGAATTTGTGATTGCCATAGTTACCTTCAGTGTAACAGACTCCAAAGTTCTCCAGTGGTGGACTGCAGTGACCTTATGCTTGGCATGCCAGAGGGTTTTTCTCCATGTCTAAGCTCCATCCTCAGTTTTCAGCAAACTCTTCATCCTTGCTCCACAAAGGGGACCTCTTTCTTCATGTTTGTGCTCGTCTGCTAGCAGTAGATTGCTCTTGTTCATTGTACTAGGCAGAGCTGTGGTAGTGGTGGTGAGTTCTCAGTTCACCTGGGCTAGCCTCAGTCTTAGGTAGGCCTTATGTTTCTGGGCCTTGGGAGTGGGGCTTTGTTAGTGTTCCTGCTTCTCTTCAAGGCAGCCAACCTTTGCCTTGTATCTGTGGAGTGTTTTGTGTGGGAGAGAGTTTCTTGCCCCTCCCTTACTGGTAACAGACCTCTTATTTGTGTCAGCACAGGATCCTGGACCTGCAAGTTTCTTGTCCTTCCCTTAGGGCAGATGGCAGGCTTTTGCTTGTACCCCTTTCCAAGAATCAGTGGATTTTTGCTTGGACCTTGGGGCTAGGAAGATGTTTTGGTTCTCTACCAGTTGTTGAAAGCTTTTGCTTAATATGAAATGAAGTTTGGGAGGTAGATGGAGTTTCTTGCCTGTGCCCTACTAAAAGGAGAACTCCCCAGTCTCCAGCCCCACCCTTCTTCTTTTTAATGAGTGTTCATTGCAGAACCCTGGGAACAAGCTTGAGAGAGAGCTGGGGCTCATCTCATGTTTCTGAGGCTCCCAGGGATACTGTCATACTAGCCCACACTTGCCCTTTAGAAATTCATTAACATTTTAGCTGTTTTCTTATTCCTGCTTTCATGATGGCTGCCTCTTCCTACTATGCCCTGCCAAAGGGGACAGTTTGTGTGACCCCTTTCTCCTTGGAAGGGCATGCCACTCTTGGTAAACTCAGTTCACTTCGTTGCCTTGTGTCCTTAGCTCTCTAATGAGTTCAATACAAGTATTATTTTGTTGATTATGAAGCTTTTCTTGTTGTTAGGATGAGAGTGATGTTCTCTGTGGTTTTCTGTATCTTACATGGATGTAGAACTGTGTTGCAACTTTTTAAGAGTCACTGGCTTAAAGGAAAATTTTGGTTGTAAATACAATTGCCAGTCAAAAATGAATGGAAACCAAATCAAAAGAAGGCAATAAAACCACAATCTAAAACTTAATAGGAAAACTGAGAGGACTTTAATTTTATTCTTTTCTTGGGTTGGCTGTGTTGGGCATTTTTCTTTGTTCCTTTGCAGGAAATACATGGCTACAATGGCAGGAATGTTGCAATAGAATAGCTTTATTCTGAGGTCTGGGGTAAGGGGGAGAGGAAGATTGGCTTCTCCCTGCCATAAATACCTTCAAGATAGGGTGATGAGAAAGAGAGAAAAATGAAAAAAAATACAAAAATGAGACAGTAGAATGGGCATTCTGGAGAAGTTTGCAGCTTCTCAGAAGAGGAGTACACAATGAAAGATCTTAAAGAAGGACTACTGATGTCTATGGGTCGAGAAGTACATCATTCTAATTCCACAACTTATTGATTTCCTAGCCATCTCGGGAGCATCACCTCAACTTTCAGCTTGCTTATATTAACCATGTACACCCTTGGTATTCAAAGGGTGGTCCAGGGGCCAGCAGCATCTGCACCCACTGAGATCTTGTTAGAAATGGAGAATCACAGGTCCCATCTCAGACCTGATGAATCAGAATCTGCATTTGAACAAGATCCCCGAGTAATTCTTGTGTACTAGAATGTCTAGAATGCACTAGATGCAGTGTTTTATGTAATCATGGCTTCTGTGTTTTTTTGCAGTCGACTTTGTATTTAATGAGATTAAAAACTTTCAAAGTCAAAATATTGTGAAGGTAACTCTACTGTAAGGAAAACCTGGTGGGGTGGGGGGTATAGTGCACAGAATTAAGGCATTTAAATGCATTTTCTAGTTAAATTATCAATTTAGTTGAACAATTATCATTGATATGCTTATTTAAAACTTATTACTTTTCAACTTTTTTTTTTGAGCTCTGTGCTCCTAGCATTTAAAAACATTAACTCTTTCTTGTAGCAGGGAATTTTCTGGTGCTTTCTCTCATAAAGAGATTTCTTTTTAGACCTATTGCTGTGATGGGAACATTTGTATACCCCCCAGAATTCATATGTTGAAACCCAACCCCCAAAGAGATGGTTTTAAGAGGGAGAGCCTTTGGGAGGTGATTAGATCATGAAAGTGGGGCCCTCATGAATGGAATTCATGCCCTAATAAAAGAAACCTATGGGAATTTTGCCCCTTCCATCATGTGAGGACATAGCAGGAAGGCACCATTCTATAAATCAGGAATAGGACCCTCACCAGATTCCGAATCTGCTGGCACTTTGATCTGAGACTTCCCAGCCTCCAGAACTGTGAGCAATAAATGTTGCTTATAAGCCATGCAGTCTATGGTATTTTATTATAGCAGCCCAAATGGACAGAGACTCACATGAAGCCTGCTTCCTAGGGCAATTCTGCCCTCTCCATATTGGTCTCAGATTAAGAAACAGGTTCCTGCATGAAGTTGCTATTGATGCTTCAAAAACCTGGCCCACAGGGTCATAGCAAGGACCCATTCCTCTGACAAGCTTCTTGCCAAGAGCTCTCAACTTTTTAATCTTCCTGACTTTGAGTATCTTGTTATTCAGTGAAGGGAGTGTGCTGCCAAAATTCTAGTTTTCTCAAATCTTGATAAAGGTTAATTTTACATTTATCCAAATTCTTAAGCTGTTCTCTTTCCTTTAATTCCATAGAAAATGCTAGCCGTGATTTCTGGATTAAAGCACCTGCTCTCCTTTTGTCTTTCCTTTTGTTTTTGGACTCAGGTATTTTAAACTCATTCCTTTCCCCACTTAGTGAGAGACATGAAGTCAAAACATCTGGCAACATCATTAATTTTTTTTTTAACATATCTTGTTCAATTTGGGACCATTACATATGTGTTCCAAGCAGGTAGCCAGAGAAGGGCACGAGGTCATGCCTCCCAGTGGAGTCAGCCCAGGTAAAGAGTTGTTCTGGTTGCCCTGGCCAGTGAATTCCAGCACAATCTCAATGGTCACCCTTAGCTGCAAAGGAGGATGAGAAATGTGTCTTTAAGTTGGGCATATTCTTTCTGCTAAATCCATTGGGGCTGGGCTTGCTATGGATGGAGAACTAAATGTAGACATCAGACCAACAGGGAGGTAAAGATTAGCAGTAGGACCAGTGCTGCTGTATTGGAGAATGAGCTTAAATTATGAACAGGTTCATCTACAATGACATCTCCTATTACTTTGATTGCTGAGATCTTCTTTCATGGAAAAGAAAAATATGAGCTGCTGAGACCAGAAATAGAGAAAAGGGGAGGTACCTAGACCACCATGTGCTTATACACTCTCAGGCCAGCAATTCAATTCACTCCCTTGAGGGAGCATGGAGGGATGTAGTGAGGTAGAAGAATCACCTTCTAGTAGTTTCAAGAAGATAAACGTTTTTGTTTTATGTGCCTAGGTAGTAGGAATGTTGAGAAGGAGAGAATGATGCTTCCTCTAATACTTATGTATGTATGTGTGTGAGGGTATATATTTGTGTGTGTGTGTGAGTGTATGTGTGTATATATAAAAATATCTGATTGTTATATATTATTACATATTGTGACAACTGTATTATATTAGTTGCTTTATATGTTTACTCAACTCCTGCTACTAATGACCTTGCAATGTGGTGATCTGCTATGGGAGCTGAGAAAAGGGAAAATTCATGTGTGTTTTGCAGTCCTGAAGCCCTTTTAAAGGAGATGGGCATGAACTGCTTATAGATCTTAAAGAATGGGTAGACTTGTTTCAGGTAAAGAGGAAGGGTGACTCAGGGTAAAGAAACAGCAAGGACCACAGCCACTAGGCCTTCAGCTGTTTCAGAAGCTCACTGCATGATTCATCATTAGATCCCTCTGCATTGCTTCTCAAGAAACAAACAAACAAGCAAATGCAGATGACTGGGCAGTAGCTCCTGTGATTACACATCCCGCTACTCCCCGCACTAGAGGAGTGTTTGAGGCAGGCGCTGTTGGTGTGTAGCAGGCTCTGGCCTCTCCTTACGTCCTTGTCGTCTTTGACTCCTGATGTAATGCTGATTTGGAAACTCTTAGCAATTAGCCCAGCTCCCTACCCAAGGCTCAGCCCGGGAGTTGGAGTTGACAGCTAATTGTTGCCACTGATTGCTTTGCTGACAGTGCTCTGTGGCTATTTTGGTTTTTCTTGAGAGTTCCTTAATTAGAGAAAATGACATCGTGTGCTGTCCAATCAGTTGCTTGTTGGATATTATTACATTTGTAGGAGAATCAGGTGACATTCGGGCTTGTTCCTGCCAAGCTGGTATGAGGTTGATGACCTGCAGCACAGTTTGCTTGGCAGAGCAGTTGTCCCCACAACAGCTGAGACCAGTTTGCCACTGACTTAAGGGAAGAGCATTCTGCATTCCCAGTGTGGACTCAAAGTACCCAGGACTCCTTCGGGGCAATGTCCCATTGAAACTTTACACCTCACAGTGGCCATTGCCTCATTAGAATGTTGACTTTCTTCTCCCTGAAATGAGATATTTCAGGATTCCTTTGATATTTGCCTTTCTGACGAACATGGAAAGACCCTTTTGTTTTTCCATGGGAGAGATACAAATAGGACCTGAAGATGAATTTCCATTTGGTGAAACTTTAAATGTGGTTTCTCATATAGTATAGTAAGATCTCACTACACTGCTTTAACTAACAGGAAGGATGATCTTAAATTAGAAAATATTTTGAGTTATAAGATAAATTTGAAGAGTTTTACAACTCTGAAATCCACAGAATAATTTTTACATGCTGATTTTTAGGTAGCAGTCCCTTCTGAGGCTATAATTTGAATATAATTCAATTCAATAATTTGAATTATTTTGGAATAGCACATACCTACTTTATGTGTTTATTTACACATAAACTAGGTAGGAAAGTTTTATACATAAGATTGTCAAATGAGCACTGACCTTTCTAGTTCCTTATTTCTGACATTAATTCATTGCATCAAAGATTTATTGAGCCTTCAGGGGTACCCTTGGTCTTAACAAAGAAGTATGGGACACAGTTTCTGTCCTCAAGAAACTTACAGCCTAGCTGGGAAGTTAACATTCTCAAGTGAGACCTCGTGACTTCCTCGAAGGGATCTTTGAGGAAGATGTAGCTTTTCTCCTGGAGTTATCAGTGTTGGAACAGAGAGTAAAGAATGCAGGATTGATCCAGGGTTGAAAAGATAAGAGGAGAAGAATATTGAGGATCTATGGAGAGTTCATAACGTTCTCAGATTGGGCACAGAAGGAAGGAGACCAAGGTGTATTTGTGTCTGTGTTGGGGGAGTAGGGGTTGACCATAAAGTTGGAGAAAGTGGTTAATGGATATGGTGGATGGGTAGAAGTCAAAGAGGACTCCGTGAGGTCAAGAAAGAAATGAAGAGTAGGTAAGTTTCAAGAGAGATCAAACAATGTCTCTTGTCCATGTTTCCTGTGGGTCTGTCTTTGCCTCCTCAACTACATGATTAAAAAGGAACCAGACGTGACATTTCTCTTGTGTATCCTTCCCTGAAGAAATTCACAGCTTATTCATGGGATATATGAAGATCATTTGGTTGAAATTATCAACTTTCTTGTACATATATAGAAATGATTGAGTTGCTCATTGGTTAGTGTGTATGGTGACCTCCAAAGTGTTTCCTGATGTAATCTTATGTGGTATAAACACCCACAAACACAATGAAGAAGAGGAAGTCCCCATCACCTGATAATTGTTCATTACTTTTAAGTAAAGGAAAATTGTTATCTCTAGGGAAACGTCAGAGAGACCCACAGGCTGGAGGTGATTTTGCCTTACCAGTAAAGCCAAAGTTGCTGTTCTTTCCCACAGGCCGACAGCTCTCCTTTTACTCTTCCTGGTTTTTCAGGCTAAGTGTATTTGAAGGCCCAAATGAACAGCTTAAACTTCTTTCTGATCCTGTTACTGTTTTCCTGCTCAACACTCAACTTATTCTCATGTTTATATTTAACCAATGTAATCCTCATGAAAGACTTTTATAGTTGAAGTCACAGTGAAAACTAGAGAATAAAATTTTAATTAAAAAACCAAATTTAAAAAGCTCAGACTTTATGATGTCATAATTACTCTATATTCTTGGATATTTTATAATTGCTGATCCCTGGGCACCACACCTGTTGGGGGTAGCAACTATTTGGGGTCAGTGGCAAGGGCAGTAAAGGAATTTACCAAGACAGTTGTAGGTAAAGAAAGGCAGATTTGTTAGAGAAAGTATGCAAATATGTTGCAAGTATGCAATGGGTAGCACAGCAGAGAAAGGGCTGTGTGCAAAGAGGCAAGGGTTGGAGGGAAGTTTTATAACATCTTGCTGGAGGGTGCTACGTGTTTGTGATTAGCTATTTCTCAGAACAGTTGGTCATTTCTCTCCCCACAGTGGGGCCCTCCCCAACCTGGGGCCCCTTCCTCGTTGTTGCTTACTTATCTTATCAGGACTCCACAACACCCACTGTAAGTCCCTCGATATAGTGTCTTCTATTCATCTTGGCTACCCAAGTGCTCCCCAGTACTGGGGGACACAGTGGGGCCTTACAGTTGCCTGTGCCCCTGAAGTGAATGTGTCTCATGTACAGCTCGAACATACCAGCAGTGCCTACTGTAAGAGCTTTTTTCCTGAGGTAGCATTTTAAAATTCCTTAAGCTGTATCCCAGACATGAAAGACTTGACCTGAATCATGTGGTTACCATGGCATCTAAAGAGAGCCCTTAGAAGCTCATCGATTTCTCCAGACAGAAAGACGGTAAACTGCTCCAATAGAACATTTTCTACCTTGCAGGCTGAGAATAAAAAGTATATTTACCTGAAACAGCAAATCTGATCTTCAAAACTTCTCTTAAGCATAATCTTTTATGAGATATTTGCTGAAAATTGCTCACTGGTTTATATGCTCCAGCACTGACTTGTAGCAGCTTTTCTTTCATCTCTGACCTGGAAGCTTCTTTTCAAATAAAATAGAAATATGAAGGACCCCAGCTAAGAAATCTCTTCCAATTTCAGAGAAGGGTTGAACTACCTTGAGCTTTCCTCCTTATTCAGGGAGACGGAAACAAAAACAGGTCTACCCTGAATAAAATGGCAGGTCCACTTTGTGCACAGGCAACCTCTCCCCTTCTGACACAGGTCTTTGATGTTAATCTAATTCTCATTAATTGCTAACTCTAAAGCAACAGAGCTTAAATCTTTGAAAGGATTGCTTTTTATACAATCTTATTGTCTGAAATTTGTGCTTAATAGAAAGGTCATTGGACCACCAGCTTTTTGCCTTAGAGTTGGTAGGTAGGGATTGTCTAAGTCATTAATTTCTATTGCTTGAGATTTGTATAACACTTGGCAGTATTCAAAACACTTTTACATCCATTGTTATTTGAGCCACAATGGAGTAACAATGCCGTGAGGCAGAGAGACAGATATTTTTTAAAAATTACCCTTCTCCACTTTTTTATTTTTTGAATTAGAGGATTGAAGGTATAGGAGAGACAAAACTTTTCCTCTTCCCTTTTAGGGCTTGTGTGTGTGTGTGTGTGTGTGTGTGTGTGTGTGTGTGTGTGTGTGTGTGTAGGGGGGCGGGGGTGGAGGTGGGGGTGGTAGCTGGGCTTGGGAATTCAGATAAACAGGAGAAACCCAAATCTATTTAATACAAGTTTTATGTGGCCTAGGGGCCCTTACAAGGAAATGAAGACCCAAAGAAGCAGTAAGAATCAGTTACTTCTACACTGAATTGGACAAAGACTAGTAAATTGTGAAACGGTGTCAAGGCAAAGGGGCTTGGTCTGGGGTAGTTAATTGGGTAGAGAAGCAACTAGGAAAATAAGGGTGAGTTTATCAAGGTTTGTTTGTACAGATTTCTATTGGCCTCAACTTCTTTTCCTTGATGTTAGGAATGTTGCTTTCCTTCTGGTATAAGGAGGACATTTTTTTCACCTGGGAGTTTTATCTCCTGCTTTTAAGAAACAGAAGGAAGGCCAGAATGATCTTGCATGTCTTTTTTTTTTTTTTTTTTAACTGCCTTTAATTCAGAGTCATCAATATGCCAGAACAGCATATTTTGGAGTGGCACATTCTTAATTATTTTAGAGTTTGTGCCTTTTAAAAAAATCAGTTCTTACCAGTGGCAGACCTAGAACTAGAACCTATTCCTGTCCCTAAGGGTTGCTCAGTCATGATGGGCCAAGTATGAGTATGGGAACGGAGAGCTCATAGATTGTTTGGGAATTGTCTGCTTGCTTGTCTGTCTCCTTGATTTGACTTTCAGCTCCTTGAAGGTGGAGGTCCTCTTATTTATTTTTGGATCCTCAGTGACTAGAATAATGGCCAGCACATAATAGGTGCTCGATTAACATTGCTAAGAAACAAGTAATAATGTCAACATTTTCACCTCTGCTTATCCCACCTCTTACACATGCCAAAGGCATAGAAAATGTTGAATGGAAGAATTATATCTACAATAAATAGGCAAAAATATGGGTATAGAGGGGGAAGCTTAGGTTGCTGATTTGCCAAAAGCACTGGCTAAAGGACACTGAATGGCTGTAGAAAAGCACAAAAGAAACTGAAAATCTAGCTCCTGCCTTCAGGGAGCTCAAAGTGTACTCAGAAACAGAACACCCACCATGAAAATGATGAGTAAAGTCACTGTCAGTCTGTTTGGTTGGCCCTGCCTTCTTGGAAACTCAAAGTTTGGGGGAGGGTGTGGACATGCACTGCAAAAAACCTTAATCTCAGAGGGAGGAGGAAGTAGAAGGACTCTAGTGTCATTGTCTTTGTTTGGTTCTATAATTACCTGCACCTACATACAAGTGTTTTTATGGATGAAAATAAATTCAGCAACTGGTCGAGGGATGAATCATTCTAATTAACTGGAATAGAAGGTGATCCTTGACAAAGCTGCATTTGGCATTTTTCTTTAAATAGTCAAGTAATCATGCTGTAGTTTAGCGTCAGCAAACAATTGTTTCCAACCTTATCCCTACCAGAGCTAACATTTTCCAAGTCCTTTAGAGCTGTACTTTTCAAGGTTCAGTCCTCAAGCCACATGCTTATGTATCAACTGATGAAATTCGGATTCAGGCACCTGAGAATCTGCTTCTTTTCCCCTTAGTAAACATTTTATCTTGGAATAATTTTATATTTACAGAAATATTGCAAATGTTGAAACAAAATGTTGCAAATGTAGTACAAAGAGTTCCTGTATTTCCTTCACCCAGCTTTTTCTAACTTCTTATAGACCAAATAATTTGTCAAAATTAATAAATAAACATTGGTATAGTAATACGAACCAAGCTACAGACTATTCAGATTTCACCAATTTTTCCACTACTGCCCTTTTTTCTGTTTAATCCAGGCTATCACATTACATTTAGTCCTCATATCTCCTTAGTCTCCTTGGATCTGCGATAGTTTTTTAGTCTTTCCTTGAATCTGCATTTTTAATAAGCTCTCCAGGTGGTTCTCAGACACTAGAAGTGAACACCATTGCTCTTTCAAAGCCAGGGCACACCTCACAGGTGCTGATAAGGGACTTCCCTGGCCTGAGCGGTGCCTTGTGCTCTTCATCCCAAGTCATGCCGGTATCACTGAGGGACCCAGCAGGACACATAAGGCATACTCTGGAGAGAAGTTAACAAATGTAACAAAGCACTATTTACAGAAGTGTAGACAGAAATAAACGAACAAATAAGGGTTGTTAAGGCAACCAGGAACTATTTACAGTAAAAAGCTTTGATTCACTTTGGGAAGCGGGAAGAGGAGTTGGAGCCACCCAGCGGGAGCAGTAGTAAGAGATGTGCCATTGGAGAACCAGCTTCTGTCAGAACCACCAGACTCTGAAGTACAGAGGAGTGGAGGGGGTCAGACCCTGGACTTACCTCCTCTAGCTCGGATCTTCTACTGGTGCCTCCTGTTAGAGGAACTCAACAAGAAGCCAGAGGGCAGGGAATGGACCATACTGTTCCCGGGCACAGAGAGGGGAGAGAAAGGTGGAGAACTGATCTAGAGGCTAGGTCTAGGGAGGAGATGAAGTGACAATAACCAGAATTTGTTTTAAAGTAGAATGCAGAAGAGATAGCCTGGCTAGTTAACTGTGCCTGGATTAAAACTTGTGCTCTGTTTATTAATTTATAGCTACTATGTTATTAGGGGCCCATTGCTTACTTTAAAAAAAAAAAGAGAACCAATGAAAACATTACGTTTAGCCTTGGAAACTGTACAGCTTGTCAACTTGTTGCAAATTCAACAAATATCCTTTTAGTGGGTTAATGATATGAGGAAAAACCATAGCTTCCAGCTAAATAAGTAAATATTCAAACTGAAGAAAAGAAGTGCCATCTGAGATACAGTCTTAGAATTGATCATGGATTTTGAGAGCGACATATACTACCTTGTAAGGTTTGGATAAAACAGTGCTTTTTTTTCCATTTTGTTAACTCTCCAGTTTTTTTTTTTTATTATTATACTTTAAGTTTTAGGGTACATGTGCACAACGTGCAGGTTAGTTACATATATATACATGTGCCATGTTGGTGTGCTGCACCCATTAACTCGTCATTTACATTAGGTATATCTCCTAATGCTATCCCTCCCCCCTGCCCCCCCACCCCACAACAGGCCCCAGTGTGTGATGTTCCCCTTCCTGTGTCCATGTGTTCTCATTGTTCAATTCCCACCTATGAGTGAGAACATGCGGTGTTTGGTTTTTTTGTCCTTGCGATAGTTTGCTGAGAATGATGGTTTCCAGCTTCATCCATGTCCCTACAAAGGACACGAAGTCATCATTTTTTATGGAGGCATAGTATTCCATGGTGTATATGTGCCACATTTTCTTAATCCAGTCTATCATTGTTGGACATTTGGGTTAGTTCCAAGTCTTTGCTATTGTCAATAGTGCCGCAATAAACATACGTGTGCATATGTCTTTATAGCAGCATGATTTATAATCCTTTGGGTATATACCCAGTAATGGGATGGTTGGGTCAAATGGTATTTCTAGTTCTAGATCCCTGAGGAATCACCACACTGACTTCCACAATGGTTGAACTAGTTTACAGTCCCACCAACAGTGTAAAAGTCTTCCTATTTCTCCACATCCTCTCCAGCACCTGTTGTTTCCTGACTTTTGAATGATCGCCATTCTAACTGGTGTGAGATAGTATCTCATTGTGGTTTTGATTTGCATTTCTCTGATGGCCAGTAATGATGAGCATTTTTTCATGTGTCTTTTGGCTGCATAAATGTCTTCTTTTGAGAATTGTCTGTTCATATCCTTCGCCCACTTGTTGATGGGGTTGTTTTTTTCTTGTAAATTTGTTTGAGTTCATTGTAGATTCTGGATATTAGCCCTTTGTCAGATGAGTAGATTGCAAAAATTTTCTCCCATTTTGTAGGTTGCCTGTTCACTCTGATGGTAATTTCTTTGGCTGTGCAGAAGCTCTTTAGTTTCATTAGATCCCATTTGTCAATTTTGGCTTTTGCTGCCATTGCTTTTGGTGTTTTAGACATGAAGTCCTTGCCCACGACTATGTCCTGAATGGTATTGCCTAGGTTTTCTTCTAGGATTTTTATGGTTTTAGGTCTAACGTTTAAATCTTTAATCCATCTTGAATTGATTTTTGTATAAGGTGTAAGGAAGGGATCCAGTTTCAGCTTTCTACATATGGCTAGCCAGTTTTCCCAGCACCATTTATTAAATAGGGAATCCTTTCCCCATTGCTTGTTTTTGTCAGATTTGTCAAAGATCAGATAGTTGTAGATATGTGGCATTATTTCTGAGGGCTCTGTTCTGTTCCATTGGTCTGTATCTCTGTTTTGGTACCAGTACCATGCTGTTTTGGTTACTGTAGCCTTGTAGTATAGTTTGAAGTCAGGTAGTGTGACACCTCCAGCTTTGTTCTTTTGGCTTAGGATTGACTTGGCGATGCGGGCTCTTTTTTGGTTCCATATGAACTTTAAAGTAGTTTTTTCCAATTCTGTGAAGAAAGTCATTGGTAGCTTGATGGGGATGGCACTGAATCTATAAATTACCTTGGGCAGTATGGCCATTTTCACAATATTGATTCTTCCTACCCATGAGCATGGAATGTTCTTCCATTTGTTTGTATCCTCTTTTATTTCCTTGAGCAGTGGTTTGTAGTTCGCCTTGAAGAGGTCCTTCACATCCCTTGTAAGTTGGATTCCTAAGTATTTTATTCTCTTTGAAGCAGTTGTGAATGGGAGTTCACTCATGATTTGGCTCTCTCTTTGTCTGTTGTTGGTGTATAAGAATGCTTGTGATTTTTGTACATTGATTTTGTATCCTGAGACTTTGCTGAAGTTGCTTATCAGCTTAAGGAGATTTTGGGCTGAGACAGTGGGGTTTTCTAGATATACAATCATGTCGTCTGCAAACAGGGACAATTTGACTTCCTCTTTTCCTAATTGAATACCCTTTATTTCCTTCTCCTGCCTAATTGCCCTGGCCAGAACTTCCAACACTATGTTGAATAGGAGTGGTGAGAGAGGGCATCCCTGTCTTGTGCCAGTTTTCAAAGGGAATGCTTCCAGTTTTTGCCCATTCAGTATGATATTGGCTGTGCGTTTGTCATAAATAGCTCTTATTATTTTGAGATACGTCCCATCAATACCGAATTTATTGAGAGGTTTTAGCATGAAGGGTTGTTGAATTTTGTCAAAGGCCTTTTCTGCATCTATTGAGATAATCATGTGGTTTTTGTCATTGGTTCTGTTTATATGCTGGATTGCATTTATTGATTTGCGTATGTTGAACCAGTCTTGCATCCCAGGGATGAAGCCCACTTGATCATGGTGGATAAGCTTGTTGATGTGCTGCTAGATTCAGTTTGCCAGTATTTTATTGAGGATTTTTGCATCGATGTTCATCAGGGATATTGGTCTAAAATTCTCTTTTTGTTGTGTCTCTGCCAGGCTTTGGTATCAGGATGATGCTGGCCTCATAAAATGAGTTAGGGAGGATTCCCTCTTTTTCTATTGATTGGAATAGTTTCAGAAGGAATGGTACCTGCTCCTCCTTGTACCTCTGGTAGAATTCGGCTGTGAATCCATCTGGTCCTGGAATCTTTTTGGTTGTTAAGCTATTAATTATTGCCTCAATTTCAGAGCCTGTTATTGGACTATTCAGAGATTCAACTTCTTCCTGGTTTAGTCTTGGGAGAGTGTATATGTCGAGGAATTTATCCATTTCTTCCAGATTTTCTAGTTTATTTGCATAGAGGTGTTTATAGTATTCTCTGATGGTAGTTTGTATTTCTGTGGGATCGGTGGTGATATCCCCTTTATCATTTTTTATTGCATCTGTTTGATTCTTCTCTCTTGTCTTCTTTATTAGTCTTGCTAGTGGTCTATCAATTTTGTTGATCTTTTCAAGAAACCAGCTCCTGGATTCATTGATTTTTTGAAGGTTTTTTTTTGTGTCTCTGTTTCCTTCAGTTCTGCTCTGATCTTAGTTACTTCTTGCCTTCTGCTAGCTTTTGAATGTGTTTGCTCTTGCTTCTCTAGTTCTTTTAATTGTGATGTTAGGGTGTCAATTTTAGATCTTTCCTGCTTTCTCTTGTGGGCCCTTAGTGCTCTAAATTTCCCTCTACACACTGCTTTGAATGTGTCCCAGAGATTCTGGTATGTTGTGTCTTTGTTCTCGTTGGTTTCAAAGAACATCTTTATTTCTGCCTTTATTTCGTTATGTACACAGTAGTCATTCAGGAGCAGGTTGTTCAGTTTCCATGTAGTTGAGCGGTTTTGAATGCGTTTCTTAATCCTGAGTTCTAGTTTGATTGCACTGTGGTCTGAGAGGCAGTTGGTTATAATTTCTGATCTTTTACATTTGCTGAGGAGTGCTTTACTTCCAACTATGTGGTCAGTTTTGGAATAGGTGTGGTGTGGTGCTGAAAAAAATGTATATTCTGTTGATTTGGGGTGGAGAGTTCTCTAGATGTCTATTAGGTCTGCTTGGTGCAGAGCCGAGTTCAATTCCTGGATATCCTTGTTAACTTTCTGTCTCATTGATCTGTCTAATGTTGACAGTGGGGTGTTAAAGTCTCCCATTATTATTGTGTGGGAGTCTAAGTCTCTTTCTAGGTCTCTAAGAACTTGCTTTATGAATCTGGGTGCTCCTGTATTGGGTGCATATATATTTAGGATAGTTAGCTCTTCTTGTTGAATTGATCCCTTTACCATTATGTAATGGCCTTCTTTGTCTCTTTTGATCTTTGTTGGTTTAAATTCTGTTTTATTAGAGACTAGGATTGCAACCTCTGCCCTTTTTTGTTTTCCATTTGCTTGGTAGATCTTCCTCCATCCCTTTATTTTGAGCCTATGTGTGTCTTTGCATGTGAGATGGGTTTCCTGAATACAGCACACTGATGGGTCTTGACTCTTTATCCAATTTGCCAGTCTGTGTCTTTTAATTGGAGCATTTAGCCCATTTACATTTAAGGTTAATATTGTTATGTGTGAATTTGATCCTGTCATTATGATGTTAGCTGGTTATTTTGCTCATTAGTTGATGTAGTTTCTTCCTAGCCTCTATGGTCTTTACAATTTGGCATGTTTTTGCAGTGGCTGGTACCAGTTGTTCCTTTCCAGGTTTAGTGCTTCCCTCAGGAGCTCTTTTAGGTTAGGCCTGGTGGTGACAAAATCTCTCAGCATTTGCTTGTCTGTAAAGTATTTTATTTCTCCTTCACTTATGAAGCTTAGTTTGGCTGGATATGAAATTCTGGGTTGAAAATTCTTTTCTTTAAGAATGTCGAATATTGACCCCCACTCTCTTCTGGCTTGTAGAGTTTCTGCTGAGAGATCAGCTGTTAGTCTGATGGGCTTCCCTTTGTGGGTAACCCGACCTTTTTCTCTGGCTGCCCTTAACATTTTTTCCATCATTTCAACTTTGGTGAATCTGACAATTATGTGTCTTGGAGTTGCTCTTCTCGAGGAGTATCTTTGTGGCATTCTCTGTATTTCCTGAATTTGAATGTTGGCCTGCCTTGCCAGATTGGGGAAGTTCTCCTGGACAATATCCTGCAGAGTGTTTTCCAGCTTGGTTCCATTCTCCCCATCACTTTCAGGTACACCAATCAGACGTAGATTTGGTCTTTTCACATAGTCCCATATTTCTTGGAGACTTTGTTCATTTCTTTTTATTCTTTTTTCTCTAAACTTCTCTTCTCACTTCATTTCATTCATTTGATCTTCCATCACTGATACCCTTTCTTCCAGTTGATCGAATCAGCTACTGAGGCTTGTGCGTTCATCACGTAGTTCTCGTGCCATGGTTTTCAGCTCCATCAGGTCCTTTAAGGACTTCTCTGCATTGGTTATTCTAGTTAGCCATTCATCTAATCTTTTTTCAAGGTTTTTAACTTCTTTGCCATGGGTTCAAACTTCCTCCTTTAGCTCAGAGTAGTTTGATCATCTGAAGCCTTCTTCTCTCTACTCATCAAAGTCATTCTCCGTCTGGCTTTGTTCCGTTGCTGGTGAGGAGCTGTATTCCTTTGGAGGAGGAGAGGCACTCTGATTTTTAGATTTTTCAGTTTTTCTGCTCTGTTTCTTCCCCATCTTTGTGGTTTTGTCTACCTTTGGTCTTTGATGATGGTGACGTACAGATGGGGTTTTGGTGTGGCTGTCCTTTCTGTTTGTTAGTTTTCCTTCTAACAGTCAGGACCCTCAGCTGCATGTCTGTTGGAGTTTGCCGGAGGTCCACTCCAGACCCTGTTTGCCTGGGTATCAGCAGCAGAGGCTGCAGAACAGCAGATATTGGTGAACAGCAAGTGTTGTTGCCTGATCATTCCTCTGGAAGTTTTGTCTCAGAGGACTACCCAGCTGTGTGAGGTGTCAGTCTGCTCCTACTGGGGGATGCCTCCCAGTTAGGCTATTCGGGGTTCAGGGACCCACTTGAGGCAGTCTATCCATTCTCAGATCTCAAGCTGTGTGCTGGGAGAACCACTACTCTCTTCAAAGCTGTCAGACAGGGACATTTAAGTCTGCAGAGGTTTCTGCTGCCTTTTGTTTGGCTATGCCCCACCCCCAGAAGTGGAGTCTACAGAGGCAGGCAGGCCTCCTTGAGCTGCAGTGGGCTCTACCCAGATTGAGCTTCCCAGCTGCTTTGGCTGGGAATGGCGGGCACCCCTCGGCAATGGCGGGTACCCCTCCCCCAGCCTCGCTGCCATCTTGCAGTTTGATCTCAGACTGCTGTGCTAGCAATGAGCACGGCTCCGTGGGTGTAGGACCCTCTGAGCCAGGCGCGGAATATGGTCTCCTGGTGTGCTGTTTGCTAAGACTGTGAGAAAAGCGCAGTATTAGGGTGGGAGTGACCCGATTTTCCAGGTGCCATCCGTCATCCCTAGGAAAGGGAACTCCCCAACCCCTTGCACTTCCTGGGTGAGGCAATGCCTCGCCCTGCTTCGGCTCACGCTCGGTGCGCTGGACCCACTGTCCTGCACCCACTGTCCGACAATCCCCAGTGAGATACACCCGGTACCTCAGTTGGAACTGCAGAAATCGTTCGTCTTCTGCGTCGCTCATGCAGGGAGCTGTAGACTGGAGCTGTTCCTATTCTGCCATCTTGGTTCCACCCCCAACTCTCCAGTTTTTGAAAGGAGAGATGATTACCCTTTCTGCAGTATAGTGAATCAAACTCTAGGAACTAAAGAAAAAGATTCAGAAAAATGTTTTTCGATTTTTTTTTTGTAATTGCAAAGGAATAAGCACTTGAATGTTATTATTTTATTTTTAGAGAATAATAGCCTACTTTTATTTTTTATTAATTTTTTTATTTTCCATACATATAGCTGCTTTTATTTTATTGAATTTCAATAGGTTTTGGGGGAACAGGTGGAGTTTGGTTACATTGATAAGTTCTTTCGTGGTGATTTCTGAGATTTTGGTGCACCCATCACCCAAGCAGTGTACACTGTACCCAAGGTGTAGTCTTTTATTCCTCACCTCCCTACCCTTTCCCCCGAGTCCCCAAAGTCCATTGTATCATTCTTATGCCTTTGCATCCTCATAGCTTAGCTCCCAATTACGCGTGAGAACATATGATGTTTGGTTTTCCATTCCTGAGTTACTTCACTTAGAATAATGGTCTCCAATTCCATCCAGGTTGCTGTGAATGCCATTACTTCATTCTTTTTTATGGCTGGGTAGTATTCCATGGTATGTATGTATGCATATATATATATACCACAATTTCTTTATCTTCTCATTGATTGTTGGGCATTTGGGCTGGTTCTATATTTTTGCAATTGTGAATTGTGCTGGTATAAACATATGTGTGCAAGTATCTTTTTCATGTAACGACTTCTAAAGAGCTCATATTATTCAAGCATCCATGGGACTTATGTGGAATCACTAGTCTTTAGAACTGGACTTTCTTGGGCTTTTTTTTTTTTTTTTTTTTTTGATGGTGAGTGTGAGTGGGTATGATTTTTTCCCCCTCATTTCAAACCAGGAGTAGAAGTTAGAAAAGAGGAATATTAGCTGTAATTTGCATTTTTTGCCATTAAGTTTGACATTAAATACACTAAGTTTGCTAAAAGAGAAGGCTAGTGGAAGTTTGTTTTACTCATGCATATTTTTCATAGGTATAGGTCTTTTGTGTTTGCTCATCATTCTTAGCCAGGAAAGGGACACCTTTATCTTTATTTTAAAAACTGGTTACACTGGGGTCTTGGCTGGAAACTGAATCTGCCTCCGAGGGTTTGAATGAAGAGAGTCTAATGAAGGGACTACTGCAGACCCCTGGGGAGGATTATAGAGATAAACAGAGGGTGATCTGGCTCCCAAAAACTAGCAGCAGGGGTAAGCCATCGCCATCCTTGGGCCACAGAAACAAGAGGAGCAAATTGTGGAGACCCATGAGGGTTGTAATCATGATGGAAGGGCCACTGAGCAGAAGCCAGAGCTGTGAAGGGACATACCCATTGTGGGACACTGCAGAGAAGTGGAGAGGGTAGGAGAAACAGCACCCCATTGCACTGCTCCCACTCCCCACCTTTGGCTGGTGCTACCCTTCATCAAACCTAACAGAAGCCAGGGGTCATGGCAGTGTAGATAACTTTGGGACAGTGAGAGGTGGAGTATGGCTGGAAGAATTGTGGGGTGGGGAGAGACAGGGAATACCAGCAAAATCGCCCATTGCAATTGAGCCCCCCAAATTATTACTTGTGACATTAGGTTTGCAGGAAATGCAAAGCAGATGCATTAAATTAACGAGTAAATCCATCTTTTAAAAAAGAGTCAGTTTTATTGTTTTAAAATGACTTGCTATTCCCCTAGCCTGTTCTGAAGTTCTGGTGCATAAAGACCCTGTTTGCCTGAGTTTTCTTAGCCTCATTATGGTGGTGAAAAAGGTGTTGATCTTTAAGAATGTGGAGCCTGCATTTGACCTCAAGGGGCCTGGAGGGATGGCACAGCTGTTATTGGTTGCCCCAGCTGGCATTTTCAGAGTTAAAAATGGCTGTCATTACCTGAATGCTCTTATTGTCCTAATGGGCTATTTCTGTTGGAGTGAAATGTAATTACTAAATAATCATTTCCAGTTGTTCGTTGATTATTTGTGCATACATTATTTAATGAAAATAGACTCAGATGACCCAGTGGTAGAAAGGCATGTTTCTGGGAAAAACATCCACTGTAGCCTCTCATACCCCCAGCTGTAGATTATTGGAAAACAAAAGCAAAACAACACGATCTTAAATGCTCTTGGCAACTTTAACCAAACCTGGTCCCAGGATCATTTAAGAACTTCTGCTGCGAGGCTCAGAGAAATAGAGCTGAAAATAGACCAGTTGCAGCAGATTCAGTGGAGCGACCTGAAAATGTTTTCTTTAGCAGGGAGTTTTTAGTGAGCAACAAAACGCCATGCCGAGAAGATTACATTCTTGGGAAAAGAAATTTGTGTTTGATTTTCCTTTTCCGGTGGACTACCTCTCTGAAGTACTTTGCATCAAGTCTTTAAACATGATACAGTGAAAGCTTCTCAGCCTCCTATCTGCAGTGATGTTTTTGTCTTATTTAACCCAACCTTTTCTTCCCCTATTGGTGATGGGTTCTTGGGCAAAGCTACCTTCATCTAAAAGGTTCCAGGAAAAAAAAAATAAAAGCATGCTCTTTAAAAATATTATTTATGTATTTACATTGTTCATTAGTTTACACTGTGTTTCCTTTGTTCCCTAGCCTGGAACAATGTCCGGCCTGGCTTTGTCCTCAGCCATATTGCCTGCTCTCTTTATATCACAAAATGTTAAGTTAAAACGTCAAAAAGTGGTCAAAAGCTATTCTTTCTAGTGGCTGATTGGCTTAAATAAAGTTTGAGAGTCTTTGACTCTCAGAGCTTAAATGAGCTTAATGGAAATTTTGAGCAAAGCTTAAAAAGCCAAATCTGTCTATCATGGCTTGTGAAAGGAATGTCATGACTCTGAGTAGCTGGAATCCATAAGCTGCTCATAGTTACTGACTCTAAGTAGATACCAAGGCCTATCTTGCTCTTATTGATCTGACCTGTGCAAAGTGTTCGAGCAGGCAGGTAGTAGTTAATGCAACGCCATGCTAGCTTGTGCTTTAACCTAAGTTAAGAACCTGAAGCCCGTGATAATGGGGATTAGCACTGATGTAAAGATAATCTCTGTCCTTTGCAGCTATTCTTGTCTGTGTCAGGATTATTTTCCAAATCACCGTGGTTGTAACATTGATGCATCTTTAACTCTGCTGCCTGCCATAGTCCCTGGAGGACCGTTAGTTGCCATGGTTGTCTCTTCTAGCTCTGAAAGATACATCCTTCCTTTTCCACCGTTAGTTTCATAGGCAAGGACCTTCTTTCTGCCCTGACTTGTCAAGATGACCTCCAACAAGTCTGCCTCCTCTTGCCACAGTAGGCTTCCTAGACCTAGGTCATATTTATCAGGATCTGCCTCTGCTTAAAAACTCTCAGCCAGTTGTTACCTGCAGAGTAAAACCCCTGTCAGTAACCAAAGAAGATATTGTTGTGAGCAACAGCTATGGGCAAGATCCAATGCTCGGTGCTGTAGGAACCCAGATCATGTCCACTTGCTTCTTCACCTTGTGTCCTTGGTTAGTTTATAATTTCCTGTAGGTCAGGAATTATACTTGATGTGTAGAAGTGCCCAGCAACAAGACTGGCTTTTCATCAGCATTCTTGATTACATAGCTTCAGTTGATGATAGCTCATTAAGGCATACAGCCTGGAAACTTATATACGTAGTCCTCTCAAGGCTGTTAGATGTGGCTCCTAATATTTTTGAAACTGTCTATTTAGAATTCTCTTCAGGTCTCCTGAGTTATGAAAAGAGTCTTGTTACTCCATCCTTTTGTTCAAGACAATTTACTGAATGCCTGCTTAGTACCAGGCACCATGCCAAGCCCTTGGTATGCCAAAATGTGTGAAAGCCCACAGAACAGACTGCCAGGAACACACCAGAGGCAAACAAACTTAGCTTTATTACCTTGCTGCTGCAGTAAGAGAGAGTCACACTGTGGAGAGGTGTGGGGCATTTCAACAGGTGGAAGCTTGGGAAGAATATCTATAGAGTTTGCAGGGCAGAAGTTAGTTATAGGATGCTCTTAGAAGAGATTGCTCGGAATTCATAAACCAGGAAGTTGCTGGAACAATTGGTGCTCTTATCTTGAGGACACGTGACTCTGTGGTGTTATAGGTAGATCAGTTTGTCTGTGGCCTTATTTAGAACATATGTGATATAGTTTGGATATATGTCTCCACCCAAATCTCATGTTTGGGAAATGTAAGCCCCAGTGTTGAAGGTGGGGCCTGGTGGGAGGTGTTTGGATCATGGGGGTGAATCCCTCATGAATGGCTTTGGCCATCCTCTTGGTGATGAGTGAGCTCTTGCTCTGAGTTCGCAGGAGATCTGGTTGTATAAAAGTGTGTGGCACCTCCCCTTTCTCTTGCTCCTGTTTTCGCCATGTGATGTGCCTGCTACCCCTTTGCCTTCCACCATGACTGGAAGCTTCCTGAGGCCTCCCCAGAAGCATATGCCACTGTGCTTCCTATACAGCCTGCAGAACCGTGAGCCAATTAAATCTCTTTTCTTATAAATTACCCAGGCTCAGGTATTTCTTTATATCAGTGCAAGAATGGCTGAATAAAATATGTGTCTGAATGAGCAGGTATAGAGTCCGGGTTTAGTTTGTTTTGCATGTCATGGCTTATACAGGTTTTCAATGTTGTGAATAATAATCTAATTTTGCAAGTTATGGTTTTGGTTTGAATTTTCAGATCCTTCTCGCATCTTAGTTGCCAGCTGAATTGGCTTTCCCTTCATCAGAAGGATAATGACAGAGTTCCTGTTCTCAAGAAGTCCCCAGTCTGGGCTATTGTAATATAATTTGATGTGTACCATAATAGAGATAATAAATAAGCTGTTACTGAGTTCAGAAGAAGCAAACTTTTTAAAAAAACTATAACTTTGTTGAAATCCTACCATATACAAGGCTCTACACAATTAGGCACTGCTCAAGTGCCATACATTGTTTGATCCTCAGCAATCCTACAAAGTAGCTGTTATTTTTCTTTCAAATTTTAAAGACAAAAAAGTGAGATGCAAAAAAAGTTAGATGGGCCACTCAAGGTCACCCAGCTAAGAGATGGTTTTAGGACTTTATTAAACAAATACTTGCTGGGTATTGTTCTAGGTGCTTTATATAAGCTCCAAAGTAGACCTCTGAAGTAGCTACTACTCTATTCTATTTCATCATTGAGAGTAATGAGCCTTGGGGATATGAAGGAACTGGTCTAAAGGCACAAGGCTCATGACCATGTAGTAGAGGCAGGATTCAGACCCCAGCCATGTGGCTCTCCGGGCCATGCACATGGCAACCTTGCCCTGCTGCTTCTCCTCAGCCCTTGTCATTGGACTTTCATGTCTGTGTCTTTAACCACTGTGCTAGTGTGGCTCACAGACAGGAGAAGCTTCACAGAAGGGTTGACCTGTGGGCTGGGGTTTACTAGATAAATAGGATATCTCTGGATGGATCAGGAAGAGAAGGCTGTGACACTTCATTCAGGAACAGTAGCCCTCAAGGAGCCCTGGGAACAGGGAAAAACTCTGCTGGGCCAGGGGTGGGGTGAGGCTTGAGTGTGTAGAATCAGAGAGCTGTGGGTGGCAGTGATAGAGCTGGAGACACTATCACTAGAGTAATAGTGTTGGAACCAGATTGGGACTTCACAGTCGCCCCTTGCATTTGACCAACAGGATGCTTCTCTTCCCAATACCTCCCTTGGCTCTGAATGGTCACTCTTGTCTCAATTCATCCCCTAAGGAGAGAGATCACCAAAGTTATACATACTGAAGGCAGTTCCAGAGAAGAAGTTCTAGAAATGTGTTAAGTAAAAGAAGCTTCAGGAAAAAATGCTGCCTAAAGATATTCTTATGGCAATTGCTTTGGTGAACATAACACTTATTTTAATGTCTACCTCCTCATAAGTTAGAGAAAGAAAATGTCACTACTTTTCATCAGTCCAGAGTCTGGAAGAGCAGCTTTTATTTATGCAGTGCTGGGAGGTGACTTGCATTTAATCTTCACATCAATTCTATAAGGAAGATGCTATTCATATCTCAGTTGTATAGATGAAGAAACTGAGGCTCAGAGGACTCCAAGGAGTTTAGCACGTCGCACAGTGATAGGTGGTAAAGTCAAGATTTCAACCTGGTTTGATTTCAGAGTTTGTTCTGCCACATTGCTTCAAGAAGTCTATGTCCTTTTAGCTTGTGAAAGTGCAGTATGTCCCAAACACAATGGAGAGTCAGTAGCAGGAGAGGCAGGAGCAGCCTGGAGTAGTAGGGAGAGGCAGTAGTAGGAGGACCAAGAGGAGGGAACTTGTTGGAGCTTCACCTACCCTTCCCCATTCTGTGCCAGACCTGCCCCTGCTTCCCATCCTTGGGACTTCCTGGTGTAAAATAGTTTCCCACCCAGTGTTACTCCTTAGACAGCAAGAGTTAGTCCAAAAGCCAAAGACTGAAACTCCAGGTCCTACTGTGGGCAGTGGAGCTCCTCTTCCCTTTGCTGGGACATTGGTTCAACAGCCAATTAGCAGATGTATTTGTGTTGACCCTTCTGTTACCAACCTAGTAGTTTACTTATTTAACTAATGACAGGTGCCCTTGTTAGGCGCTGTGGGCACAGCAAGGTCTTTGATGACTCTGGAAAACTGATGATATTTGTAATTTGGGGTACGGCATTCTAAATTTATGTAGCACCAGGGAAAAAGTGGCGGCAGTAGGTAATGAGCCCAGGGCTACACATTCTGGAAATAGAAGGAATGGTTTGTTACCATCTTTTTTTTTTTTTCCTGTAGAGTGAGCTTGTGGATTAATTATTTTAGTTTGTTAACTTACTCTAAGTAGGGCTTGTCCCTTTGACCCTTTGCATGCCCCTGCCATCCGTGGTATCTAGTATGGCTAATAAGCATGAGACCACCAGTTTCTGAATCCTGGTTCCTCGGCTTATCTTGGACGAGCTATTTAAACTTTTTGTGCCTTACTTTTTTTATTTTGAAGATGGAAATAAGAGTTTCTACTTTATAGGGTTGTTCGAAAGATTAAGTAAAAAAAAATCCTGGAAAATCACTCAGCACATTGCTCAGCACATAGTAAGAGCTCAGTAAAGGATAAGAATAGTAAATGTTGAGTGAGCACCTGTTGTGTGCCAGGCCTGGGCATGGGCTGAACACTGCACAGCTCCCAGGGGTGCCTTTCACATGGACAACGATGTGAATGTGACTCTGGAGTTGTGCAATGCAATGACCCCATTCCAGAAACTGCTGTGAGTGCTTCACATGTGTTCGCTCTTTCAGCCTTACAACAACCCATTATTATTCCCGTTTATAATTGGGACAGAGAGATGTTAATGGCTTTGCTCAAGTTTAGCCAGCTGGTAAGTGGCAAAGCTGGGGTGTGAGCCATTCATATTATTGTGGTGTGGACCAGCACAGTTGACCTCTTTCCTGTCAGACACAAAATGGAGGAAAGATCTCCTCAATAGTTTGATTTTCTTTATTAACCCATAATGCATGGCTTGTCTTTGTGTATTTTAATATTTCTTAGAAGCATTTATATTTTTAGCCTTAAATAATACATATAATTACAGTTTAATAATAGAAATTCATAAATTCACTTGACCTTGGGAAAAGGTTATATACTGTTACTTATCAAGTTCAACTATATGTGATTAGGGCAGAAGAAAGGAAAGAGGAAATGGGGGCTGGGGAGAGAGAGAATGAAAACAAGCCCACCGGACATTTGAGTAGTACCAGCACATCTATCCACCCATCCATCTGGCTTCAGGGAAGGATATGTCAGCAGCCCATGTTCTTTGCTCAGATGGCGTCAGTTCCCATGCGACTTTCATAATGCAGGCATCTTGCCACATGGAGTGTAGTAATGCACTTTTCATACAACATAGCCTATAAATGAAGCCAGATACTTTAGCTGCTGCTCAACCAGAGAAGCAGGGGTTTGCTCCAATATCAGAAGAAAAAACTAGCTGTGCTGGAATTGTTGACAAGTGACATGGCAAGTCCCCAGTGAGACACCTTTCTGAGGGATTTTCAAGAGGACCATCCTCTTCAAAAGACCATTTTTTGCTCTGCGTGGTGGTCAGTGGTTTTCTGAAATGGTTCTGGGTCCTCCATGGCACCTGCCTTGGCCACAGACGATCTAGGAAAAGCACCAACAGATTTGTTCCATTCTTCTATTTTCTACTACTGTCAACCTGAGTCCTTCCTTGACCTAGCCAGCCCCTTTTGCACAGGATGGTTCGCTGAGCTGTATTGCTCTCTCTTTTCAGGGTCTTGTATTGCCTTCCTCTATTGGCACCAGAAACCTCTGACCCCCAGCCCTTCCCGAACTTTCTTGCCTTTTACTTGCCTGGGAGGAGAACTCAGACACATGAATTGGTACTATTTATGTCTCAGGTAACTTTTTGTAACCTTCTGAATCCTTCAAAATTAGTTTTCTTCCTCCCCAAATTTCATTCAGGAGGCCAAAATAAGAAAGTTTTTCATTTTAAGGTTAAAGTCTCTGTGATAGTGAGATTACAATAGAGACAGATCAATAATGACTCCTTTTCCCTCAAATTCTCATCCTGCTTGCTGCTCTAAGGGTAGCAGCCTCATAGGAACAGGTAGCATTGGTGGCGTTTCCATGAGAGGTTAGGGGCACCTGATGATTGATAGCAATTATGACAAGGCTGTATAGTTTCTCTGATTGCCACACTGAGGTGACTCAGGGCACCATCAGAATTGGAGGAGATGAATTTTTTATATAAAAATAGGATGTTGTCGATACAATGCAGTCAAAAAATGAGTCACCATGCCCTCTACACCCTAACAAAGTATGCCTTCGTTTCTGCTTAAGACCCAAATAAATTACTTTCTGCAACTGCCATTCACAGAACCAAATTAGAGCCTAGCTAAGATGGAGCAGAATATTTTTGTCTGGGACAAAGCAAATCAAAATGGCAAGATTACCAGTTAGTACAAGGGCCTAGCCACAGTGGGCATTCAGGTTTTAGTTCGTCTGCTGTGTGCTCAGGGGATTTTTGTTCTGCAAGTTACTTTTATGATATCTACTAATAGATAGGTGGTTGGCAGGGGGCTATATTTAGGAGAATATTGCTTGCCCTAATGCTGTGGGAGCCTGAGAGAATGTGGTTGTATTAGTCCATTTTTATGCTGCTGATAAAGATATACCTTAGACTGGGCAATTTACAAAAGAAGTAGCTTTAATGGACTCACAGTTCCATGTGGCATGGAGGCCTCACAATCGTGGCAGAAGGTGAAAGACACCTCTCACCTGGAGGCAGACAAGAGAAGAAAACTTGTGCAGGAAACTCCCCTTTATAAAACCATCAGATGTCATGAAACTTATTCACTATCCAGAGAACAGCAAGGGAAAGACACACCCCCATGATTCAATTACCTCCTACCGGGTCCCCCCGACAACACATGAGAATTGTGGGAGCTACAATTCAAGATGAGATTTGGGTGGGGACACTGGCCAAACCATATCAGTGGCTTAGAAACATGAATACAGAACCTGAATTGAGCCTATTTCTTCATTTTCCCACCTGATTGCTTTGAATTAATCAGGACTTCAGTGGAATGCTATCTCCCTCCCTGGCTTCCTCAAAGCTGGGTTCATTGTACCTCCTAGGTCTTGCCCATAATTTCTCTCTCAAGGCTATCATCACGTTTTGTAAGAATTACCTGTTCTGTGCACTTTTTACAGGTTGAGACTGTGACATAATTAGTAGCAAAAACAGTGTCTGGCATATAATTGGTGATTCCTTGTGGAATGAATGAGTGAATGAATGAATGGTGTTAAGATGTTATGTTTCTCCTTTTTTCAGCAAGTTTCTTAAATAAAAAACCAGGACGAATTCTACCAGGGGATGTGGCAAGATCATGCAGGCTCTCAATAAAAGCACTATCTAAGCATCCTACTTACTGACCCAGGCATGCTGGGACTTTTATTTAAAGAAATGTGATGTGAAAGGCTGTGTTAACCCCCTAAACCCAATTGTCAGAGAATCTGAAATTGTAAAAGCTTCAAAACCTGAAAATGAATGCAAATTCTTTTTCTTATCATTTCTGTACTATAACCAGGAGAACGAGAGGGCCTAGGACCAGATCTCTTTAAAGTGAGGTGGGCACTTACAGATACCACAGCTCTAATCAGATGAGGGTTAGTCCATAAGTCACTTATTCCAAGGAAACTAAAGGAGTTTTGAAAGCCAGGAGAAGCAAGTGAGTCAGCAGAACAACATCAGCAAACAGGGCTATAGTCCGTCAATCTAAGAACATGATATTTCCTGTCTCCTTTAAACTGCATATGGACAGCTCCAGGATTAGAGTCAGTGTTCTGGGTTTTTATAATTGAATGTTATATCACAAAATTGTTTTCCAAGTTGCCACATTATAATTTTAAACAAAGTCATAGCATCCTATTAAATCAATCTTCTCTAATTTGGTTGGTTGGTTATTTCCAATTTTTTTAAACTATAATAAGTAATGTTGCCATGAGCATCTTTTTATGTATAAAGTTTCTTTATTCCTTTAGGATGAATTAGTAGTGCATTAAGGGTGAGAAACAATTTTGTGGCTCTGGATACACATTGCCAGAATATTTTTCAAAGGGCTGTAGTGAATACATCCAGGGCCTATTTTAGCTCCTTTTGAAAACTGTGTGCTCTGCTCACTGACATTCACTGCTTTGTGATCACCTGTACTTGTTATAAATCTGAAACTGTATACTTCACATTGCTCCCTCTTTATCACTTGCCACACAGCCCACACAAAAGCCAGGTTCCCACGAGGTTCAGTCCCAGTAGAGCACCAAATTCAAAATTAATTAGAAATATTTAATTTTGATCTTTATTGTTTCTCTCAAAGAAATCTAATGGACATTCTTAAAACTCCAGTCCTCTCCTTTTCAATCCTGACTCAGGCTGCACTTGCTAGACGCCTCTCCATCTCTCTTTCCATTGCTATCTCACCTCTCACTGGCTTCTCTGTTTTTTTTTTTTTTTTTTTTTTCTGCTGGCACCTGCTGTCTAGCTCATTTATCCAGCCATCTTCCCCAAGGCCCATGCAACCCACAGGGCTCTTCTTGCTGTACAGAACCTCTCTGGGGAAATAGAGTCTAAATGTCCTCTAGGGGATTTTCTCTCTCAGACTCAGACTTCATATAACAAGGGAAAAACCCTGAAGCTGACTTGGTAAGCAAGAATATACCTTCATTAGAAGCAGACAAGGATAGGGGAAGACCATGGATAGTCACATATTAATAATTTTGTCCCTACCACAGATAACGACAACAGCAATAATAACAACAGCACTTATATGTTTAGTCAGGCCAGGCACTGTTCTAAGCACTTGACGTGTATTGTCACTGAGTCTTCATAACAACCTTTTGAATTAACTAATATGATCAACTCCATGTTTTAGTTGAAGAAACTGAACTAGATAATGTTTCAAGTAAGTTTCTCGATGTCATACAGTAAGTGACAGAGCTGGGATATTCACTAGGTGATCTGGCTCTAAAGTCTGGGTTCTTAACTGCCCTACTCTACTGCTTCAGCCTGTGTAAATACATACACACACATACATGCACGCATACATGCATATGTTAATCTGTTGTATATTACGTATATAACACTTTTCAGATTTTCCATATGTTGTCAAAATGTAGAGCAAGAACTTGAAAACACTATGGAGTACCCATTTCTTAGGAGTTACTTTTTTTTTTCTTTTCTTTTCTTTTTTTTTTTCTTTTTTTTTTTTTGAGACGGAGTCTCGCTGTTTCGCCCAGGCCGGACCGCAGTGGCGCGATCTCGGCTCACCGCAAGCTCCGCCTCCCGGATTCCCGCCATTCTCCTGCCTCAGCCTCCCGAGTAGCTGGGACTACAGGCGCCCGCCACTACGCCCGGCTAATTTTTTTGTGTTTTTAGTAGAGACGGGGTTTCACCGTGTTAGCCAAGATGGTCTCGATCTCCTGACCTCGTGATCCGCCCGCCTCGGCCTCCGAAAGTGCTGGGATTACAGGCATGAGCCACCGCGCCCGGCCATGAGTTGCTTCTTTTAATTAAAAATTCCTTTTCCAGGTGAGTTTGTGCTACTGTGTCAGTCTGTGTGTCAGATCTTGTTGATCTAGGTTATGCTGTTACTTTATTACTTCTCGTGATGGAAAAGGCGTGTTTTGACAAGGTCGGTGGAAAGATGTAATACATCTTGGACTCTGGAATATCCATCTAGTAAAATGGATGTGCAGTATACTGACAGGGGTGGTGCTGAGGCTCTGAAGGAAAGGAGTTTGTAATTTAAGTTGCTTTTAACAATTTCTCAAGTAAATGTACACATCCTGCCTCTGTCTTGGATTTGTTTTTCATGCATTGGCTTTTATCACTTATATTTTTCTTTTGGATATGCCAATTAGGTGGCCCAGTTCATTGTTTTCCGCCCAGAGACGTGCACGATGCAGTGCTCAAATCAGATATCCCTTCTCCTTCGGAAAAAATGGTTGGATATTACATACATGGACACACCTTTCTCAGTCAGAGGACAAAAGTAGGAAGTTTTTGATTTTGTTCAAGAAGAAAATGTCTGGCAATTTAGGTCACTCTTCACAGGAAAAATTGGCTTTAAAAACATTAATCAAACGTGCACTTTGAAACACTGCTGCTAGTCTGCCCTTCAAAGAGGAGTGCATGTTGAGAAAAGGCAATAGTCGCCCCGTTTTCTGTAGTGGAAAGAATGTTGGAATAGGAGTGAGGAGATCTGAGGTTGAGGCCATTTCTGCTGATTTGGGGGGCTTATCACTTATCCTCTGAGTTTTACTGTCTTCATCTGTGACATGAAGGTTTGCACTAAATACTGTCTATACCTTTCTTCATACATAATAAATTTAAGATAAACCCTCTGTGTAGGTGGCCTTTAAGATCCCATCTGTCCTATGCAGGTGTGATTCCGGGGACCCCCAGCATATCTAGCAGGGCATCAGCAGCACCTCCCTGCTGGAGAGTCTTCGCTCCCCTCACATTCTTATCAACCCCAGCTGGCTGGCTCAAGCTCAAAATTACCTAATTAGCAATTCTTTCCTTAAGATTAAGCACTGGGTGAGACAAAAATATTCCTGGAAGAATCCTTGTTAGCCATTTGCTATAATTATTTAGTTCTATTAACTAATCTAATAAGCATTAATTCAGTATATAAGCTATTAAAGATACTGAGTTGGGCTCTGGGTGTGTGTGGAGTTGGGTGAGGAGGAGTGCAAAGATGCAAGAGAGATGGCCCTGCCCTTGATGCTGGAGAATGGGCAAAGCTGCATAGAGTCAGATGACAGCTGCAAGTGTTGAGTGCTGTACGAGTTTAAATGGAGAGCGGGATTGCTGGCAGCTGCGGTGGGCAGGGATTTTCTCCTTTTTAAAATTGAGATCAGGTTTGAACATGACTTTGCAAGATGGCTGACTGAACAAAAGACACAGGTAAGAGTCTATGGCTTGACGTGAATCAGAGCTTATAGGTGGGAATAGCCAAGGCATGTTCAGAACCAGTTCAAGGCGAAGCCATAGTACCATAAAAGATGGATAAAGAATATCAGAATGTTGTGGGCTGGGCGCGGTGGCTCACGCCTGTAATCCCAGCACTTTGGGAGGCTGAGGCAGGCAGATTACCTGAGCTCAGGAATTCGAGACCAGCCTGGCCAACATGGTGAAACCCCATCTCTACTAAAAATACAAAAATTAGCCAGGCATGGTGGCACCTGCCTGTAATCCCAGCTACTCAGGAGGCTGAGGCAGGAGAATCGCTTGAACCTGGGAGGCGGAGGTTGCAGTGAGCCAAGATCGCGCCACTGCCTGGGCGACAGAGTGATACTCTGTCTCAAAAAAATAGAAAAAAGAAAAGGAAAGGAAAAAAGAAAGAAAGAAAACTGGATTGAGTTCAGTAAACAAAAAGGAATGATCATTTATTTTTGAACAAGCGAGTGATATACCAATGGCAATTTGAGGAATTTTGTGTGGCGGGAGTGTGCAAGATAGTTTTGAGAGGAAAGAGTCCCTAAGGCTTCCAAGTTCCAACCCTTACTCCTTGAATGTTATTAAATGCGTATTTTAAAAATTTGATCTGAAGATCCTTTTGGGAAGAAATGTTGAGTATAAATAGTCTTTCCAGCCAATATAAGCAGCTTGGGAAGAAAAACGAAATGTTTGAGGGATCCTAACGTGAAGGGACAGGGCTTGGAATGCCCGCTGGTTTTCTGGTCCCAGCAACATTAATGTTCATCCTCTTTCTTCCTTTAATTTTTCTAGCCCTTAAAACAGAGTAAAATGTCAAACTGTGAAAGACCACAACTGCTTTTCTTTGTTATATTTAGCCTTTCACAGTTTTTAAAAATATAAAAGCTATAGAATCTGCCTCATCTCTCATTTCTCCATCCTCTCACTGGCTGAGGACATATTTAACAGGTTTCATATTGGAATTACCAGGAAAGTTTGGGCTGTCTATGGCTGCATTACAAATCACCCTTGAGTCTAGGGGCTTAACACAACAATCACTTCCATACCTCACAAATCTCTAATCTGAGCTGGTCCAGGTGGGAGGGCTCAGGTCTGTTCTGCATACCATCAGCTGGGGTGGGTCGAGTGGAGGCTGGGGGGTCCACCTTCAAGACGGCTCACTCACATGACTGGCAGCTGGGAGCTTGGGCTGGGGGTGGGTCATCAGAAGACCCGGGGTGAGGGGAGCCCTGTCTTCTGTCCACGTGCACCCCTCCATGGCTTGTTGGCTTCCACGCAGCATGGCGGCGGAGTTCCAAAGGTGAACATCAGGGGTTGTAATATGCTTTATGTGAGTAACTTGGGTTGTGCTTTGAAAATTTTCACCCTTTGATTAAGGGATAAGGGTAGGCCCTTAAGCTACATAGTTCTTTAAAATCCATGTCCCTGACTCTGGTGTCCTCTGTCACAGGCTACTTAAAGGGCTGGTGTCCATGGGAGGTATTCCAGCTCCCAAAGTGTGTGGGGTGCCTAAGTTCTCAGCAGAGATGGGAAGTTGAGTCACAGTGATGTGAACTGAGGTGATGGTGGGTACCCCCTGGGTAGAGTTGTCTTGGAGAAGCACAGAATCAATCATTAAATACCATTCTCTGTGACTTAAAAGTCAAGTGCTGGGTTTTCACCACTCCCTTGATCTTGCTCAAAAGGAAACTTAATCAAGAGAATGTTGCTGTACTCCGCTTGCTTCAAATGGGTTCTGCGTGGCTAAGGTTACATTTGGTAGCTCTTGGCTTGTCTTCAGTTTCAAATGTAGGGTGAGAGAGGATGTTGTTTGGAGAGTCCTCTAAGCCCTCTCTGCTGATGGAAAGAACGTGTTTCAGTGCTTATTGGCCTCCTAAGTTTCTGAGAGTTGTTTTTGAGTCATTTAGAAATAATTAAACTGGGTTAAGCAAATGCTTTTTGCTTCAGAGCTTCAACATTTATTAGTCAGTTGTCCTGTAGAGCAGGTTTTTGCCCTTATTCTTCAAAGCTCAGGCCATTTATTCTATAAGTGATGCTATCTGATGTCACAATGATATATATTGTTATACTGGTATTTATCAAGACTATGTAATGAAACCCTATGTTGGAAGAAGTCTATGTCTATACAATTAGTCTTGAAAGCAGGAGCTCTTTCCATTGGATGCAGTACCTGGAATTGTGGTATATAATATTTTAATTGAATACAGGATGTTTTTGGCATTAAAATCTTTAGGAAGGTTAAAGAGTTAGAAACAGAGAACTGTCCAAGTAATAAGGAGTGAGCCATTTTTATAAACATCCTGTTCCTTAGGTGCTCATGGTTTGTGGAAACCTCAGGTGGAGACATTTCTGAAGATTGCTAGACTGAAAATAATGTCACAGGGTCCAGGCAGGAAACATAGCATATTCGAGCAGGTGATTCAGGAGAGACCTATTTACAAAAGTGTCAGCATGGTTAAAAGAAACTAACAAAGGATGACGAAAGCACCCTGGGAAGCCACTGTAATCCCTAAGCCTGGAGGGGACTGGGTAGGGCACCAAACTCAGATGTGGGAGGTGCCACTGGACATGGGGCTGTGCCTTTCACAGAGGAGCACATCCACCCACCAGGAAGATGGTGGGAAGAGTAAACCCATCAGTTCCTCTTCTTTCTGATCACCTGCCAAGGAGTTCCATTGGCAAACCTCAACCAAAGCCCAGAAAGGCCAGAAGGCCCATTGCTACGTTCCATAAAATTCAGCCTTCTGGGGTACAGAGCAGTGTGGAGAAGGGTAGGGAGTGGATTTGAAGGAGCCAGCGGAAAGTATCCATCACAACACATACACACAACCCTACAGTTTCGGTTAGTTAATGTTTGTTTCACAAAGACAAGCTCATCATGGAGGCCTAAGTTGCATGGGTGAATTTAACATAAGTTTCTCTCTACTAAGAAAAGGGTGAAAATTCAGATTGCATAAAATTCATCCCAAAATATCATTAGCTCTGGGACAAAGAGAATTTGAAACTTCATATTTCTGGCTTGCTTCAGGCCATGGCATAGGGACGGAGTCCTGGGGTTAGGGAACAGGGGAGGGCTAAGGTATTTAGAAATAACCTTTCCTAAAGAAAAGGAAATCTTAGTTCTGTAACAGAAAATAAGCCCTCGGCAGAGCCCCTGAGATGAGCCAGGGGTGGGGAAGAAGAGAAAACATGCCCATCAATTAGGTGACAGCAGCCCTCACTACCTGGTAGCAGAGGGACAGAACCCCAAAGGTAGATGAACTTCTGTGATAAATGTGCTCAAAAGGGAGGACAGTTCTGAGACTCATTCAGCCTGTATCTCAGAAGCATATGTATCTGGTAGAATGTAGCCGCTTGGGGGTCTAGTCACACTGTGGCTTATTTCTTCTTTAAAAATGGAATTGTTTAGACTCTGCATACTCAGTGGGTTTAGGCTGCCTTTTGGTGCTGAAGCTGCCCAAGATGGAAGGGAAGAGCATGTGTCTGCTAAACCCTTCACAGTTTCCAGTGTATGCTAATTTATTCAAGGTCACAGAACATATGTTACATGACAATGGTATAAGGATTTTTTTTTTTTTTTTTGAGATGGGGTCTCGCTCTGTCGCCCAGGCTGGAGTGCAGTGGTGTGATCACGGCTCACTACAGCCTCTGCCTCCCGGGTTCAAGCAATTCTCCTGCCTCAGTCTCCCAAGTAGCTGGGACTACAGGCGTGTGCCACCACACCCAGCTAATTTTTTTGTATTTTTGGTGGAGACGGAGTTTCACCATGTTAGCCAGGATCGTCTCGATCTCCTGACCTCCTGATCCACCAGCCTCGGCCTCTCAAAGTGCTGGGATTACAGGCATGAGCCACCATGCCCAGCTATGGAATTTTTTATGTATGAGAAATCATAGGAATTTTCAAGGCTATACCCTTTTTTTATGAGAAGCCTAACTTCTTGCACAGTGGCTTTCAACATACAAGGTAGGTTCATAGTATTTTATAGTTTATAGTTAGTTTATAGTTATAAAGTGCTTTGTAAACTGTAAAACTTATAGTTTATAGTTACTTCCCATTCAGTCTGCCTTAATTCCTAATATCCAAAAGGAGTTGGTATATGACAAGCTCATGGCACCTGCTTAAAAGCAGTGTCTTAAGCTAGTTTCAATTTCTTTGGCTTAGAATGTGTGTTAGTCTGTTTTTGTGTTGCTATAAGGGAATACCTGAGACTGGGTAATTTATAAAGAAAAGAGGTTTATTTGACTCACATTTCTGAAGGGTGTACAAGCATGGCACCAGCATCTGCTTGGCTTCTGATGAGGCCTCAGGAAGCTTACAATGATGGTGGACGGTACAGGGGGAGCAAGCACATCATATGATGAGAGTGGGAGCAAGAAAGAGACAGAGGAGGTGCCACACTTTTTCCAACAATCAGATCTCACGTGAACTCAGCGGGAGAACTCACTCATTATCACAAGGAGGGAACCAAGCCATTCATAGGGATCCATCCCCATGACCCAAACACCACCCAGAAGACCCCACTTCCAACATTGACATTTCAGCATGAGATTGGTAGGGGACAAAACGTTCATATCAGAATGAATCTGGCTCCTTCTCCCAAAATAAGGACGTGAACTACCCTTTGAGACTTGGAATTCATATACACTGAAGACTGTTTAGAAAAAGAAATGTTCACATAAATAGGTTATAGTTCCTTAAAAAGCCAGGTTCAGCAGATGTAGCCATAAAAAGATTCACAGGAGCTGAGAAGTTCCTTATGGCCATTTAATTTGAAGGTCACTTTAATTTGTCATTGGTCTTGAATTCAAATATTCACAAAAGTAACCTTTGGGCAGGAGAATAAATCAGTACTGTTAATTGCACTTGTTTAATTCAGCCATGAGAAAAATTAATCCTTTCATAAGCAGCTGGTTTTCTGGATGACATTCTGCTGCTGAACCATTCCTTTTATTTTGTGATGGAAAGAAAGGTTATAAAATGTTTTTAATTAAAAGTTTTAATCTTTTTTCCCCTTCTCTAAAAATACATTGTGGAAGAATACTATTTTAATTGGAAGAAATATTTAACTCAATAAAACTAAAATATAACTGGCTATAATCAGGAAATGAAATAATCAAGATAGGACATCTGAAGGAACCCACAAGGTTTCTTGTAGGTATGCATACAAGAAATTTATACTGAGACCTGTAGTTTTTCAGAATAGGCACTAAGGAAACCTGGTAATAAACCAACGGGTTGGCCATTTGCTATGTGCAAAGCTAGTTTGAGAAATATAAGAGGAGGTTATTGCCTTCAAGGAGCTAATCTGATTGCAGAGATAAAACCCATGAAAAGTGATTGATATACAAGAATTAAATGACTGTTTAATTGAAATAATGCCACAAAACTGTACTTATCTTCCAGATAATTGGTACTGGTAATAAGTGCTTTATTTGGAAAAGAGAGAGATGGTTGTGGAAAAGCATGCAGCAAGTTGGAGATGGAACTTGAATTGGGTTTTTAAGGAGGAGTAGGACTTGGATAGACTTAGAAGGGCCTTAGGGATGACAGAAGAAAAGCAATAAATAATAGGGCTTAAAATGGCCTGGGATCTTCATGGCTATGCAATCTGGATGGTACATGAATACCGCCAGTGACTCACTGCTTTCATGGGTAACCTGCTCTATTTTTGCACAGCATTAGTCATCAGAAAGTACTTTTGTTTAGTCTTCAGGTGAAATCTATCCCTGCCCCCTTGAGCTTCTATTTGAATTCTTTCCTTGTAGAGAAATGTAAAACCGTCTTCCAAAGATGAGCCCTTGAAATACGTGAAAAGGATTATTTTGTGTCCCCTAAGTTTTCTTTTCTTCCCCAGTCCTTTTGGCTATTCCTCATTTTTCACTGTTTCCAGATACTTTGCCTTCTTGTTCAGTTTTCTCTATGTATCCTGAGACCCTTCGCCAATAGTCTTTCTCTTGCGAAGCGTGGGTCTGATCCTAGCCCTTTTAAAAACCTGCAGCCCCTCTGCAGTGCCCACAGAATAAATCCGGCCTCCTTGCTTAACTGTGACATAGTTCTTCTTTGGGGGCTAAAAAAGGTTTGCACTGTGCATGCCTCCCCCTTCAGTAAAACGCCGCCTGTGCCAGAAGACATGGCATAACTGTGACACAGCATCTAATGTGCGCCCCACCTCCACTTTTCCTTGTTGAGTGGGCAGGGAGAAGATGGGGAGTGGGGTTTTGGGGTTGTATATTTTCCCCTTTGGTGAGAGAGCAAGGCCATTGTCTGAGTGCTGTAGGCACTACTTTTGTTGTCCTGGCCACTGTACATGGCTTCCAGGGATGCCAAGGCTGATGTGGAATCAACCAGTGCCCCCTGCCCCCACCCCCATTTTGGCCTTGGCTCAGCACTGTGTTTTTGCCCCTCAGAGCTGCCAAGCCTTCACAGGACCACCACCACCCTATCCTCCTGTGAGTGAGCTCATGAGGCCCCTCAGGCCCTGATGTAACACAAGGACTATCCTGGCTGAGTTTCTGATTTTCACCTTTCCTTGAAGCTAACAGGGTCTCTGGGGCATCTAGACTGGCTGGGAAAGTCGGTTAGTTGCCAGAATGACCGAGGCTTGCAGAATCCATCCTTAACACTGTCGATAGGGATTTCTTCACTTTTTTCTATTTGTTGCTCTTGCTCTGTTTTATAATGATTTGAGCTGTTACAGTCTAACTCAATCACACTTCTTTCAGCATTCTGAAAGGAAAACTATGTCTATAAATTCCAGGAAGAAGAAGAGATTGTAGCTTTTGGCTTTACTGAGAAAACTCAGAATGACTTCTTGTTTTTCTTCTGTGTTATTTTAAAGTGAGTAGCATGGTTTCTCTGCAGATGCCTCTTCCCATCCTGAGATTTCTCATGGTTACTTGTTGATTTGCTGTAAGCTCCAAGAGTGCTATAGGACTCTATTTTTATTCTCTGCATAGCACTTATTTCCTGATATTTCTCATGCATATTTGCCGATTTGTTGTAAGCTGCCTAAGAGTAGGAACGTTGTCTTTGTTCATTACTCTGTCCCCAGCATCCAGTGTGGTAGACATGCAATGAACAGTGTAATGAATGATAAGTCATTCTTGGTGTAGAATGCATTCTTCGCCATACTTTGAGGGCTGGCCTTATGAGCCTTGTTAGGTTTTAGCAAAAAGAAATTTCTCCAGAATGCCTGCTACCTGAAAGATGCCCTCCTGATTACTTACTAGTCTTTGGGGTTGCTCCCAGTGTCCCCCTGCCAGTGGTCATCTGCCCAGCCCCACTCTTGGAATCTTCTGGAATGAAAATCTGCCTTCTGCTTCTCTGGGGTTTGGCTCTCTGAGCATTTCTTGCCTGTTTGTATGTGGGCTGATCTGATTGATCTGAGTAGTCTACCATTTGATTAATAGTTTGCTCCCCATCTTGTTCATTACTCTGAACTACTGAAAAACTGCTTCCTTGTTTCTTAAAGGGCCATAGCATTCAGATCCAGGAATTGAGCTTCAGACAGTTATGTATTGCTATCTGCTTTTTACCCAACACTGATTTTTATCAAACACTGTTTTCCTTTGGAGAGCTTGCCTGCCTTCCTTTCTTCGTTTCTTGCTTTCTTCCTCCCTCTCCTCAGCACACATTTGTTGATCTCCTACTTTGTGCCAAGCCCTTGTGCTAAGTGATGAGGATCCATGGTGAATAAGACAAGCAGTCTGCCTGCCCCCTCATGCATGTTAGAGGCTACTATAAAAACAGTGTCCTCACCACCACCACCACCACCACCTGCACACATTATGCATGCTTCAGTTGAAGGGTTGAGTTCCATTTTGACAAATATCATCATGGTGTAGAGACTGGGCTGTAGAATCAGGCAGATCTGGGCTGACCTCCCAGGTCTTCCATTTATTACCCAGGTAACTTACTTTCTTAGTGCTTCAGTTTCCTCAGTTGTATAATGTGGAGAATAATAGTCTTCACCTTGCAGAATTCATAGGAAGATAAAATGAAATACAATTTATGTAAAGCACTTAGGACAGGATCTGACCCTTAATCCGTGTCAGTAATGAGAGTGAGGATGGTGATAATCTCTGGGAGCCTGGATGAAGGATGTGGAAATAGTTCGACCTTGATTATGATACAAGTGCTCTTAATTGCCATTTGCTTAACTAAAGGATAAAAGGTTCTGTTTAAATTAGCAAAGGGGAAAAAAGAGGTAAACATAGTTGGGATACATAAGTACAGTAATCATATTTTTTTAACTTGAAAAATCAGCCTGCGTAGTGTGACTGACAAGCAGGCATATGCACTTCTCGGGGGTGGGCACAATATTTATATTCGGGTCACTGGTTGCTGTATGGACGAGGCACATCTACCTTAAAAAAGAAGCTGCTGAGAGGGGACAAGGGGCTTGTTGGGGAGGGGGCACTGAGGGCGGAGAGAAGGAAGAGGAGAGGAGACAAAGCCCCTGGGCTTGCTCATTTCCTGCTCTATGTACCGTGACTTACCTAGAGTTCTTTCAGCCTTTAAATAATTGAAGACCATCTTAAGTATCAGGGCCTTCATGAAAGTAAGTAATATGCCCAGTGGCCTGTCTGAGCTAGGATAAAAATCTAAACACTCTGAAAGGATCGCTGTGTGTGTCATAAAGGAGGAATTTGTCAACAAAATGGAAGGGCAGATACCTGTCTGTGCTGGTGCCAGAGTCTGGTTGAGAGCTGTCTAAGGATTGCAGCCCCCAGAAATGCTCAGGGCAGAGTGGGTGCACCTGGAAGGACGGATGGTGGAGTTGTCCTTGAGTGTTCACAACTGTGTGGCCTTTAATGGGATGTCTGCTTGAAACAGAGTAAGAGCAGGAAGTGTCTAAGGGGCCAAGCCCCATGTTAATAACAAGTTTGCTGCTTGAACATTCAGCTAATTTGAAAATTAGTTCATTTTTAAATGCCTTTTAGCAATTTGAGTACTTAGAAAATTTCTTCGGGGAACTTAACAACAAAAATTCCCACAAAAATGTCCTAAGGGATGGAAAAAAATCTCCCAATTCTCTTAGAATACTTTTAACTTTTCAGCAGAGGTATCCAAACATAGAGTGTGAATGTTGAATAAATATAGTTTAGGACAAAAATAGAAAATGGAGACTTGTTCTCCTAGTGCGAAAACACATGTAATAACCACAATATTTTTCTTTTTTTTTTCACTGTAAAAAAAAATTCTGGGTAATGCTTCATGCTGGGCAAATGGTTATTTCTCCTTTCCATCTTTTCATTACCTGCTGAGAGAGAGGTAATGAAAAGATGGAAAGGAGAAATAACCATTTTTCTTTGCCAAAGAACTCACATTTTTAATGTCTTTGTTTCTCTTTAAATTTAAATTTATATCAGGAGAAGATTCAGAAAAGATCATGGTGAGATGAAGTATCTCCACGTAAGCCTGCTATTTCCTAGGCATGGTCAGGGGCCCTCCCTAACTTCCTGGCACTGTCCCTGGCCCCCACTTCCTCTTTCCTCACTCCTGCCCCTTTGCCTTGGATGCTCTCATAGTGTCTGTGTTTCTCCTTCATAGCACTTACCACAGTAGTAATTTAAGAATAAACTTTGTGATTCATTTTTAAGTATTTCCCTTCTTTGCTAGACTGTAATGTCCATGAGGGCAGGGGGGTAGACTGTGCACCTGGGTATACACTGGGTCTGACCAAGTGCCTGACACATAGTAGGAGCTTAGTTTATATTGTTGAATAATAGATAATGTTTATTCAATGACAGGCATTCTCCTAATGAAAGAATCAGCCTTTAAAATACTTGGCAAACCATAAAAAAAGCTTCAAATAAAATCTAAAAGAATCTATGTGTACAATTTATTTTGTATATTCCTTTGGGTATTTAAGCTATTGCATACATCAAATGCTACAACTAGCCTGGATATGAACATTGGAGTTTCCAAAAGTGTAAATTGAGGTCAAATAAATTATTTTATCTTTTCATCCCTGTGTGAGTGAGGGAAGGGGAGGGAAGTTTTGCTAAATTGAAGTTAGCACAGGGAGAGTAGGTCGTTATTAGTCGGGGGGTCCCCAATCCCAGGTCCCTCAGGAGAACATTCAAAGAGACATTGCTTGTGTACCAGCCAAGGTCACAACAGGAGGTGGCAGGCACTCTCAAATGGGTAATTTGAGGAGAATTTAACAAAGGGGTGACTTGTGAAAGTGAGGGCAGGGTTTATAGAAATCATTTAGAGATAGTGCAGCACCCAGGGCTAGCTACAGCTGAGAGCCTTTACTCCCTCTAGTCCTGAAGGGTAAGGCCTGGAGAGTTACCAGAACCCACAGAGAAGAGCTGTAAAGAGTTGGCCACTTAAAAGGAGCTGTGAAAATGGTAATGGAGTATAGCGAACCCACGGCATCTTGGCGGGAGGAAGCTGGGGGAGTGCATACTTTTCTTCCACCTCCCAATCTCCTGCCAATGCCTTCTATGAGTACAACCCAACCAGCAGTCAAGACATAAGGGAACCATTGCTTTGGTCCATAAGGGTCAATTGTACAAGGCCCAGAGCAGGGTAGAATAGGTTGGAGAGTGAAGGTGAAATACAAAGAGAAGATATAAGGTAAAAAAGAAGATAGAAAACACAGCTTGCATACTCTCCACAGAAGCCCACCAGAGGAACAGAAAGCCTGGAAAGTGTGAAAATCCCATATTAAAATAAGGACATTTATGTGAGAGCTTTGGAAGGTGAACCTCTGCACTGTCCCAAGGAGGAGAAGTGATATTGCCAATGTAAGTTGCTGCTCACTTGCAGCAGCTAACCTTAAATCGTAGAGGTCTCACAAATTCAGTCACCTGAACAAATGCTAGTAGTTGCAAGCACCTTGGTGTGTTGGACACAGGAGCCTTACAAGGGTTATTTTTGGTGCCTCCATTTTCCAATAGAGCAAGGCCGTTTCTGTAGGCTTTTCTTAAGTACAGTGACACTCACAGTGAGGCCCCAGCAGTAGCACCTGGGAGCTGATTAGACATGCAAATCCATGACCACACCCCAACCTTCTAAATCAGCATCTCCGGGGGTGGGGCTTAGAGAGCCATAGTTCAACAGCTCTCCAGGTGATTCCTATACACACTGAAGTTTGAGAAGCACTGCCTTTGCAGCTATGGCAAACTTCTGGAACACGAAGAAATAAAGCTGTGAGTAAAACACCCCTCACTGCACCAGTACACACAATTTTTTCTTACTCTTGGCATATTTTCAAATAGTCCTGTAAAATAAGGAGATTGGATTAGAGAAGTGGTTTTCAAACAGAGTTTATTTGATCCCCTTAGAGCCAAAGGGGTCACTGGGCCAATTCACCCAACCAATGTAATGTTTATCTTTATAATATTTCATTTGTACATAAGGTTCTAAGACTTAAGAAGCATTGAAAAACCTCTGGTTGAGATGACCTAAGGTTCTGTCTTGCTCAAATGTTCTATGGTGTTTTGTATATGTGTCAATTGCGTTGATTCAGTATATGTAGTATCTGTATTTAGTGCTTACATAGATGGGGCATATTTTGTTTCATTTCAAAATATTAGTACTGGCTTATGCCCAGAGGTGCTATTTTTCCATTTCCTGTCCTTTCTGGCATAACTAAGGTGTTTTCCCATAGATCTTTCTACCCTGAATGTATGTATAATTTCTAGAATAGCAGTTACCCCTTGTCGGCATGTTGTTAGTTATTTTAGTATCTTTTATTGCTGTTTTGAACACACACAAAAATTGCAGAAAGTTTCATTGTATGTTTGCTTGTATCAGCTTATGTGTCAGAGCTAGTCATGTAAGCATTTAGGCTATTATATATTTTTTAAGGGAGCGGCTTCAGCAGGCAGGATCCAAGTTGTTCTGATCCCTGTTGTGTACTTGGCTTACATGACATCCCACATGCTTGAGCAAGTGCCTGTCCTTTCTGTGCTTGTATTTTCTTGTCAAAGGGCCATGATAATATACTGCCTCCCTATGTCACATGGGGTGGCTCCAGAATTTCCACATAGAAGGGGGTTTGGGGCAGTAATCTTTTAGCTGGGGATAGAGAATGGGACAGGGACTTTTCATGAAGGTAAATTTGCAAAGGAAACACACAGCTTTTCTTAGTTTATATATCAAAGATCATAAAATTTAAAAAGTCTTCCAAATATGCTTTTATTTATATTAGGTTGGTGCAAAAGTAATTGCGGGTTTTGCCATTACTTTCAATGAAATGAAAATTGATAAAATGGGAAATTGGTAAAGTGGAAATTAATTATATCAAGGAATACTTTTAAATAAAATTTGGACTGGCTTTGGGGGAGGATTATTGAGGGCAGGGAGAGCTAAAGTTCTTGCCCCTGGCCACTTGTTAACATAGCTCTTGTGTGACCCTGGGATCTTGTGAAGATAATAAACTGATGAAAGAATGGAACAAGTGCAAGACTAGAAGGATTATCAGGCTGGTAGCGTTTATATTTCCTTAAGGGTCTTTAGAGAAGGAAAAGCATTTGATTCATCTTTATGTCTTTCCCCAGCTCTCAGCACCTGGTACAGTGCGTGACTCATAGTAGCTGTTCAATAAATACGTGAAGTGCAGAAGAATTTGTAACTCAGATGTTACCTGGGGTTGCCTGATTCTTTGATATATAAAAAGGACTTGAACTCTATCCTAGGTGCTCTGCAACGTTAGAAGCTTGTGGTCTCATGGTCCACTCTTGCTCTGATTTCTGGTTGCTCCAGAACTCTTGGTCACACATCTGTCTCACCTGTGGCTCTTCCCCTCTGTTTTCTGTGTGAACCCACCACCAGCTTCTTCTCCTTGGTTTACCCCAAACAATTCTCATACATGGCATTTGTGTGCAGTGGACATTCCTAGTTCTTTGTGGATACCAGTTGGGGGACAGTAGCACATAGATAGTTTAGGGTTAAATATTAGTTTTCTTTTAAAAATTATCCTGGGGAATATGCACCTTTGATATGACATGATGAAAATGGCACTTTGCCTCTGAAGTCTATTTCATTCAAACCCCTAACCTCAGTCTAAGTATAGAAAAACATCAGACAGCTTGCAACAGAGGGCCGTCCTATGATATGCCTTAGCAGGACTTTCCAAAACTCTCAAGGTCATCAAAAGCGAGGCAAGTCTGAGAAACAGTCACAGCCAAGAGGAGCCTATGGAGACATAATGATAAATGTAATGTGGTATCCTAGATGGGATCCTGGGATGGAAAAAGGATATTAAGTAAACACTAAGGAAATCTGAACAAAGTGTGGTCCTCTGTTCTCATACCTGGAACAGAAAATTTCTTTCTGCAAATTTTCCCCCTTGCTTTCCTTGTTAGAGTGCTGGCCCTGGCCTCCTGCCCCATCCATATCACTGCCCTTCTCTTCCTCATACCACTCCTGCTTTGGGGCAACTCTCAATATCCCCCATCCCCATTAATTTTTTCATGGAGCACTTTAGGGGCTCTTTGTTTCACCCTGGCTCATCCAATTCCTCTTAAAGTGACAACTGTCTCTTCCCACTGCAAATGAACAAACTGTTTGTTGTGAGCCGATCCTCAGTCCAGATCCAGCTTACCCTATGCAGTTCTGGGGAACTCTGGGATCATAATCTTTCAGTGTGGCCTAGCTCAGGACAGCTGAATTGCACCAACTGGAGCATTGCCCATCAGGGAGAGAAGGGTTTACTCATCTTTCAAGGCTTTATCTCAATATTAACTATATGTTTTCCCCACGATGGACATTGAACTACTTCTAAACTATGTATTTAGGTTGGGAAAAAGTAACTTCCAATTCAGTGCCAGGCACTGAGGATACTCAAAAATGCCCTTAGTAATGAACCTTCTAGAAAGAAGTTGAATTCACTGAGTGGCAGATTTCATGGTAAGCTTTCAAACATCATTGTTCCTGCAGAAATTATCTTCAGGTTGAAAAGTGGGTTCTGAGCCATGTTATTCTCATCAAGGCCATCCTAACAAAAATAAAGGGAACAGAGGGAAAAAATAGTTACACTTTTCTGGAGTAGCAGATGGGTTATCTCATTTAATCCCCACAACAACATATTAAAATAGCTATTTTTGTCCCAGTTAGAGACAAGGAAGCTGAGATGTGCATAGTGGTATAGCCTATGAGTGGCCCGTCCAGAGTCCAACTGTGCCTGACCACAAAGCTTGGGCTCTATTCAAAGCCCTGTCTCCTCACTGCTTTTCCAGAAGTCCTGGTGCCAATGTCATTGGAAGTACTTGATTTTTTTCCGTGTTCTTGACTTGTGCCTTTACTTTTTGCCAGTGCTTTCTAGAGGTAGAAGTTTAAATATGCATGTCAGTTTTCATCCTCATCAACATCCTCCTCCTCCTCACATACCTCTAGTGAATCCGTGGATTCCTGTGAGAGGTTTTGTGAGAATACATGGAAAGGCTGTTCAGGTCCAATTCTCTTCCAACCCAAGATGAATCTAAGAGCCCAACCTCCCAGCTGCAGAAGATGGCATGACTTTCTACAAGTCATTACATATTTTCTCATGTCTTTTCCAGATTTCTCATATGTGGCAGGCATAAGATGAAGGGAAAGGGGAGGATAACTGGGGTTAGGTGGGCAGCCAGGTAAATAAAAATAGAGTCAAGAGGCCAGGTCAGTGTTTCTGGGGTCTCAGGGTCTTTTATTAAGCCATGTCAGCCATCAACAGAAGGCATGACTTTGTGTTGATGCCCTCTGTGCAACCAGTTGGTACCACTTTGGACCATCACTGTATTAGTCCATTCTCACACAGCTATAAAGACATACCTGAGGCTGGGAAATTTATAAAGGAAAGAGGTTTAATTGACTCACAGTTCCACGTTGCCAGGGAGGCCTCAGGAAACTTCCAGTCATGGTGGAAGATGAGAGAGAAGCAAAGGCATGTCTTACATGGCAGCAGACAAGAGAGAGCAAATGAGCAAAGTGGGAAGAGCCCCTTATAAAACCATCAGATCTCATGAGAACTCACTATCATGAGAACAGAATGGGGGAAACTGCCCCCATGATCCAATCACCTCCCACCAGGTCCTGCCCTTGACACATGGGGATTATGGGGATTACAATTTGAGATGAGATTTGGGTTTGGACACAGAGCCAATCTATATCAACCATGTAACCTTTACTGTCTGAGAGAAGGAATGATGCTGCAGACAGGAGGAGTCAAGCTGAAGACCACGATACACACTGACATCTCGTGCTTCATATCTGTCTTAGTCCATTCTGTGTGGCTGTAACAGAGTATCTGAGGCTGGACAATTCATAAAGAAAAGAGGTTTAGTTAGCTCATGATTCTGATGTCTGGAAAGTCCCAGGGTATGGTTCCAGCATTTTTTTGGCTTCTGATGAGGGCCATCTGCTGCATCAAGACATGGCAGAAGCAGAAAGGCAGACGGGCATGTGCAAGGAGGCAAACACAGGGAGGGACCTCACTTTATAACAACTAATCCAGTCTTTCAAGAGTGAACTCCCTCCTGTAAGATGGCATTAATATACTCATAAGAGACCTGTCCCCATGACCCAAATACCTCCTATTAGGCCCTACCTTGCAGCATTGCCACAACAATAATCAAATTTCAGCCTGAGTATTGGAGCAGAAAAACCATATTTAAACTGTGGCAACATCTTTAGGACACCTCAAGGGAAAGATTTTTGGCATTGGGTGAGGGGGCAGATTTGAACAGCATTGTAGCAAACACAGTTGATGCAACTTAGTGGGTTTATGGGGGTTTTCTGAGTTCAAAAAATTCTGTTACAACAATGATAGAAGCAGAATTCTGTCATATGCTTTCCTAGGAGCAGCCTAGTTTCTGTTAAACCACATGTTAGGCTTTGAGCCCTGAAACTTAACAACTGTGTAGAGTAATATACTGCTAGAAAATAGTTAGCCTGTACAACCAAAACAATTTTTTGGAGTAGATAGAGCTTTTTGGGTTGGGGCCACAAAAATTCTACAAAAAATTCAGACTCTTTTGATGGTAGAAATCTGCCTTCCAGGAGGGGGCAGGCAGTACCATTGATGGAAAATTTGCAAGGAAATATTTTGTTATTATAGCACTATTACAATGCAATAATACACAATGCAATTAAAAGATCATTATGGGTGAAAAGAGGTTGGAAGAAAAAGTAGAAACCAGCAGAAGCAATGTAAATACATGAACAAAATCTCCATATTTCCTTATTAAAAAGTAGAAGGCATTAAAGAGGTTATTTGCTACATTCTAAGAATCTGGAGAGTAGAAACTGAAATAAGTAGGGACTTGGGCTAAGAAATGATCTGTGATAGCTAAGTTACTACAGAGATAAATCAGTGATTGGAAAGTTACAGGTAAGTTACTTAATGTTCATGGAGCGGCTTTTCCTCATCTTTCTTCTCCTTCTCTTCATTATTATTATTTGTAGTATTACTCTGAGAGCACTTTGAGGGTTGTACCTAAATGGCTAAGCTAAATGATGTATGCTCTATTATCTGTAAACACATGTGTGTGCACACACACACACACTTAGATTTATTTCTACTTTCTACATTTTTCAGGCCTGAAATCAATCTAAGAGCTTGGGCCTGTCTGGCCTGCAGAAGGCTGAAAGTTGTAAAGTATTAGGTCAAATCATATGAAATTGTTTTTGTAAGTCAAAAACAGCCAAACATTAGTTATTTCATATGATTCAATATGGGAAATTCTAGATGTATCACAAAATGTAATGAAATGTCATCCATTATCTGGTAGTAGTTACCAAGACGAAGTTTCATGCTGGAAGAAATTAAAAAGCCCTTCTGAGGTGTGTCTTTTTTTGCCAGGCAGAAGCCACCCTGGGCTCTCATAGCCATTGGCCCCGTCTGAGAATCAGATGACCTGGGTTTTACTTATGTCTTCATTAAAAGATATGATAATTAACATAATACTCTCTCCCAAACTATGTGTTTTTTAGAGTTTCTTCTAGTCAAATGAAATAAATGTTGAAGGGCTTTGAAAAGCTAAAAATTATGTTGAAGTAACAGTATCATCATTACGAAGTGTGGGGTAATAGACTGAGGGCTGTTCAGAAACAGGAGAATGGAATCTTGAATAATAGAAACCCACTCAGATTTCTTGGTCCATTCTGAGTAGTGAATTCACCAGCTAATACAGGCAGGAGATTTCTCCCTTTAATGTGAGACTGGGCCTTCAGAGCTTGGCTTAGGTAAAAATGGAGACATCATTTGGATGGTACCGTATTTTTTTGAATTAAAAATAACTGTAGCTTTGTGCTGAGAACTGCAAGGAACAAATGGTTCTGTATGTCACCAGATTTAATGGAGACAGGTGGTGTGCTCGGCTCAGCCCTGGGGGCTTTCCTCACTTGCAGAGACTGCTTGTGTTGCCAAATTCCAAGATGGTTTAAGGCTGAACCAATGAAAGCTCCAACCTGCTTCTCCTCCTGTGAATACAGTAGAATCCAATCACAATTCATTCAGGACTGTCTCAAGCAACTGGGGTCCTCAGAGATGCTTGGATTGCATTTTGCTAGCAACTATTTTTCACTAGGCAATGGGGCTTCAGGCAGGCTCTTTCAGGAACACATTCACCAATTTGCTCGGTATGCATTGTGGGGCTTTGCTGGGATTTTACTTGGAGGGGAAAAATTTATGATAGAATTTGAAGAACACAATGTGAAGAAGGCATATGCTGTTTGGACCAGCATTTTTTTTTTACAGGAGAGTGATGTGGAGGGTTTTGGGAAGAGGGTGGCTAGATGGCAGGCACAGGAAGTAGGGAAAGAAACTACAAGCCCTTTCCTTGTGCCAGGTACTGGGCCATAACAGTGCAGGCATTACAGCAAGCATTTTTCACAGCGTCCTGAGTCAGGAAGCATTGTGACCCATCTTAGGGATAAAAAGACTCAGGTGTGACAGCAGAGCACTCTAGGCAGTACCTTGGTGTCAAACACTGACCTCAAAGAGATGAGTTTATGAGTTTTTGTTTACCACGGCTTAGTCCTAGATGATTAAACTCCAGCCTGGAAAATCTATTTGTCACAAAAATTATCTATTGATCTGCTTGTTTGATCTGGAAAAGTTGCTTTAAGGTACAAGGGGCTATATGAAATGGAAGTTAAATCTATTTTTTTTTTTCTTTTAAGAAAAACTGCCCTTTAAAGTTGGCCATTTATTTCCAGTTTTTGTGATTTCTTCACCTTGGAGCAAAACTTCTTTATTCTGGGAAGACCCACTTGAGTAGCCTCTTTTAGCTAAGTAGATATAAAGCCAATACCTACCGACTCCAGAGTTTGGGGCTTAGAGAAACCTGGAGGTCTGTAGATGGGTGACATTGGTCATAGGCTCTCCAAAACTTATTATTATACAAAGCTGAAAGTGATGGGCAGATTTGCTTAACACCTCTTAAGGGGCAACCAATCATATTCTGTTTCTCTTTGAGGCTCTGACTTGTTCTCATGGCTAGTGATCTGGGTGTCACACTACACTGGGGTTGTCAGAGGGGAGGTTGCTGATGTTGAAACTCCTCTGGCTAACGTGCCTTGGCAGAGCATCTGGCATGAAATGACTGAGGGTGAGTGCATGTGTGTGTGTGTGTGTGTGTGTGTGTCAATTTTAAGAGCTGTGTCAACAAGCTGCTCTGATGCTGGGAACGTAGGCCTACTCTGGGGTAGAGAGTCCAAGAGAGTGAGGCCGGGAGAGAAGAATCCTCACCCTCTGCTGCCTTGCTGGTGGCAGTGTGGGGCCTTGGTTCCCAGAACTCTTGCTGGCATTGATAACCCATTAGGCCTTGGGTTCTGAGACGCCTGCTAGTTGGCAGGCCCTGGCACTGGAAGTCTGTGTTCTGCTTTTAGCAGCAAAACTGTAGTTGTCTCAGTGGCAGAGTATGGGACACTTAACCAATTGATTCGACTTTCTACCTTCTCCTCTGCAAAGAGACAGTAGCCACATCTGACTACTTGGATTGAATATTGGGCCCCTAGGATTCCTGTCCCTTCCGAACAAGGGTTTCTCAGGAAGTAAGGCATCTTTACCAAAAGAGGAATTGATCTTGGATTCATATTGCTTTTACATCAAAATGTGGTGAAGATGAACTTGTGTTCCCTAATAAAAGTCCTTGGATTTAAAACATTCCTTTGAATTATTTGATGCTGTTTGCTTTCCTCATCTTAAGAGAAATGGAGTCCAGCACACTTCCTTGGCAACTTCCGTTGTGGTTTACAACACTGTTCATGAATCAACTGCTAAAATTTTCAGGCTTTAAGGGCATAGTAAGCACGATGTTATCACCAACAGATAGGTAAAAAATGAAAATAATTTGAATTTAGTTTGTTCCAAAAATTTTTGGCAGCTGTTTTGAAAGCTCTAGTTCTTTCCCTTCATCAAGCATTCCAACTGCTTTTTATCATAGACATGTTATGTACTGCTGAACACACACACGTATATATTCTAAAATTAGCATCATGAATATATATTATTTTATATCCTAATTTGTTCCCCATAATACATTATTTCATTATTATTTTTCAAAAACATGACTTTTAATGGGTGCATTCTCTTGTATAAATGTGCCATGGTTTAATTATGCAATGTTTTTGACACAATGGTTATTTCCATCTTCATCATTAAAAATAATGCTGTGATGAACATCCTTGCACCTGAATCTCTGTGATCTTCTCTGATTATTCTTTTAAGGTAGACTCCTGAATATGAAAGTTTTAGATTGGAGAGCAAGTTTAAGCTTCTTCATACCTATGTCAAAAAGGTCTAGATAAGAATGCTAAGTTTACCACATTCTTTTTTTTTAATTTTATTATTATTATACTTTAAGTTTTAGGGTACATGTGCACAATGTGCAGGTTTGTTACATATGTATACATGTGCCATGTTGGTGTGCTGCACCCATTAACTCGTCATTTAGCATTAGGTATATCTCCTAATGCTATCCCTCCCCCCTCCCTCCACCCCACAACAGTCCCCAGTGTGTGATGTTCCCCTTCCTGTGTCCATGTGTTCTCATTGTTCAATTCTCACCTATGAGTGAGAACATGTGGTGTTTGGTTTTTTGGTCCCTGCGATAGTTTGCTGAGAATGATGGTTTCCAGCTTCATCCATGTCCCTACAAAGGACATGAACTCATCCTTTTTTATGGCTGCATAGTATTCCATTTAGCACATTCTTTCCAACATGTATTTTAACCTTTAAAAAAAGCTTTGCCAACTTGATTTGTAAAAAATGGGTAACTTTTCTCTTTCTCTTTTTTTTTTGCTTTGATTGCCATTGAGTTAAACTATTTTATTTTACTGATACTTTGTATTTTGTGAAATATCTAATAATGTTCTTTTTTTTATCAGAGTATTTTTTATTATTTCATTATTTGCAAGTGTTCTTTATATTTTAGGGATATTAGCTCTTCGTCATAATCATGGCAAGAATGTTCCTAAAACATTTATGTTGTTTATTAACATACAAAAGCTTTTATTTTCATCCAGTCAAACCTATCAATTTACCCTTTTTGATCTATTTCAATTTATTAAGTGACAAATAATTATGAGTAATGTGGGAATAACACAGCACAGCATTGCTATTCCTTACAAATTATTTAGGCAATAGAAAATCATTTCCAAAAATAAGTGTTTTTACTTTCAATCTGCTGTTGCTCTTTTCTTTTTTAAACATTTTTTAAAATTATACTCTAAGTTCTGGGATACATGTGCAGAACATGCAGGTTTGTTACATAGGTATACGCATGCCATGGTGGTTTGCTGCACCCATCAACCCATTGTCTACATTAGATATTTCTCCTAATGCTATCCCTCCCCTGGCCCCCCACCCCACAACAGGTCCTGGTGTGTGATGTTCCCCTCCCTGTGTCCATGTGTTCTCATTGTTCAACTCCCACTTATGAGTGAGAACATGTGGTGTTTGCTTTTCTGTCCTTGGGTTAGTTTGCTGAGAATGATGGTTTCCAGCATCATCCATGTCCCTGCAAAGTACATGAATTCATCCTTTTTTATGGCTGCATAGTATTCCATGGTATATATGTGCCACATTTTCTTTATCCAGTCTGTCAGTGATGGGCATTTGGGTTGGTTCCAAGTCTTTGCTATTGTGAACAGTGCTGCAATAAACATATGTATGCATGTATCTTTACAGTAGTATGATTTATAATCCTTTGGATATATACCCAGTAATGGGATTGCTGGGTCAAATGGTATTTCTAGTTCTAGATCCTTGAGGAATCGCCACACTGTCTTCCACAATGGTTGAACTAATTTATACTCCCACCAACACTGTAAAAGTGTTCCTATTTCTCTACATCCTCTCCAGCATCTGTTGTTTATTGACTTTTTAATGATTGCTATTCTAACTGGTGTGATATGGTATCTCATTGCGGTTTTGATGTGCATTTCTCTAATGGCCAGTGATGATGAGCTTTTTTTCATATGTTTGTTGGCTGCGTAAATGTCTTCTTTTGAGAAGTGTCTGTTCATATCCTTCGCCCACTTTCTTATGCTTGAGAAGAAGTGGGCATTCCTAACACACGCCTTAAGAAGCCTTTTGGAGTCATTCTTCCTTTGGTGTTTCCCATTCTGTACCAAAACATTTTCTGTTTTTATGAAATATGTGTGCTGCCATACCTATTTTCTGTGCGATATCATTCTTCTTTCAAAATTAGGCGAATCCTTGACTGTCCTTATGGATAATTTGGATTTCTGTACATGTTTAGACATTTAGACAGATGTTTAGACATTTTAATGTGGTATTTGTGACAGAGATTGGCTCACTATTCACCAAACTTCTATCCTCTTCCTTCTGGTTACACAGGTAAGTCTCTGGGTTATGGGAAATAAAATGACTGTATGAGCAGAAGTCATGTGCACCAATTCCAAATTTGGCCCAAACCACACATTTCACCAGGTGCTCTCCTCATACTGTTTCCATGGTGGCTTTGGAAACCATGCAGTGAAGTTGGTGGAGCCACAAGATGGAAGGCTACTGGGACCCTGCATTGTCACCAATCAGAACCTTGCCTTTGAATCTATGCAAGGGAGAAATAAAAATTTCTGTTGGATTACACCAATGAAATCAGAGGGTTATTGGTTATAGAAACTGGCGTTACCTTAACTAATACTATATTCTTGTGGTCAAGTTAGAGAAACTTTAGATTTGTAATAGATATATGCAAAGAAAGTAGATTAATATAAGCTGATGTCAAAGTCGGGGG